>NC_000017.11:49435980-50060980 GCF_000001405.40 Homo sapiens
CCCCACTCCAGGCTGCTGTCCATTTCAGCGGTGGCCCAGCACCCTCCCAATCCCCCAAGCCTGAAGTCTGGCTGTAAATATCAAGCCTTCTCTTCTCGCACTTTCTCTTTCCATATTCATGTGGCCAAAAAGTCCAGACAGGCTTACCTTGAATGCGCCCACCTCTCCTCTTTCCCGCTGCCCCTGCCCTAGTTCAGGCCTTCATTGTTTCTTTCCGGAACCGGCTGGTCTCTCTGACTCCAGTCTGTCCTCTCTCCAATCTATCATCTATCTATGCTGCTGCCAGAGAGCTCTTTCTAAAGCACAAATCTGATTATGCACATCTCTGCTTTAAAATCTTGGCTGTAGCCTCGTGGCCTAAAGATAAATCCAAAGTCCTAATGAGGCTTCCAAGTCCATTCATGGTCTGACCCTTGCTTCCCAGTCCAAGCTCATTTCCCAGCATGCTCCTGGGCCCATCCACACCACATTGCTCCCCACCCTCTGATCTGCCTGTGCTCTTTCAGGGTTCTTGCCTTTGCAAACACTGTCCCCTCAGCCAAGAACTACGACCCTGATTTTTGCTTGGTGAACTTGGACTTCTCCTTGAAGACTGAGCTCAAGGCTGTTCAGCCTTTCCCAAGTGTCCCAGGCAAGGTTTCCATCACCCCTCTTATATTTCTTTATCATCTGTCTGCCTCCTGCACTAGACTGTAGTCCCCTATTTAGCTCTGTTCCTCCACATCTAACCAATGCTTGATGTGTGGTAGGGATTTCTTACATGTGCTGAATGAATGAATGAATGCGTATGCATGAATGGTCTGGGAAATGGCACGCTCAATTGCACTCTTCCTTTTTTCTCTGCTGGAGCCCACTGAGCAAGGGAAAGGGAAAATGGTAGGAGATGAGATGGGGGACATGGGTGGAGACCAGACCAAGTAGGGCTTTGGGAACCAAAAATATAGAATTGGGATGATTTCTCTCTTATTGGATCTCAGGTACACAGATTTAATCAATCAATCATACTCCTCAGAATGATATATTGTTGTCATTGTCATCTGACTATTTTTTGGTCCCTCTCTCATACGCAGTGAGAATCCATAAACATTTATCTTATGTGAATCCTTCCATCCTCCCTACTTTTACTTACAGGAGAATTTGCGTTTCATTCTCAAAGCAATGAGAACTCTTTGGAGGCTTTTAAGCAAGGGAGTGACGTGATCTGATTTTCATTTTATAAGGATTGCTCTGTCTGCAATCATAGAGGACAAAAGTGGAGCTGAGGGACCAGATAGAGGCTGCTGAAGTGCACGAATGAGGAATGGTGTTCGGTGGAAGAGTGGAGGTAGAGAGAGAGAAAAATGGGCAGGTGGGCGTAGGTACTGGAGGAAGAGAAGACCAGACTGGCTGGTGTATGAGATGTGGGAATCAAGAGGGGGAAAGGCCTCCACAGTGAAGGTTTCAGCTGTTCTGGAGAGTAGTTTAGAGGCAGCCTTTGGTTGGAAAGGGAGCCGGGGAACTTGTCTAGAAGCTGGGTCTACATAGCAAGCATATCTTTCTTACTTAGACTATATTTGGGGAGGGGCAATAAAGACTATTTATTTGGGGCAAATGAAGGGATGCTTAGAGAGATAATGGAGGAAGGAGGGTTTGTCCCTCCAAGCCAATCCCTGCCACCAGCCCCCAACCCCCACTTTTTTTTTCTCTGAGACAGAAAAAAGCCTCCTCCTCCCAGGTTTGATTCTCCTGCCTCAGACTCCCAAGTAACTGGGATTACAGGTGGGCACCACCATGCCCAACTTATTTTGTGTTTTTAGTAGAGATGGGGTTTCACCATGTTGTCCAGGCTGCTCTTGAACTCCTGACCTTAAGTGATCCACCCGCCTTGGCCTCCCAAAGTGCTGAGATTACAGGCATGAGCCACTGCCCCCAGACCAAGCCAATCCTTAACACCACCACAGGCCACAGGGCCTTTGCATAGGAGGCTCTCTTCCCGAATCTGTGCAAACCAACTCCTCTTTCCATCAAGGTCTCAGCTCAAAGATCATCTCAGAAAAGCTCAAAGATTATCTCTGGCATCCTGGCTGGAGAGATGACACTACCTCCTGCCCCTCACCATCACCCTCTACACTCTCTTTCACTTTCTTATAGCACTTATCAAAGCTTTGACGCAGTTCTCTGGTGCAGCCACCTTCTAGAGCTTTTGGTGCACTTCTGAGGCTCCCCTCCACCTCTTCTGTTTCGAGGACCTTGGTGGGCTTTGATGGAGACAGAACCAAGAACCCAGCGCCAAGGTCCAGGCCTTTGTGAGGTGCTGGTGCAGGGGTCGCACACCCAGCTGCCAATCAAGTGAAGGGAGGGAGGAAAATGAACATCTAAGACCTCAAGCTGGAAGAAGTCTCAGTCCCAGAAGGTGGTAACTGGTTCCCCTGCCCCTCTTCCTACCCCCTCCCACAGCTCGGCCAGCTGCTGGAGGGACGCTGCAGGGGAAGGAGGCAGGGTGATTAAGAGCTCTGGTTGTCAGGGCTGGGGCCAGGGGGCACGCCCCCTGGGTGACATTTTCTCGCATTGTGTCCTCAGAACAAAAACGAGTCTTATTTGAGGAGCTGGATGGGGGAGGGGGCCGGGGGGCTGAAGCGACCGAGTGGAATCGTGGCTCCAGGGAACAGCGATTACTCATCAAAGGCCAGGGCAGCCCACGTCTTTGTGTGCCCTCCGCAGCCCGCCCGTGCCTGGCCACAGGCCCCCAGCCCTAGACATCCCCCTGACGGCCCCCAAAGAGCAGGGCTGGGGTGGGAGAGACCTGGGATCGTGTGTGGGCACAGAGCCGGGACAGGCGCGGTGGGGGCAGGGGTGACCAGGGCAGGCTTCCTGGAGGATGGGAGTGTGGAAATGCACAGGACAGAGGGGAGGCGCAAGAAGGAGAACGGCTGCAGGCTAAGGGGGAAAAAAAGTGGGTCTCCGGAGACCAGGGGGTGAGTGCAGGGGGACGGGGAGGGGGCAGAACTTCTAAGGTGTCAACTCAGCCCCCGGATGGAGTGTCCTGGAGTGCTTGGGGGAAGGGGCCGCTTCCTGCTACAATGGCTATTTTGGGGCCTGAATCAAATCAAATCCGCTGCAGCCCCCAGAGCCCCCAGCAGCTGCGCAGAACAGCTGTCCGGCTGAGGGCGCTGAGCGGCTGGAATGGCACTTCCTGCCCCCCACTGATCTCTGGCTGCCCAAGGGTGTGCGTTGCAGGGGAAGGGGGAAGAGGATGTGAAAGGGCTTTGGGCTCAAGTCAGAAACCTGGGCTAAGATGGTGTGCTTTCCTCCTCCTGCTCTGTGTGACCGCGGGGCTGAGACTGGCATAGAGATGCCAGTTCTGGGGCCATCCTGAAGCTCTTCCCTGCACCTTCACCCTCCATTCAGTCCCTACAAGGTATCTCCCCAGGCCCAGACAATCCCTACCTGAGCAGTCCTCCTGATCTTCCCCCCAGGAAGCCCTTCTAGTTTCTCTTGATGGGAAGAGCCCTTTCCTCATCTGCCGCCTCCCAACCTCAAAGGCTGTTCCCAGACTGGTTCCCTGCAGGCAGAGGAGCATCTCTCCCATCAGATCTGGATTTGGTTCTTCCTCTAGCTGAACTCCCAGCCATCCACTTGGTATTTACTCACAAGGCACCTGAGGGTTGACACGGAAGACAGGTAAGCTTCCCGGCAGGTGCCTGTTCAATCTCCTGATTGTGCTGAAGGGGCCTCATGCATGCCAGCTAAAAACCCATAGGCTGGCATGTAATAGAGTTGGGGGGAGCACTGAACTGCCTCCTCCAGGAAGCCTTCCTGGGACAGGCAAAAAGGAGAGGTCTCTTTCTTTTTGGTCCACCCTGGCTCAAGGCCAGCCAATGTCCACAAGAGTGACCAAAGCTAGGACATGCCCTGGGGCTGCCATGTCCCTCAGGTCACTAGTCCATGACGGGGTCCCTCGTGCCCATCTTGTGCAGAAAGAACCCCATTGTCCAGGGGGCATAGCTGAGGGGTGAGTTCAGAGCCCAGAGATGTTGACCACAGGGCTGGTCATCAGTCTTCTGACCACAGCAGGAGGGAGTTGGGGAACTGTGTGGTCTGTGGGGGTGAGGGGCAGGCACACACTAGTGCACACACAGGACCATAAGCCCAGACACTGCCCTCCTCATCCAAGCACACACTCCCCCGTGCTCCCCCCAGGACGGCCCCTCCCTTTGTTTTTCCGCATTCCTGCTGGCAGATGCTCCATTCTTTTCTTCCCCAAGCAAGCCAGGGAGATCTCCACCTTCCGGGGTGGGGGGGCTCCGGACATAGCAAAAGTGGGGGGAAGCAGGGATGTGCCACCTGTCCCTGGGGGCAGGGGCAGCCCCTGGAGCCCCACCCACACTGGGATGAGAGCCCAGGGTGCTTTGATCTCCTGTGCGGTGCGCCTGTTGTGGAAGCTGCCAAGATTAACAGAGATGCACACACAGGTCTTTTAGCCAGGTCTGCAATTCCTGAGCTTGTTTCCAGATCAGAGCCCTCATCTTCCTTCAGAGACCTCTTCACTAATGGACCTCCCACCTCTTTCCTCACTGAATCTCTCCCCTCATTGAACCCCCTCTCCTCTCCCATCCCTATCTCTATGAGTCATCCCATCTCTGGGAGATTGGTGTCCTTTCCTTCCAATTTCCATGGGCCCCAGAAGGTCTGGTCTACAACACAGACCCCGTAGGTAGTGGCTGAGACAGGTTGCACTGGTTTGCTTGTGCCCAACCCCCTAAAGACACACAGTGCACCTGTCATCACCACCACCACCACCACCACCACCCCTGTGCAGGCCCAGCCTGAGAAGGCCCATCTGGACTCAGGAAGTCCTGCCATTTCAGCAGGTTGAGGTTCCTGGGCCCCCAGGCTCCAAGTAGACCAGAGACTGGTAAGAAGTGAATGGCAGGTGGAGACTAGTAACCAGACTCTGAGTTGAACTTGATTTTGGCCCTGAATCCATCTGAGGTAGAGTCCTATGATCTAGCCTTCTTCTTCTTCTTCTTTTTTTGAGACAGAGTCTCACTCTGTCGCCCAGGTTGGAGTGCAGTGGCACAATCTCGGCTCACTGCAACCTCCGCCCCAGGGTTCTAGCAATTCTCTGACCTCAGCCACCCAAGTAGCTGGGATTACACGTGCCTGCCACCACGCCCGGCTACTTTTTTTGTATTTGTAGTAGAAACAGGGTTTCGCCATGTTGGCCAGGTTGGTCTCAAACTCTTGACCTCAGGTGATCCACCTGCCTTGGCCTCCCAAAGTGCTGGGATTACAGGTGTGAGCCACTGCGCCCGGCTGATCTAGCCTTCTTGTAGGATCATTCACACATATCACTGTTTCCCTCATAAGCATCCCAAAGCGGGAGGAGGCCCATTCCCCCTTCCACTCTCTCCCAGCCCAGGAACAGCTCGCTCCAGAGTGGCCTGGCTCTGATGATCAGGAACTCATTGTATCTGTACAGTCTCAATTCTGCCTGCGGTGAAGGAGACCCCACCCTAAGTGAAAGCAGGGACTGTGGGGTCCACGTGGGATTCAGGGAGGGTGGGAGAGTGAGACCCAAAGAGAGCCAGAGATAAAGACAGAAAGCCAGAGAGGTAAGCAATGGAGAGGCAGAGAAGATGGATGGATGGATGGAGGGATGGAGGATTGGAGGGAGGGAGAAAAAGAGAAAAGCGGAGGGAAGAGAGGAAGGTGGAGGGGGAGGGGAGGGGAGGGAGAGAGGGGAGACATAGTGAAGAAGTGCTGAGCCAAGATGAGAGGAAGGAAGCTATTGGCCCCTCTCCCTCCCTCCCTGCAGCCACACCAGGCAAAACTCCAGACACAAATGCATCTCAATGGGCGTCTGGCAGGGAGGCTCCAACTGCTCTGAGGTTCTGAGGTTCCGCTGAGCTCACCTGGCCAAGTGTGTCAAAACTCCCACCAGCATCACCCCAGCACCACCTAGAAGCACTCTGAGCCCCACTCTGAAGATAATTCTGGGAATGAAAAAGAAGTCGAAACCTGCCCAAGTCCTCCGAGAGGGTCTCGGGTCCTTCCCCAGTCCCTTGCATTGCTGGAAACCCTTTCCCCTAGAACAGAGCTACACTAACTGCCAGGAGGCCAGGCCTGTTGGCAGAAACAGAGATGACCCCCTCTCCCACCTTCCGCTTTGCCACTCCAGTGACTATTTGCTGACTGTCTCTTTCTTGCTGCTAATCGCTCGGCCCCGTCTAATTGGTAATTAGCCTTGCGAGCCCAGCCTGTGCTTGGCTAATTGCTGTTTGTCTCACCCTCATCTCCGGCAGCAGAGTGGTGCCAACACAGCCGCCTGGGCTCTATCCGGGCTGCTGGCATCCGTGCCAGGTTCTGTAGAGGTTTCTGCAGCCCCACCCTGTTCTCTTCCAGGGATTTTGTGGGGTACAGCCTCCTTCAGCAGTAATGTCAGCCCTGAGGGTGGTCCCTGACAGTCCTTCTGGGTGGTTGCAGACTGGGGCCCCTGCTTTCATGCATAGTCCATGCCCAGTTATAGAAAAAGACGGCCATGAGTGAGCTACAGTCCCTACTGAGGAGTGGAGTCTGGGGGGACTCTAGGGAGGAGGTGTCTGCACCGGAACTTAAGGATGTCTAGGATTTAAC
Organism: Homo sapiens; assembly: GCF_000001405.40. Classification (NCBI taxonomy): domain Eukaryota; kingdom Metazoa; phylum Chordata; class Mammalia; order Primates; family Hominidae; genus Homo; species Homo sapiens. Next base: position 49,442,596 of record NC_000017.11, read on the forward strand.
CATCAGAGAAAGGAGAAAGGACTTTTCAGGCAAAAGTGGTGGTTGGCCCAGTGTGACCGAAGGGTCTGGAAAGGAGCCTGGAAAGGTAGGTAGGGTGGGGTTTGATTCTGCAAGCTGTAGGAACCATGGAAGGTTTTTGAGCTGGGGAAAGGTATGATCTGCTCTGCCCTGGGGGGATCATTCTGGATGCCGTGGTGAGGATGAGGATTGGTGAGGGGAAAAACCAGGCCAGGGTGAACCCTCAGGAGGCTGCTGCTTTTGGGTTGGAGGCAGAGAGGAGGGCAAGGGTGGGAGAATTGTTTTAGAAGAACCCACAGGATCTGTTGATGGATTGGAAGCAGGAGGACATCCCCAGGGACGGTGTGCCAAGGCTGTGATGATAGACTTCCAAGGACAACAAGGATCCTCCCCTCCCCACTAGCCCTGTTGGGAGAAGGGCAGGTGGCATCTCACCTGTTTTCCATGACTCATAGTGTAGCTTGGGACCCCTTTTTGAGAACTAAGTCTCCTGGTCTCTTTAGGAGCCTCTTAAGGAGATGATGTCATTGACTCAAGAACTGACACTGGCTGGGCCCTTACCATGGGCTGGTAACCAAGCACCAGCTTCTCAGAACTTCCCAGGAGAAAGCCACTATTATTATCTTCAATTTTCACATGGGGAAACCGAGACTTGGGGAGATTAAGCCACCTGCCCAAGGCCACACAGCTAGTAAATGGTGGAGGTTAGATGCGCTCAGGTCTCACTTCTCCGTCAGAACTCTAAACATGACTTTGCAGTACCTCTCAACCTCCTGTGACAACTGTGCTCGGCTAGGGTTTGTTTTATTGACTGATTTATTTTAATCAAAATGGCACCCACCAGCTCGTCCCCTCTACCTGAAATCCCTTTCCTTTTCAACTCTGTCCAAATCCAACCTATCCTTTTAAACCCAGGGCAAAGCCTACCTCCTTCAGGAAGCAATCCTGGATTTTATAAGCCCCTCTCTACATGCTGGAGGTAACCTCTTGGACATACTTGATTTTGAGTCTCGTAGCAGCACTTTCTCTACTCTTTGCCCTCTCCCAGGGCCTCCTATAGAGGGAAGACCCACCCTGCAGGAGGCCACACGTGTGTTGACCACATTGCCCTAGACTGCCCCGGGATGGGTCTTGTCCTCACTGAACAGCAAATGTCCTGAATCCCCTGGTCATCTTTGGGTCACGCCCACTGCCACCTCACCTGGCACTGCACACAGGGTAATGTCTGCCCCATGGCTATGTTCTGAGCGATACTTACTTGTCCAACTGGAGGAGGCTCCTCTCACTTGTCATGCTGGACTCAAGTGGCTCCTGGCTGTCCCCAAAACTCAGGTTCACTCATCATGGCAGGGAGCTTTGGCTCTGTCCAGGATCGCCAGAAGCCTGAGCTGCTAGCTCAAAGATTGGCCCACAGCAGGAATTTCCCAAAGTGTTGGGGGCCTCATGGAATGATTACTTTGAAATGGACTACACGCGGTTAGATGAGTAAGTCTTTGTGCTTTTATCAAAACCATCAGTGACATCTTGTATTTTCCTTTCAGAGCCTTTATTTCCTCCAGCAGTGCTGGCCTCATGCCCCAGAATAAAAACGCACTAGTACTTTCCATCCGGCCTGGAAGGGGCTTTAGTGGAAGCTGGTGGAGCTGCAGTAAAGGGGCGGGTGGGCAGAGAGGGGTGGGTGGGCATTGTCCTTTGCCTCCAAGCCAGCCCCAAACTAAAGCAATCTAGGAACCAGAGGTTGGAGACCCCACTAAGGAAGGAACCTGGGAGAAGATTTAGCACACGATTTTCAGCTGTGTTTGGGAGACTTGTGGGATCTTTACAGGTGCCTCGGGGTTGTTGAAGGGCGAAAGACGGGCATTACTATTATTATTTCGAGATAGGGTCTTGCTCTGTTGCCCAGGCTGGAGTGCCGTGGTGCAAACATGACTCACTGCAACCTCAACCTCCTGGCCTTAAGTGATCCTCCCACCTCAGCTTCCCTGAGTAGCTGAGACCACAGCACGCACCACCACACCTGGCTCTTTTTAAAAATTTTTGTAGAGATGGGGTCTTGCCACATTGCCCAGGCTGGCCTTAAATTCTTGGGCTCGGCCGGGTGCAGTGCCTCACGCCTGTAATCCCAGCACTTTCGGAGGCCAAGGTGGGCGGATCACAAGGTCAGGAGATGAGACCATCCTGGCTAACACGGTGAAACCCCGTCTCTACTAAAAATACAAAAAATTAGCCAGGCGCAGTGACACGCACCTGTAGTCCCAGCTACTTGAGAGGCATGAACCTGGGAGGCAGAGGTTGCAGTGAGCCGAGATCGCACCACTGCACTCCAACCTGGGTGACAGAGCGAGAATCCGTCTAAAAAAAAAAAAAAAAAAAAATTCCTGGGCTCAAGCCATCCCCCCACCTCAGCGTCCCACAGTGCTGGGATTACAGGCATGAACCACTGCACCCGGCTAAGGTGGGCATTATTTATCTTTGTGTTCCCCATGAGTATTCTGCCATTCCTGGTTTGCATAGTCATTGGAGACATGGGCTCTGCAATGAATCTTCTTGGATTCAACCCGGAAGCTCTGTCCCTTACTGCATGTGTAACTGTAGGCAGCTTACTGAATGTCCTTGTGTCTCATTTTCCCATCTGCAATATCCAGAGGATGATAATTATCATGCTGTTTCAAGGTGGGTTGTGATGGTTGTGAAATCCATGGTACCATGCCTGGTCTTCAGCAGGACTTAACAAAAAATAGCCTATATTATTTTACCTATATGTTTTTGGGTTTTTTTCCCCTTCTCTAGCCTATCTGCCAGATTCACGAACAACCTGACCCAATGCAGGCAAATGCAGAGGATGTCCCATAACTGTCCCACTTCCTGGGAACCCTTCTTTGTGGCCAGACAGGGTTTAGTGCAGAGAGACAGAGAAGAGCCAGGTGTCCCCTGGCCCAATGCTTCCGGGAAGCGTCTTGGCCTTCCCACCTCTGAGAACATTCAGGCCTTTGAGATGTGGCCCCTGCCTGCCCCAGTACCCCCGGCCCGACAATGGGGGCTTCAGAGGAGCCTGGATGGCAGGACACAGCCCCCTCTGTGAAGCGGAGTTGACCGCCAAGCTGGTGAGTCTGAGAAGACATTCCTCATGGGGCAGAGAAGGATGAAGGGAGGAGGCTGTGCATTGGCCCCTTGGCCCAGCCCTGACCCGAGGAGCCATTGCCACTGGGGCTTGGACAAAGGTCCCCTCTTCCTGCTCTCTGTCCTTTCAGTGCCCACCCGGGGGATGGTGCCAACAAGGGTCTGTCCCAGGGCCAAGAAGGAAGGCATGAGGCTTGGATGATGTGAGGGGTCTCCTCCAGGTTATAACACAGCACCCACAGTGCTGCGGGGTGAGTGGAGAGGCGGGCAGGCAGCAAGCCAGGAAAGAGCATCTGTTGGAGCTTGTGGTGGCCACAGGCTCAGGGACCCTTGCCTCCTTCCCTGCGCCCTCAGTCCTCAGCCCTCTGAGCCATCTCTTGAATAATATCTCCAGCAATCTCAAAATTCTCCTCTCCCCTTCAGGAGGTCTTCGTGGATTTATCAGGGAGAAGCATGGCTGACTAAAGGAATTCTGGCACCACGTGACAACCATCTTCCTCATCAAGATTGGTGTCCTGGGAAGTGGCTATCCCTGACCTTCCGGCAGAATGAGGAGAAAAGTCTGAACCAGGCAGTTTACCTTCCCCCGGTAGCACTCCTCTCAGGCCATGGAGAATAACAATAGCTAACATTAACTGAGCTTTTGCTAGGGGCCAGAACTTTGCGTGCATTATCTCATTTAATCCTTGTACTAAGAGGTAAGTACCATTACTATTGCCAAAAGAGGAAACAGAAGCTTAGTATGGTTAAGTGATTTGCTCAATGGCTGGAAGAGATGAAGTAACCCACCTCAAGGTTGTTCAGGTAGTTTGCAGTAGAGTCAGGATTTGAACCCAAGCAGTCTAAATCCCGAGATTCATTTCACCAAAAACAGAAACCAGAGAATAGAATCCTGATCCCTGCAGCAGGTCAGCTGAGCCAGGACCAATTCATTGCTTGATTCCTACAAAGGATTCTTGCTGATGAAGGTAACAAGGAAGATAGAAAGAGGAGATTGATAACAGTGAGGAAGAACATGTTGATGAATAGGTGACTAGGAAATTCCTACCTAGGAATCATTGAGTTGTTCATTCATTAATCCGTCATCCATCTCGGGAACTCTGTTGAGTGGCCATAGAGTGTAAATAACATGAGCTCTGGAGCCTGACAGACTGAGTTCAAATCCCAGTTCTGCCATGATTTCCTGTGTGACCTTGGGCACGTTGCTTCACTTCTCTGAGCCTCAGACGTCTCATCAATAAAGTGAGGATAATAAATTATCTATCTTGTAGGGCTGCTGTGAGAATACATGTTATAATACATAGGAAGTGGTTTGTATGTTGCCTAGTACAGAATGAACACTCAATGAACGTTAGCTATTATTATTATTATTACTTCTACTTCTGTCCAGGTGCTGGGCTAAGGTACCAGAGTTACAAAGATGAATGGGACTGCCTCTCTGATTGAAGAGATTAGTGGAAGAGATAGAGATAGACAGACACAATGTAATAGGTGCCGGGAGTGGGGCCTGTACAAACAACCATGGGAACACTTGCTGTGCCTGAAGGACTAAGGAGGGTGTTCCAGAGGAGGTGACCTTATCTGAGACTTGAAGGATAAATAGGAACCTATTAAACAGATAGGAAAAGAAGAGATAAAGCCGGCTGGGGGCAGTGGCTCACGCCTGTAATCCCAGCACTTTGGGAGGCCAAGGTGGGCAGATCATGAGGTCAGAAGTTCGAGACCAGCCTGGCCAACATAGTGAAACCCTGTCTCTACTAAAAATACAAAAATTAGCTGGGAGTGGTGGCAGGAGCCTGTAGTCCCAGCTACTTGGGAGGCTGAGGCAGGAGAATCGCTTGAACTCGGGAGTCAGAGGTTGCAGTGAGCCAAGATCGTGACACTGTACTCCAGCCCAGGTGACACAGCGAGACTCTGTCTCAAAAAAAAAAAAAAAGAGAGATAAAGCCATTCCAGCTAAGGGAACAACGAATGCAAAATGCTCTAGTGTGAAGGAAGCATCCTTAAGGGAGCAGTATGGATTTTGGCAGCCAGGAGGTGCTGGGTCTGGTTCTAGTGTTGGGTGTTGGGTGGGGATAGTGGCAGGAGTAAGGCTCTGTACCTTGGCGGGGCCTCCATGCTCTTCTAAGGACTCTGCATTTTGTCTTATAGACAGTCGGGAAGCGTTTTGGGTAAAGGCAAAGTGTGAATTACACGTAAGACACTCTCAGCTAACCGAAACTTGAGAATTTAGATTGGCTCCATCTGGGCCTGGGAGAAATGGACCCAGCCATCCCCCACAGGATATAAATCCCAAGAAACCACAATCTTGTCCTAAGAAGAAAGCGGAGACAGGCAGGGTGAGCACCAGGGCCCTTCACTGCTCCAGCCTGACCAAAACCCTTGGAGACACAGATCTGGAGTCTTGCCCGTGACAGTGTGAGGCTCTACAGCAGTGATTCTCAAACTTCAGCCTGCACTGGAATCCCCTGGGGACCTTGTTAAAAGGAAGATTCTGATTCAGCAGGCTGGGATGGGGCCTAGGAATGTGCATTTCCAACAAGCCAAGCCCTGCCTTCCCCACCATGCCGATGCCGCTGATCCAGGAACCACACTTTGAGTGGTAAGGATCTAGAACCATGGTCTGCCATCCTGGCAGTGCATTCAAGTAGCCTAGGGGAGGTTTTAAAAAGAAAAAGAAAGATGCCAGGGCCTCACCCCAGACCAATTAAATCAGAATCTTTAGGGGTGGGGCCTGGGCATCCATAGCTTTGAAAGCTCCCAAGTGACTCTGATGCATGGGCAGGAAGTGAAAGGAGAACACTGCAGAATGTGCTCGTTCAGGCTGGGGCAGGGGGCTCAGAACTCCCTTCCCAGCGGATGATCTAGAAATAGCATGCAGTGCACACAAAGTCCTAGCCCATGCCCTGTGAACAGCATTCCTGGTAACCCCAGGAGGGCAACCAAGGGGTATCCATATCAGGAAGGGAAAGGGGCAGGAAGGGCAGCCTCCTCTCAACTCTGTCCCCACCAGCCTCTTGGAAGTGGCTTTGTCCAGTGTCTGAGCTACCAGGCTAAATATAGCCCGGGCTGGGGGCTGAATTCATGCTATTGAAGCCTCTCGATTGCCCCAGCCCCAGCCTCAGAATGCAGAGAGAGGCTAGGGAAGGGGAGGCTGGGAGAGAAGGGAGAAGGGGTGAGGAGGTGGGGAAGAGACAGGAGGTAGTTCGCTTGGCCAGTTGGAATGGGAAATCTGAACAAGTTTATCTTTTAAAGCGAGGGTGCAATGTCGGGGGAAAAGAGAGAGACATTCCTTACCTAGTGCTGAACTATGTCCCCTCAAAATTTATGTTAAAGTCCTAACCCACAGTGGGACTGTATTTGGAGACGGGGTCTTTAAGGAGGTCATTAAAGTTACATGAGGTCATTAGGGTGGGACCCCGATGCCACAGGATTAGTGTCTTTATAAGAGGAAAAGACACTAGAACATTCTCTCCCAGCACCCCCCAGCTCTTCTTGCCCTCACATCCCCCTTCTCCCTGCCCCCTTCCACCTCTTAGCAACATGTACCAAGGAAGGGCCTTGTGGGGACATAGCAAGAAGGCAGCCAGGAAGGGAGCCCTCACCAGAGACTGAATGGGCTGGAACCTTGGTCTTGGACTTCCAACTTCCAGAACTGTGAGAAAATCTATTTCTGGTTTTTGTTATTGTTGTTTGTTGCTTTTTTTTTTTTTTTTTTTGAGACGGAGTCTCACTCTGCCACCCAGGCTGGAGTGCAGTGGCGCAATCTTGGCTCACTGCAACCTCCACCTCCTGAGTTCAAGAGATTCTCCTGCCTCAGCCTGCCGAGTAGCTGGGATTACAGGCATGTGCCACCACGCCCGGCTAATTTTTATATTTTTAGTAGAGACAGGATTTTGGCATGTTGCCCAGGCTAGTCTCGAACTCTTGACTTCAGGTGATCTGCCCACCTCGGCCTCCCAAAGTACTGGGATTACAGGTGCGAGCCACCGTGCTGGGCCCAATTTCTGTTGTTTAAGCCACCCAGTCAGTGATGTTTTGGTACAGCAGCCTGAGCCAAGACAACTTGTAAGCAGAATCTGCCCATCCCTTACCCTTTTATCCATGTCTCCCAGAGCCAATGCCCCTTCCAGAAACTTCTTCAAAGGGGAGATCCTGTGATGGTTTGTTTTATGTGTCAACTTGACTGGGTCACAGGGTGCCCAGATATTTAAACATTATTCTTGGTGTATCCGTGAGGGTGTTTCTGGGTGACATTGACATTTGTGTCATGTCTGTAGACTGATTAAAGCAGATTGCTGTCCCCAGTATTGGTGGGCCCCATGCAGTCCATCAGAGACCCGGATGAAACAAACATGGATAAGGAAGAAGTCACTCTTCTACGTGAATGCTTGAACTAGGACATTGGTCCTCCTGTCCTTTGATTGGAACCTACACCACCAGTGCTCCTGGTTAAGGCCTTTGGGCTTGGACTGGAACTATACCACCAACCTGCTTTGGCCTCCAGTTTGTAGACAGCAGATCATGGGAATTCTCATCCTTCATAATCACGTGAGCCAATTTCTTAGAATAAAATCTCTGTATTATGTGTGAGTGTGTGTGTGTTTATATCGATCTCTATTTCCTTCCTTCCTTCCTTTCTCCTTCCCTCCTTCTTTTCCTTCCTTCCTTTCTCCTTCCCTTCCTTCCTTCCTTCCTCTCTCTCTTTCTTTCTTCTGTTGGTTCTGTTTCTCTGAAGAACACGTGCTAATGCACCTTCACTTCCCTAAGTGTTGCTCATCCTAGTCTCCCACCCAGTGCCCGTGAGGAAGTTCTTGCAACCTAATCACCATCCCTACAGCTGCAACTAGACATGTGCATGAGAAGAATGGTGCCCGAACCCCCAACCTAGAAAAACACATCTCTTAAGAGAGGCATGGGATGGAGACAGGGGACACAGCAGAGAATGGGCCAGCCTCACCCTTGGCCTCTTGCACACCCACCCCTCTCATACAATGTCACTCAGGCAGACAGGTACCCCAGGAGCACACACAGCATCACCTACAGACACCCAGCATCCCTGGCACACAGCGTGCTGTGGCACCAAACCCACCCCCAGGAAGGCAGGCTCTGTGGCTGGTCCCCACCCAGCCTGCTGAGTGTTTAAGTGGTGAGTTTGCACAGCAGCAAGGCCAGAGGCACATTAAGGATTCACTTCCTGGCTGCAGCCAGCCTAGCTCAGCCTTCCTGTTAGAGGATTCTGTGGGCAGCCTCCATCCAGAGACACAGCTCTGCAAAACCACAGGCCCCCCTCCCAGGCCTGTGCCCCCACCCACCCAGCAAGCCCCCTCTGGTGCCCAGGCAGGAGCTCTTCCTGCACCTCTTGCCAAGGCCCTTCCAGACGTCTTCGAGCAGCAGGCCAGAGCCTCGAGGGGTTTCAGGCTGGGGGGAGGTGTAGCAGAGCTGTCTCACTCTGCTGTCTCAGCTTCCACCCAGCACTGATGGTTAACAAGTCTGAAGGCCTAATTGGTTTGATTACCTTATGGTGGGGGCGGGGGGTGCGGCAGACCCTACCCTATGCAGTTCTCAGTCCAAATTTGGTGGTTTGGGGGGAAAAGCCTCATGACTTCCAGAGCCCCCACCCTGGGGAAGCAGTCCCTACCCCTTAGGGGCCCTAAGCTGATGCAGGAGACACAGCCCCTGCCCTCAGAACCCTGATCTGATGAGGAAATGTGGACGCCCTGGAGACGGGTGAAATGAAGACAGAGAGGGTTGGCTGGGCTGGGACAGGTGCAGCGGGGGCTTGGGCAGGAGATGCCAGGGAGAAGAGGGCGTGGTGACAGGGCCAGAGCTGGCATCACTGCAGGTTTCTCTGAGGAGTTACCAGGAGAGCCCCCAAGGGCCCCCAAGGGCAGGTGCTGTGTCTTGCGCCTCACAGAAAGTAGGGGCCCTCTGCCTTCCTTGCTCCATGTCCTACCGCAGGGCCGGGGCCCCGGGAACTCACAGGCGGCTCCTCCCCTAGCTGCCCCTAACTGACCGAGGGGCTTCCAGGCTGCCTCAGGGCCCAGACCAGTCCAGCCTGTCTCCAAGCAGTGGCCCCTTTGACTGGGCTCTGGGTGTTGCACCCATCACCTCACTTCTGCTCCTCTCATGTTTGCCCCACAGCCTCAAGTAAACCAGAAAATCAGCCTGGGGTGGGGGGTGAGAGGTGGGTAGTCAGTGTGCTGAGGGGAGGGGAGCCATTAGGGAGCCGAGCTGCTGTAGGACTAGGAGGATTCTAATCGATGGGCTCATGTTATATTTATCAGCCACAGTACTTAGGTGCTGCCCTAAGCAGGACTAATGGGCTCCCCATTGGAGACGCCATTACAGGAAGTGTGTTGGGGGGAGGGGTGCTGAGAGGAGATGGGCACCTGGCAGGGTCTGCTTCTCCTGGCAACTCCTCACACCCCCAGTCCCTCACACAGGGGCCTCGGTCCTGCAGGCTGTGGGGATTGGATGAGACTGCCATGGAGTGTGCACCATCCTCTTCCCCTCTTCCCCACGATCTGACTGGGAGAAGTCGCCCAGAGACCTTAACCAGAAAGTCACACCCGTCACCCCTGCCCTTCCTGCTTCCCCTGACTGAAGCCACACCCTCTCCACCCTCCACTGTCCGATGACAGCAATGTAGGCCAACCAAGTGGCTCAGCCTTTCCTGGGGTGGAGCCAGTAGCAGTTGCCATGGTGATCTTTCAGGGTGGTGGGTGGAGGGGGGGTCTGGATTCTTCCTGTAAGAGCCTTAATTGCTCATTTATTTAGGGCAATTAGTCCCTGGCGACCCTCCCTTCCTTGACCCTGGCAATGGCTATTCTCAGCTCACAAAACATTCCACCAAGATGGGATATGGGGGCTGGTCCAGAATGAATGGGGTGGGAGGGGAGGAGGCAGGGTGTTGGGACAGAAGCTCCCAAAGTCTGAGAATCCACATTTAGAGGCTGACCTGGTCACACCGCTCCATGTCCTGTCACTGGCCCCTGCTCCCAGCATCCTCTTGGCCTCTCTGGCCTCTCATTCAGCCCTGGGGGTGGACCCGCCCCTCCACACTCCCAACCTTGGTGGCCTCAGGACAGCTGTACTCCCTACCCATAGCACTACTGTCCTCCCTGGCCAGCCCCCAGTCATGGTTGGCTCCCGCCATAGCTCTGTCTCTCCTCCTCATAGGCAGCTGCTCCAAGAGCCGCAGCTCTCAGGGTAGCCCTTCCTGTCCTGCCAGGTCCCACCTTGTCCCAGCAGGCGGCCATAGGATACCCTCATCCTGAGTCCCTGCTCTGCACTCCAGCACACTGCTGCCCCCAGCATCTTAGTCCAGACTACTAGAACTGTGCCTCTGGAAGGCTCTCACTGCACAGATGGAGGAAACTGAGGCCCAGGGAAAGGAAGCTAGTCCAGGGTTCCTCCATGAGTCCGAGGCAGAGCCAGGACTAGAACTCGGAGCCCTTGCTTCCCTGTCTAGTGCTCATGGCACCACAGTGACCTCTCCTTTTTTAGACCGCCCCTGCCAATGGCCCGTCTCTGTTGTCTCTGTCTTCGGCCCATCCTGATGACGGAGCCTCCTGGAAGCCCGTCCATCGCAGCTCCTCAGCGATGCTCTGGCTCAGACTCTGGTCCTCTGGCTCCTCCAGGCCACAGACGCCTTTCCCCTGCCTTCTGCCTCCCCGACTGTGCTGTCCTCTGGGCTCTGAACTCTCCGTCTCTCAGGGAGCCCTTCATCTCCCTGGGGGAGGGGCCCCTGGGACAGGGGAATCCTGTTTAAGGCCCTTCCCGTGGCAATACCTGGGGAACTTCCAGTTCATCCACATCACCCAAGGGCCTCTTGGTCTAAAGCTGATGCAAGCAATGGGGGCCTCGGGGCTCAGACACCTTTGTTTTTGTTTTTTTCCCCCTTTTGGGTTTAGAACCTTTTTTGTTGTTGTTGTTTGAGACAACAACAAACAGGGGGTCTCACTCTGTCGCCCAGGCTGCAATGCAGTGGTGCTGGCTCTGCTCCCAGCATCCTCTTGGCCTCTCTGGCCAGTGACCGAGGCTCACTGCAGCCTTGGTCCCTCAGACTCAAGCGATCCTCCCACCTTGGCCTCCCAAAGTGCTGGGATTACAGGCATGTGCCACTGTGCCCAGCCTGGAACCTTTTTTGTAGGGCAAGACACATGAGTGGCTGGAGCTCCTTGTGAAGAAGGATCACCCTCTAAACCGGCGACTTAGCCAGCTCCCCTTCCTTCTCCTCTCTACCCATCTCATACTTTCTTCACCTCCACCAGTGCCTGCCGCACCAGTCTCCTTCCCTTCAAGTGTTCCTTCCTGTGGCCCTGGAAAATCCCTTCATGGGGACAGTGAGGGATGGGGTAGTGCTCAGGGGTTTGGGGACAGAGGATCAGGGGAGGCTGCCTGGACTCAGCCTTGGTGTCTCCTTGGCTCTGGGACAAAGAGAGCCATGTCGGGAGTGACCTCACCCTTTGGGCATCCTCTGTTGGACAAAAGGCCAATTGTTCCCCAGACTGGAAGCAGGAGGCGGAGGATGACACTCCAGTCCTTGGACCCTCTTTGGAGCCCCGGCACTCTTGCCCAGAGCGGCTCAGCATGGGGTGGGCAGGCCAGCACAGTGAGCCAGGCCTGACCCAATTTGGATGGCAAGAGAAAGGCTTGAAATACCTGTTAAGAAGTCCCTCCTAGGGTCTAACCTCAATCTGGGGACGTGAAGGCTCACTGCTCTGAAGCTAGAGGTAGATACTCTGCTTTCTGCTCTTCCATTTTTCCAGCTTTGGCCTCCATTTGCGGGGAAGCTTTTCTTTTATTTCCTGAGAGAGCAGTAGTTTTCAATTTTTTTTTCAAAAGTATTGAGACCCTTCAAATAAAATCTTCCTAGAAGCCCGGTCAGTAAAGCAGATGAAGGTGGAACTACTTTGGCTGAGGTGGTGGGGATGGTGGGGTAGAGGGCAGAGACCTCCTCAAGCCCCTTTCCTCGTCCCTTATCTTGCCCCATTTGAGCTCTTAGTTTAGATTTTCTTCTGGGGTAATTAAGCTTCAATTCTCTTTGCCCCCCTGCTCCATCCTCCTATATCGCCTTGTCCATAGAGGTTCCATACTCTTACATCTCCCTGAAAATGAACTTCACCTCCCACTACACACACATCCTTTTCTCATCCATGTCCGTCTATACTTTCATAATCCTCCTTCTCCAGGAAGTCCTCCCTGACCTCTACTTTATGTCACTCCCCCTGGCCTCAGTTCATAGCTCCCTAAGCTGACTTCTGTCAAGGCCCTCCTTATGTGGGGCCTCCTTAAGGCTCTCCCTTCTCTTAGAAGCTCCTTGAGGAGAGAGACCTTGTCTTTTCATCCCAGAATCCCTGCTTCCTGGCTCACAGCAGGGCCTTGTGGAAGGGAAGACATGAATGGCCCAGAGGGAAGCACTCAGTTTGGGGTTGGGTGAGGCCTTGTGTGTGCTTGGCCGGGCAAACACTCTAGACTGTCAAAGTTGTGCCCACCCCCACACATCCAGACAGCCCAGCGCAGACACTTTACCTCCCCCTCAAGAGCCACCACCCTCTCTCAACTGCAAGCCCCCATATGGGGGGGAATGGGGCATGGGGGGGATGGAGGAGAGGACTGCCCTCCAGATGTTGTTGGAAATCCAACACGTCCCCTCCACCCTCCCTCTCCCACTTCCCGCTCCATTTCCCCTAAATATTTACCGATTTTTATTTACATTCTTTGCCTGAGGTGCCCGGCCCCTGTCAGGTCCCATTTGCATGCCCTTGTTCCCTCCTGCCAGCTCCCCTCCTCATCCCTCAAATCCGAAGCCAGGAGTTGTGTGTGGTTGGGTGTTGGGGGTGGTGAAACCTGCGGGCTGGTAGCTCTGGGAAGGGCTGGGCAGGGGGGTGCGGGGAGGGGTAGGTCAGCAACAGGGCCAGCTTGCCTGTAGACTCCCCCCTGCCCCCAATCTGGGATCGCTTTAGCCACCCCCCTTTGTTTCACAGGGACTTCTGGAAGGGACTGATGGATTCCAGATGCCAGGAGCACCGTCACCCAGGGATGACTCTGAGGGTGGGGAGGAGGGAGAGCTGGGACAGACATAACAGGGGCTGAGACAATTCTGTTCCTGGCATGTTGGGTGGCTACTTGGGAGCTGCCCACCCACTCTGGGCCTCTGTTCTCCCACTGACCAAGGAGCCTGGAAACATGATTTTCCACTCCATTCCCAGGCTCCCAGCCCCACTTCCGCCTCTACCCCTCTTAGCTATTGAACCAATTTTTGTTGAACACCTACTATGTGTCAGGACCTGTCTCTTGTGCTGACACGTCAACAAAACAACAGACCATTATTCTTGCCCTGCGGAGCTTGCTTTCTCGTGGGAGAGAGTAAATAAATCATGGGGGATGTTAGAAAGTTATAAGTTCCGTGACTAGGGGAAAAAAGCAAGGTGAAGGAAGTCAGGAGGGCCAAGAATGGGGCTAGGGAAGTGTTGCAGTTTTACATAACAACGTCAGAAGGCAAGACTTGAGCAGAGCTTTGCAGGAAGGGAGAGAGTGAGAGTGGAGCTGGGTAGGGAAGGAGGTTCCAGACAGAGGAACAGCCTAAGAAGCATGCGATGCGATGCAGACTGGGAAGAAGGCCAACATGGCCTCAGCAGTGGGAGTGGCAGTGAGGGGCATAGGAGAGGAGAGCAGGGAGGATGGTTTGTGGTTTTTCTGAGTGGGATGAGAGCCTCTGCACGGTTCTGAGCAGAGAGTGACACAACCAGACCTGTTAATACAACAGGGTGATTCCTGCCTCCCTTGCAATGCCCCCTCCACTCTGGTCACGCTGCCTTTCCTTATTTTGCTGTCTCCTGCTTCTCAGCTATTACCCTGGGATGTGGTCCTCTCTCCCTATGATTCTCTGCCTGTACTATCTCCCTCCCAGGTAGCCTGTGGCTTCTATAAAGCTCATCTCCTCCTGGAAGCCCTCCAGGATTGCTCAGAGGAGTCTGACTGGCTCTGCCTGGACAGTAGATGTCTTTTTCCTTCTCCCTTCCCATGGGAGGGATGCTAAAAAGGGAGATGGTGATGCCTCCCTGGGGCCACTCAAGAACCAAGGGAGGGTGAGTCATTTTCTAGAGGTGCCTCCCCAAATAGCCAATATCCTGCCTCTCATGAGCCTTTCTACTGAGTTTTTCATGGACACTTCTGTCTTCCCTTTCCTTCCTCTTCATCCTTCTCCTTCCCACCAGAGACACCTTCCCTCCACCCTGTAAGCATGTAAGCAAGGGACTGAAGCCTCCCACTTCTCTTCTCTGGGGTGTGCCTGGGGAGGACCATCTCAAAAGTAAAGAGGTAGCAAGCGCTAGGCTCCCAAAACCCAAAGACCAGACCCCTGCGAGAGTACAGCAGCAGTGGGACTGTGGCGGGATTCACTGCTCTAACTGGCACCCTCCTCCACACCCTCCACATCCAGTCTCTGTGGGGCTGCTTGCTATGGGGCAAACTCTGTTTTCAAATAGTGACCAATTGCTGGCCCAAGCACAGAGCTGGTGGCATTCTCTTCCAGTAGGGCACAAACTGTGGCTTCCCCAGCTAGCCTCGGGCACTTAACCATCTTCCCTTCCCGGGTTGCCGAGGGCTCTGAGCTCCTGGTCCTGCCTTGGTAAATAACCGTCTTCCCGCCCTGGGGAGCCAAGGGCTCTGAGCTCCTGGTCCTGGCTTGGTTAAGGCTTTGCTCACTCATTCAGGCCCCACTCAAACAACTATTTATTGAGCACCTACTATGTGGCAGGCACTGGGCTAGGCTGGCTCTTGCCCTCATGGAGCCTGCAGTGTAATGGGGAGCAGACATCAATCAAATAGCCACCCAAATGCAGTCAGGATGACAGCTGTGGTCAGTGCCAAGAAAACGAAGAACATGATGCCCTAAGAGTATGTACAGGGGATTTGACCGGCCAGGGAAGCTGGGGGCCTTCCCCAACAAGGTGATGTCTGAGTTGAAACCTGAGGGGATGGAAGAACAGCCCAGGCAGAGGAAACAGTATGTGCAAAAGTCCTGTGGCAGGAGGGAGCATATACAATGTGCTGGGAGAAGGCAGACAAGGCCGGAGTGCAGAGAGAGGAGTGAGAGGTGGATGGAGACTGACAACGCGAGGGCTTCTAGGTCATGTTTAAACCCTTGATCCAAGAACAGAGGAAGCCTCTTTGCATTTTGGAGTTGTGTTGGGTGTGGAGGGGGTGATATGATCATCTCAAGTTGGCTGCAGATCGGGGGTAATGAGAGCGGAGGTGGAGGTGGGAATCCTGTTAGGAGGTAGTGGCAGTGGTCCAGGAGAGAGCTGATGCTGGCTGGAACTAGCAGTTGGCAGGGGATTAGATAAGGGTGGTGTCAAGAATGACGGCTGGATTCCTGCCTGCAGCGTTTCTCACCTGTAAAGAGGAAAGAAACAGCTCGACTTTCTCCTGGTGACAAATGAATTAACGGAGACAAAAATTATCTCAGGCAGGCATTGGTGTGAGCTGTGAGAGTAGCGCAGCTTGCTCTCCCCAGGCAGGTAGTTGTATCTTGGTTCTACCCCACATCCTTCAGGCTACCCATACCCATACAGAACCTGATGATAAAACCTTGTACTGAAAACCGCAGTGAGCGTGATTTAGATTAGACTGCTGCCAACAGGGCTGGAGGAAGCTGTTGGTGGAACTAGGGCCAGGGGATGAAAGAGCAGACAGAATCCAGGTGGAGGGCCACGTGCCTGGAGCACAGGAGAAAAGCTGTAAACACCTCACAGAACAGTTCAGGATCTGGTGAAGCTGGCAGTGGCCTGGGAATTAAGAAAGCCCAGGTGGAGGGAGCTTCAAAGGAAATTCCATACTCTGTACCTGCAAAGGTGATGCTCTTCAAAAACCTCAACCTGGGCCGGGTGCAGCGGCTCATGCCTATAAACCCAGCACTTTGGGAGGCCAAGGCGGGCGAATCACGACTTCAGGAGTTCGAGACCAGCCTGGCCAATGTGTTGAAACCACGTCTCTACTAAAAAAAAACATACAAAAATTAGCTGGGCATGGTCTCGCGCGCCCGTAGTCCCAGCTACTCCGGAGGCTGAGGCAGGAGAATCACTTGAACCCGGGAACTGGAGGTTGCAGTGAGCCAAGATTGCGCCACTGCACTCCAGCCTGGGTGACAGAGTGAGACTCCGTCTGAAAAAAAAAAAAAAAAAAAAAAAGAACCTCCACTTCTTGCTGATGGAGGAAATAGAGCATGCCCAGAACACAGGGAGATGGAGTGGCCAGGATGCAGGGTATAGGCACAAGAGCTGGGCAGGCACACAGGGAACACACCTGTGGGGGTGGAGATGACTTGAGGGGCCTTCCTAGAGGAGAAGGAAGAGGTGGAGAGAAGGAGGAGATACTCAGATGGATTTGGGGAATGCTGGATATGTCAGTCTTCTCTGGCTCAGCTGGGGTTTGCTCATTTAAGCTGACAGTGAGTTGGATGTTGAGTGATATTGACACCCCACCCCCACCCCCAATTCAGCACCTCCCTCCAGGATCCCACGTTGCTGTCAGTTTCCAGGCCTTTAGTAAAATGATGGTGGGCTCATCATTCAGCCCCTTCATTACCCTTTCCTCCTCTCCCGCTCCAGTTTATAACTCCACCCACTTTGGAAGATCTGCATGCTCTGCTCCCTGCTCCCACCTGCTCCTCCCTGGCCAAGGCCCAGAGTAGCCCCCATAGTGAGCACCCACTTGGCTGGGAGCTCAGGGTCTACTGTGCCTCTGGTTCACATGTTGGCATTTGAGGAGGGCCTGAGTCATCTTGGTCTTCCCTGAGCATTGCTCTACCCGAAAAGAGGCCCCTGGCGGTAGGGGGACCAACCTTCGCCTTAGGTGTTGAAGTCAAGTGCAGGAAGGATTTCCTGGGCTACAAAGGGTGACAGCTGAGGGTGTGGAATTCGAGGAATCAACTTATGTGCTCCATGTTGTGTGGAAAGTCCATAGCTGAGGGCTTGGCTGGGGGAGGGTATTGCCTCAGAGAGGAACAGGGACCACAGCAATAGACGGGCAAACAAATGGCTGTCAGCACCACCCACACAGCCAGACGGAACATTTGCATCTCACTGTGAACACAGCGCCTGGCCCAGAGTGCTCCTCCAGTGAATGCCTATGGAGAGAAGAGAGATTTTGCTTCCCAGTTCAATTTTCCTCTTGATCTTCCTGATCCTCTAGTTCCTTGTCTACCAAATGGGGTGGTAATCTCTACTTCCTATCTTGTCAGATTGTCATGAAGAACAAACTAACCAATGATGGCAAAAGTGCTTTGTAAACACTTTGTAAACTCTGTATGAAAACATACAGGAGGACCGAGCCCAGCACAGTGCCTGGCCCACAGAGGCTGCTCAGTATTGAATAAATGAACGAATTACCTAATCCCTACAAGAAGGTATGCTCCCCACAGGCACAGACCCAGCCTGTTTCTCCTCAGCACTGTTTCCCCAGTTCCTAGCATGGGGAAGGTGCCTGACAAGTATTTGCATGGAGTGAATGAATGAATGGTGAGACTTAATCCTATCTTCGGGGATCTTCGAGAACTTTGGAGGTGGTGAGGCTGATACCCCAGGGCAACAAACCACGCTGGCTCAATAACCCTGAAGGCAGCTATTATTTCCCCATTTACAGATGAAGAAACAGGCTTAGAGAGATTGAGTGACTTACCCAAGGCCCCACAGCACCTAGTCAGTGATGGATCAGGATGGGAATCCCGGACTCGGCCTCCGATGCCCATGCTTTTTCTACCACAGAAGGCTCCTGCTGCTGGGGATCCGGTGGAGCACTGGCCTCCGTGACCATCCCCTGGACAAGCTGGAATGTTCTTTTGTGGTGGGAGGATATGTCATAACTGCACAGCATCTCAGCGACTCTGCAGCAGGAGGCTGCTGGGTTCATTAAGAGGCCAAGATTCACTCAGGATGTGCCAGGTCTAGAAACACACACGTGCCCAGGACATCTGTGTCTAGATGAAGAGACTGAAGGCAGAGAGGAGAGCTGCTGATGGACTTTCCTGACCCACAAGTCTCTGTCATGTCTGCACACAGCCAGCACCTTCCCTTTTGCACCCTGAGCCATCTCAGTCTCCCACAGACCATGTTCCCTTGGGCAGGGACTCATCACACAACCGCTGCCCTTCCCCTCCCCGACTGAACTTCAGGCTCTACCATGCAGCTCACTGCTTCCCAAAGTATGTTCTGTGGGACTATGTCTTGGGCTGTTTGTAGACATTGCTTGCAAAAAGATTGCCTGTGATGGAAAAAGCTTCGGAAAACTGTATCAAATATGCTAACCTGGCTGCATGCTAACCTTGCAGGACTTCTCAGATCCCTGATTATGCTCATAGGGCATGTGAATCTCCAAGGGCTGGGGAGCTTCAGTAAAGAGCATTTTCTACATTTATTTTGGCCCTAAGCTGTTTCTTCAGGAGCATCTCTTGGGACTGTTGTGCCCCAGGGCACTCTTGGGAAGTCATTGCTGTAGCTGTGGAGAGTCCCTGAGGCATTTCAGCAGAGTCAGAGGATCCGATCAGTCAGTGTCTTAGGAAGACTGTAGGGTGGACTGGAGGAGCCAAGATGGGAGGCAGAGAGGGTACTTAGGAGGCTGCATCAACAGTCTGCAAAAGAGGAAAAGAGCCCTCCTGCCAGCCGGGCACCATGCTAAACTGGGGTGTCTGTCTTCAGTGAGCTTGCAGTTGAAGCAGGTGGGCTGAGCGCCCACCAGGAGCTCTCCTCCAAGGCAGAAGATGCTAAGTGCTGCAAATGGAGCCGCATCGTCAATCCAAGAAGACTCTTGATAACTTATTCAACTGGCACTCCGTGGCTTTGGCCAGCTTCCTTTCATTTTCCTTTTCAGGAATCAATAAATAATTTGAAGTTGTCAGGTGGTACTTCGTTGTTGTTTTTATAACCCTCATTGATAGGGTTGATGGTCTCAGTGTTCATTCCCAAAAGTCACGTGAGGTCAGTCTACTGCCTCACTGGGGCATTGCAACTGAATGGGGAGACTTGGCTCTAAGGCTTTAAAGTGGTAAATGCCCAGTTTATTTTTAGTCTATTGTGTTGTCACAGGTTCAGTTCCATGGCACTGAGGACAGTTTAGGTTCAGCCAGCCCTAGGGTATAGGTAGGACTTAATAACATCTGCATCCTCTCCTGCCCCCAGCCTCTGCCCCTATCTTGCACTCACTCTGCAGCTCCATTTCATGGGATAATGTAATGGGCTAATTCCGCACCCCCTCCTCCTTCCTCCCCAGGTGGATCAGGGAGCAACCAGGTCCCCAGAAACACTGGACAACAGCAGTCTTTCTTTTTTTTCTTTTTTCTTTTTTTTTTTTGAGACAGAGTCTCACTCTGTTGCCCAGGCTGGAGTGCAGTGGTGTGATCTCAGCTCACTGCAACCTCCACCTCCCAGGTTCAAGCGATTCTCCTGCCTCAGCCTCTGGAGTAGCTAGGATTACAGGCACGTGCCACCATGCCCAGCTAATTTTTGTATTTCTAGTAGAGACAGGGTTTCACCAGGTTGGTCAGGCTGGTCTTGAACTCCCGACCTTGTGATCCACCTGCCTCGGCCTCCCAAAGTGCTGGGATTACAGGCATGAGCCACCGCGCCCAGCCCGAGCAGTCTTTCTTCACTGTCCCTCCAAAGAGTCAATGTGGGAGACTGCCTGTTCTGTATTAGTCTTCCATCTGCAACTTGGCTATTCATTCAACGATTGTGGCTGTCAGGGTACTTTAGAGTGAGCATTGGGCTGCAAGTCAGGACATTTGGGATCTGGTCCTGCCTCTGCCGCTACTGTGTGACATTCTCTGGGCCTCAGTTTTCTCGTATGGATAATAGGTATTTGGGTCTTTTCCTTTGACTTGCTGTGATTCTCCTGAAACCCCTTCCTCCAGAGATCATCTCTGGGTTCACAGCTGGGGACATTGGAAACACCTTGGGAGGCCGAGGTGGGCGGATCACCCAAGGCCAGGAGTTCAAGACCAGCCCAGCCAGCACAGCGAAACTCTGTCTCTACTAAAAAGATAAAAATTAGCCAGGTGTGGTGGCACGCACCTGTAATCCCAACTACTCAGAAGACTGAGGCAGGAGAATTACTTGAACCCAGGAGGCGGAGGTTGCAGTGAGCCGAGATTGCACCACTGCACTCCAGTCTAAGTGACAGAGCGAGACTCCATCAAAAAAAAAAAAAAAAAAAAAAAGGAAACACCTTCTCCTCCCTGCCCCAACAGGTTGAATTGGAATGGGATCCTTTCCCTCAGTCCCTGTTTCTCTTTGGAACCAACCTGGAAAACAGATTTGTTTCCAACATAAAAATCTAGTTGAGTCACTCCCCTTTTCAACAACCTTCAGTGGCTCCCTATTGGCTTCAGGATAAAAGCATCTTTAGAATGACATAAAAGGTCCTTGGTGATCCAGCTTCTGCCTACTCTCCAAGCACCTCTCCTGCCTCTTGGCCACATTAGGCTTCAGCTTCCTGAATCTCACTGCAATTCCCCAAAAGGTTCATGTCCTATCCCTGTGCCTCACGCATGCTGGTTTTTTTTGTTTGTTTGTTTGTTTTCTGCTCAGAAGAGCTTCCTCCTGTTTGTTTGTCTCACAAGTTCCTATTTGGCCTTCAAGTCTGGCTCAAGTTCTAGCTCCTCCATAAAGCCTTCCCTGTTTTCTGAGCAAATACTAGGTGTAACTCACTGTGTCAAGCAGTCTCCATGCACCATCATTTAATTCTCACAACTCCATGAGATAGGTGTCATTATTTTTCCCACTTTACAGATGCGGAAACTAAGGCATAGGTAGGGCATAGTAATACCTGCATTCTTCCCTGTCCCCAGCCTCCACCCCTATCCCACACTCACTCTGAAGCTCTGGTTCACAGGGATAACGCAATGGGCTAAGGCAGCACCCCCTTCACCTCCCCAGGTGGATCAGGGAGCAACCTGGTCCCCTGTAAGTGACTTGCCCAGCATCACAAAATGAGCAGTCAGGATCAAGACCTCACTTCTTTCTGGCTCCAAAACCCCAAGTATTCCCTTACTTCTGGCTCCTGTCCCCATGCAGATTGCAGCTTGTATATACCAACCACCAAAAATCACTCTTTTACTATGTGGTTCTTATGTGTTTGCATGTCTGTAGTCCCACTAGACTGGAAGCTCCTTGAAGGCAGGGCTGTGATGATTAAATTGGTATGTGCTTGACACATCACGGATGTGCAATTAATGCTGGGTAAGGATGAAAGAAAGTGGAGGGGAAGACTCACTGGGTTCCCTACTGGAGCCCACAAAGCCTCTCACCCCAAAGCCTTGTGTAATTAGTTTGTAATTAATTAGCAATTAGTTACCTATTGCTGCCGTAACGAATTGCCACAAATTTAGTGGCTTATAAACAAATTGAGCTCAGAGGTCAGAAATCTGAAATGGGTCAGCAGGGCTGGTTCCTTCTCAAGGGGAGAATTGGTCCCTTGCCTTTTCCACTGACTAGAGGCTGCCTGCATTCCTTGGCTCATGGCCCCATCCTCATATCACTCTCACCTCAGCTTCTGTCCTCACATCTCTGTGAGTCTCCTGTCTCCCACTTTCCCTGATAAGAATACTTATGATGACACTGAGCTCATCCAGACCATCCAGGATATTCTCCTCATCTCAAAATCCTTAATTACATCTGCAAAATCCCTTTTGCCATGTAAGTAACATATTCACAGGTTCTGGGGATGAGAATGTGGACATTTTTGAGGGGCCATTATTCTGCCCACCAGACCCTGGAAACTGAGAATGAGTCAATTTGGAAAGAATGAAGACTTCTGCAGTCTCAAGTGAGCCCTCTGTCTGGCCTCATCTGCAATCATAGGGATGGGACTGTAGGAGGAGACAGGGTCTTGCTCCGTCACCCAGGCTGGAGTCCAGTGGCTTGATCACCACTCACTGCAGCTTCAACCTCCTGGGCTCAAGCAATCCTCCCACCTCAGCCTCCAGAGTAGCTGGGACCACAGGCACACACCACCACGCCCAGCTTGAGGGACATTCTGTGAGCCCAGGATTCTACCCCTGAAGCAGGAGAGATTGAGGTCAGACCACAGGAGTACCATCTCCTTTTCTTGCCATGGGTGACACCTGCCCATCCAACTCCAACTTTAACTCTGACTATCCCCAAAGCCCCCTCAACCTCCACTGAGCTAAAGTCTTGTTTCTGAGACCAAGACTGGTGCCAGGGATCCAGGGACACCCCCTCTCCCACATTGCCTTTGCCTTCCTCTCCCGGTGCGGGACAGCAGGCTCTGTCTTGGGGGTTCTGTGTACGCACAGAGCCCCGCCAGCGTGACTCAAATGGGGCACAGGGACCCTTGAGTCCTCCTTGGGTGTCTTCAGCAGGAAAAAACAAAGGATAAAATATGGTTCTGCTTCTCACTGGAAGATTTTTCAGGGAAAAGTTTGATAATTTAACTGGGAGGTAAAATATTTTCATATTGAAATAACATGGACATGTTATGGAGAAGAATACAAAATTGGCCAGAATTTTGGAAATAAAACTGGAGAATCCATTGCTGGGCAGCCACTGAAGGAAAAGCTGGAGGAAACAGAGTGGGGTCCTCTACTGGGGGCCCGGGGTCGGAGTGGGGCCGCACTGAATTGTTTAGAGAGAAAACAGGTGTGTGCGTGTGTGTGTGTGTGCGCGTGCGCGTGTGTGTACTGAGGGCAGCCAGGAGTGAGGGGAATCTGGGGAGATGAATGGCAAATCTGTGTAGAATGAGGCCTGGGGGAGGTGGGGGTGAGGAAAATGGGCCTCTGTTCCTTCCGTCCAGCTTCCCCGCCCGCCCCGCCACCCGCAGTCCTGCCTTCACCACTTCTTCCTTCAGAGCCTTAACTGGGACCTCTTGCAGGAGAGGCAGATGTTTCTAGATGAGGCCAGATGCTGAGAAACAGGGAGGAACTGGCCCCTCTGGGCTTGGATGCAGTGGGGAATAAAAGCAGGACAGGAAATGCGTGAGAAGGGAGTGTGATCTCCAGCCAGAGCCCTTCTATGCATGGGCCCAGCAAATCCTCACGGCAACTGGGGGAAGCAGGTGTCAGGCCCAGTTTACAGATGAATAGTTGAGGCCCGGCACCACCATCTCAGCTTCTGAGGTTGCCCATTTCTCCGCCCCAGCCCTTTTACCCCCTTTCCACACTCTGGCTTGGGTTTTCTGCTTTCAGATGGACGAATCCATCCCATACCTCCCCCACAGAATCCCCCTTCTCCCTTTCAGTCTCACATAGACGCTTCCTCCCTTTTTCCTTGCCTTGCTCCCCTGTGCTCTCCTTTCCTCCTCCTCCAGGAAGCTCACCTGAGGCCATTTCCCAGCTCTGTTCTGCTGGTCTATCTCTTCTTCTACTTGCTCCCCTCCCGCAATCAGACCGGGAGCCCCCTGTAAGCTCAGACTGTTCCTCCCATCAGATCACCTAACTAGTTCAAGGCTCAGGACTTCTCACTTACAGTCTTTGTTGGGGCGGGACAGGCTAGTCCCCCATGGCAGGCGCTGGGCATGAGAAGAGGTACAAAGGGAGCCGCCTGGGGGCCCCAGATGAGGAGAGAGTCTTGGCTTCGTCCCCAGCCCCATAAAGAAGGATGTTAACAGCCTCTTAGGGAGTGGGCGAGGGGCGATCAAAGGGGTGGCCGGGGGCTCACTGCTGAGGGAATGGCTCCGTCCATGCTCAGGGTCAATGCTGGCACCTCCTTTCTGCCCCACCAAATGGAGTGAAATACTGGGAGGCTGCTGATGAAAAAAGAGTGGCTTATTCCAGGTCCCTACTCCTTCCTACCACTTCCCCCAATCAGGGTCTCCTTGGACGCCCCTCCCAAAAAAGGTCCATGTCTTCCCCTCCCAGGACACCCTAGCAGCTGTTTGTTTCCTTCCATGGAGTGAGTGAGGACTGAGTGGTATCAACTGGGAGAGAAGGAGGGGAAGGGGAGGGAGGCCCCAGCTGGCCTACAACAACCTGTGCTCCCACCAGCCTGAGTGCCCAAACCAGGATCTGAGAGAGGCTGGAAGGCCTGCCTGGAAGTGAGAAGTTGGGAAGCAGAGCCAGACAGGGACTGCTATGGGAAAAAATCCAGAGAAAGCCAGCAAGGCGTGGAGGAACCCAGGGGCTGGTGGTGGAAACCTGGATAGAGGGGTCGGAGGTGGTAAACAGGTGGTGGGTGGACTGAGGCTGGCAGAACCCTTGGTGGGAGCACCTTGTATATGCCAGGACTATGGCTCTTGGGGATGGTAAACTCATTATTTTATAGGTGGGGAAACAGAGGCTCAAAAGCAAAGAAGGACTTAACTCAGAACCATATCAACACGAGTCAGTGGCAGGGCCAGGACTAGGACCCACGTCTGGACTTGGGAACAAGGAGCAAACGGCTTGTCTCCAGCACCCTGTGTCCATCTAAACTTACAACAATGAATTTCTCTTGAACATTATATCATGTGCATTTTCACTGCACCTACATTCTCTGTGTCCTTCTCCCCGAGATTCTAATACCAGGCTTTTTCCCTTCCATTGCTCCATCCCTGAACCCCAACCCACCTGGGCCTTGCTCTGCCTATAGAACCCCCTGGACCAGCCCTGGGAAAGGATGCCACACCCACCCCATTCACTGCCTGGGAGTCTCCATCCCCCTGTCTCCTGCCTCTGGCCACACCCTTGATTTTCACAATTCACTGACTCAGGAGAGCTACAGCCATCCTCTCAGTGTATGTCTGTCCTGACCTCTTCTCCAGCTGGTCCCTTATTTTCTCAGAAGTCACTTCCTGGGAGAATGGCTTGTGTGTCCTGGACAGCCCACCTCCAATGCACAGCTCTTGTTTCTCATTCACATACCATGCCAACCGTTGAGGGCCCTGCCCAGGCCATGGAACCAGAAAGCAACAAATTCATAAAACATCAGAGCTGGAAGGGACCTTAGAAGCATCATCTACCCTCTACCTCATTAAACAGATAAGGAAACGGAGGGCCACAGAAGAGAGGTGACTTGTTCATGGTCTCCCATGGAGGTTCAGAATCCAGATTTCCTGACTCCAATCTGTGTTCTCTGTGTGGCTTGTCCATGTGGTTGTCCAGGTCAGGTACCTGTGGGTCCAGGGGTCACATAGACTCTGGCCAACTCCCAGATTGCCTTCTGGCAAGACTTCTTAAAGTGGATGGCTTCATCTCGGGAGACAGGCCAAACAGGAAGGTGGAGAGTAGAGAAAGAGGAGAGAGGGCAGCTCACCCATCCATCAAACCAGTATTGAACATGTCTAACGTGCCAGACCCCATCACAGAAGCGGAGCTGAGCAAGTCATAGCCCCTGCCCCAGGCCTCTTAGGCAGGGAGGGGGCAGACACTCTGCTAACCGCACTACTGTGTGTGGAAGTGCTAGGCTAGCAATTTGAGCAAAGTGCTTGGAGGAGCACAGAGGAGAGGGCAATTCATCCTGCCTGGGCAGGGTGGGGGAAGCTTCAGAGATGGTGGAAGGAGGAGACTGCAAGTTGCCAGGTGGAGATAGGGAAAGGGCATTCCTAGCAGAGCTGACAGCAGGAGCCAAGGCTGAGAGGAGGGAAGATCCTTGGTACATTCTGGGCAAGGCGAGCAATCCCATGTGCCCAGCAACTTACTGGATCCTGAGGGGCAAGTGGCCAGAGGTGGGTTTAGAAAGGTATTCTGTGCCCACCTGTGAAGGCCCTTTAGTGCTCTATCTTTTTGAAACTTTTGATTTACTTATTTATTTTTTTGAGACAGAGGCTTGCTCTGTCACCCAGGCTGGAGTGCAGTGGCGTGGTCTTGGCTCACTGCAACCTCCACCTCCCAGGTTCAAGTGATTCTCGTATCTCAGCCTACCAAGTAGCTAGGATTATAGACGTGTGCCACCACACCCAGCTAATTTTTGTATGTTTAGTAGAGAAGGGGTTTCGCCATGTTCCCCAGGCTGGTCTCGAACTCCTGGCCTCAAGTGATCCACCTGCCTCGGCCTCCCAAAGTGCTGGAATTACAGGAGTGAGCCACCATAACATTTTATCTTGAAAGTACTGGGGAGTCAATTTTTTTTTAAGGTAGAAAGTGAAGTATTCAATTGCACTTGAAGAAGTGCACTCTGGCAGCAGCACAGAGGAAGGAATTGAAGGGAAGGACCCTGGAGACCCACTGGGAGAGTACTGAAATTTTCCAGGTGAGAGAGGCCCAGGGTCTGAGCCATACCACTGACACACAGCTGGGAAGGAGAGGTCCCATGAGGGTCCCATTTCACAACAAAACTGGCCAGATTCCACACCCACATGCCTGGTCAGATGTGGAATGGGAAAAGGCAGAGGGAGGAGTATCCCCATGTTGCTGGCTTGGGCAGCCAGTGGCTAATGGTACCTTTTGCAGAGAAGAGAGGAATGGGCTGGGGAGGCAGGGATAATGAGCTCAGGTCTCAACACAGTGAGTTAGAGGTCCCTGTGGGACAGCTGGTTGGCCATGTCACACAGGCAGGTGGATGAATGAGGCTGCTTTCAGGACAGAATCAGAGTTGTGTGGCTCAGAGATCATCTACTCAAGCTCTGAAGCAAAACAGACCTGGGTTCCAATCCGGCTCCTATGTTCTTACTTGGGGTCCTTGGACAAGTCTCTTATCCTCTCCAAGCCTCAGTAATCTCAGCTATAAAATGGGGAAAGTAATAGCAATGATCAAATGAGACCAAGTCATGGTCAGCCTTGTCACATAGCAACAAGCTCTGGCTCTTTCTCCCTCCACCTTCTTTGACTCCCTCAGTGCAATTCTAGTTCCCCAAATTCATTCCTACCTAAGAGGGTCCAGACAGAGGACTTCCTCCCCTGCCACTACCTTGATGCCAACCATTGACCAGTCATATTAGAGTCCAGCTTTGGGGCCTCAGCCGGCTGCGAAGAACATCAATACAGAGACTCCCAAGGGCTCAGGCAGGAGGCTCTAGGCTCTGGCTAGGCTGACAGGGTGTGGTTGTTCACTACCTGGCCGAGCTAGGTCTCTGATATGCTCTTGCCTTCTGTGGGCTTCCACTCCCTCCTCTGCTAGAGGAGGGGACAAGTTTGGATGGCAGGAGTTGGCCTGGGTGATCCCTGGAGCCCGGTCCAGTGCTCCTATTTCTTAGGACCTGGCAACGCAGGTCTAGCCTCTGCTCGGGAAGATGAAGGAAAGGGGCAGGCGCCCTGCTCCCTGGCTGCGCTAAGGGGTCACTGGCGGGGTCTTTTCTCACGGTGAACCTGTCTGGAGGGTGGACGGGGCAGGTGGGAGGGCCCGTGTCAGGGAGCGTCCAATGCCCTCGCGCCA
This sequence comes from Homo sapiens, assembly GCF_000001405.40. Taxonomy (NCBI): domain Eukaryota; kingdom Metazoa; phylum Chordata; class Mammalia; order Primates; family Hominidae; genus Homo; species Homo sapiens. The sequence goes on from NC_000017.11 coordinate 49,470,042, forward strand.
TGCAAATGGCACGCAAATGACCCGCATGCGGCCCTGCCCACCGCAGCTTCCCGGGGCGAGGGTCTTCGCAGCGGTTCTGAATAGAAAGGGCGCTGGGGACGGGGGAGGCCGTCCAGAGAGAAGCAGCACTCCCCACCCTGCCAGGGCCAGGACCCCACTTTTGTGGAAGGGAGGAGCGAGTCGGCCCTAATGGCTCATGATTCATCGCTGGGCTCTTGTCTGAGCTAATTGGCTGGGCCAGCGACTGATTCATGGCAGGGAGCCGGGCTCTCGGGGACCCCCGTGTCCCTCCCCCGCGCCTCCCGCCCAGGAAAGGCTGCGTGAGGCTTTTAGACCCAGGATCCGTTCCAAGGGACCGCTGCCCGGCATCCATCACGGCTGACAGACTGGGGATCGGGGTGGGGGAGGGGACGCCGACACGGAGCTGCCATCGGATGCGACGGACCCCACCGAGCACCCCAGCCACGGAGCGGCTTCCGCGGGCAGCCTGGGGCCTGGGCGGGGTCCTAGGGAGTGACACTGGGGACATCCAGGCAGGTGTGAGTGGTGAGAGGTGGCCTCCGAGAGTGTGGGGAGATGGGATGCAGCTGGAAAGTGGGAAGAGCATTGGGGGCAGGAGGAGAGGCTTTGGGAACAAGAGAGGGTGGGGCTCAAAGAGAACAGAGATCTGTCCCAGGGTGCTCTGAGCTTCATCTCAAGTTGCCCAGAACAAAAAAGACCTAAGGCTTTGTTTGAGAAATTGCTGTGTGACCTTTGGTAAGTCACTATCCAGCCTGAGCCTCCACATCTCAGGACCTTTAGTGGAAGAGGATCACCCCCAGGCATAGGCACTCTTGGGAACTTCCTTTGGCAGCCTCTTGCTCCAGGCATCCAAGAATCCCTGTACTGTCATTAATTCATTACACTTCACAATGACAAAAAATGTCCACCAGTGCCTGCCCTCCTGGGTCCAGGGATGGGCTGAGGCTCTGCTCCCTGGACAGAACAACCCCCAACACACACACACCCATTCTCCTCCAGAGTATCTCACCACATAGAGAGATTTTCAAGTTCTCCAAGGCCGCTAATGTCTCCACCCCACATCTGGGCCGAGGCAGGGCATGAAAGCACACACCCACCAGGCTGGAGGGGGAGGGCAGCTGTCCACCCTGACTGTCAGAAATAGAGCAGACTCTGGGCAGGGGCTGGGCAGGGTAGGGCAGGGCTAGGGGTTGGAAGGGGCCTAGCTGAAGCTCAGGAAATATCTCCTGCTGGAATCCATGAATGAATACTGCCTGCAGCCTCCGCAGAGGGAGCCCTGGACTTGCAACAGCAGGGGATGAATGGAGAATGCAGCCCGCAGCGAGGCACCACCAGCCTCTCCGTGGCTCCAGCCAAAAGCTCAGGCGTCATCTCTACTCCTCCCTTTGACCCTCAGCGACAGTCAGTTGTCAGTAAAGACTCCTGGCTCTGATTCTAAACTAAACATAGAATCAGGCTCTTCTCTCTGTGTCCACTGCCGCCAGCAGCTCTCAGCCAGACACTGCAACAGCACGGGTCTGCTCTCCCCTCCTGGCTTCCACGCTGGCACCTGCAATCCATTCTCTGCACGACAGCAGGAAGGATCTTTTAGATATAAATCAGACCTCGTCACTCTGCTACTCAAAACCCTCTCATGGCTTTCCATCACATTTAGGAGAAAATTCAACCTCCTTGCCTTACCTTCCAAAGCCATATGCAATCTAGCCCCTGGCTACCTCTCTGACCCCACCTCTGGCCAGTCTCACTCCACTTACACTGGCCTTCCTCTTCTGGCTCTAAATCTACCAAGCTCATTCACATTCAGGGATTTCAGGGTCATTCCCATTTCAGAACCTTTACACCTGCTGCTGTTTCTGCCCAGAATGCTTCCCCCACCCCCAAGTTCTAAACCTGGTTAGCTCCTTCTTGGCTTTCAGCCATCAGCTTAAGTATCACCTCCTCAGAGAGGCCCTCCATGACTACACCATCTGTCGCAGCCCCCAGGCACTGTCTATCATACCAGCCTATTTTATTATCTTCACCCTTATAATGATCTGATAAATTCTCATTTATTTGTTTAAAAATCTGCTGCCCTCCCTGCCCAGTCCTGTCTCCTGAGCCTTCTCTGTACTGGCTGCTGCTTTTGGGGGTTGTCTGGATCTCTCCTAGCACTCTGAGGGTTGAAAGAAGGACTCAAAGGGCAAGACTCGCCACCAGCTTTTCCTAATGGGGTATTTTGCCGCTTCTGCTTTTGTTTTTGGAAAGTTCGTCTTCTCCATATCCTCCCTGCAGCTGGACAGCTAGCCCTAACCGGTGGCCGGCCCACCCTGCATCCCACCCCATGGCCTCTCGCAGGCAGGAAGCTGAGGGGCAGAGCTGTGGTGGGAGGGTGGTCACCAGAAGGTGGCCCCTCTTTGCTCAGGGTCTCTGTGGCTTTGTAAGAGGACAGGTGGCTTTTGGGCTCTGAAGCTGGCAGGGAGGAGGACCCTGCAGCATCCAGGAGTCTAGCAGCTGCCCACATCTCCATGCCCAACCTCTGCCCCTGGGGAAGAGGAGTAAGAAGAGCTGTCTCAGGAGAGAGGATCCCACCCAGGAGGGGGTGGCCACGCCTTGCGGGACTGCCGGGCCAGGAAGTCCCTCTAACCTCGCCTCCATCCACTCTGCTGCAATTTGAGCTCTCGGGTGACCTGAGTGACCCTAATCCTCCCATAGGATTTATTTCCTTTCCTCCAACCCCACCACAGAGGAAACTGGGGGTTAGAGGTCAGGATAGAAGAGGCCAAGTTCATGTCCTCAGTGCTTAGAGGCCAGGGCCAACAGGAAGAGGCTCTGCTGTATAATTGGCAATAGGGCCAGAATGGAGGAACAAATCTCCATTTTCTGGAAGGAAAACTGAGGCGTGGAGGGCTGGTTCCACCTGCCTCAGTTTTCCTAAGGCCACCTGGGGACCAGGATCCTCCTGCCACTCCTGCCTTCCCCCTTTCCTGGAGGGCTCCAACTGCCTTCAGCCGCCACTGCAGACACCGTCCCCCATAGGGGGCCCCTGAGATGTCTAACACCCCCTGTGCCTCTTCCTTTCTCTTCTCTCTCCCCTAAGAAGGGATGGGCTTCCTGAAGGAATGTGGTGACCTCTGACCCTGGTGGTGGCCACTGCTGGCTCTGCCCAATGCCCACACCTGGGGGAGGCTGCTTGTCTCTGTAGTGGACCCAGTGGGTGCTCTGAGGCAAGTGGTGTTTCTTCTCTGAGTCTCAGTTTCTCCATTTGCACAGTAAGCCAAAGGGTCCCTCTGCAGCATTTGTTCTGTGAAGCCATCCAGCTGGGAGATGGGGGGGTCAATGTACACACAAGGGGATGGGACGTGCCCACACAGGGGAGTTGGGGTGGAGACTGCAGTGCCATTCTGAGATCTATCACCTTGGCCACTCTCTGGTCCTTTTAATTTAATTTTTTTTTACTAACCCTCTTCTTCCCCATGCCTGGCTCTGGTTAATTGCGAGAAAAAAAACTGGGGAGGGGGCTGTAGAAGAAAGGAGCAGAAGGCATGGGAGGACCCCCAGTCACCTCCTATCCTGTTCCAGCCATCAGCCACTGACCATCTGTCCCCAACTCACTGTCAGCCGAGGAGGGTGGCATGGCCCCACTCTAAGGGCTACCATTTGTGGAGAGACACAGGCCTCATCTCTTAGGGAGCCCCACGGGGAGGCACAGGTCCTGCCCTCAGGTCTTTTTTAAAGCAGAGTCTCCCTGGCCTAAGGTCATTCTTCCCCAAACTCTACTGATATCAAGACATGAAGATTATTTCTCTGATACTGGGAGAGACTTGGCAGCCACCCCAGCTCCTGGGGGCTCAGAGAGGGTGAAACCTGGGTCTGGGACCACCCTGTGAGTGAGCCACAAAGGTTGTATGTTGGGCTGAGCCCACCCTTGGGGACGCCAGAAAAAGGGCAAGAAACCCAACAGGTTGAATTTCTGAAAAATGCACCAGGATCAAGTATATGTTCTCAGCCATCTCAAGTGTGGTTTTAAATGGAAAACACCAGCCACCAGGGCAGAAGCATATTTAGATGAAGAAAGTCCCTCCCTCCCCCACCCGCCCGGGAGCTTTCTTTTTGCAAAGGCAAACGTGATTATATTTATTTTGCAGGCCTGGGAGGCCCAATTGTTACCCCTCCCCTTCTCCCCACTGCGGGACACAGATCTGGACTTTACCACCAGTGGTTTCTTCTGCCAGGAGCTTAGGGGTGGTGGAGAGTTGCTGGGCTCAGAGAGAAGGATCAGAGTTCCAGCCTCTGCTTTGGATGACCTGGAGAAACTAAATGAACTCAGTTTTCTCCATCTGTAAAATGGAGGTGATCAGATCTCCTCCTGTGGTCACCAGCCTGCAATATGGTGCGCAATGAACTTTGCATCCTGGAATCCATGCTCTGTGTCCCTTCCCACACTGCACAGGGCTCATGTCTATGACCGATTGAATATTGCAGAAACGATTGTGTGAGATGTCATAAAAGACACACCTTCCTCCTTGTTCTTTCCTAGATCACTTGCTTTACAGGAAGCCAGCTGCTATGTTGTAAGGACACTCGAGCAGTCCTATGGGGAGGCCCATGTGCTGTCAGGATCACAGCCAGCCAGGTGAGACAGCCATCTTAGAAGTGGCTCCTCCACCCCAGTCAAGCCTTCAGATGACTGCAGCCCCAGGTGACACTTGACTACAATCTCTCCAGAGATCTCTAGCCAGAACTACCCAGCTAAGTTGCTCCCAGATTCCTAACCCACAGAAACTATGTGAGGTAATCAATGGTTGTAATTGGTTTAGGTCTCTAAATTTTGGGGGCAATCTGTTATGCAGCAATAGATAACTAGTACATCCCAACAGTCCCTAATCCTTCTGGCCTGGACCACACCAGTAGCTGCCCCCTTGTCTATGGGCCCTGGGTCCCTCTCTATCCCATTTGTGCCACCTGCTACATGCCAGAACCAGCCTTCTTTGCCTTTTCTCATCTGCTGGTGTTTCCCAAACTTGTCGGAGCTTAACAATCACTGGGAAACCTTGTTAAAAATCCATAATCCCTCTAGAGGGTCTGAGTCACCCCAGCAAGTTTAATGATCCAGCAACTCTGGAAAATTCTAACCTATGTAGAAGCTTCTTACATGGCTCCTAGCACATAATAGTTATTCAATAAATTTTTTTCCCCAAAACTCCGTTTCCACCCTTATCTTCTTAAGGGATGCCACATAATGAACACACATGCCATGTGCCAGAAGGTGCTAAGCATTAGCCTATTAATTCTCACTACTGGTTAGGTGCAGTGGCGCACACTTGTAATTTCAGCACTTTGGGAGGCCAAGGCAGGAGGATTGCTTGAGCTCAGAAGTTCGAGACCAGCCTGGGCCACAGGGCAAAAGCCCATCTCTACAAGAAATACAAAAAAATTAGCCAGATATGGTGGCATGTGCCTGTAGTACCAGCTAATCAGAAGGCTGAGGTGAGAGGATCACTTGAGCCTGGGAGGTCAAGGCTGCAGTGATCTGTGATCATGGCACTGGGCAACAGAGTGAGACCCTGTATTAGTCCATTCTCACATTGCTATAAAGAACTACCTGAGACTGGGTAATTTATGAATAACAGAGGATAAATTGACTCACAGTTCCACCAGCTGTACAGGAGGCATGGCTGGGGAAGCCTAAGGAAACTTACAATCATGGTGGAAGGCAAACGAGCAGCAAGCACATCTTCACATGGCAGCAGGAGAGAGAGAGAGGTGGGGAGGTGCTATACTTTTTTAAACAAGCAGATCTCGGGAGAACTCTATTACGAGACAGCACTAGGAGTATGGTGCTAAACCATTAGAAACCACCCCCATGATCCAGTCACCTCCTACCAGGCCCCAGGCCCCACCTCCAACACTGGAAATTACAATTCAACTTGAGATTTGGATGGGGACACAGAGTGAAACCATATCAGACCCTGTCTCAAAAAAAAAAAAAATTCTCACTCCTCCTCTGAGGTGGTTTGTGCTAGAAAGCTGTGGAGCCAGGACTTGAAATCAGCTCCTTTCCCTCCACAGTCTACTCTTAACCACTGCCCCACACCACCTCCCATAGGCACCACCCCTGCCCACTGGCTGATGTCTCCCTGAGGGCTGCCTTCACATCCTTCTCTCATTTTGTCCCCAGCTCGTCCCACTTTGGACCGGTTTGATCCAACTCACAATTCTGGCATCTTCCTTGTGCCAGATGAGCTCTCCCTGTCCCCTAACCAACCCCTTCACTAAATTTCATGCCAGCTATGCCCTGCCTGCCCCCCTCCTCTGCACCCCAACCAAACTCTATGGCTCCCTCTGCCAGGAAGCCTGCCTGGGCTGCCTGCTTCATTCTCATGTCTCCTTCTCTGTCCCTGGGTCTAGGCTGGGGCCCCCAGTGCATCAGTCTTGCCACCCTGCCCCACCCCACCTGCCTCAGTTTCAAGGCTCCACAAGGGTCAGAAACTCTGAAAGGGGGTTGCTCAATTCAGAGGCAGCCTGGCAGCAGCTGTGTGATTTGGGGTCAGTCACTTGAATTCTCTGAGCCTCAGTTTCCTTATTCCTACAAGGGGCATCTAAATCCTGCCTCCCATGGCTTGTGGTAAGGGCTCAATGAGACTGTGACTTTGAAAAGCACCTACAGGCCAGGCGCAGTGGCTCATGCCTGTAATTCCAGCACTGTTGGAGGCTGAGGCGGGTGTATCAATTGAGGTCAGGAGCTCATGACCAGCCTGACCAACATGGTGAAACCCCATCTCTACTAAAAATACAAAAATTAGCAGGGTGTGGTGGTATGTGCCTGTAGTCCCAGCTACTCAGGAGGCTGAGGCACAAGAATCGCTTGAACCCAGGAGGCAGAGGTTGCAGTGAGCAGAGGTCATGCCATTGCACTCCAGCCTGGGCAACAAGAGTGAAACTCCATCTAAAAAAAAAAAAAAAAGGGAAAAGAAAATCACCTTACAGGTTGCAAAGTGCTGTATAAATGTGAAGGGTTAGTATATATGAGTTCTTCTCAACACTGCCTTTCCTCCACCACACACACACACACACACACACACACACACACACACACCCTCTGCTGAAGTCCAGGGGTTACTTTAATGCTCCCCAAAGCACCCCAAGTCTTTGTTCATGCCACCTCCACTGCTCAGAAGCTCTTCCCTTTCTTCTTTGCCTGGCTTGCCCTTATTCATCCTTCTCACGCCAGCTCAAGTGTCACTGCCTCCATGAAGCCCTCCACTTCTCCTGGCAGAATTGATGCCTTCCATCTTCTGCATGGGTGCCTTTGCTGTCTTCATTATCCTACTTGTGTCAGCTTATACAGCTACCTCCCCCAGTGGACCATCTTATTGACCTCTGTCTGTATGCATGCAGCAGGCACTCAATACATGCAGATTAGTTTTACTTTCCCTGCTATACATTCCAGTCTTACTTAATCATAGTTTGCTGCTTCTCTTTGCTATCCATAAACATTTCCTCGTTCAAATAGGTCTTCAGGATTCACTCCCTTCCCCTCTAAAAAAAATCTCCACCCATTACCTGCCCTCTGCAAAAAGAACCAAAATGAGGCACGACTGTGGTCTGGCACTCAGCCTCTCTCCTAGGGTCTGGGACAGACAAGAAAGGCATTGGGAGGGTGCAGGCAGGCAGGAGGTTCTATCACTCCACCGCCACCCAAGGGGAATTGGCTTTGGCTCCACTGTTGTGGGGATGGGGGTGGGGGGTCAGTATTTTGTTTTCTGGCATTTCATTTATGCCTTGGAAATTGGCTTGGGCTGTCAGGGGAACTGGGAGGGGAGCCTGGCTGGTGGCAGGGGGTGTCTCTATGAGTAGTCCTTGACATCTCATTGGCTTTCTCCCTGTGCTGAGGGCAAGATCAAACATCAAAAGCACGGCCTGGCTGGTGCCTAGGCTAATGGAACCGGGCAAGCCTCTTCCAGATGTCTGCAGCTGTTTTCTCCTATTCCCCATCCAGAGTCTTGGGCTTGGAGACTCATGTGAGCTGCCCAGTGGGTCACACATCCCCAGGTTTGGGGCTGAGGCTGGCCTCCCCTTCTCCCACCCACGACCCCAGGTCTCCACTGATGGAGACTCTCTCACCTCCCCCACTTCCCCTCCTTCTAGCCAAGGATTCTTTTAATGCACCATCTACTGGGAAGTCCTTCTTGCTATAGAACTTGCTACCTTCCTGCTGCAACAGTCTGTCCCCTGGGACTGGAGGAAGGGAGAGGAGGAGAAATGCTCAGGCAGAGAGGAAGGAAAGAGAGATGTTTGGGATCATTTGACATGGGGAAATGTGGGGAGATAATGAAATATGTGGAGCTCAAGTTAATTTGAAAATGGGAGCACTCCACTTCCAGGCACTCAGCCTCTCTGATATCCTCAGAGAGGATATCAGCCTCTTAGCTGCCCAAATCCCTCTTCCCAAATGCTATAAGCTTCTAATAAGGATGTAATACAATTGAATTTATTACAAACTTAATTGTTTATAGAAATTTACCCAGCTGCAGACAGGACTGGGAGGATGGACCCAGTGGGAGGATGGGAGAGCTGGAGAAACAGATGAGGAGAAGGGAGAGGAGTGGAGGAGGGATGGGAAGAGAGAAAGGGAAAGAAAAAGGAGGAGAGGAGCACAATGAAGAGAACCAAGAAGGAAGGGTGTCTGGAGAAGGAATCAGAGAGAAAGAGGATGGGATGGAAAGAAGCAGCTAAAGACAGACTAAGGGGAGAGTCAAGAGGAAATGCAAAGGAAGAGGGCTCAAGGAAGAATAAAAGAGAGGAGAGAAAGGCAGAGACAGGGAGACAGGAGAAGGTGGAGAAGGCGGAGAAGGCAGGGAGGAGGGAGGAAACCCTGCAGATAGCAGTGGGGCCTTGCTGCCCAGAGAGGATGGTCTCTATCGGGGAGGAGACCCAGACCACTGGTGCCCAGCCACACTCAGAGGACTGGGGACAGTGGAAGACAGGGTGTTACTAGGAGAATTAGCTTGGGGGATTGCTGCCAGAGGGAGAGAAAAGAATGTCCTCTGTAGGTGGGAGAGCTGGACGATCAACTATGGACCAGTTTCCTCCGAGGTGGCACCCCCAGGTCAGGATGATCAGAAGGTGAGGCTTTGGGTGCTGCAGAATCTGTGCAGAGAGGCTAGAGCCAGCTGTCTCCGTCCCTTCCAGCCTGCATCTGTAAGATAGGGAGGGTCACTCTGCCCTCATATCTCCCAGGAATGGTGTGGGATTTGGTGCTGCTACTCAGTTTTCGGATGGGGACCCGAGGCTCAAGGAGCGGGTAGTGATGTTTCCAAGGTTACCCTCAGACAGTGGCAGGGTTGCAATCAGAACTCAGGTCATCTTAACTCCCAGTCAAGAGCTCAGTCTGCAAAGACTAAGTCATCGCAGGAGTTTGGTGCTGATTTCTAAAGTGGCAGGAGAGCCAGGGGAAGGGCGGGGCGTTTTGGCTCACCTGAGGCCCGGCTGTCAGTCCGTGACTCCCTGCCTCCACGGCTCTGAGGAGGCCCCAGCCCATGTTGGTGAGCGAGTGCTGTGTGTGAAGAATGGGCCCCGTCAGCCTGAGAGGGAGAGGCTACATTGAGCCCTCACACGAATCCATGTAGTGGCCAGGCGGGACACTATGGGTGGGGTTTGGAGAAGGGAAAAACTTCCAGAGACAGCTCTTCAGGACTGGTGCTGAGACAGGGACGCCTGTGTTGCAAATGTGGGGAAGGCATCTATCTGCAGGGAGACATCTGCTCTTATTCAATTGATCAGAGCCGTGTGCTGGCTTTTCTGGCTGAGCCCTGGCTGGATCTAGAAACTTCCAGGACCCTCTCCTCTGCTATGGGTGCTATGTCATATTGTCCTTCTCTTTGGTTGTCCACTCCCTCATCCCAACACACATAAACACACACAGAAATCCACATTCTTTCATTCATTCAATAAACACAAGCAATTAGCACACGTTAGGCGCAGCCTTAGGCACTGGGGATTCACCAGCATGGTGCCCATTATCCAAGAACATACAGTCTAAGAGGCAGAGGCAGACACAGTCTGGGACAATTCTACAATAGGAGGAACATGGAGCCTGGCCTGAAGTAGGTAACCAATGAACTTCACTCTCGCCCAGGCTGGTGGTGCAACCATAGCTCCCTGCAGCTTCAACCTCCTGGGTTCAAGGGATCCTCCTGCCTCAGCCTCCTGAGTAGCTGAGATTACAGGTGTGAACACCACATCACCTAATGTTTTTATTTCTTTGTAGAAGTGGGGTCTCCCTGTGTTGCTCAGGCTGGTCTCAAACTCCTGGCCACAAGTGATCCACTTGCCTCAGTCTCCCAAAGTCTTGGAATTACAGGCATAAGCCACCACTCCTGGCAATATTCATTGAATGAATAGTGTGAACCTAGTGCTGGGAAGCAGAGGGGAGAAGGGGGCTCACTGTCTGTGGGAGCTGGCCAAGTAGTCACAGAGGAGCAGCATTTGGACAAGGCTTAGGAGACTCCAAGCTCCTTGAAGGCAGGAGCTGTGTCGCAGTCATCCTCGGATTCCACCATCCTGTGTAGTCTGGCATAGAGCAGGAGCACAGTGTTTGACAAATGAATGATGCGTTAGTCAGGAACCTCTGGGTTGTCAATAACAGAAGTCCATCTCAAACCTGCCTAAGAAAAAAAGAAGAGACTTTATGGCTCAACATAACTTAAGTTTACTGCAGTAGGGTTAGGGTTGAGGTCCGGTTAAAGCTAGGTGCAGGTGTTAAATGTCGCCACTGACCATCTCTTGGCTCTGCTTTTTCCATATATCAGCTTTATTCTCAATCAAGCTCTCCCAGGGAGTGGCAACCCCAGCACAAAGAAAGCACTTCTTTCCATGCAGCCCGAAAGAAAGTTCAGGGCTGACTCTCAGTGGAGATAGTGATGTTCCTATCCCTGAACCAATCTGATGGCTGGGGTTATTGTATGCAAATTTGCCCCGCTTTGCTCACATGGCCACACCCAGAGTGGGCAGAGGGGTGAAGGTGGAGTGAAAGTAAACTTCTCTCCATAAAAGAGTTGGGAAGAGGAAGTTTCCCATAAACAAAAAGGCAAAGTGGTGCTGAGAAACAGATGTCCATGACAAATGAATACATGAATGATTGGATAAGTGAATTGGGCCTGGAAGGGTGAATAGGAGTTCACCAGGTAGAGAAAAGAGCAAGGGTCCCCTTATGCATGTGTATACACACAGAGTCTGATTTCAATTCTGTTTTATTCTCAACCCCAGCTGTCCATTCGTGTCTGCCCCCATCTGTGTGTCTGGATCATCCTGGAAGCCCCAGAGGGCAGGGACAATGTTTGCCACACTCCATCTTGGCACTGCCCAGGCCTGTCCATTTAGACACTTAATCAAGGCTGTTTGGGTTCTGCAGCTGACCTTCCCTGCAAGCAGGGAGTTCTCTCCCTTCCCCAGTAGATCTGGGCTGGGCCAGGCCACTGTCCAGTGCCAGGGGAGGGGCTGGAAGCAGTAAAGAGCCAGAGACTTGAGAACGGGATGATAGCAGCCCCCTGCCCGCAGTCTCTCCTGTTCATCTGGGAATTCCTCCCTGCCCTCACTGGCATCAGCAAGGCCTTAAAATGTCACTTGTGAAGTGTAAACTTAGCAATGTGACATTAACAGAGGGGTTTTTTTAAGAGGAAAAAACACATACAATTGCTCCCTTCTGTTTCTTTTTTTTTTTTTTTTTTGAGACAGAGTCTTGCTCTGTCACCAGGCTGGAGTGCAATGGCGCGATCTTGGCTCACTGCAACCTCCGCCTCCCTGGTTCAAGTGATTCTCCTGCCTTAGCCGCCCAAGTAGCTGGGACTACAGGCGCCCACCACCACACCCAGCTAATTTTTGCATTTTTAGAAGAGACAGGGTTTCACCATGTTGGCCAGGATTGTCTCGATCTCCTGACCTCGTGATCCAACCGCCTTGGCCTCCCAAAGTGCTGGGATTACAGGTGTGAGCCACCGCACCTGGTCCTCTTCTGGTCTTTGAGCACATGATGCAAGGAGTTTACCTAGAGCTGCGGTTTCACTTCTTTCTACCTGATACTCTCCCTGTGCTGCACCTTGCCTCCCAATCACAGCTTTTAATGGCTAAAGTCCATGGAGGGGCTTTCTTTTATGTCCCTGATCCTCTACCAGTGGCTGTTTAAGCTGTTGTTGGTTATCTGTTCCTTCCTTCACTCCTTTATCATACATTCATTCACCCACAGCAATTGAGTATCTGCTATGCAGGCTTGCTCTAGGCAAAGAGGACACTCAGATAAAAGAGGCAATCACTCCCCTCCCCAAGGAGCTCAGCGCCCGGGTGGATGGAGAGGGAAGGAAAGCACCAGCCACACCACAGAGTGCTGGTGACAGGCAGAGAAGTACAAGGTGCCTGAGGTCCGCATCAGTCACCCAGGCTGTAATGAAATGGAGGACTTCCTGGAGGAGGTGATGCCTGTGCTGGGATGAGTAGAAGGGAGTAAGACAGTCCCAAAGAGGGACATGGTGAGGTGGTGAGGCTGGAGAAAGAGAAATGATGAGTCATTGGCTTACAGCTTTTTCTGCAGCTGAGTTCCTTCCCCTCCCTGCTGCCATGTCTTCATTCATTAGTTTGTTTGACTGTTCATGCAGCTCATTCATTCTAACCTCCCTCCCTCAGTGCCAGGCACAGGCTGGGTGCTGTGGATCCCAACAGGGACCTTCTGTTGGAACCCAGTGGAGCAGTCAGCAGCCCTGTCTCAGACAGTGGGGGTGTATGCTTGAAGTGGGAGGGGGGAGGCAGCCTTCTGCCCCCTAAGATCCAGAGTTGGGCTGAGATTGAGGGTCACACCATAGGTTCCCCCATAAAGTTTGGGTGACCCCATTGCTGGCCCGCTGCAGGAGGGGCCTCCAAGGAGGACTGGGATGGGAGAGGGACCTCAAAAGGCAGAGGAAGGAGAGAAAAGTCGCCAGGGAAATTAGAGTTTCTGAAGCTGCCTTGGCTGCAGTAATGAGAACCAGAGAAGGGGCTAATGGAGATCAGATTGCCCGGGGGCTGCCTCCCAGCAGCCCCCTCCCCAGCATGCTGAAAGGAGAGGCCTGGGGACAGGATGTAGATGGGAAAGGGCCACTCTCTCCACGTGGTCCATCTCTTAATCTCAGCTGGAGTTGAGGGAGTTGAAGCTAGAGGAGGAGGACCAGATGGACTGTATCCTATGCGAGGTGGTCAGAGATGGGGAGAGAGTGTAGAAGCCGGCTGGCTACTCAGCCCCCAGGCCTTGGGCTCCACAGGTGGCCACTCGGTTATTGATGAACTAGCCTCCCCATGCACAGGACCCTCTAGCCATGAAGGGCTGGGGTGGGGCACTCATAGGAAGAAGAAAACCTGGGCTACGCCGCTGAGAAGATTTCCCCACCTGATGGAGGGGACACACTCCAGAAAGCCCCGGCCTAGGATGCAGGATGTCCCTGGCCTCGGGGAGCCCGTTTGGTGAGAGAGGTGGCTGGTGCAACAGTCTGCCTGGCTGGGAGAAGTGACAGTGCTGACCCCCTGGAAGCACTCACAACAAGGGGAAGACAAAACTACTACCACTTCTAGGATTAGTACTTCTACTACTAGTACTGCTAGTAATAATAACAACAGCAATCTCAAATTGAGCATTCATTTTGTGCCAGAACCCTAGTTAAGAGTTTTGCACCCACTTAGCCTCATTTAATTTTCACAACCACCTCAAGAGGAGGAAAGGGCTGACGTCACCATCATTTTGCAGATGGAGAAGACAAAGCTCAGAGAGGGGAAGTCACTTGCCCAAGGTCAGAGCCCTCAAGGAAGCCCACTGAGCACTGGCCCCCGTCGCCTGATCTCCAGGAGGCCCTGTGCTCTGGACACCAAGGGACCAAGAGTCAGTGAGCCCAAGCCATCGCTCTCCACTGTCCTTTATCCCTCTGTCTTTCTCTATGTCTGCCTCAGTCTCTGTCTTTCTCTCCTTCCTCTCTCTTCTTCTCCATCTCAGTTCCTCTTTCTCTCTCTCTCTCCTTGTCTCTCCCTCCTTTCTTCTGCTCTAACTCTGTCTCTGTTCCCCTACTTCCCTCCCTCAAGTGCAGTCAAACAGGTCACTTGGCCCAGGAAGGTGCTGAGCAAATCCCATGGCGGGGGCTGGGGTGGGGGGATTCTGTGCCCTTGACCTGTGTCCTTTCCCCCAAGGCTGGGAGCCAGGAGCCAGGGCCTGCCTGCAGGGGGCTGTGAGGGCATGGGGGTGGGGCACACAGGCCACATGACCTCTTGAAGGATGCCAACAGCCCCGGGAGAGGAGACAGGAGAATCTGGGCATGAGGCAGCTGAACTCGAGGTGGGACGGCACAGGAGCTGCTCACTGGGTCTCCGGGCCAGGGTCATGGTGCAAGGTGGGGACAAAAATCCTCCTCCCTCCTCCTCCTTCCAATCCCTCTTTTCTCTTCCTGTCCTTCTGTTTCTTCTCTCTGCCTCCTTTCTCCTTCTCTGGTTCTTTCTCCTCACCCCTTCTCATTTTCTCCTCCTCCCTGCATTTATCCTAGAGCTTGCATTTTCTCTCTTTCTTTTTCTCTCTCTCTTTTCTCCCTCCCCACCCCTCCTCCCCTTCTATCGATCAGTCTCCCCAGCTCTAGCCAACACGAAGGCCTTGGATGGTACTCACAGTCTTGCTTTAAAATTTATTGCCCAGTGAATGCGGCGGCAGATGGAAGTCTCCACCACCCCACCCCCACCCTCTCTATCGCCTCATCCCAACAAAAGCCAATCTAGACAAACGTCGTCCATCAAATGCACCAATATGGGGTTATTTATAGGCTACCCCCTTCCAAGAAAGCAGAGTGTTTTTTCCTCCTCTCTCTCTTTTCTCTTTGAGCGTTCACAGCTCAGGAGTGAGAGGGACGGTGGGATTCGATATTCAAGAAGCTGCACAATGAGGTTCCCATCCGTCAGATTCTAGGGTAGGGGGGCGTAGAAGTGCCTTGATTGGAAATGAATTAATTAGAAGTGAGGCTCTTCAAGTCTCCAAGTTGGGTTATTTATAGTGTTCGGTTAATTTTGATAATTAACACTGGGAAAGAATAGTGAGTTCCGGGCAAAGCAGTGCCCGCCAACGGAGACGCGCTTCCCGCCCCGTCGCTGCCCCTCCCCACTTGCTCCATTTGGACTCTGTCAAAATAGGCTACTCTCTGCTGCCGAGGCCCTGGGTTTTCTAAAAGTAGAATGTAGGTGGGAAGGCCAAAGGCATAGGGGCTGCAGTAGGGGACTCAGGCTGTCAGAGGTCCAACGCTATAGCACCAGGCCAGTGCTCCTCTCCTCTTCTGGCCAGATGGCCTTCCTGGAGAAGCAGGTGCCAGCTGCTGGTCCGGGTGGGATGTGCAGTGTAGCCCACCGCACTGGGAGAGCAGGAGAGGCTGTACCCAAGCTCTGGGCATAGATGTTCATTCTACCAAAGCAGCCAGGAGGAGCGAGGCTGGACCAACCAGGGTGACAGGAATCAGAGACAGCCAGACAGCTGCCAGGTTTGAAAGGAGAGAGGAGAATGGGAGAGCTTCTCGGAGAAGCAGGAGGTTTTGACCTGCAGCCTGCTGTCTGCCTGTGGGCAGGAAGGGCATTTCAAAGAGAGGCAGTGATCACCACCTACCAGGAAAGGGGACTTCAGAATTTGCCAGCTCCCCTCAATCCATTTGCTGCCCCATCCCCTACCTTGCCACCAAACTGATAGCTCAGCATTTCCATCCACACCACTCCCTTTCGCAAGCAGCACCCCCTGGCCCGCCCAGAGTGCCCTGCCCTCTCCCCTGTGAGGGTCTACCATGGTTCAAGGCCAACTCTCCTGTTGCCTCCTCTGAGCCCAGCTGAGTCGGTGGCTTCCCGCCTCCAGGGCCCCCCTCATTTTGTTTAGTGGGATTCTCAGTGGTGGCAGAGAGGGCTGGTGGTAAAGATAGGACTGGAAAGATACGGAGGCTGGATTCTGAAGGGTCCTGGATGTCCCACTAGAGTCTGGCCCCTTCCCTAGAAGTGATGGGGAACTGCTTTCTTGCCTGGGAGCTGGGCAGTGGGCTGCCCCCAACACCAGGGTGGTTCGGCAGGCAGAGATCACATTCCTTCCTGGGTTAAGGACCAACTCCCCACTCGGAGTGCAGAGCAGGGGGACCACCCCAGCGCAGGTACAGGAAGTGGTGGGAGGCCTTTCCCTCTGGGCCCCAGCAGCAGTTTCTGCAGTCTCCTGTCCCACTGGAGTGCAGAGGCGGGTTGGGAACGAGAAGAGGAACTTCAAATGCAACACTCCTGCCTTACGCTCTTGGAGGGAAGCTCCACTCCCGGGCCTGCCAAGGGCTGGGGCCAGACCGGAAACGGGATCATCTTCGATCAAGGGCTGTGGGCTCTGCTGGTTCCTGCTGCCTGTGCCGGCTCCCCCGTCCTCCCCTCCTCCCCTTGCGGATGTTCTCAGGTGTCTCATCTAAATCCCTTCCCTGGCCACTCCCCTCTCCTCTCTTCCCTCTTGATCTGTGATAGAAAGAGGGAGGGGAGAAGGGGAGAGTCCTCCTCCTGGTGGCTTCTGCCTGCTCCCAATCTCCCCATCTTTGTATTGATGTAAGCTTCACCTCTCTGCCCACTGGCATCCGAACTCCCCTGAGGGAAGCCTGCAGAGACTGATCCTGCTGCCTCCTGTGTGCTGTGCGCCCGCATTCTTCAGTCTCTGGGCTCTGGACAGAGGGGCACTGGGCCACCCCTGGGCTTGCCCCAGGTTGCCTGGGAGTTGCTGATCCATATTCTAGCCTGAATTCTCTGTGGCAGACTGCAGTCCTCCTTGAGGACAGTGACTTGGTCCCCCTCCTCCCCAGACCTGGGGCTCCCCAGTAGTGTGGAAATGAAGTATCTCTGTTCCCCACCCCACCCCACTCCAGGTCCAGCCATCCCACCCTCCACCTGTGTCCTTGCCCTGTTCCCAGTGCCCACCAGCCTCCAGGCCCTGCTGCTCTCTCTGGCAGGGCCTGCGGCACTGGCAGCTCCAGGCCAGGCCCCTGACCTCAGGCCGCCATGGGCCAGCCCCCAGACACCTCTCAGTGTTTTTGCCTCGATTTTCAGCCCAGGGGCCTTTGGGGAGCTGCAATCCCGTCTCCAGCTTCCTCTGAAAGGAGAGCACATTTTTAATTAAAGTGGAAAAAGAGCTGAAAATCTGTTCGCATTTAATCATCTTGACGACCTTTTTGCTTAAGAGTTTCCAGCTGAGGTGGAGGGAGCATATAAGGCGGGGGCAAAGACATTTCTCAAGACCCGGCCTGGGTCGGGAACAAGGAGGGAGAACCTCTGCAGGGATGAATAATGGAACAGGAGCGGAGGTGGCCAGGGCTCTGAGTGCCGACTCAGCACTTCCCCTGCTGGCTCCTTCAGGAGGTGCCCCCACCCTGCCTCTCTCCCCTCTTCTGGGCACCCTGTAGGCTGGGCTGGGCTGGACAAGAACCGGGACTCAGACTCCCCAGGGAGCAGGAGCAGAGGCCATGTGGGAAGGACAGTTCCTCTCTGTCACAGGCGGAGGACACAGGTATGGAGGGGCACTGTGAGTGGCTTCTAGACACACAGAGAATTGGGGCAATGCTGAGGGGCCTAGCCCAGGCCTTCTTCACCACACCTGCCGAAACTGCTGTATAATCCCCTTCTCTGCAACTGCCTTACTGAGTGACTTGGAACATGTGGCACATGTCTCTGGGCCTCAGTTTCCCCTACTGTTGATGGCCTCTGGGCTACTTTCCACTTCTGAAATCCGACTCCCAGCCTAGAATGTGTAATTGAGAATGCTTGTGTTCCTGCCCCAGGTGTAACATGGTCCTGTTTGTTGTTGTTGTGTTGTTGTTGTTGTTGTTGTTGCTGCTGCTTGAGACAGAGTCTTGCTCTTGCCCAGGCTGGAGTGCAGTAGCACGATCTTGGCTCACTGCAACCTCCACCTCCCAGGTTCAAGCAATTATCCTGCCTCAGCCTCCCGAGTAGCTGGGACTACAGGTGCCTGCCACCAAGCTCGGCTAATTTTTTGTATTTTTAGTAGAGATGGGGTTTCACTGTGTTAGCCAGGATGGTCTCGAACTCCTGACCTTGTGATCCACCCGCCTCGGCCTCCCAAAGCATTGGGATTACAGGCGTGAGCCACCGCACCTGGCCCAACACGGTCCTGTTTGATTGGGGAACTCCTTAGACATCCCTCCCCAAAGCCATGGGCTGTGTATCTCCCCCTCCCTGCTCCCCTGCCAGCCCCAGAGCCTAGGAGAGGAGTATTGCACTGAGGTTCTCCTCCGAGTTCCAGACCCACCTCTGTCCTCCTAAGGACTGTGTCTCCCTCCTCAGAGCAGGGGGACTTCCAGGCCTCAGACTGGAGCTTCCTCCAGGGCAGGACTGCATTTCTCTCTCCTCCTTCCTTGGAGGAAAGCACTGACTTGGCAAGTGGCATTGGTGGTACTGAAAGAGCTGGTGCAGGAAGAGCTGGTGACTCAGTCTTCTGCTTTTAAATTTCCAGCCCTGTCTCAGGGGTCCCCTGGCCCGGCCAACCTGGCCTTGCAATGGCAGGACTGGGAAATGATCCTCCTTCACCTCCTCCCCTTCCTGAGCGCTCAGATGGGTTTTCCCTTGAAGGGGAGGCGGGACTTAGTCCAAACTGTGCATCCATGCCCTTTGCCCTCCCCTGCTGGAAACCAACCCAGACAATTGCACTTGACCCCACTTCCCAGACAAGTCCAAGTGAAGATAAGCTGAAGCCTGGGACGTCTCCTACCCCAGCGATTCCCGTGGGAATCTTGCTGGAGCTGGAGGCCTGTCATAGCTCTGGCTCTTATCTACAGCAGGAAGGACCCCGGGCCTCAGTCTCCAGTGCTGAAATGTCATCTCACCCCTCATCCGGCCTCCAGCCCGCAGGCACCATCAGCAGCAGCATCAAACAGAGTAAGACTAATTGACATCTCTTCAGCTCATCTGACTTTCAAAGCACACTCACACTCAATACAGTACTTCCTTGACTCCTCAAAGTAATTTGGTGAGACTAGTATCTTATGCCCACTTTACAAACGAGGAAAGGGAGGCCTAGAACAAGAAAGGGACTGTCACAAGGCCACACAGCAAATAAATGATAGACTAGCGCCCGTGTCTCCCAATGCCTCTTCCTCCTATCTTCCCATTGTTGACTTCCCGCTGTTCCAGCCATGGTGTAGCCTATTTAGTTTCTCTTTAAAACATCCTAGCCCGTGCCATGGCTCATGCCTGTAATCCTAGCACTTTGGGAGGCCAAGATGGGTGGATTGCTTGAGCCCAGGAGCTCGAGACCAGCCTGGGGAACATGGCATAACCTCATCTTTACAAAAAATATAATAATTAGCCTGGTCTGGTGGTGCACACCTGTAGTCCCAGCTACTCATGATGGCTGAAGTGGGAGGATCACTTGAGACTGGGAGTTTGAGTCTGCAGTGAGCTGTGATCGCATCACTGCCCTCCAACCTGGGCAACAGAGCAAGACCCTGTCTCAAAAAAACCCCAAACCAACCAACCAAACAAACAAACAAAGTAACAAACTAACAAGCAAAACAAACAAAAAACTATCCTGCCTGTCCTTGGATGCAAAACAAAAAGTGAAAAAGATGACTGGATGCTTCAGAACTGTCAGGCAGCTCCGCAGTCCTTCAGGGCTGGGAAGAATCAAAGTTGAGAGTTGCGAGGAACTTCCTAGAGGAAGGCTCCTGGAGGAGAACTGTGTGCTGTAGAGGTGAGGAGAGAGGCAGGACCAGAAGGCGGAGGTAAGGGGCTGGCTCCTAGACTCAGGGAGATGGCTGCCCTGGGGTATGGGGTACTCTCTGTGCCCTTCCCATTCAAGCACTTGGGTTTAGCATTGCCCACTCTGGGTACCCCTTCTCCAAGACACAAAGCCTAGGGAAGATGAAGTCCCCAGCACCTATGTTTGAATGAAGTGACCAGATCTTGTGACATTGACAGAAGGTATGGGTGCCACACGGGGGAGTGTTGGGAGAGAGGGTGGCCTGGAAGAAAGACGACTGCAGACGTCATTCTACTGTCATGTCAAAGGAAAAGAGAAGACAGGCAAGGGCTTGGAGGTGGGAGAAGCTGACGAATGTGGGTCAGATGGGGCTCCTTCCAGGATAGGGTGGAGGCGCACCAGCCTCTGAGGCTGGAGCAGACGGTGGGGGAGGGCACTGTGCAACTGGCCCACTTTGATGCTCAAGTTAATCTAACTGGACTCCAACCTTGCTAATTCCTCCCACCCCTCTCACTACTAATTCAGCTCCAGAATCAAAACTCGCTGACCCCAGACCAGTCCCCAGGCCCCACCCTGTTCCCTCATTGGACAGAACCCCCTTGCAGCCCAGGAGTCAGCTCAGAGGTAATCACTGCATCATGCTTCAAAGCCGCTAAGCAAGCTCTGAATGGGGGGCAGCAGGTTTCACTTACCTTGCCTGGCCGCCTGCCCGGGGCAGATGGGATGCAGCTGGGGGAGGGCCCCACCTCGTCCTCCGCTCTCTCCCTGGCTCTCTGCCTTGGAGATGGTTGTCTCCTTGCCCACCTCATTTCACCCCTCCTCTGGTTGGACATTGGAATTGAAGAATAGGGGAAGTGATTCCCCCAAAGCAGGAAAAGTGAGAACTGGTGAAGGTCACTTCCCTGGCTGGCCTCCACCCCTCCTCTCCTGCCCCCTAAGCTAAATTCTATAAATACATGTCAGGAGAGAGTCTGAGTAGTAGCTGGAGGGCAGAGTTCACTTCTTTGAGATGGAAGTTCTATCTCCCCAATCCACGGGGTGGCTGCCAGTCTAGCTGGGGTGAAGGCTGGAGGAGCTGGGATGGATGGGAGAAGCGACCGGGGAAGGCGACTGTTGAGGGCCTGGTGCAGAACAGTGGCCACTTACGGTACCACTGCTTCCTTCTGGAGGTCCTTGGACAAGTGGCTTAACGTCTTCAAGCCTCAGTCTCTTCTTCTGTAGGATGGTGATCCCAGTACTGTACTTCCCTCATGGGATTGTAGTGGAGTTTAAGGGGGTCAAGCAGTCCCAATAAGTGTGAGTTCTCATTGTCTGCGATCCCATTTCTGCTTGGAAGTTGGCTGGAGCTGCAGGCTGGCTCCCCAGCAACTGCTGGGGACATGAGGCACAGGGAGCTGTGAGTTGTGCTTTGCTGAGGGGCTGAGATGAGGGGGGTGGAGTGGAATGGGAGGACAGGGAGGACAGTGTGTATTAAGGACGTTGCCTTTCTGGAGGGGCAGGGTGACGGTGGGGTGGTGAGCTATATAGGGGAGGAGTTGCCCCTCCCATTTGATTCCTAAAGATGCAGTTTGACGTGACTGCCACTCCCAGCTCCATGTGGAATTGCACTGATGTTCTCCACCCTTTCTCTTCAGAGTCACTATAGGACCAGGAAGCTTGGGGGTGGGGGGTAGGGGGAGGAGTCCTCTCTATGGGCACTCTGTTATAGGAGATGGTTCTGAGGGACTCTCCAGGAACACTGCTGGCCTCTTGGTGCCCTCTGTGGGATCCCACCTGCTGGTCAGCCCCTACGAGCCCTCTCTCCATGCCATATCCTGCAGCTGTGGCTCTAAGTGCTGAGGATTAGGAGAGAGGGGGCTGGGAAGACAGTGTGGCTTGTCAAGCAGGGAGAAACTTTTGGAGCCCGCTCATGTCTGGGGCCAGGAGTTGTGGACACTAGAGGGTTATACTCAGGCAGGCAGTGGCTCCATGAGGCCTCTGATATTGTTCCTAGGAAAAGGAAGGGCCAGTGCATCCTGCCCTCATGAAGAATCTCTGTTGCTCGTGGTGGTGCAGATGTAGGAAGATAGGTGTTGGAAGCCACGGCCATGGCAGCCGTGGTGGTGGTGACTATGGTGATCATAGTGATGGTGATAACTGTGGCCGTGTCATGGTGGTGATAGTTGTGATTCTGGTAGTGACACTGATGGCAGTGGCATAATGATGATGGTCATAATGGTGCTGGTGTTGTTAGAAGTGGTGGTGATGGTGGCAGTGGTGGTGATGATGGTGATGGTACTGGTGGTGGTCATAATGATGATGGTCATAGTGGTACTAGTTTTGGTATAGATGCTTCTGGTCATGGTGATAGTGGGAGTCTCAGCAAAGGAATATCCTGATCATATCCAGGCTATCTGGTATGGTCAGTCAAGCCAAGACCTCACATTATAAACTAACTCTTCATGGCTGGGCGCGGTGGCTCACGCCTCTAATCCCAGCAATTTGGGAGGCTGAGGCGGGTGGATCACCTGAGATCAGGAGATCGAGACCATCCTGGCCAACATGGTGAAATCCTGTCTCTATTAAAAATACAAAAATTAGCTGGGTGTGGTGGCACATGCCTGTAATCCTAGTTACTCGGGAGGCTGAGGCAGGAGAATCACTTGAACCAAGGAGACGGAGGTTGCAGTGAGCCGAGATCGTGCCACTGCACTCCAGCCTGATAATAGAGAGAGATTCTGACTCAAAAAATAAATAAAATAAATAAAATAAAATAACTCTTCATATCAAATAACTAACACACTAGAACATCAGCTTCATAAGGAGCTGCATGAATCCCCAAGGCCTGCAGAATCCCCAAGGCCTAGAGCAGTGTGTGGCACACAGCAGATGCTCAATAAATACATGTTGAATGAATGCAAGGGAAGTGAGTTCCTCCTTATGATGAACACCACGTTACTTCATTTGATCCTCACCCCGCCCTTTCAAAATTCCCATTTGATAGATGAGAAAACTGAGACCAAAAGAGATGATGTAAACTGCCTGAGGAGTCAGCAATGGCAGAGAGGGAGGGAGGAATAATACCCAGGCCTGTCCCACTCCCAGTGCAATGCTCTTTCCTCTACACACTTTGCAGCCACTCTCCCCGCCAGCACTCAGCATTACGTAGTGGTCTTGCGCTTGGGTTTAATCATAGAAATACCGCTAATAATAGTAACAATTGCTGTTTGTAATTGTTTGAGTAAGGCTTAAATGATCAGGACCATGGAAATTATTAATAACCCAGGCCCAGCCATAGTGTGGGTCGTATTAAATTGTGTTGAGATGGATAACGTTAGCAATAATAGTAACTGGGATCATAAATTAATAACAGGAGTATTTAAATTAATGCCACACTGTCGATACCCTTAGTCATAAGCAGCTCAACGCTGCTGTTAGTACTAATGTTGCCCCTTCCTTCCTGCCTTTTATGAATTCAGCTGAGAGGAAGGCAGGTCTAGAAAAGCAGCGGGAGGAGGAGACATCTTAGAAGCAGTCCCTGTCTGGAAGGAATGACTCTTCAGTGATTTCTGAAGAGGTGCTCTTTGCCTGGCCTCTTATGTCCAGCCATGAAGGTGGTGGCTCACCAGCATTCATGCTGAAAACCACAATGATGTCTACCTGTCCTTTCCAGGCCAGGGCTGTCCCCTGGACTTTGTGGGTTACACAGGAAAGAAATTCACAGGACAGATATTTTTTTCCCCCATGAATGAATGAATTAGCTTCAGCCGATCTTGGAAGTCACCTACAGACTGCTAGCGTGCTCTCTTCATGAGCACTGTTTTTTGTTTGTTTGTTTGTTTGTTTTTTGAGATGGAGTTTTTGCTCTGTGGCCCAGGCTGGAGTGCAATGGCGCTATTTCCGCTCACTGCAACCTCCGCCTCCTGGGTTCAAGTGATTCTTCTGTCTCAGCCTCCTAAGTAGCTGGGACTACAGGCGTGAGCCACCACGCGAAGCTAATTTTTGTATTTTTAGTAGAGATGAGGTTTCACTATGTTGGCCAGGCTGGTCTCGAACTCTCGACCTCAGGTGATCCACCCGCTTCGGCCTCCCAAAGTGCTGGGATTACAGGCATGTGCCTGGCCCACAAGCGCTCTTGATCTCCCTTTTGTTTCCATAACTGGGGAGGGTAGTGAGATTTTTTTTTTTTCCAGGAGGAAACTGAAATCCAAACATGGTTAAGATTTGGGTGTTGGGATAGACTTTGCAGACACCCCCATCAACTCTGTGCTCCAGGGTCTTGATGTCTGGGAACGAAGAAATGGAGGGAACAGGAAAGGGGTAAGCATGGGGGTGGGTGGCATGCTTTTGGGGTTGGGAGGCATATTATTTGGACTTGGCAAGGTTTCTAGGGCAAGATGAATTTGGTCCTAGCACATGGATGGGTACACAGATATGAGTCCATTTCACCACTTTTCTATTTATTCCCTTCTACAAAACTTTCTTGAACCCTACTGTATACCAGGAATTCAGAGAAGAAACCATAATCCCTGCCTGCAGAGCTCATAAGCCCATGGAGACACTCACAGTCTGGTGAAGTCTATATTGTTGAAGATGCATCTGTTTGTTTGTTGATGGGTGTCAGTGTGTGTGTGCACTCATGAATGTGTGTGTTTGTGTGACTGTATACATGTGAGGGCTTATGCAGACACGACTGTATACATGCATGTGTGAATGTGTACATATGCGCGTTTGAATGTCCGGATCACATATGTGCCCGTGTGCATGCCTGGAGAGGTGCATGTGTGGGACAGTCAGGTCGGCAGGAGTGCATGAGAACGGTGTGGGCACACGTAAGTGCACGATCACACATACAAGTGAGCTTGAGAGTGTGTATTCCTGTGCACTGTGTGCACACCTGTGACCCCTTCAAACCCCTCATTTGAGAATCAAATGATGTCGGAATGGACTCCACCTTGAATGTCGATGGCCGAGGTAAGGGCGCCTGCGCCCCTCCCCTCCCCCTAGGCCTCTGCCCAGGGATCTCCTGCACTGGGAAGGGGAGGGGTGGGGATGGGGTGGAGGTGGGGTGATGGACTGAGATGAAGGGCAGGGAGGGCAAGCGGGCATTCTTACTGATAGGGGGCAGTTAGGGAGCAAGGCTCCAGGGAGAAGGTGAAGCCAGAGGCGGAGGAAGATGGGTAAGAGAGTGAACCCTGTGGCGGGCCGCAGCCGGAGAGGAACAGGAACCGCAGTGGGGACGCCCTGGTCCCCGGGCCCACAGCATCCGGGACGGACGCGCAGTAGCGCGGGCCGGGAACTGGGTACCAGGGCGGGATGGGTGAGAGGCTCTAAGGGACAAGGCAGGGAGAAGCGCAGCGGGGTGCGGGGAACCGCACGCCCTCCCTTTGCCTCTGCTTCCCACCCCGAGGCGGCAGGGCGGGCGGGCGCGGTTCCGGGGGTGGGCGGGCTGGGCGGGGCGGAGGCGGGGCCGCAGCACTGGCTTCACCCAGCCTCTCCCGCCCGCAGCCAGAGCGAGCCGAGCCGCGGCCAGCTCCGGCGGGCAGGGGGGGCGCTGGAGCGCAGCGCAGCGCAGCCCCATCAGTCCGCAAAGCGGACCGAGCTGGAAGTCGAGCGCTGCCGCGGGAGGCGGGCGATGGGGGCAGGTGCCACCGGCCGCGCCATGGACGGGCCGCGCCTGCTGCTGTTGCTGCTTCTGGGGGTGAGTGTTAGCCGGAGGGGGCCCGCTCCCTTTCCCGGGATCAGAACTCCGAGAAGAGCCGGGCGCCGCCACCAAGGAAACAGAACAGAGCATTGGGGTCCCAGATACTGAGGGTGGGTGGTGGGAAAGGACCTCTGATGCCGGGACCACGAAGGAGGGTCTAGGGTTCCCGGAGCGCAGAGGCGACTCTCCAGGGTGGAGATGAGGGCAAGACCGGAGCACGGATGCCGGTCCTCAGGTACCGCAGGGGGCGGTGGGGGAGCTGGGAGGGGTCTTTCAAGAGGGGGCATGGGGCTCTCCGATGCCCAGGTTCTTCGGAAGAGGACACTCGAATGCCGGGATCCCGAAGGGACTTTCCCCTCAGCATCTCGGTCTCTGGAGAGTCGTGGGACAGAACCAAGGCGAGAGAAGGAGGGGGAACTGGACGGGGACTAGAGATGAGAGGGGCGAGCTGGGCTGGGGCGGGGAGCCCGGGACGACGGGATGGAACAATGGAGGAGGTCGGAGGGACTGGAGGCAGAGGGGACCCGGCAAGGACAATGGGGACCGGCCAGACAATGGGGGGGAGGGGCGTCGGAGGGAGAGGTTGGGGAGCGGGAGAGAGGTTGAGAAGTGGGTTAGGGAGGGCAGAAGAGGGGCGACGGCGAGGGCGGCAGAGAGATGGAAGCAGAAGGAAAGGAGACAGAGCGGGGCGCGGACCCTGAAGTGGTCGGGGTCCCGCCTGCCCGCTGAGGGACAGTGAGACGAGAAGAGAGAGCAGAGGCTTGGACATTTCCAGCGCCTGTCCCCGCGCTCCTGCTCGCGGCCTCTCCCAGTCCCGGAATTGGGGCTGCGGATCTAAGGCTGGGAGGGGAGTGCCCACTTCGCCGGGGCGAACCCGCTCCCGGGGTTCCCCCACGGCCGGCGGGCTCCTCCGACGCGCGTGTTCTCACGGCTTGAAGCAGCGCAGCGGATCGCGAGGGACGGAGCGGGTGTGCCCCTACCCGGGCTGGCGGTGGCTACGTCTCGGGGTGCAGAGCGCCGGGGCGCACTAGGCGGGGACCCTTCCTGGCCGCGCGCAGCTCTGGCTACGCAGGCGGGAGGCGGCAGGCAGGGGGCGCTGCGGGGCGAGGCAAGTGCAGTCCGCCGCTGCCTGCCTGCGAGTCTGGGGCTGCGCGCCGCTCCCCACCTAGCTGCGCGACCCGAGCGCCGCGCCCACCGCGCTCCGTGGGCTCCCGCGCCTCGAAGGGTCGGGATCCGGTCTGAGCCTCTCCTGGCTCTCGGTGCAAGCCGCTGGGCACCTAACGAGACGGGGGCGCCCGGACGCCTCGGATTCTGTAGCGCGGTATCCCGGGCCACCGACTCGGCAAAGGTCGGCGGGTCCTCCGGGTGGTCCGACGAGATTGTCAGATGTGGCCTGCTTTATGGCCATGAACCGAATGCCCTGGAAGGTCTGGCAACGGAGGAGGCGTCTTCACTCTCCCCGCCAGCATCTTTCATCAGAGCACTGCGCCCCAAATTCCGGCTTTACAGATACGGAGACTGAGGCTCTGAGAGTTTAAACGACTTGGCCAAGATCTCACAGCAAGTTGGGCCAGAGTCGTGGCTAGACTCCCCGACCTGATTCCCAGCTCGGTACTCCCCCACCTTTTCAGGGGGCAGCCGCTGTCCCAGCTCGGGGTCACGGCTGCGTTTCCCAGCAGGGCGGGGGGGGTTGACACTGTCCCCAGAGTCCGTCGGCGGTAGAGCCTGCGGGTGAGGTGGGCAGAGATTCTGTCCGGGTGCGGGCCCCAGCCCGAAAGCTCAGCCCCAGTTCCCTGGAGCTGTCAGGACCTGTGGCTGCGTCCGGGGATTTGGGAGCGACCGCGGGCACGTCTGCTGACTAACGCCGCTGGTTAGAGACGCTGCTCAGACGCGGGTGGGCGAGCGTAGACCAGGAGAGCGGGGAGGAGGGACCGGATCCCAGAGGGGCAACGACTTGGGCTCCGGGTCTGGGCAAGAGCGAGGGTCCCCGCGCGAAGACCCAAGGAAGGAGGGGAGCTGGGCGTGGAGGACCTGGGCGCTTGGGAAGGTGTACCCCGACAGGAACCTGCCGTCTGCAGCCCCTGCGGCTCCCGCCTCCGCCTCGGCGCGCGGCTGCTCGGTCTGGGATGGCTGTGCGCGGTCCGAGTTTCTTCCTGGGCCGCGGTGAGAGAGAGAGGGCTGAAACCAGAGCGCGTCCCGGCGGGTCGGCTGGCGGGCCGCGCCGGTAATGGAGGCACTTTGTCATTCAGACGTCTGTAACCAGAGCCGCCGGGCTGGCTAATGCGCCTAATAGGGATGGAACGAGGGCAGCAAATGGGCGTGCGTGAGCGGCCGGGCTGAGCTGGGTGGATGGTGGATGGGGAGGCAGCTCCGCGGGGGACGGGCCCCTACCGCACTGTTCCAGCCCAGTCTGGCTCAAGCGCCTCGCTTCTTCCCTGGGGGACCGCGTGGGGAGGCGGGAATAATCGCATGTGCTGAGTTCCTACTAAGTGCCTTGCACTTCCCTGGTAGTTTCTCTTGAATTATTTAATCCTTATAAGGTCCTAGCAAGGTGAATTTAGTTATTCCCACTTCGCAGTTGAGGAAACAGAACCTTCTAGACTTTCAGGCCCGAGACCAGGCTCCCCCAGTGAGTCAGTGGTGGCGTCTTTGTTGGAACCCAGGATGCTTGGCCTGGGATGTTCTCTTTCCTACATATGCCAGGCTCCCTCCCGCCCCCTACCTTCTAGATCATGGAAGGAGTCGTGGCTCTGAGAGATTAAATCGTGCCCTATGCCTTTGGCCCCACACATTTAGATCTGAGCCCCTTCTCCACACGCAGAGGCCCTGCCCCCTCTCAAGTCTCTATGCTACATTATCTTGGGTAATTAGCTCCTTTCCTCCCAACTCCTCCCCTATCCAAAGGGAGTGAGGGGTATGTGCCAGTGCCTCCCCTGGGTTTGCATCGACCTCAAAAGGCCCTCCAGGTGTTTGAAAATCTCTCCCATCCCATGGCGGTGACCACGGCCCCATTCACTTAAGAGCTCTTTGCTGAAGCTGTTGGAATGGCCAGGGCTGATTATACTGAAACATTCGTATGGTTTCAAATACTTTCAACTGTTTCGCTGTTTCTCTCTTTTCTCTAATTAAAAAAAATGAAAATTCTTAAAAGTCAATTCATCTAAGGATCCTTCCACCTTAGTTCCTTGTAAGCCTTGAAATGGCCAAAACAAAAAGATTACAAGCGTTCTTAAAAATGAGATGAAATCATTCTGTCAAATGTGAAATGACTAAGTGTAACACATACAAATTTCAGGGAAATTTATCTGTCATCCCTATAAATTAATCCTTTTGGATCTGATTTTGGAGCAATTAGCCTGAATGTTAGTCACCCCTCCCTACTTGGCTAAACTCTCCCCTCCTGCCTGGGGTCTCCTTAAGATGAGATGCTTCTTTGATAACTAACATTTATTAAATTCCTACTGTAGACCAGACATATTTGCATAAATTATTTCACTTAATTCTCCCAGCAATCCTGGGCAATAGACATTATCAACCCAATGTTTTAGGTGAGAAAAACTGAGGTTTAGGGAAATTAAGTAATTTACCCTAAGCAACATACTATTAAGAAGCAGATCTAGGATTTTACAACATAGGGAACATAAAACAAGGACAGGAAATGCATGGTTACTAATTATCTGGCCCCTACTCCAAATGCAGTTTTTAAGAGAAGAGAGAGGACCTCAGGCTGCAGCAGGGAGAACAGGTTTCTTGGCAGGGGCATTTGCACAAAGCCCCCACACCACCCAAGACCACTGTAGACAGATCTCCTCAGCTGTCCAGAGCCCAACAAACTGGAACACAGCCAATGGCCACAAAGTAGACCCTGGAGGACAGAAAAGAGGGGTCCCAAAGTACATAAATACCTTATTTACTTGTGTAATACTTACAGCAATCCTATGATGCAGGTACTGTCATCATTACCTAATTATGACCCAGGACAAGTGTGGAGCCAGGATTCAGAGTGGCGTGAGAGCTCACAGATTGTATTCAGAGGCTTGCCTCCTCCTGGTTCAGATCCTATTTACATACCTTTATATTTTTTATTATTTTTATTTTATTTATTTATTTATTTATTTTGAGACGGACTGTCACTCTGCCACCCAGGCTGGAGTGCAGTGGCACGATCTCGACTCACTGCAACCTCTGCCTCCTGGGTTCAAGCGATTCTCCTGCCTCAGCCTCCTGAGTAGCTGAGACTACAGGCGCCCGCCACCACGCCTGGCTAATATTTTGTATTTTTAGTAGAGATGGGGTTTCACCATGTTAGGCAGGATGGTCTCGATCTCCTGACCTCGTGATCTGCCTGCCTCGGCCTCCCAAAGTGCTGGGATTACAGGCGTAAGCCACCACGCCCGGCCGGCACATGCCTTTCTACCAAGGCGAGTTCCACAGTTTCTGAAGATTCAATTAGACCTTAAATAGATTAGCGTGGTGGGGGAAGGGTTGCTTCAGGTCACACTCTGGTAGCAGCAAGAAGTGACAACTGATACCTTGACAGGAAGGGAGGAAACAGAAAAGCTATATTAAAAAAAAAAAAAAGGCTGACAGGAGAACTCAAAAAGACAAAAGTGTGGTAATTTGGGAAAAGAACAAAAGAGTTTCCCTGTATTGCAGCCCAGAGTAATCGCTGGTGTAAATACAGAGTCCCTGAGTCATGGGAAGCCATGAAGCTTTGCTCCAGAGACAGGGAAGGGTGCAGCCACCATGGTGAAAAGCAAAAATGATGAGGGCAGCAAAGCCTGGCAGTCTGGAATCTCGGCTAACCAACAGTCGCTCTCCCAGAGTTCTGGTTAATTGAGGTCATACAGTATTTTCATGTATTTCAACTCCACGCGTGTATGCATTGTGTCCCTACTGCATGCCAGATACCGCATCAGGCCCTGGGGCAATCCAGCTCCCTCAGGGAGCTGACAGTCCAATGAGGGAGTCTATAAAGTTCAGGCCAGACAAAAGCAGAGAGAACCGGAGAACAGGCTGGATGCGTAACATGGCAGCCCCACCTAATCTGTGAGCGGTGGGTGCAACAGGACCACTTCCTTGAGGAAGTGACATTTAAGCAGAGCCCTAAAGGATGAAAAGAAATCAGAACAGGCCCTTCTGGAATCTTGCCTCTTGAGGGAAAGCCTGCATCTGGGACCCTGAGGCTCCTGGTCTGCAGATGTTCCCAGCACTGAGTGTGTTGCTGCCCTGGAGGAGGTGCGGCAACACCAAGGTTCCACCTCCTCTGTTGCCTGTGCCTGTCCTGCTGGTCTCATGAGGACCACAGACTCCCTCCTGGGTTGATCCAACCTGTCTATCCCCCTGACTCCTCTGTTTCCTTCCCCACCAAACCCTGATGAGGCCGCAGGATATTTTAAAAGGCTGGAGGGAAAGGAGTGTCTTGGCCATGATCTGGCCAATGTAGAAGAAGCAGAATGCCCAAAACAAGCTTGTAAAGCTTCCCTCTGGTCCCACGACCCCAAAGCCCATACTTCTCAGCATCAAATGAGGGCTGCATGGTCTGGAGCTAGCAAAGCAGGCTTTGGAGTTTTATTAGACATTAAGTTTTTTTTAAAGGAACAGAAATATAAAGCAAGCCTCCACCAGCCCCTTCCCCTGGGGAATCTGGTGTTAAATTGTTACATCCACGAGCAAAGATGCTTCAGTGGCAGGAACCTGACTCCCCTTTCCCTTGGTTCCAGCCCTGTTCCCAGTGGCCACATGGGGGAGGGGGAGGACTGGTGGCTGGAAATCAAACCGTGGCAGGGCAGGGCTGCTGGGTGGTGAGAGCAGCCACTGTCCCATCATTGATAACAGTTCTCCCTTTCTCTCCATCTTGGTGCGAGGCTTTTGCCAAATGGCTGGCCTTTTGCCCTGGCACCAGGCTGTTGCCATCTCTGTAGAGAAATGAAGACTCAGAGGGAAGATGGGCAAGCAAGACCCCCAGTGTAGAGTCAGGATTCAAACCCAAGACCCTGGCCCTCTCCTTTCTGCTCTTGGGCATGGACATCTTCCATTTATTATTTAATATGTGGAATTAAGGACCTGGAGTAAGGCCCTGCTGGCCTTTGTTAGAAAAAGGCCCTCCTCTGGGTAGATACAACCCAGCAGGTGCAAAGCTTAGCAAATGGAGTTTGGGATAGGTTTCAGCTCTACTTGCCCCGTTGGCTGGGAGCCCTGTGCAAGCTACAACCTGTCCAACCATTCATGACATCCCTGTTGGTAGGCCCTCCGCTGGGCCTCTGGCCACCTTCCCCATGTGGTATATCCTTGGGATTCCAGGAGTTGCTGTAACCCCAGGATGAACTTTGCAGAAGGTCAGCAGCTGAAGCTCTGACCTCACACCCCCAGCAGCCTGCACGGGCACACTGTCCCTCACTTGCCTTTCCCCTGTCAGCTTTGATGTTCCTAACGCCTCCCTGGTGAGCTCATCCCAGCCCAGGTGGTTCTAATAGAAGGCAGTGGGAGGAGGGTGTTTGATTCCCCGGAAGAACCCCCCCCAACCCACCCCAGCTTTCTCTTGCCAGTCTGACCCTCCGATCTCCCTCCATCCAGGTGTCCCTTGGAGGTGCCAAGGAGGCATGCCCCACAGGCCTGTACACACACAGCGGTGAGTGCTGCAAAGCCTGCAACCTGGGCGAGGGTGTGGCCCAGCCTTGTGGAGCCAACCAGACCGTGTGTGAGCCCTGCCTGGACAGTGAGTAGAGGGTGGCGGGCAGGAGGAGGGGAGAAGAATGGGAGGGAGGAGAGGGGTGAAAGGGAGGGGCGCTGGGGAGAAGCATGCCCAGTAGAGGCCTTATAAGACCACCACTGTAAGGTCATCAGAAGTGGGTCTGACCCAGTGTAGGAGGCGCTTCTCCCAGATTCGAGAAGCTGAGAATGGAGAAGGGAAGTGTGCAGAGGGAGGAGGGGAACCCCATGGGGGATCTCCAAGGGGTGCCCATTCCCAGCTCTGGAGAAGGCAGAGGCTTGGTAGAAGAGTGTGGCTGGGCAGGGAGGAGTAGCTGATGCTAAGACCAGCTAAAAATATCATCTGCACTGCAAAATCAATGGCTGCCACTTATCCCCGGTGTGTTTGGGGGAAGGGAGAGGAGGATCAAATCCTGGCTGCCCTGAAGGCTGACCTTGGGGGATCCTGGGGGTGTGGCTGTTCCTCCCTACAGGCCAACTCTTCTCCAGCTTTGACCAGGAAGCAGAGTTTTCCCGAGGCAGCAGGGATGGGGGTCAGAGCGCCATGAAGACGTCCTTACTGTGGGGTGACAGAGGGGAGGGGAGACGGGGAGCTGTGCCCATTCCTGCCTGGGATTTCTTCCTTCCTTCCTTCCTTCCTTCCTTCCTTCCTTCCTTCCTTCCTTCCTTCCTTTCTCTCTCTCTCTTTCTTTACCTTTCTTTCCTTTCTTTCCTTTCCTTCCTTCCTTCCTTCCTTCAACAGAGTTTTGCTCTGTTGCCCAGGTTGGGAGTGCAATGGCATGATCTCAACTCACTGCAACCTCCACCTCCTGGTTTCAAGTGATTCTCATGCCTCAGCCTCCTGAGTAGCTGGGACTACGGGTGCATGCATGCCACCATGCCTGGCTAATTCTTGTATTTGTAGTAGAGATGGGGTTTTACCATGTGGACCAGGCTGGTCTCAAACTTCTGGCCTCAAGTGATCCACCTGCCTTAGCCTCCCAAAGTGTTGGGATTAGAGGCGTGAGCCACCGTGCTCGACCCTGCCTGGGATTTCTTTCAGGAGGGGAGAGAATCTCATCTTCCTGGGCTGGTGGGTCTGGGCCCCTTGGCCCCAGTCTTGTCCAGGGTCTGAATTCCCTCATGCTTTTGAGTCAGGAGTCTCGGTCCCTGATCGGTGCCCCCAGTCCTCAGTTGCTGCCTTTGGGCCGTGGGCTCCCTGCCCTTTTCCTGACTCCCTGCCTTCTACCTGGCACTCGATGCCCACCTGGAGGGCTCGAGGGAACCATACTCAGATTATTCTTTAATCCGGCTGGGAATAAGGGGATAGAGCTGGGGCCTCTGAACCCACCTGCGGACCTAGTGTTACCTCTGGATGTCCCCCCTGAGTCTATCTGTCCTCCAGGCAACCCCAACTCTTGGTGTTCCCCAGACACACTGTTTTCCCATCTCTGTGCTTGTGGATCCTGTAACACCATTCCCCAGCCAAGAAATGCCTGGGCGTATGTGTGGAGGTGGGACATCCTCCAATGCCTTTGCCGTCTTGCTTCATGGCCACCTGCTCTGGCCCTGGCCTAACAGGGTTTCCATTCCAGGGCGGGGGTGGCCAACCATCAGCTATCCCAGAACCTCCAAATCTGCCTCTCTTGCTTCCTAGACTCCAGCCCAGGACTCTCCTCCCAGGACCTAAATGATGGGAACCCTTTCCCTTCAGTCAAAGGACCTTCAGCAGGAGGTGGGGCGGAGGACACCAGGAGAGGGAAGTTCCAGAATCTCTGGAAGGGAAGGGAGGCAGGCAGAGAGGTGGCTTTGAGAATCCTCCCTTCCACTTCCTCCCTCCCCTCCATTTTCCCCTCCTTCCCTGTCTCCCCCTCCTCCACCTCCAGCTGCATTAACAGGCTGCCTTTACAAGCCCACTTTATGGGACGGAGACCCCAGCGGACTTTCCCTCTACCCTTAAAACGTTTCCACAAGGAAACCTATTAAGCCCCTGCCTTCATTCTCTGCCAAAAAAGACCACATTTTTCACACCACCTAAAACCCTCTCCCAGGAGTTTTCTGCTAATTTTCTGTGTTTTGCCATGAGCAGGCTTCTCCTCTTCCCCTCCTGTGTGACTAGACTTACCCTCCATCACACGCCAGCCAGCCAGGACCCTCTTGTTTGTATAGCTCAGACATCCTGCCTTTGCTGTTTGTGTTTGGACGTTCTTTCTGCTGTCTGACCATATTCCTACCTCCAAAGTTCAATGTCCTCATCGCTCTCCACCCCCATGGGGCCCAATCTTTATAGGATCCCAACTACGTGCCAAAGCTTTATGGCTGAATTTCATTTATTCCTCACTACAACCCTGTGACTGCAGATATTGCTCCTTATTTTTACAGAGAAAGAAAAAGCTCAGAGAGGTTAAGTAAAACACCCAAAGTCACACAGCTTATAAGCGATGGAAATGGATTTTGAATCCAGATCTGCCTGCTCCTAGGAAAAGGGACACAGGGTTCCTCTGTC
Source organism: Homo sapiens (assembly GCF_000001405.40). Classification (NCBI taxonomy): domain Eukaryota; kingdom Metazoa; phylum Chordata; class Mammalia; order Primates; family Hominidae; genus Homo; species Homo sapiens. The sequence continues at coordinate 49,504,683 of NC_000017.11, forward strand.
AGAATTCACTTGAAACTGAAGTCTCCCTCCAGGCCCTTCTTCCTGGGTCTTTTCTTCTCTCCTCTACCCTTTTTCTTTCTTTCTTTCTTTTTTTTTTTTTTTTTTTTTTGACAGCGTCTCACTCTGTCACCCAGGCTGGAGTGCACTGGTGCAGTCTTGGCTCACTGTAACCTCTGCCTCCCATGCTCAAGCAATCCTCCCACCTCAGCTTCCCGAGTAGCTGGGATTACAGACGTGCACCACTACACCCAGCTAATTTTTGTATTTTTTATAGAGATGGGGTTTTGCCATGTTGGCCAGGCTGGTCTTGAACTCCTGGCCTCAAGTGATCTGCTCGCCTTGGCCTCCCAAAGTGCTGGGATTACAGGAGTGAGCCACCACGCCCAGCCTTTGTCCCCAGTTCTGCCCCTTTCACTTCTCTCTGGCTTTTCCTTCTTTGCCTCCTCATCCCCCCACCACACCCCCGAAGCCAGTGACCCCTTGCTCCATCTTGTCTCTGATGCCTTTGAATAATGTTGAGACCCCCCTACAGGCCTCAGTTTCCCCCTAATGGCGCTTTAGCCTTTCTGCTTCTGCTTCCACATTCTGAACAATCTGTCCTTCCCTGGTTCTCAGGTTCCTAAATCTATGCTCTTCCTGTCCTTGGAGCAAGGATAGGTCCTGCCAGATCCAGGGTGGCACAGAGTTCCCCACCCAAAGCTGGAAGGGGTGAAGAAGATCTGGCCCTGTTCCTTCCCCTCCCTGTACAAGGAGGCAAGGACCCTGGCGTGCCCAGCCTCCTTCTCCTTATTCTGGAGTGCACATCCAGTAATTAAGAAAACATGAGTGAAGAATGAGCTTGGACATCTCCCTTGCATCCTGGCCGAAAGGGCAGACGACGCATGTGCAGATCTCAAAAGGGTGATCATATAGTTGTGCAGCTTGTGTACTGCTCAACAATATCCATCTGAGAGAGTGAGTGTGGGCTAAGAGCCAGCTCTCTAGCTTCAGTGGCTCCTGCCTTACCTGAGCCCTCTTGCCTGCAGGTCCGTCCCCACCCTCAGGATCCAAGCCCTTCAGCAGCATGGGGGTAGTGCCATGGGTGGGAAATTCTGCTGTCTAACCCCGGTCACTCCCATTTAGGCTGCATCTGAGCCCACACCTGTGTGGAGAGGAACTGAAGGCAGATGAGGCAGGAGGCTCCCTAGGGGAAGGCCTACCTTGCCTGGACCGGGTTAGCAGCCCAGCTCTGGCCCGCGGGGAGGGCTGGGTGGGAACCACGTTCAGATTATTCCTTAATCATGCTGGGAACATAGTACAGGCCTGGGAACTCTCAAAGAGAATTTGCCAAGAAACTTAGCGGCACCAGCTGGGTTATGCCGGAAAGCCTCCCGGCCGGCCAGTGCTTCTGGAGCCTGGAGGATGCGGCTCCGGGCCTCCTCCCCCTTTCCCAGTTGGCTGCCACCAACTTTCACAGGCTAGGGGTCAGGGTCCCTTGGAAGAGGGTGGGAGCCGATGAGAAGGCTGAAGGAGGAAGTCAGCGTCCTGGCAGGCAATAGGGGAGGGAGAGACTCCAGCTCCTGCGTCCCGGGTGCCCAAAAGAGCAGACGACTAAATCTGGTGTCCGCTGCGCTCAGGCGTGACGTTCTCCGACGTGGTGAGCGCGACCGAGCCGTGCAAGCCGTGCACCGAGTGCGTGGGGCTCCAGAGCATGTCGGCGCCGTGCGTGGAGGCCGACGACGCCGTGTGCCGCTGCGCCTACGGCTACTACCAGGATGAGACGACTGGGCGCTGCGAGGCGTGCCGCGTGTGCGAGGCGGGCTCGGGCCTCGTGTTCTCCTGCCAGGACAAGCAGAACACCGTGTGCGAGGAGTGCCCCGACGGCACGTATTCCGACGAGGCCAACCACGTGGACCCGTGCCTGCCCTGCACCGTGTGCGAGGACACCGAGCGCCAGCTCCGCGAGTGCACACGCTGGGCCGACGCCGAGTGCGAGGGTGAGTGCGGTTCGGGGGGCGGGGGGAGTGGGGGTGCGGGGGTGGGCTGGGGGCATAAGGAAGGGCGCTCTCTGGAGGTCGACAAGGACCCTGCCTGGCCTGCTGGGGCAGCTTGGTGACCTTGAGGCAGCGTGCACCTTCCCTGAGCTTCAGTCCTTTCCTGGTAACCTAAGGGAGGAGGTCATTCCCCATCCTGTCTCAGCAAAGAACCCCTCTCTGTGTTACCTTCTTTGGGCTGTTTGGAAAGTGGGCGTTCTCAGCGTCCCAGGCCGCGGGTACTACATTGTAACTCATCCTCCGGGACGCATTTCTCTGTGGCTTCCCGCTAGTGATTAGCTGAACAGCAAGCAGCTCGAAGGTGGCCACTACCCCCAGGGCACAGAACGGGAGAGGTCTGATCCATGAGGCAGGCTTTCTGAACTGGAAGAGCAGCTTGAGGACCCTCAGGAGCTGGGACCCTTTGACTCTGAGCCCTGGTCTAGGTCCATGGTGGGTTTTGGCTCTGGGACCTGAGATGGAACCCACCCTGTCCTTGACTGACGTTAGGGAGTCCACTCCTGTCTCTGGGCCTCGGTTTCCTCACTGGTCATATGGCTGCCAGGGTTGTTGCGGGTTAGGGAATACAGTGGGGCTGGCCCACTTCAGCTTGCCCTGTCTAGGGGAGGGGTCAACCGTGTTCCGCAGTTTAGTGAAGGATGAGGGGCATGCAGGGAACACTAAGGAGGGGCTCTGTGGAAGAAGAAGGAGGGGAGGGGCAGACCTGGGGCTCAAAAGCCCGGGGACAAGGCAGTGCATGCTCGTGGCTGTCAGCTCCAGGGATGGATGGGAGCTGGGCGTGCCCACCTTAGCCAAGCACAGGCCCCAAGGAGATGGGGTGGTTCTTGGGATGGGAGAAGGAAGCCCCGTGGGAGCCAGGGCAGAGCTGTTTTGGTCTCTGGTTGGTGACGTCCGTCTCAGGGGAGACTGGTGGGCTTTTCCACTTCGGGGAGAGGCTGGCAGTGCCTTTACATCCTGTCCATCATCCTGTGGCCATGCACACATTGAGCTATTTCCCTTTGAGAACTAACCTGCATCCTCAGGTTGCCTTTACCCTGAGCAGGCAATATAGTACCTCCTTCAGTGAGCCCCCAGTTTGATGGGAGAGATAGCCTTCGCCCAGTCTAATGAGAGAGACGTGGTCCCAGCACTTAGTCCCCAGCTGAAGGAGAGATAGCTCTCACTTTAGAGATCCCCCATTCTGATGGAGGCAGCAGAGCTTCTGCCTCAGTTAGCACCCAGATCTCCTGCCCCTGGGGACCCTCCAGTCTGATAGGGGCTCCAACCCACACCTGCCTTCCAAGTCCTGCCATCTCTGGCTTTAGGAGCTCAGGATGGGGAGGGCTGTTACGCTGGGCTAAGGCCAGGTTGAGCTCAAAGCTTCCTGCCTTGGAGAAGGAATGAGGAGTAGGATGTGGTGGTTCTGTTGGCAATTGCCCTGGGCCAGGAGACAGGCAAGTGGCATCAGGCGCCAGGCAGAGCGCAGGAAGGGTTTCAGCAGCCAGGCATCAGGCAAGCAGGCAGCTCATTTCTGTAGGCAAGTCCAGACCAGCCAGCTGGGGGCGGGGCGGGGGGACTTGGGGGCGCTGCTAGAGCAAAGAAAGGTGGTGACTGTGGGAGGAGCAGGCTTTGTCTTTTGGGGCATTCACAGATTCCTCTCAGATACCAGCCCACTTTCCCAGCCACCCCGAAGGAGGAGGGTGCTCCTGAGGGAGTGTTCATACCAGACCCTGTTCCCCTTTCAGCTTCAGGCTCTGAAGGGTTAAATGTCAGCTCTGGGACAAGAGACCATTTCAGGAAATGGAATTTGATTCTTGGTTTTGTTGCCCCCTCCCCTCCAGCGTACCATACTTTCCCCGCATTTACTTACGTTTCAGGTGTCAACATGGTGACTCACCCACCCTCAGGGCAGAAGGGCTACCCGCTGCCCCAGTGAAATTCGGTTTGAATAGGGATAACCTGGTCCCTCCATGCAGCCCGGAAATGGCTGTCAGGACCTGCCAAGGGCTTAGTAGGTTGGAATGCTAGTGGACGTGGCCACATCTGGATCTCATCCCCCCGCCCCCGTCAGAGGGGATTGGAGAGATGAGGGCAGCTCCCCAAGAGTCAGTGCCGCCTCTGGTCTGGCCACGCCTTGCTACCCTCCCAGCCTTCCCCTACCATGCTCTGATCTCGGTGATGGTCTCATTCATTGGGCACCCGGACATGTACACTCCTTCACCCTCTGGCTTGGGGTCAGTCTGAGCTGAGCTGTGTCTCCAGCCTCTGGACTTGGGCTGCCCCCCAGCTTGCCCAGTCCCCTGGCAGAGCAAGAGAAGACCCTCCCCAGTCCAATGCTCCACCTGGGGCTGCCAGAAGACAGGGCTCTGTCTCCTTCACTACCTCTGGCCCCTCCCAGGACGGAGACGGGGAAGGGTGGTTTGGGTGACAGATGGCAGCCCCTCACTGCTGGCAGCCAGATGGATTCTAGATTCACATCTGGGGGCTTTGCCCCTCAGAAGGTGCTGAAAACGGGCCTTTGAAGCATTTCATCTTGAGTGGAAGAGGCCAGAAGATGGGTGGCAGCTTCTACTCCTGCTTGGGTGGGCAAAGTGGGGGCTGGGAGGGCAGAGCTGGGAGCCAGTTACCCTCCCCTTCACCCCATTGGCATGTCCTGCCTGCTTTCCCTCCCTGCCCCAGGCGTGGGAAGTGAGGAGGGACGGGGTAGGCAACATTGCCCAGACAAGTATCCCCAGGCCGTCCAGAGCCCACAACCCCTAGCACTGCCCCTGGCTGTGTGGCAGAATGGAAAATCCCACCCACTGGTGCCAGGAAGGGCTGGGTCCCCTGCCAGGGAGGCTGGCAATGCCCAGCTAGCATGAGAGGGTCTAGGTGGGTGGCAAGTCACAGTCTCCCCCCGCCAGCTGAGGCATTGAGCTGGACCTGCCTCATGGGCCCCTTCTCCACTGGCTCTCTGCTTCCTGACCAAGGAGGGTTGGGGCTACCTGATGCTGTCATCTCTGGTTGGCAGGATCAGGCTAGGTGGGAGCCAGGCAAGACAGGAAACAGAGGCTGGCCACTGTCCAAGGGCTGGCTGGAGGGAGGCAATCCAGCTGCCCCCGCACCCCTCCTTTCCACCCAAGCCTAGAGCCTGAGACATGAGGTCAAAAAGTCGGGGAGTGCTCTCAGGGAGGTGGTGTGGGGGAAGCACCTCTCTGACCAGACCTGTGTACCCTCTTCTTTCCTTAGGACAGGAGTGACTAGGGTCATCAAGGACAAGCTGGGGCCAGAGAGACATTTCCCAGAGTGACTCCAGCTCAAGGCCTCCCTGTGGTCAGGCTTCTTTGTGTGTTTGCTCCTAGATAGGCCTCTCTAGGTACTCAGGAGGTGGAATAGAATTCCAGGACCATAGCCCCAGATGGAAGGGAGCTTAGAGACTGTCTCTCTTAATAGCCCCATTAGATAAATAAGGAAATCAAGGTTCTGAGAGAAAAGGGGGCTGGGCCAGAGTCACCCAGCAAGTCAGTGGCGAAGCTGAAGGAGATGCAGCTCTGTGGGCCCACAGGCCTTGCTCTTTAGCATCATGACATCATGCACGCAATCCCAGCTGTGCATAACAGCTGGGCACAAGAGCACCTGGAGCCAGGGCGGGGACACAGGAAGAACACGGCAGTGGGTTAGAGCTAAAAGGGAGGAGTGGGGGAAGTGGGTCCTCACTCCTGTGGCCTTTTCTCCCAGAGATCCCTGGCCGTTGGATTACACGGTCCACACCCCCAGAGGGCTCGGACAGCACAGCCCCCAGCACCCAGGAGCCTGAGGCACCTCCAGAACAAGACCTCATAGCCAGCACGGTGGCAGGTGTGGTGACCACAGTGATGGGCAGCTCCCAGCCCGTGGTGACCCGAGGCACCACCGACAACCTCATCCCTGTCTATTGCTCCATCCTGGCTGCTGTGGTTGTGGGCCTTGTGGCCTACATAGCCTTCAAGAGGTAAGAGAGGGCACGGTGGCGACAGAGAGGGGAGATGTTTGCCCTCAAGGAAGACTTTGCTGTGACCTTGACCTGAAAACATACACACCCTTTTAACTCAACCCCAAACCAAGCTCATCCTCACTCATCATCTGCCGCCCCACTCCAGGGTGCAGCAGGTCAGCAGGAGGTGAGGGGAGAGGATCCACCTGTCCTGTCCTGTCCTCTCCTGCCCTGTCCTGGCTCCAGCCCCTCCCACTCCCATGCCGCACCACTCCCTGACTCCCCACCCCCAACTGCTTGTGTCCTCATCCCCAACCTCCTTCACCCCACAGTCACCTGCGTGTGCATATGTCTCTTCCCCTTCGCTTGTCACACTGGGAATGCTGTGGCACCCACATCCAGGAATCCAGGATGTGCACGAACTCCCAGAAGGCATTTTAAAGCTTTAAATGCATTTTCCATTCTTTCTAAAAAAAAAAAAAAAAAATCATCAAAGTAACACATCCGTGTTTAGGAAAATGCAAACAAGACCAATATCTTTCAAAGCAAAAAGTAAAAGCCCCCTTTTATCTCCCCAAATCCTACTTCTCTCCTTATTGGAATCTGTTTGAAATGGATCCTTCCCAACTATTTTCTGTGTGTCTTTTTTTATAAACATGTATATAAACCTTTTATAATTACATGTAAACATGGAGGGCTTTTTAGGCATCAGTGAGATCACATTGTACATATTCTACAGCTTACTTTTTTCACTCAGTCTCCCTCAGGAGACCTTTCCTCAGGAATGTAGATTAGCTGATCATTTGTAACCACTCATTCAATAGTATGGATGGATGGTAATTTATTTAGCCAGTCCCCATTGATGGACATTTGTTTTTTTTTTTTTTCCAGTTTTTTGTTATTGCTTATAATTGCAGAGGAAATCCTTTTATATGTCACTGCCCACATGTGGGAGTATTTTAGAAGGGTAGATTGGGAGAAGAGGAGTTCCTGAGCAGTCACTTTTGCTGCACTGCTCATTCCAGGAACATTTACTGAACACTTACAGAGGGCCCCTCTGCCCTCATGGAGCTTTCAGGGTAGGTGGGGGCAGATGTGCAAAGAGGAGCCTTAGATGGTGGGGTGGCGGTTATAATTGGGCACCCGCCATGCCCCTGGCCCTCACACGGCAGAGCACAGATACTCAGCTGCATCGGCCACTACAGCCCCTCGCCCCCTGAAACCTGGCCTGTCCTCTGGCTCCAGGTGGAACAGCTGCAAGCAGAACAAGCAAGGAGCCAACAGCCGGCCAGTGAACCAGACGCCCCCACCAGAGGGAGAAAAACTCCACAGCGACAGTGGCATCTCCGTGGACAGCCAGAGCCTGCATGACCAGCAGCCCCACACGCAGACAGCCTCGGGCCAGGGTGAGCAGCGGCCCGCTGGGGAGCTGAGGCGGAGCTGAGGCTGAGGAAACAGAAGCAATTAAGATTAGACTCCAGGAAGGACTGTCGGGGGGGCGGCAGGGCTGGCTCAGCGGTGCCCCTGTAGATGGATGGAGAGGCTGGCCGAGGGGAATGGGAGGGAGAGGTCCTCTCTAGAGGAACGACTTGGGAAATGGAGGCTTTTACAAGTTGGAGCATCCAGACTCATCAAGCTAATTGTCCCCCCTGGGGGCTAATTATTGCCCAAAGTAGCTGCAATTAGCCTCTTGCCCTGGACTTCTGGGGAACAAGTAGTTAAGTGTGTACCCTAATTAGTGGCCCATAGCCCAGCTCCGGGACACTTGCTGTAGTTGTCTAGAACTGAGAAGCCCTATCTCCTCCTCTGCCATGATTAATTGCTGGGGGGGAAGAGAGGAGGGATGGGGATAGGGATTGGGCTGGAGTGACAGGAGGAAGGGACAACGAGTCCCCCCAGGTGCCTTCACTTCCTGGTGCCCCACCCAGGACCTTGTCTTGGCCCCAGGCCTCCAGATGGGGAGGAGCACTGCCTCGGCCCTTCTTGGGTCTCACCCCAGTGCCCACTGTTGGGGAAAGGAGTTCAGGGGTAGGACCTGACTCTCCTCTGGTTTCTCTGCAGCCCTCAAGGGTGACGGAGGCCTCTACAGCAGCCTGCCCCCAGCCAAGCGGGAGGAGGTGGAGAAGCTTCTCAACGGCTCTGCGGGGGACACCTGGCGGCACCTGGCGGGCGAGCTGGGCTACCAGCCCGAGCACATAGACTCCTTTACCCATGAGGCCTGCCCCGTTCGCGCCCTGCTTGCAAGCTGGGCCACCCAGGACAGCGCCACACTGGACGCCCTCCTGGCCGCCCTGCGCCGCATCCAGCGAGCCGACCTCGTGGAGAGTCTGTGCAGTGAGTCCACTGCCACATCCCCGGTGTGAGCCCAACCGGGGAGCCCCCGCCCCGCCCCACATTCCGACAACCGATGCTCCAGCCAACCCCTGTGGAGCCCGCACCCCCACCCTTTGGGGGGGGCCCGCCTGGCAGAACTGAGCTCCTCTGGGCAGGACCTCAGAGTCCAGGCCCCAAAACCACAGCCCTGTCAGTGCAGCCCGTGTGGCCCCTTCACTTCTGACCACACTTCCTGTCCAGAGAGAGAAGTGCCCCTGCTGCCTCCCCAACCCTGCCCCTGCCCCGTCACCATCTCAGGCCACCTGCCCCCTTCTCCCACACTGCTAGGTGGGCCAGCCCCTCCCACCACAGCAGGTGTCATATATGGGGGGCCAACACCAGGGATGGTACTAGGGGGAAGTGACAAGGCCCCAGAGACTCAGAGGGAGGAATCGAGGAACCAGAGCCATGGACTCTACACTGTGAACTTGGGGAACAAGGGTGGCATCCCAGTGGCCTCAACCCTCCCTCAGCCCCTCTTGCCCCCCACCCCAGCCTAAGATGAAGAGGATCGGAGGCTTGTCAGAGCTGGGAGGGGTTTTCGAAGCTCAGCCCACCCCCCTCATTTTGGATATAGGTCAGTGAGGCCCAGGGAGAGGCCATGATTCGCCCAAAGCCAGACAGCAACGGGGAGGCCAAGTGCAGGCTGGCACCGCCTTCTCTAAATGAGGGGCCTCAGGTTTGCCTGAGGGCGAGGGGAGGGTGGCAGGTGACCTTCTGGGAAATGGCTTGAAGCCAAGTCAGCTTTGCCTTCCACGCTGTCTCCAGACCCCCACCCCTTCCCCACTGCCTGCCCACCCGTGGAGATGGGATGCTTGCCTAGGGCCTGGTCCATGATGGAGTCAGGTTTGGGGTTCGTGGAAAGGGTGCTGCTTCCCTCTGCCTGTCCCTCTCAGGCATGCCTGTGTGACATCAGTGGCATGGCTCCAGTCTGCTGCCCTCCATCCCGACATGGACCCGGAGCTAACACTGGCCCCTAGAATCAGCCTAGGGGTCAGGGACCAAGGACCCCTCACCTTGCAACACACAGACACACGCACACACACACACAGGAGGAGAAATCTCACTTTTCTCCATGAGTTTTTTCTCTTGGGCTGAGACTGGATACTGCCCGGGGCAGCTGCCAGAGAAGCATCGGAGGGAATTGAGGTCTGCTCGGCCGTCTTCACTCGCCCCCGGGTTTGGCGGGCCAAGGACTGCCGACCGAGGCTGGAGCTGGCGTCTGTCTTCAAGGGCTTACACGTGGAGGAATGCTCCCCCATCCTCCCCTTCCCTGCAAACATGGGGTTGGCTGGGCCCAGAAGGTTGTGATGAAGAAAAGTGGGCCAGTGTGGGAATGCGGCAAGAAGGAATTGACTTCGACTGTGACCTGTGGGGATTTCTCCCAGCTCTAGACAACCCTGCAAAGGACTGTTTTTTCCTGAGCTTGGCCAGAAGGGGGCCATGAGGCCTCAGTGGACTTTCCACCCCCTCCCTGGCCTGTTCTGTTTTGCCTGAAGTTGGAGTGAGTGTGGCTCCCCTCTATTTAGCATGACAAGCCCCAGGCAGGCTGTGCGCTGACAACCACCGCTCCCCAGCCCAGGGTTCCCCCAGCCCTGTGGAAGGGACTAGGAGCACTGTAGTAAATGGCAATTCTTTGACCTCAACCTGTGATGAGGGGAGGAAACTCACCTGCTGGCCCCTCACCTGGGCACCTGGGGAGTGGGACAGAGTCTGGGTGTATTTATTTTCCTCCCCAGCAGGTGGGGAGGGGGTTTGGGGGCTTGCAAGTATGTTTTAGCATGTGTTTGGTTCTGGGGCCCCTTTTTACTCCCCTTGAGCTGAGATGGAACCCTTTTGGCCCCCGAGCTGGGGGCCATGAGCTCCAGACCCCCAGCAACCCTCCTATCACCTCCCCTCCTTGCCTCCTGTGTAATCATTTCTTGGGCCCTCCTGAAACTTACACACAAAACGTTAAGTGATGAACATTAAATAGCAAAGAAAGAAAAATAGTACAAAGAGATTTTCTGGAAATACACATGGTTTGAATTGTTTGGGATTGGGTGTGTGGCAGGGACCCAGGTATAATTTCCAATTCGGTCAATTCCTGCCCTCTTTTCCCCCACACCAAAAGGGGAAGTTTTAACAGAAATCCAGTAAGTTCCCATGTATCACTATGGGGTGAGGTGGGGAAGGAGAAGGGGCCCTTTGCTCCCAGATCTTGGAGAGGGAAAGTGAAAATGGCCACGCAGGAAGCTAGCCAGCTGTGAACTTGACCAGATGTCAGAAGTGAAACTGACCACAGGCAAGTCAGAGGCTCGCCAGGAGGGCCAGGTCACAACCCCACAGCTCCCAGCCACCCACGTGGCCTGGGAGACACACACACACACATACACACCACAGAGAGAGAGAGAGAGAATCTGGCTCCAGATGGCCTAGCAGGAGGCATTCGGCAGGCCTGGCCTGGAGTTAGGCAGGCAGGCCCCTCCCTTGTAGCTCTCGTGGGCAGGTCCTAACCCAGGCTCCTGACAGCCTGGCTTCGAGCCCCGCCTGGCCCAGGCCTGGGAGCTCCCAGGGCTGTAGGGCTCCTGGCCCTGGGCCTGTGCCTGTCTCTGAGGCTCAGCCTCAGCCCCTGCTGGTTGTTTGGCCAAGTCCTCCGGGGAGACTGGCTTGTGGTCACTGAGGAAGACAAAGGGAGGCTTGCTCTTCCAGTAAAAACAGCAAACAAGCCTGCCTGACCTCCAGATCCAGGGAGAAGGGCCAGCCAGGCCCAGCCAGAGTCAGACAAGGGTGGAGGGGAGGTTCTCTGTCTTCCATTCCCCTCCTACGCCCCCAGACTGTGAGGGGTGTAAGGAAGATGGAAGATGTTGCGGGAGGGATTCAGAGTAGGTAAGAGAAATAATCCTGGTACTTGGAAAATCAGTGTGATGGGAAAGACAATCTCTGTCTTGAGCGAGGCTCCCATCTAATGAAGGAGACAGTCCCAGAATTGAGGATATTCTAACCTGATGAAGGAGGCACACCTCCTATCCTAAGGGTGCCCCCATGCTGATGGGGAAATATACTCTTTGACCTAAGAGTGGCTCTCCACTCTGCCCCCCACTCTTGTCTGGTGGGGGAAAACCAGATGCTGTCCTGTGAAATAAGGAGAACTCAAATCCCTGCCTTCACCAGCCTTACATTCTTGAGGGAGCTAGAGCAGACCGGCCCTCTATGGTGTGTACTGCTATAATAGTGGGGGGATCCTAAGCAAGACCCACCCACACCAGGGGTCAGGGAAGGTTTGCCAGAGAAGGGATATGGAAGCTGAGTCTTTAAGGATGAGTGGAGTTAACTAGACAGGTCGGGGGGAGAGTGCTTCTGGCAGAAGAACCAGCTCAGCAAAGGCCCTGGAGGGCGCCAGCACAGAGCACACGTGGCCTGGGGAGGCTCTAGGGCCCAGAGCCCAGAGAGTGAGTAGGAAGGTGATCAGTGGGGCCTCAGCGGGGAGGGCTTGTGAAGAGACACACTAGGGGGTCTGGACTACATTCTTGGAACACTGGGGAGCCACTGGGGGGTTTTAAGTATAGGAGTGCCATAGACAGACTTGTACTTTATTATTGATTATTTTTTATTTTTTAAAATTTGAGACAAGGTCTGGCTCTGTCACCCAGGCTGGAGTGCAGTGGTGTAATCTCAGCTCACTGCAGCCTCAACTTCCCAGGCTCAAGTGATGCTCCCACCTCAGCCTCCAGAGTAGCTGGGAGAACAGGCACACGCCACCACACCCAGCTAATTATTTTGTATTTTTTGTACAGACGGGGTTTCGCCATGTTGCCCCGGCTGCTTTTGAAATTCTCGGCTCAAGCCATCCTCCTGCCTTGGCCTCCCAAAGTGCTGGGATTACAGGTGTGAGCCACCACACCCAGCCCAGACTTGTACTTTAGAAAGCACTAGCTCCAGCTGCAGAGTGGAGGGTGCTGGGTGGAGCAGGGTGGGCTGAGAGGTGGGAGTCAGTGGCGGCCTGAAATCAAGGAGGAAGCATAGGGGTGGTGAGAAAAGGGGCTTTTAAAGAGCTCCTCAGAGCCAGGGGCATGGGGTGGTGGGTAGGGAAGTGACTGACACCGTCCAGGGGCTCGTAGGAACAGGAGGGCTAAGAAACTTAAAGACGTTTGATATGGTTTGGCTTTGTGTCCCCACCCAAATCTCATCTCAAATTGTAATCCCACGTGTTGAGGAAGGGACCTGGTGGGGAGTGATTGGCTCATGGGGGTGTTTTCCCCCAAGCTGCTCCTGTGATGGTGAGTGAGTTCTCACAAAATCTGATGGTTTAAAAGTGTGTGGGCCAGGCGTGGTGGCTCACACCTGTAATCCCAGCACTTTGGGAGGCCAAGGCAGGTGGATCACCTGAGGTCAGGAGTTTGAGACCAGCCTGGGCAACCTGGTGATACCCCATCTCTACTATAATACAAAATTTAGCCAGGCCTGGTGGCGTGAGCCTGTAATCCCAGCTACTCTGGAGGCTGAGGCAGGAGAATTGCTCGAGCCTGGGAGGCGGAAGTTGCAGTGAGTCGAGAACGCGCCACTGCACTCTAGCCTGGGTGACAGAGCTACACTCCGTCTCAAAAAAAGGAAAACAACAACAACAACAAAAAAACTGTATGGCACTTTCCCCCACCGCCCTCGCTCTTCCGCTGCCGTGTGAAGAAGGTGCCTGCTTCCCTTTCGCCTTCCGCCATGATTGTAAATTTCCTGAGGTCTCCCAGCCATATGGAACTGTGAGTCAATTAAACCTTCTTCTTGGTTGGATGCAGTGGCTCACGCCTGTAATCCCAGCACTTTGGGATGCTGAGGCAAATGGATCGTTTGAGGTCAGGAGTTTGAGACCAGCCTGGCTGACATCGTGAAACCCCATCTCTACTAAAAATACAAAAATTAGCCGGGCGTGGTGGCACATGCCTGTAATCCCAGCTACTCGGGAGGCTGAGGTGGGAGAATCACTTGAACCCGGGAGGCAGAGGTTGCAGTGAGCTGAGATCGCACCATTGCACTCCAGTCTGGGTGACAGAGCAAGACTCTGCCTCCAAATAAATAAATAAATAAACCTTTCTCTTTATAAATTACCCAGTGTCAGGTAGTTCTTTATAACAGTGTAAAAATGAACTAATACAACATGGTACCCAAGATTCCCTCTGCAGCACCCCCACCATCACATTGTGTAGAAATCCTCTTTGCCTCCTTCCATTTTTCCTTCTCTGATTCCCTCTCAACAGCTAAAATGCTTCACCAGCTTTCAGCTTACCGTTTTTTTGTTTTGTTTTGTTTTGTTTTTTTAAAGAGATAGGGTCTCCCTATGTTGACCAGGCTGGTCTCAAACTCCTGGCCTCAAGCAATCCTCCCATCTTGGCTTCCCAAAATGCTGGGATTACAGGCATGAGCCACTGCACCCAGCCTGCTTACCAATCTTAGTGTGGCCTTGGAGGCTGTGTGGAAGCTAAGTGCTTAAGGATGAGTGAAGTTAACAAATGGGGAGAGGAGAGTGGTTCTGGCAGAGGACCCAACTCAGCAAAGGCCCTGGAGGGCGGGAGCACAGAGCACAGGGGCTCCCCCAGACTCACTGCCTTGTTGTAGCCATCCTCCTCCTCCTCCTCACCCCCAAGTCAGGCCTCTTATAATTCTTCAAGTGTTGCTGGTCCCTCAAGCCACAGGGCCTTTGCACACGCTATCCCTTCTGGCTGGAAGGACACTCTTTCAAACCCTTTTTCCCAAGTTTCCTCAGCCCAATACTTTCTTAGGGCAGCCCTCACTGAACTCTGTGCCGAAATCAGGTTTCAGAGCACACCACGTTCACTGCCTTTCTTTAGACCACTTCATCTCTCTTCGTAATTAGGCACCCGTCTGAGTGATTATTTGATTACTGTAAACTCCAGAAAACCTGAGACAGGGTCTGGTTTTGCTCATCTTCTAATCCTTAGCACCTTGCCTGGCATATAGTTGGCACTCATAAAATTATGTTAAATAAATGAATGAGTGTGGTCTGAGGCAACTCCATCCAATAAAAATATGATGCAAGTGACATATATGTAATTTAAAATTTTTAGTAGCCACATTACACAAGTGAAAAGAAACAGGTGAACTTAATAATATATTTTATTTAGCACAATAAATCCAAAATGTTATTTCAACATGATTGTATACATATCGAAATATTATATATAATATTTAAAATATTAAGATATATATATAATTTTTTTTTTAGAGTTGGGGGTGTCTTTCTATGTTGTCTGGGCTGGTCTCGAACTCCTGGCCTCTAGGGATCTTCCTGCCTAGGCCTCCCAGAGTGCTGGAATTATAGGCATGAGCCACCCACGCCTGGCTCAATATTTTTAAATTATTAATAAAAAATTTTACATTTTTGGTCCCACCAAGTTTTCAAAATCCAGTGTGTATTTTATTCTTGTAGCACATCTCCATTTGGACTAGCCCCATTTCAAGGAACCATCCTAGGCAGCTCAGCTCGTGCCTCCCAGAGCAGGGACTCATGCTGAGCCCTCAGTGGGCTCCGCGGCAGATGATGGATACTCCCTTGCTTCTTCCTGTGTCATCCATCTCCTTGGGCTTGAGGACTATAGTTCTCCCCTCCTCCTCTCCACTGCTACCCCAAAGCCTCTCTCCTCTGGGCCCAGGCCTGGAGGCTGTCTCTGTCTCTCTCACCCTCCAGGCTGGAGGATCCATGAGCCTTCATCTCTGCTGGCCCATCAGGGTCCCATCTCTTCCCCTAGTGCCTCCCTCTGCTCTTTCATCCAGGGCAGTGAAGCAGCGATGAGACTTGGAACAATGTGAAATGCCTCTTCATCCAGCGGGGAGGGGCGTGGGGGTCCGCTGAGCCTGTAACCCTGTGCTCTAGGGGAAGAAGGGGCTGGGCCAGCTCTGGGGTCAAGAGAAGACACTTCCCATGATGCTCGGGCTGGGGGTCTGCTGACCATATGCCTGGGGGAGGCTGCTTCTCTGATAATGCAAAGCAGATTCCTCCCAGCTCTGCGGCAGCTGGTGGGCAGAAGGCCAGGGGACAAGGCTGGGCCCCCAGGCATCTGGATACAGAAGAGCTGAGGCAAGGAGGGCTCCTTCGTCAGCCTCCTGCCCCCCACCTTACACTCCTCCCAACACCCCTGCCCCCACACTGACCCTCCCCAGCTACAACAGGCTCCCCTCCACAGTCTTCCTGCCCTGGGCCATGCCCGGGCTCCAGATCTCTGTCTAGCTCCATCAAAGTGGGGGGCGGACATTCTCAGCACATACCCTTAGGGTCTCCAGCACAACACCCCCATTCAGATCATGCCCACACGCAGGGTGATCCCACCCAGGCTCAACTGGAAGTCAGGGTTTTGCACAATAATCCCCACTCCCCAATTCCCATGATACTCCAGCTGGGGCATCTACCTATTCCAGCCTTCCAACCATCCAGGGTTGAGTCCAAAAACATTTCCCAAAGGCTCCATCATGCAAGAACATTCAGGAACATTCCAGCTCTCACCTCCCATCCCTCACAGGGCACTCAGTCCTGCCCTCTTCCCACAGTATCCGGGAACTTCCCCATCCCTCTGCTCCCTTCCCGACAATCCCTGCTCTAGCCGTTTCCAGCAACATTCCCAAAGGGCTTCTGGGAGACGTAGATTTGGGTCTCCTCCCTGGGCTGGGACTGCTCCCTTTGGAAAAGCTTGGGAATGTTCCTACCCCCTGCTCTTTGTATTCTAGAGACTCATAGAAATTGGGGGTCCTTCTGACTCACCCTGAGAAGCCCTTGGAGTCCACATTCTGAAGCCCCAGCTCCACCCCAGGGCCTAAGGCTTTCAACAGTAGTCCAGATGGTTCACCTTCTACCCTGCGGACCTTGGGATGCCCGCAGTCTGCACGGGATGTGCGGGCCAAGGGCACAGAACTGCCCGGCTTCCATTCATCAGTGTTAAAGGCCCCACCACCACCTCTGGGAAGATGAGCTTGAGGGCTCTGATGCGGCCACCTAGCAGCTCCTCTCTCCTCACCCTCTACACCAGTTAGGATTTTTTGTGTTGCAAGAGAGAGAAAACCCAACAGAGGGTGGTGAGAGGGAACTTACTGTCCGTCAGAAGTGAAAAGGGAGTAGGGCTGGCTCTAGGCACAGCTTGATTCAGAGGCTCAAACAACACCCCCAGAACCCGGTTGCTCTCTTTCCACTTCGGCCTCTACTTCCTCAGATAGGCTGTCTCCTTGTGGGGACAAGAGGGCCGCAAAGCGTCAGGTTCAAGGCGGTGGGGAAGAGACCCCCTCAGTCCTAATAATCCCAGCAAAGGTCTCCAGGTGTCCCTGGTACTGACTGGCCCATCCCTGTGGCTTGGAAATGTGATCATCAGTTGGCTAAGGTGGAGGTCCCACGCTCTGTCCCTACGGCAAGGATATCATCCTACCTGAAGCATGGGACTGAGAGTGGGGGAAATTGAGGTACCATCCCCAAAAACAGGCCACTTAAAAACAGCAAATGTGGCCTCCAGTCTAGATTGACAGTTGGGCTTCTTCGACAGGCAGCCTGAGCAAGCCTCCTCCCCCAGACCAAAGTGTGAGTTTCCACTAAGGATCACTAGGAAACAATAATATATTACGACGCAAGAGTGTCCAGGACGCACTGGGGTTCCGAAGAGGGAGGAAGTTTTCTGGCTGCAGGGACCCAGGAAGAATTCTGCAGGGGAGCCGTTTGAATCCAGCCTGGAGGGATGGACAGGATCCGGGTTGTGGGGCTGGAAAGGAGCTGGGGAGGATGTCTCAGGCGGAGGAAAGAGCTGGAGCAAAAGCACAAGAATGGGGGTGGGAGGTTAGTGCTTCATGTTCTGGGGGAACCAGCAGTGAGGAGGAAAACAGGGAAGCAATCCAGGGAATTGTAAGGAGGGAGAATGACTAGCCTTGGCACCAGATCAGATGGGAAGATAGTGAGGCAGAGAGGAGTCTAGATGACTCCCAGCCTTAAGCCTTGGCAATGGACATGATGGAGCTGTTCATAGGTGGGGAGCTCAGGGGAGGAGGGTTTCTTGCAAGAGGAGGAATTCCATGTGGAGTTGGAGAAGCCTGTGGGACATCGGGGGGAAAGTCAGGAGACACTGGTTATACTCTAGTCCCCCTTATCCACTTCCCTTTCACTTTCCCCAGTTTCAGTGACCTGTGGTCAACCGCAGTCTCGAAATAGGAAATGGACAATTCCAGAAATAAACAGTTTGTACATTTTAAATTGCACCTCGTTCTGAGTATCGTGATGAAAATCTCACGCTATCTGGCTCCATTCTGCTTGGGACGTGAATCCTCCTTTAGTCCAGCATACCCATGCTGTGAACACTACCCACCCACTAGTCACTTCGTCTCAGTTATCAGATCAAAAAAGCATAGGATATATAGGATTCAGTGCTGTTCACGGGTTCAGGAATCCACTGGGGGTCTTGGATAAGACCATGGATAAGGGAGTGGGGACAGCCGTACTTGTCACAAGCTCAGGGAAATTCCAGGGTTACAGTGGAAGGTTTTTGAATCATCTGCAAGCCACTGCGTGAGGTTCCTATGGGTTAGGCCCTTGGACAGGCCTGCTAAGGTGACCAGAGGAGAAGAGGAGGCAGATAACTGAGAAGGGCTTGTCAGTGAGTTGGGAGGCCTGGATCTTACCCCATCAAGAAAGCCTAAGGTAGTAGCAAGCTTTCAGGAGGAGGCAGCCGGTGATCCCCAGTGAGGGACCGCAGGGAGGCCCAGGAGGCAGAGGGCTGGACAGGCCACTGGACTGGCCTGGAAGAAGGCTGCAGAGACAGAGGGCAGTGGCCAGAGGAGAGAGTGGCAGGTGAGACAGTGGAGATGCCCCTGTATAACTCTCCTTCTAGGAGCTTTGCTGAGAAGGGAAGGAGAGAGGCTTTCCCTGGGATGAGGAGGAGCTTTATTATAGGGATAGGGAGGGAGGATGTGATCTGTGGGATCAGGGAGCTTTAGATTTTAAAACTGGGCCTGGTTCAACCATCCCAGCACCTCTGTGAAATTCCACAGCTAACACCCAGTGAGGTGGCTCCTGCTTATGATCTTAGCATTTTGGGAGGCTGAGGCAGGCAGATCACTTGAGGCCAGGAGTTTGAGACCAGCCTGGCCAACACAGTGAAACTCCGTCTCTACTAAAAATACAAAAAATTAGTCAGGCGTGGTAGTGCATGCCTGTATTCCCAGCTACTTGGGAGGCTGAGGCACAAGAATCACTTGAACCCAGGAGGCAGAGATTGCAGTGAGCCGAGATCATGCCACTGTACTCCAGCCTGGTTGACAGAGTGAGACTGTCGCAAAAAAAAAAAAAAGGAAGAAATTGCACAGATTTGGTCCTCAGTTCCTGGCCCTCTTGTTGCCGCACCCCCCTCCCCACCTGACCCCGGCCTGCTTTAGTCCCCTGTCAACCATCACACACCACTGGTGCAGGGGGCTAATTATCAGGGACTCAAATGGCAGACAGGAACCTGTGCCTTGTCTCAAGGAGCTCAAAGTTCAGGTAAAATGAAGAAAGAAATTGTCTAAAAATCAAAATGGGATTGGGCTCTGCCAGGGAACCACATCCTAGATCTCCGGTCCAAATGCTACCTCTTCGATACTTTAATGAGCAGCCATTAGGCCCTGTGAGTGAGACCCCCACACCATCTCTTCCAGGGCGGTGATTGGCTGAAAGCCAGGGCGGGACAGAAGAAGCTGCCAGAATCACATCACATTAGGTTCATGCAAAAGCCACCTCAGCAGCTCTGGGTACCCAGCCCCCACTTCCTGGGGTAACACATGGGCTGGGCACGTGCCCAGAGACTGCCACATGCCTATCAGGCTGGGGCCTGCCTCACGCCTCTCCAGGGAGGTTGCCAGAAGCCCTGGAGCTGGGTAAACCCCAACAGTGACTCAGGTGAGGGGTGGAGGCTGGGGCAAGAAGGCTGCAGCCCAGGCCAGATTGTGGTCCCCCCTCCCCCCACCTGGTGCCTGGTGAGCTGAGGGACAGGGCGGGAACATGGCAGGCTGGCAGCACCAGAAACAGGCTGGGCGCCCTGTCTGGGAGCACGGTAATGTCCCCCTTCGCAGGAGGAGAGTCTGCTTGGCAGACTGGCATAGACACTGCCTTAAGCAGATGCAAACTCAGAGAGGATGCCTGATGCCAGCCAGGCAGCCCTCCATCAGCAAAGACCCTGCATCCAGGGCAAAGATGCAGCCACCGTCCAGTCCAGGAGGCGGGATCTGCCCTCTCAGCTTGCAGCAAGGAGCAAGTAGAGGGATTCATAGCCTGATTCCCTGGACTTTGGGTGCAGAGTCTGGGAGAAGAGGCCCTGCACACCCTAGGGGATGCGAGGGGGCTGGGAGCTAACCAGAGTCACTAAGCAGCTGAACCAAGCAACACAGCTCCCTGTTCCCTGGGGCCTCCTGAGACGGCGGATGACATTTGCCCAGCATTTGAAAGTTTACAAAGCACTTTCACAGCCATAATTCCATGTGATCGTTTCATTAGTTCTGCCAGAGAGGCATTATAGGACCCACTTTATGGATGAGACAACTGAAACCCAGAGGTTTGCCCAAGGCCACCTGAGTAAGGGGCTGAGCCAACCTGGGAGCCACATCTGCCGCCCTAGCACCCTGGTCTCGTTTCCCCCGTGCCAGGTTGACTGCCACCAACATGGGGGTGGAGGTAGAGGTGGTTGCACTGGGGATGGGGTGAAGATGAAGGGTGGGGGCAAGGGTGGGCATCTGGAGAGGTGGGGAGCCTGGAGTGGGACCGGAATTCAATTCAGAGAGGAGGATGCAGGGTGAAGATAAACGGACCCCATTTCAATGTTGCCAAAAGCTCGTTCCCCTCCCAATATCGCCTGCCCACTCCCACAAAGAGTGACAGGAACAGCTGGAGCCCACAAGGGAGAGAAGAAAGGGGATCCCAGTTCAGAGCCTGGCGTCTTAACCTTAATGCTGCCCCCGGCACCCCCTCCCCTCCACTCCCAGCCCCTCACCCCAGGCTGCAGGAGGCTGGTGCCGCCAGGAGCCTGGCACAGGGCCACATAGGCTAGGCCTGGTGGAGAGGGGCAGAACAGCATGGGCATGCTGCAGACTGATTCCTACCCACCCCCGGGGCCCCTGCCTGGACCCCTCAGCCCATCCCCAGGTGCCCACCACTCTGCCCATCCGTGGAGTTTCCCCAGAGCCTGGGACCTCAGTTTGGGATTCGGAAAAGTCTGCCTTTTCAAGACACCCCGGCCCTTCCAACTTTGGGCTCAGCTGGATCCCACTGGTTAGTCCCTCAGGTACCCTCCCCGGGTCCCCGAAATGATGTCTTCCAGGCCCACCTTCTAGAACACTCTTCCCACCTTTGCTGCTGGTTATTTTGGCTTCATACCCCAAGGGATATGAATGGAAAGAATGTGGCCTTGGCCGGGTGCAGTGGCTCACACCTGTAATCCCAGCACTTTGGGAGGCTGAGGCAGGTGAATCACTTGAGCCCAGGAGATCGAGACTAGCCTGGCCAACATGGCAAAACCTGGTCTCTACTAAAAATACTAAAAATTAGCCTGGTGTGATGGCACATGCCTGTGGTCCCAGCTATTTAGGAGGCTGAGGTGAGAGGATTGCTTGAGCCTGGGAGGCAGAGGTTGCAATGAGCCGAGATCTAGACACTACATTCCAGTCTGGGCAACAAAGTGAGACCCCACCTCAAAAAAAAAAAAAAGAATGTGGTTTTTAGAGTCACACAATCCTGGGCTCAAACCCAGGCTCTGCCACTTACTAGCTCTGGGATCTTGGGCAAGGCAGTCACATATCCTCTCAGAGCCTTTGTTTCCTCAGCTGTAAAATGGGGATCAATAGCAGCCCTTCGGAAATTTGCTGCAAAACTGAAAACTAGTATGTGTGAGGTTAGATCTAACACAACCCTGGGTCACAGTGAATACCTGAGTCATCATCATCTCCACCCTGGTGTCAGAGGCCCTCATAGGAACCCCAGCCTGCCAGTCCAGCCTGTCTCCCTCCCTGCGGCCAGTGTGCGCAACTCATGTTCCCTGACGTCGGCCTACATTTTCCCATTTGGAGCCTTTGCTGCAGAGCCTGTTGCCTGTGGGGCCCTCTCCACAGACCTATCTGTAGCCACATCCCTTTGCCACCTCTTCCTGGAAGCCTTTCCAGATTTCTCTCTCACATTGCCTACAGGACTTCCTTAGCACTTTGCATAGCAAGGGCTCTGCTCCACTTTGGGTCTTTACTTTACATCTTGTATTAAACTATAAGCAGATTCATCTCTGCAGCCTCCCTGTCCCCCCGCCTGCCTCCCCGCTACCCCGGCCCCATGCTCTGACTGTCGTCCTCTTCCACGACAGTGAGGTCAGTCCACCTCCCTCCTGCCCACTCAGATCCACTTCCACACGGAGGCTTCGGACCATGCGGGCTGTGTCAGCAAGTGAGGACAGAGCACGGCCATCCCGGAGAACGCAGAACCCAACTGTGCGCAGATAGACAGATGAAGAACACGGGAGAGCAGAGAGACGCAAATGAACCGGGCCAGCCCTGTGACTTAATCCAGCCTGACATGGTTTGGCAAAAGCCACTCATGGTCGTCTCTGAGGCTCCAGCCAGGCCAGCAGCTTGCGCCTTCCCCCATTCTTGGCTCATGGTGATGTGGAGAAGTAGAAGCCACCCACAGGCACCAATTTGTGAGAAAGACGCAGCCTGGGCCTCTAGGCAGGAGTTAGAGGAAGACCGTGGGGTGCGGGGAACGATGGCTGAGCTCGGTTGCGGCTGACACAGGGCTGGAGACTAATGCATCCCAAGCCTGTCTGCCCTCTGGTCTGCTCTCCTGTACACTCCCTGCCCCAGCTCTGCTTAGATTTTTAGTAAAGTCCCTTCTTCATTTCCCCTGAACTGCAACCTCCTTGAGAACGAGGGGCTGGTTCTTATTCATTAATTCTCCCTCCCCAGTGCCATGCCCAATGGACAGTTGCTAGTACAATCACCCCACTGTACAGATAAGGAAATCGAGGCTCAGAGAGGCATAGTGACTCTCCCAAGGTCACACCATGAATGCACAGCAGAGACAGAGACCCATCTGAGACCTGGACTTTTCTCACAACTCCCACAGGAAAGGTTTCACAAGCAAGATATCCTCTGCAAACTCCCAAACCTCGGCTGTTTGTGGAGGAATTGGGAGCAGAAAGCAAGCTTTTTCCTTCCCACCGTGGACCCCCCAGGCTCCCAAAGTGACCTCCTTAGCTTAGAAGGCCCTGAGCAAGGCCATTCAGCTACTGACCAGGCAGTTTTACTGCAAACCCCTGCCTCTCCCACCTTTCTTTTGCTGCCCTGGTCCTACAGAGGGGGAAGCGAGGCCCTGGAGGTGTAGTGAGTCAGCCAGCGATGCCGCCCTGAAGGCAGCTCAGGGCTCTGGCTCCAGGTTCCAGTCTGCCCTGCGCTCTGAGCCATCTTTGTAAAAAATAACAAAGCTTGGCCGGGCACAGTGGCTCACGCCTGTAATCCCAGCACTTTGGGAGGCCAAGGTGGGTGGGTCACCTGAGGTCAGGAGTTCGAGACCAGCCTGACCAAGATGGTGAAACCCCATCTCTACTAAAAATACAAAATTAGCCAGGCGTGGTGGCGCATAATCCCGGCTACTTGGGAGGCTGAGACAGGAGAATAACCCGGGAGGCAGAGGTTGCAGTGAGCTGAGATCACGCCATTATACTCCAGCCTGGGCAACAAGAGTGAAACTCTGTCTGAAAAATAAATAAATAAATAACAAAGCTCTACCCTCTCCCTTCCTCCTGCCTTAGGCTTAACCTCAGTGCCTTCTGCTATTTACAGCAAATAAGAGTTGCTTGGTGCAACCTTTAAGAAGCCTCCCAGACTGATGGGAAAGATGTGTTTTTGGTCTTTGGCCACTTCCTAGTCTGATGGTAGAAACAGGTCACACATGGAGAACTGGAGAGAGACAAAGAGCAGTGGGCACTGGTGCAGGCAGGGGGCTGGGGGCAGAGGAGAGGTGACATGAATGGGCAGGGTGGATGGGGGAAGAGTTTTTGGCCCAGTGAGAGGCCAGGGGGAGAAGAGGAGGCTTGTGTGGGTGAGGGATGGAGGTTGCCTGCCAGGACTAGCCCAGGGAGCCCAAGGGGCTTGAAGGGGGGCGTGGGTTGGGGCAAGACCCTGGTGCTAGAGGCCCCAGATCCTGGACCCAGCTCCAGTGGAGAAACTTTAGCCTGTGGGTCCTCCCCGTTCTCAATCCCCCGGTGCTAAAAAGCCCACGACATTTACGACTTCAGGAGGGTAAAGAGCCTGAGAAAAGAATTGCAGACCATATGGATTTGTTTCCTGGGTTTAGAAAAAAATCCCTCTAATTAGGCCGGGAAAAGCCATTGGCCTCTGCCTGTCTTGAGGTCCCTGGATTCAATTACTGCCCAGCCTCCCCACTTGCGGTCTGGTCCTCCCAGCCCCCTCCACGCACAGGGGGTCAGGGGTGGGTCCCTGATAAGGGGTGGCCTGAGGGAAGAGGGGAGGGGGGACCAGGAGGTGGGAAGGACCTGGGGAGATAATCTTTTTATTTATTTCTGACAGATTCCTTATGAGATCCCCTTGTGGCTGAGTCCTCAGCGCCCAGCCCCACAGCCCACCCGCCCCGTCTACTCTTCCCAGGGCAGACCAAGGTCTTGGGATGGCACTGCCTTGGATTCCCTTCCTCTCCCTGCCAGGAAAAGTTTTTGACATCAGAAGAAAACGGAACCCTTAAGCAGATTGAGAGATGAAATTATAGGTGTTTTCCATTTCTTTCTTTCTTTGTTAGGAGTTAATGTCATACTTTTCCTATAATAAATCGAAGCAACCCATGAAAAAGTCTCTCATTCCTTCCACTTGTGCTCATTGCTCTGGGCTCTCTCTGAAGACTCTGTCCCCTCGGTCTATAAACACTCTCCCACCTTCTTCATCCTATAAACACCTTCCCTGAGCCCTGCCACCCTCTCACACTTCTCCTCCTGCCTTCCCTGCAGAACTCCAGATTGTGGGGAAAAAGATTCACCCCTCATCCCTCCCACTGGCAACCAACAGTGTCGCACTCCCCTCTGATTCCTTACCCTCCTCCCACTGCAAGCTGGCCTCCCTCCTTGTGGGACCTAAGCCTCACCTTCCCAGCCTCCCTGCAGCCTGGGCCCTGGGGCCGCACCTTCCTTGAGCCACTGGACACAGAATTACCTCTCCATCCAATCCTCTGCCCACTGCCTGAAGGCCAGAGCTTCTGGGTCCCCTTCTTGGCCTTTTAGTCTCCTTTTTCTCTTTTTCTTTTTTTTTTTTTTTTTTTGTTGAGATAGAGTCTCGCTGTGTCACTCAGGCTAGAGTTCAGTGGTGCCATCTTGGCTCACTGCAACCTCCAACTCCCAGGTTCAAGCAATTCTCCTGCCTTCACCTCCCAAGTAGCTGGGATTACAGGCTTGTGCCACCATGCCCAGCTAATTTTTATATTTTTAGTAGAGACAAGGTTTTGCCATGTTGGCCAGGCTGGTCTTGAACTCCTGACCTCAGGTAATCCATCCACCTCAGCCTCCCAAAGTGCTGGGATTACAAGCGTGAGCCACCGCGCCTGGCCAACCTTTTACTCTCTCTAGGCTGTATCGCCTTCCTGCGTAAGATAGCTCACTGCCGTGGTGGCTGCCACCCCACTCTAAATGCCTCCCAAATCTGTTACCTGGGTACCGCCTCTCTCCTAGACCCGGTTTTCTGGTTGCCTGTTAGTTACTGCCTTTTGTATGTTCTACCAATACCCCAAACCCAACATGCTCAAAATGCAATGAGAATTCATTCTCTATCTGCATCACTCCTCCAAAAACAAAGCAATAACCAACATTCCTTCCTCCGTGCTCTGCTGTTGCTGTTGTTTTTTAATAAACTTTAATTTTTTTTTTTTAGAGACAGGGTCTTTTTCTGTCACCCAGGCTGGAGTGCAGTAGCACAATCATAGCTCATTGCAACCTTGAACTCCTGGGCTCAAGCAGTCCTCCTGCCTCAGCCTCCCAGGTAGTTGGGAGGCCTGGCTATTTTTTTTTTTTTTTTTTTTTTTAGCAGAGATGAGGTCTCATCTGTTGCCCAGACTGATCTCAAACTCCTGGCCTTAAGCAATCCTCCTGCCTCTATGTCTCAGAGTGTTGGGATTACAGGTATGACCCACTGAGCTCAGCCCTAAACTATAATTTTTTAGAGCAGTTTTAGGTTAACAGTAAAATTGAGCAGAAAGTACAGAGTTCCCATACACTGCCTCTGTGCACCCCTCCATGCACACACACAGCCTTCCCCACTGTTGACATTTGTTGCAATCAATGAACCTCCATTGACACATCATTATCCTCTAAAGTGCAGAGTTTACATTAGGGTTCACTCTAAGTATTGTACATTCTATGGATTTTGACAAATGTATAATGAGTTGTATATCCCATTGCAGTATCATACAGAACAATTTCACTGCCCTAAAAATCCTCTATGTTCTACCTCTTCATCCTCCCCTCCGCCAACCCCCTGGCGATCACTGATCCTTTTATTGTCTCCACAGTTTGCCTTTTCTACAGTGTCATATAGTTGCAATATATAGTATGTAGCTTCTTCAGATTGGCTTTTTTCACTTTAGTAATATACATTTAGGTTTCCTCCATGTTTTTTCATGGCTTGATAGTTAATTTCATTTTAGCAATGAATAATGCTCCATTGTCTGGATGTACCATAGTTTATTTATTATCTGTTCACCTCCTGAAAATATCTTGGTTACTTCCACATTTTGGCAATTAAGAAAAAAAAAAAAAGGCTGCTCTAAATATCCAATATCTATGTGCAGGTTTGTGGACATGACTTTTCCATTCATTTGGAAAACGAAGTAGTACAACTGCTGGATAGTACGGTAAGAGTGTGTTTAGTTTTGTAAGAAACTGCCAAACTGTCTTCCAAGGTGGCTGTATCATTTTGCATTCCCACCAGCAGTGAATGAGAGTTCCTGCTGTTCCACATCCTCATCAGTGTTTGGCATTGTCAGTGTTTTGGATTTTGGCCATTCTAATAGGTATGTAGTGGCATGTCATTGTCATATTAATTTGCAATTCCCTAATGACATACGATGTTAAATATCTTTTCATATGCTTACTTGCCATTTGTATACCTTCTTTGGTGAGGTGTCTATTCAGGTCTTTCTTTTTTCTTTTTTTATTTGAGATGGAGTCTCACTCTGTCACCCAGGCTGGAGTGCAATGGCGTGGTCTTGGCTCACTGCAAGCTCGGCCTCCCAGGTTCAAGCAATTCTCCCGCCTCAGCCTCCCAAGTAGCTGGGATTACAGGCACGTGCCACCACACCTGGCTAATTTTCTTTTGTATTTTTAGTAAAGACGGGGTTTCACTATGTTGGACAGGCTGGTCTCGAACTCCTGACCTCATGATCCACCTGCGTCAGCCTCCCAAAGTGCTGGGATTACAAGCGTGAGACACTGCGCCCAGCCTCATTTATTTTTAATTGGGTTGTTCATTTTCTTGTTGCGTTGTAAGAGTTCTTCAGATATTTTGGATAACAGTCCTTTATCAGGTGTGTCTTTTGCAAATATTTTCTCCCAGTTTGTGGCTTGTGTTCTCATTCTCTTGACATTGTCTTTTGCAGAGCAGAAGTTTTTCATTTTAATGAAGTCCAGCTTATCAATTATTTCTTTCATTGATCATGGCTTCTGTGTTATATCTAAAAAGTCATTGCCATATCTAAGTGCCATATCCAAGGTCAATTTGGTTTTCTCCTATATTATCATCTAAAAGTTTTATAATTTTGTGTTTTACATTTAAGTTTATGGTTTTTGTTTTGTTTCATTTTGTTTTGTTTTTGACAGAGTCTCACTCTGTCGCCCAGGCTGGAGTGCAGTAGTGTGATCTTGGCTTACTGAAACCTCCACCTCCCGGATTCAAGCAATTCTCCTGCCTGAGCCTCTCAAGTAGCTGGGATTACAGGCAGGCACCACCACGCCCAGCTAATTGTTTTTGTATTTTTAGTAGAGACAGGGTTTCACCATGTTGGCCAGGCTGGTCTCAAACCCCTAACCTCAAGTAATCCACTTGCCTTGGCCTCCCAAAGTGCTGGGATTACAGGCGCAAGCCTAAGTTTATGGTCTATTTTGAGTTAATTTTGTGAAGGATGTATGGTCTGTGTCTGGATTCATTTTTCACATGTGGATGTCCAGTTGCTCTAGCACTAGTTGTTGAAAAGACTAATTTGCTGTACTGTATTCCCTTGTTCCTTTGTTGAAGTGTTTATGTGGGTCTTTTTCTAGGCTCTGTATTCTGTTCCATTGATCTATTTGTCCACTCTTTTGCCACTACCATACTGTCTTGATTACTGTAGCTTTTTTTTGTTTTGTTTTCAGGATGGAATCTCATTCTCTCGCCCAGGCTGGAGTGCAGTGGTGTGATCTCAGCTCACTGCAACCTCTGCCTGCCTGGTTCAAACGATTCCCCTGCCTCAGCCTCCCGAGTAGCTGGGACTACAGGTGCGTGCCACCACGCCTGGCTAATTTCTGTATTTTTAGTAGAGACGGGGTTTCACCATGTTGGCCAGGCTGTTCTTGAACTCCTGACCTTGTGATCCACCCACCTCAGCCTCCCAAAGTGCTGGGATTACAGGCGTGAACGACTGCACCTGGCTGAGACTTTTTATCATTATCATGAACAGGTGTTGGATTTTGTCAAATGATTTCTTGGCATTTATTTATAGAATCTTGTGTGTTTTTTTCTTAGCCTGCTAATGTGATGGATTACATTAACTGATTTTCAAATGTTGAACCAGGCTTGCATCTCTGGGATAAATCCCACTTGGTTGTAGTGTATAATTACTTTCATGCATTGTTGGCTTCGATTTGCTAGTATATTGCTGAGGACTTTTGCATTTATGTTCATGAGAGATATCGGTCTGTAGTTTTATTTTCTTGTAATGTGTTTGTCCGGTTTTGGCATTAGGGTAATGCTGGCCTCATAGAATGAGTGGGAAATCATTCCCTCTGCTTTTAACTTCTGAAAGACACTGTAGATAACTGGCATAATTTCTTCCTTGAATGTTTGGTAAAATTCACCAGTGAACCCATCTGGGGCTGGTGCCTTCTGTTCGGGAAGATATTGGTTATTGATTCAATTTCTTTAATAGATACAGGTCTATTTAGATTGCCTATTAGTGTTCTGGTTTTTTTGTTTTGTTTTTCGTTTTGTTTTGTTTTTTTGCTTTTTGTCTTGGTTTTGGGGGGTTTTTTTGAGACAGAGTTTTGCTCTGTCACCCAGGCTGGAGTGCACTGGCGCAATCTCGGCTCACTGCAACCTCTGCCTCCCGGGTTCAAGCAATTATCATACCTCAGCCTCGCAAGTAGCTGGGACTACAGGCGTGTGCCACCAAGCCGAGCTAATGTTTGCATTTTTTATTAGTAGAGGCAGGGTTTCACCAGGCTGACTAGGCTGGTCTTGAACTCCTGACCTCTAGTGATCTGCCCGCCTCGGCCTCCCAAAGTGCTGGGATTATAGGCGTGAGCCATCGTGCCTAGCCTGTTTCGTTTTTTGATACAAGGTCCCCTTCTATCACCCAGGCTGGAGTGCAGTGGCACAGTCTCAGCTCACTGCAACCTCTGTCTCCTGGGCTTAAGTTGTCCTCCCACCTCAGCCTCCTGAGTAGCTGGCATTACAGGTGTGCACCACAGTGCCCAGCTGATTTTTGTATTCTTTGTGGAGACAGAGTTTTTCCACATTGCCCAGGCTGGTCAGGTTCTCTGTTCTTAATTGCTGACACTTGTACCCACACAGGCTTAAAATCTTGGTTACCAGTGACTCCACTTCTCCCCTACCCATAATTGCAAACCAAATGGCAACTGCCTTGGTTCAGGTCTTCCCCCCGACAGGGTAACTAAGAATCTGGAAGCTTGGTTCTAGGAGAGTGGAAGCTTGTTGCATCCCTACCACTCACCATCTATGTGACCTTTACCAAGACACTGAACCTCTGATCTCAGTTTCCGCATCTGTAAAATGGTGACGATTGGTTGCGACAGCCATGTTGTACACCACTTGGCTTCACAGTGAACAATATTTACATGGTCAAATGCTGTTATGTTTTATTTTAACAAGGATCAACTTTTAGGCAAATCATAGAAGACTTGTCTATGGTTACATCCTAGAAGAAAGGGGATGGGGACCAATGTCTTCACCTCCAAAGTGGAGAATCAGAGCTCATCTATGGTGGGCTGAACAAGAAATAGAAGTTCTGGCCAGCCGCGGTGGCTCACAACTGTAATCCTAGCACTTTGGGAGGCCGAGAAATGTGGATCACCTGAGGTCAGGAGTTCAAGACCAGCCTGCCCAACGTGGCGAAACCCCGTCTCTACTAAAAATACAAAAATTAGCTGGGCATGGTGGTGGGCACCTACAATCCCAGCTACTCGGGAGGCTGAGGCAGGGGAATTGCTTGAACTTGGGGGTCGGGGGTTGCAGTGAGCCAAGATCGCACCACTTCACTTCAGCCTGGGTGAAAGAGTGAAAGTTTGTCTCAAAAAAAAAAAAAAAAAAAAGAAAGAAAGAAAGGAAAGGAAATAAAAGTTTTAAAAAGTGATGCTTGATGCTGCAGGGGTGAAGAGGAGCAGAAGGTCTGAGAACAGTGGAGTGTAACCATATTTGGAAGGAGATGAGAAATTGGGAGGTTGAAAGCTAAATCCTCATCAGTCCTAAAAGGCAATCAATCAATGATGTCTAAAGGTGATAAGACAAGGAAGAGAAGTAAATAATAAATAAGGTATAGAAATTAGAGGTAAGAAGGCAATAACCAGAATAGAAATAAAAATGGTTAAAAGGGTTCCCTGGGGAGCAGGACCCTAGATGGGACAGGGAGAAGTTGTTTTTCACTCTCCTCCCTTCGGGGCTATTTAATTTTCTAGTCATATGCACTTATTACTTAGTTAAAACAAAACTGTTTAAATAAATTGTTTTAATTAAAAGTTTCAGCTGGGTGCGATGGCTCACACCTGTAATCCCAACACTTTAGGAGGCTGAGGTTGGGGGATCACTTGAGCTCGGGAGTTCAAGACCAGCTTGGGCAACATAGTGAAACCCTGTCTTTACAAATACAAAAATTAGCCAGGCATGGTCGCTTGTGCCTGTAGTTCCAGCTACTTGGGAGGCTAAGGTGGGAGGATGGCATGAGCCCTGAGCCCAGGAGGCAGAGATTGCAGTGAGCCGAAATCACTCCCCTGCACTCCAGCCTGGGCGACAGAGTAAGACCCTGGTTTTTTTTTTTTTTTTTTTTTTTTAAGTCAACTAAAGGATTTTTTGAGTTTTCTTTCCAGATATATTTTCTTTATTGAGATACAAATAACATATAATAAACTGCACTTTTTTTGGGGGGGGGGGCGGGGGACGGAGCCTCGCTCTGTCGCCCAGGCTGGAGTGCTGTGGCGCGATCTCAGCTCACTGCAAACTCCGCCTCCCGGGTTCACGTCATTCTCCTGCCTCAGCCTCCCGAGTAGCTGGGACTACAGGCGCCTGCCACCACACCCGGCTATTTTTTTGTATTTTTAGTAGAGACGGGGTTTCACCGTGTTATCCAGGATGGTCTCGATCTCATGACCTCGTGATCTGCCTGCCTCGGCCTCCCAAAGTGCTGGGATTACAGGCATGAGCCACCGCGCCCGGCAACTGCACATATTTTAAGTGTGCAACTTGATCGTTTTGACATGAGTATACACTTAATGAAACTCACCATAATCAGGATAGTGAACATATCCATTATCCCCAAAAGGTTCCTCACGTGCTTTGTAATCTGTTCTCTCCCCCTACAACTCTGATCTGCTTTCTGTTACTACAGGTTAATTTCTATTTTCTTTTTTTTGAGATAGAGTCTCGCTCTGTCGCCCAGGCTGGAGTGCAGTGGCACACCTCCGCTCACTGCAAGCTCCGCCTCCCGGGTTTATGCCATTCTGCTGCCTCAGCCTCCCGAGTAGCTGGGGCTACAGGTGCCCGTCACCATGCCCGGCTAATTTTTTTTGTATTTTCAGTAAAGACAGGTTTTCACCATGTTAGCCAGGATGGCCTCGATCTCCTGACCTCGTGATCCGCCCGCCTTAGCCTCCCAAAGTGCTGGGATTACAGGCGTGAGCCACCGCACCCGGCCAGGTTAATTTCTATTTTCTAAAGTTTTATATGAATGGGGCCAGGCACAGTGGCTCACACGTATTACCAGCACTTTGGGAGTCTGAGGTGGGCGAATCACTTGAGGCCAGGAGTCTGATACCAGCCTAGTAAACGTGGTGAAACCCTGTCTCCACCAAAAAAATACAAAAATTAGCTGGGTGTGGTGGCAGGCGCCTGTAATCCCAGCTACTGGGAAGGCTGAGGCACAAGAATCGCTTGAACCTGGGAGGCAGAGGTTGCAGTGAGCCAAGATCACAACATTGCCCTCCAGCCTGAGCCTGGGCGACAGAGTGAGACACTGTCAGAAAAAGAAAGAAAGAAAGAGAGAGACAGAGAAAGAAAACAATGTACATAACAATTTAAATATACTTCATTGCTAAAAATGCTAATGATATCTGAGCCTTCTGAGAGCTGTAATCTTTCTGCTGGTGGAGGGTCTTGTCTCTATGTTGATGACTGCTGACTAGTCAGGATGGTGGTTGCTGAAGGTTGCAGTGGCCATGGCAATTTATTAACATAAGACAATTAAGTTTGCCGCATTGATTGACTCTTGATGTTTCTGTAGTACGTGACGCTGTTTAACAGCATTTTACCTATAGTAAAACTTCTCTCTGCCGCATAGGCTCTTTTTAAAGGTGCTTTCCCATAGCACAGACATTACCAGTAGTCGTGTCAAATAGCAGTTGGTGTCTTCATTTTATGTATATTTATCATATAAGTCTGATTTTTTTTTTAAGCGTCTTGAATGGTTTTCTGGAGAGACAGCACTGGTAAGTGGCACATGACGGTATCCCAGTCATAAGAGGGTTGCATGATTCCTTTGAGTGTTTGATTTGAAAAGCCTAGTCTTGTCTCTCAAGAGCATCTCGGACCCAGAACATTCTCCAGTAGTGCATTCAGTTCAACACAGCAAGTGCTTCACTGCATGGAAAACACTTTGAAGACAAAAAAGAAATCTTATTTCTTTTTTTGTAGCCTTCCTGATATTTACAGTAATACCATTAACTGTTTTATCGATAGCAAAAAAAGGATACTTTTTGCAATGTAATTAGATGTTCTATAGTGCTACAAGGAATTGCCTTCCGAATGGAGGTTCATGTATAATACTCATTTACAATTCAATATATAATTACACAAATAATTTTTAAATATAATCAATAGTGAAGACTGTTCTGTGGATGGTAGTGTTTAATACATTTTCTATTTTGTATAGTGATTTCAGGCCTTTTGTTTTCTTAAAATCAGCAGCTATTTGGCCTAATTCTTAGCATTATTTTGTCCTTTGCGTCAGTACTTTTTTGTGCACGCTTTTTGTGATCTGTGTTAAAAACCTGCATTGCCAGCATTGCAGCTTGAACTTAAACTTGTTATTCAAATAAATATTTAATTTTTTAAATTGCTCTTGTATAATCAGATGCCCCTTTTAGTATTATTTTAGAAGCGTTGGGAGGGTTTTGTCTAAAGTACAATTTATCGGGAAAAACTAGATTTTAGCTTTATAAAACTTTTAAGTCTTTCATGGGACCTATATTTTCTTGAATTAAATTTTGTAGTTCTAGAATTAAAAAAAAAAAAAACTTCTCTCAAAATTGGAGTCGGTCCTCTCAAACCCTACCACTCCTTTATCAACTAAGTTTATGGAATATTCTAAATATTTTGTTGTCATTTCAAAAATGTTCATTGCATCTTCACTGGTAATAGGTTCCATCTCAAGAAACCATTTTCTTTGCTCATCCAGAAGAAGCATTCAAGTTTTATTATAACATGTAGCATTTCAGTAATATCTTCAGCTCTACTTCAATTCTAGTTCTTTTGCTATTTCCACCACATCTGCAGTGACTTCCTCCACTGAAGTGTTAAACCCCTCAAAGTCATCTGTGAGGCTTGGAATCAACTTCTTCCAAACTCCTGTTAATGTTGATATTTTCACCTCCTCCCATGAATCATGAATGTTCTTAATGGCATCTAGAGTGGCAAATCCTTTCCAGAAGACTTTCAATTTACTTTGCCCATCTCCATTAGAGAAATCACCATCTCTGGCAGCCATAGCATTATGAAATGCCCTTCCTCAATAATAAGACTTGAAAGTCAAAATTACTCCTTGATCTATGGGGCTACAGAATGGTTGTTGTTGTGTTAGCAGGCATAAAAACAACAGTTTTATGAGCAGTAGACCTCAACGATGGACTTAAAATATTCAGTAAACCATGCTGAAAACAGATGAGATGCCATCCAGGCTCTATTGTTCCATTTATAGAGCACAGGCAGAGCAGATTTAGCATCATTCTTGAGGGGCCTACGATTTTCAGAATGATAAATGAACATTGGTCTCAACTTCAAGTCACCAGCTGCACAGTTCCTATCCAGAGAGTCAGCCTTTCCTTTGAAGCTTTGAACCTAGACATTGACTTCTCATCTACAACTATGGAAGTCCTGGATGGCATCTTCTTCCGAAAGAAGGCTGTTTCATCTACACTGGAAATCTGTTGTTGAGTGTAGCCACCTTCACTGATGACCTTAGCTAGATCTTCTGGATAACTTGCTGCAACTTCCGCATCAGCACTTCCTGCTTCACCTTACAATTTTATGTGATGGAGATGGCTTCTTTCCTTACACCTCTTAAACCAAACTCTGCTGGCTTCCAACTTTTCTTCAGCAGCTTCCTCACCTTTCTCAGCATTCACAGGATTGAACAGATTTGGGGCCTGTTTTGCCTTCATGTGTTCACTGGAGTAGCACTTTTAATTTCCTTCAAGAACTTTTCCTTTACACTTACAACTTGGCTGTTTGGCACAAGAGGCCCAGCTTTTGGCCTGGCTTGGCTTTGACATGCTGTCCTCGCTACACTCCATTATTTCTAGCTTTTGATTTATAGTGAGAAATGAGAGACTCTTTCACTTGAACACTTCAGGTCCATTGTAGGGTTATTAACTGGCTCAATTTCAATATTGTCCTGTCTTGGGGAATAGAGAGGTCCAAGAAGAGGGGAAGAGTTGGGGGTAAGACCAGTTGGTGCAGCTGTCAGAACACGTGCAACATTTGTTGATTAAGTTCATCATCTTATATAGGTGAGACTCATGGCTCCCCAAAACAATAGTGGCATCAAAAATCACTAGGCATAGAGCACTATAACAGATACGATAGTAATGAAAAAGTTTGAAATACTGTAAGAATTACCAAAATATGACATAGAGACATACTTTCATACTTTGTATTATAATCCAATATCACTTAATTTATTTTGTTGCTCAGATTATTCCCTAAAGTAAGCACATTCTGTTAGAAAAATGGTACCAATAGACTTGGTCTATACAGGGTTGCCACAAACCTTCAATTTGTTTTAAAAAAATATATCTGGGAAGTGCAATAAAGTGAAGCATAATTTAGCGAGGTATGTCTGTATATAATGTATTTTTTCTTTCTTTTCTTTCTTTTTTTTTTTTTTTTTTTTTGAGGCAGAGTGTCTCTCTGTCGCCAGGCTGAATGAAGTGCAGTGGTGCGATCTCGGCTCACTGCAACCTCCGCCTACTTGGTTCAAGCAATTCTCCTGCCTCAGCCTCGTGAGTAGCTGGGATTACAGGCATGCACCACCACGCCCGGCTAATTTTGTATTTTTAGTAGAGTTGGGGTTTCACCATGTTGGCCAGGCTGGTCTCGAACTCCTAACCTCATGATCCACCCACCTCGGGCTCCCAAAATGCTGGGATTACAAGCGTGAGCAACCTCACCTGGCCAGATTCCTGGTTTCTTTTGTTGGAATTATTATTAGATCCCAAGAGCTGGGCATGAGATGTGATCATTTTTAATAGGATGTGGTTGCTTTAGGCCTTCTCATCTGACAGAGCAAGGAAATATATATATATATATACACACACACACACACACACACACACACACACACACACACATATACATATATACGTATACATATATATGTGTGCTAACCCATGTATAGATGAATCTATAAATATTTCTATATGTAACCATCTTTATCTGTATTAAGCTAAACATGGGGCCAGGCATGGTGGCTCACACCTACAATCCCAGCACTTTGAGAGGCCAAGGCAGGAGAATCGCTTGAGCCCAGGAGTTTGAGACCAGCCTGCACAACAGGGTGAAACCCCATCTCTACTAAAAATACAAAAAAATTAGCTGGGTGTGGTGGCGTGTGCCTATAGTTCCAGCTACCTCGGAAGCTAAAGTGGGAGGACCACCTGATTCCAGGAAGTCAAGGCTGTAGTGAGCTGAGATCACACCACTGTACTCCAGCTTGGGTGATGGAGTGAGGTCTTGTCTTGAAAAAAATAAATAAATAAGCCAACTAAACATGAGTTTGTACTGATGTCTCCAATTCTGATCCATAGATCATTCTATCATTCTTGCCTTCTCTCCTTGCTTTCCTGTGACCTCCCCTGCTTTCTTGTAACCTCCTGTAACCTCCTACATAGAGAGAAATCTGGCTCCTCCCATCAACCATCCATTTACTGAATTGTTTTGGGGTTTTTTTGTTGTTGTTTGTTTGTTTGTTTGTTTGTTTGTTTTTGAGACAGAGTCTCGCTCTGTCACCCAGGCTGGAGTGTAGTGGCGTGATCTCAGTGTACTGCAACCTCTGCCTCCCAAGTTCAAGTGATCCTCCTGCCTCAGCCTCCTGAATAGCTGAGACTACAGATGCCCGCCACCACACCTGGCTAATTTTTGTATTTTTAGTAAAGATGGGTTTCTCCATGTTGGCCAGGCTGGTCACAAGTGACTCTTGGCCTCAAGTGATCTACCTGCCTCAGCCTCCCAAAGTGCTGGAGTTACAGGAGTGACCACCATCCCCAGCCTTCTTAATTGTTTAATTTCAGTACACACATATAGCAGTAACAGAATTGTTAACCTTTACCTCTGTGGGAAATAACTTTATCAACTAGAGTACAGTGCTTATGTAAAATTTCTTTTGACTTTAGTCTTACAGACTCTACATATTTCCAAAGTGACTTGGGTCAGCACCTTTACCCCCACCTCCTTTAGTGAGGTTGTTTTATACATTTGTGATAGATTGTATTGACACATTCTGCATTCTCTTCTGAGATCCCCCAACCTTCTAAATGATTTTTAAAATTTGCATACATTATGATTTGCTCTTTGTGCTGTAAAGTTCTAGGGTTTTTGACAAATGTATAACATCATATTTACATCATTACAGTATCATATAGAATAGTTTTCACCATCCTAAAAAAAAAATCCATGTGCTTCATCTGCTTCATCTATTCAATCCTTCCTCCCTACCCCACAAACTCCTTTTAACCACTCATCTTTTTACCATCACTATAGTTTTGCCTTTATAGAAACATGTAATTGGACTTATACAATAGGTAGCCTTTTTAGGCTGGCTTATTTCACTTAGAAATATGCATCTAAGATTCATCCATATCTTTTTTTCTTTTTTTTTTTTGAGATGGAGTCTTGCTGTGTCCCCCAGGCTGGAGTGCAGTAGCACAATCTCAGCTCACTGCAACCTCCACTTCCCTGGATTCAAGCAAGTCTTCTCCCTCAGCCTCCCGAGTAGCTAGGATTATAGGCGCCTGCCACTACACCCAGCTAATTTTTGTATTTTTAGTAGAGATGGGGTTTCACCATGTTGGCCAGGCTGGTCTCGAGCTCCTGACCTCGTGATCAGCCCGCCTCAGCCTCCCAAAGTGCTGGGATTACAGGTGTGAGCCACGGCCCCCGGCCATCCATATCTTTTCTTTTATCACTGAATAATATTCTCTGAATGGATGTTCACAGTTTGTTTATCCATTTACCTGTTGACCATCTTGGTTGCTTCCAGTTTTGGGCAATTATAAATCAAGCTGCTGAAAACACTTGCATGCATGTGTTTGTGTAGACATAGTTTTCAAATCAGTTGGGTAAATACTCAGGAGTGGGATGGTTGGATCGTATATTTAGCCTTATGTGAAACTTCCAAACTGCCTTCCAGTGTTCTGTACCATTTTGCATTCCCACTAACAATGAATGACAGTCCCTATTGCCTCATATCTTTGTCAACCAATTGATATTGTTAGTATTTTAAATTGTAGCCATTTTGATAGGTGTGTAGTGATATCACATTTTTTGTTTTGGCTTTTGTTTTAATTTTCAATTCCCTGATGAAATATGACATGGAACATCAAATGTTAATTTGCCATCTGTGTATCTTCTTTGGGGAGATGTCTGTTCAGATTTTTTGCTGATTTTTTAAGTGGGTTGGTATGTTTTTATATTGTTGAGTTTTAAGAGTTATTTGTATATTTTGGATACAAGTCCTTTTTCAGAAATGTGTTTTGCAAATTTTTTTTGCAATCTGTGGCTTCTCTTCATTTTCTTAACAGTGTCTTTTGAAAAGATTTTTATTTTGATGAAGTCCAATTTATCAACTTGTTCTTTTATGAATTCCTGGTTTTGTTGTCATATTTAAGAAACCTTTGCCTAGCCCAAGGCCAAATATATTTCCTCTTAGGTTTTCTTCTGGAAGTTTTATAATTTTAAATTTTACATTTGGCCTATGACAAATTTTGAGTTAATTTTCATATATGGTGAGATACACAGTTCAGGTTTTGTTTTGTTTTGTTTTGTTTTGTTTTGTTTTGTTTTGTTTGAGATAGAGTCTCGCTCTTGTCACCCAGGCTGGAGTGCAGTGGCATGATCTCGGCTCACTGCAACCTCCGCCTCCTGAGTTCGAGCAATTTTCCTGCCTCAGCCTTCCAAGGAGCTTGGAGTACAGGCATGTGCTACCACGCCCAGCTAATTTTTTTTTTTTTTTTAAGACAGAGTTTCACTTTTGTTGCCCAGGCTGGAGTGCAATGGCACGACCTCAGCTCACTGCAACCTCCGCCTCCTGGGTTCAAGCGATTTTCCTGCCTCAGCCTCCTGAGTAGCTGGGATTACAGGACATGCCACCACGCCTGGCTAATTTTTATATTTTTAGTAGAGACGGGGTTTCACCATGTTGCCCAGGCTGGTCTCAAATTCCTGACTTTAGGTGATCTGCCTACCTCGGCCTCCCAAAGTGCTGGGATTACAGGCGTGAGTCACCGCGCCCTACGGGATCAGGTTTTTTACATGTGAATATCCAATTGTTCCAGCACCATTTGTTGAAAAGACTATCCTTTCTCCACTGAATTCCCTTTGCACCTTTGTCAAAAATTAGTTGCCCATGTACATGTGGGTCTATTTCTGGATTCTCTACTTTGTTACATTGATCTGTTTATCTATCTTTACCTCACACACATGCACTGATTAGTACTCTGCCTGATACTCAAGGCAGCCCTTTCTGCAGATCTGGGAGTTGCCCTCTGAGCAGTTGTCTCCTCTCCAGCACTCTGTCTTGCTGACTCTAGTCCCCTTGGTCTCTCCTTGGACTCTCACCTCCATCTCTTCCTTCCAGAAAGTCCCCCAGGCTCTGCCCAGTTCTTTCTCCCTGTGCCACAGCCTGATAACTCTCTAGGCAGGAAGCTGGAGAAATCTTAGGGCTCAGCTCACTTGTTTTCTGTCTCTCAAGAATTTCTTTCCTTCATTGCCTGATGTCCAGTACCTTGAAACTGATGTTCCATATATCCTCTCCAGCTGTCTGAAAGTTTTGAAGGGGAAGGAAATACAGTCCCTGCTACTCCATCCTGGGCAAAGGCCTACAACTAAAGAATTTAAAACTCTCTGTGTTAGTCTGTTCTCACACTACCATAAAGAACTACCTGAGGCTGGGTAATTTATGAAGAAAACAGATTTAATTGACTCACAGTTCCACAGGCTATGCAGGAAGCATGGCTGGGAGGCCTCAGGAAACATAACCATGGTGGTAGGTGAAGGGGAAGCAACCACATCTTCACATAGCAGCAGGAGAGAGAGAGCAAAGGGGGAGATGCTACACACTTTTAAGCAAACAGATCTCATGAGAACTCACTCACTATCACAAGAACACGAAGGGGGGGAATCTGCCCCCACGATCCAATCACCTCCCACCAGGTCCCTCCCCCAACATTGGGAATTACAATTCGACATCAGATTTGGGTGGGGACACAGAGCCAAATCATATCCCTCTCTTCCAGCTTTAAATTTTGAAGTTAATTAAGACTTCTGGCCAGTCTCCCTGCTCCATGCAGGTCTCACTTAAAGTTTAGACTGCCAGGATGCAGGAGGGCAGGAGCATGCCAAACAGAGCAAAGGGCCCGTGCAGGGCCTGGAGGTGGGGAACTGTAGGGCGGGATGTGTTTGGGGACATGGGAGTAGGAAATAGAAAAGAAGAAAGTGAACTCGGGACAGATCGTCCCATAGCTGGAGGGGAGAAGAGGAGATGGCAGAGGGGTGGGACACAGTGAGGAGCTGAGAAGAGGCCAAGGGAGCCCAGGGGTTCACCCCAGGGCACGGGCTGGTGCAGGGGAATGTGCCAAGGCTGAACTCGGCTCCGCCTGACCCCAGAGCTCAAACTCTGAACCACTTACAACCCTGCCCATTCTGATAACCTGGCCAGAAAGGTGAAGAGGAGTTCATACGGGACCCAGACCGAGGGACCCTGCCTGAGGTTCACAGCCCCCAGGAGGAACAGAAATGGAGGACAAAATTGGGTTTTCCTGGTCCCAGAAGGGTTGCTCCCCTCCAGGATGCTGAGCAGGGCCCCTGCAATGTGAGGGGCTTGGTCTGAGTGTCACAGGAGCCCAGAGTTCCCACCCGGTCCCCACATGGTCCCAAGGGCTGGGGTGAAGGCAGCTCATGGTGGACACTTTACTGTGCCCCTGAAGATCCTGGGGGTGGAAAGAGGTGGAGCCTTACAATGTGAAGCTGGGAACCTGCTGGATGTGCAGATGTCTGGGCACCTCCTGGAGATTCAGACTCATTGGGTATGGGTTGGGGCTGGGCCTTGGAGCTCCCAGGCGATTCTGTTGCAACAGGTGACCTGGGGCTCCTCCTTGAGAGGCCCCGCTTCATGCAATGGGCATCTTTTCCCAAAGAGCCGCTGGGAAGGTGGAGGGCCAATCGTTCAGTGCTCTAAGAATCTCCCAGTCAGTGTCCCAGTGGGAGTCCAGGGCCTGGGGAGAGAACAACAAGCAGGTGGGGGAGGGGAGGGGCCTCAGCAGGCAGGCAGAGGCAAGCTTGGTGAAGGGGGTTCTGTCGGCAGCCCTTTAAAGTCCCCTGTGCTCTGGGCTCCTTCCCATCCCAGATCTTATCTCTGGGTGCCTGTCCCTGGATGGAGCTTCCCCAGGGCACCCCAGGACCCCCCAGGGAAGGAAGAGGGGGCAGATCAAAGGGCGGGCGCCCAGACAAGGGAACCTGAGATGCTGTCTTTGTCTGCATCCTGGAGAGGCCCGGGGGAGACAGGATGGATGGGAGCCCTGGGCCAGAGGCTAGTGGGGTGGGGGGGTCAGTGGAGAAACCAAATCCTGGTGTATTCACTATGGACAAAAGGAAGGGGTTGGAGAGGGGGTCAGGCTCCTCTCACCAGCTGCTCTGGCTAGAGGCTTCCGGCAAGGTCTTGGTACATCCGGGTCAGGTTCTCTTCAGGGTCAGGAAAGAGCCAAAGGAGGTGGCAGTTTGGGGACCCAAATCCACGCATCAAGACTCCCTTTTAACTGATTCCAAATTATCCACACCCAGGAGGGGGCCTAGGAGCAGAACCGGGGGTGAGGGTAGAGTAGAAAAATAGGCCACTCCCCAGATTCCCCATTCCCAGACACCCCCACCCCTCCGGGAAAGCTGAACAGCCACTTGGGTGTAACACCATCCCCAAGCTTGGGCTCCCTCACATCTGGAGCCCCAGCTGCTGCTGCCATGGAGGCTGTGAACTCTTCCCCGCGGCCTGCCTGGTCACAACAACAGGAGAAGAGCCGAGGGGGCGGCAGCTGTCTGCTCGGGGCTGTCTGGCCACAGGCTGACGCCAGGGCTCTGGAAGGGGGTGGCGACAGTGGGAATCCGTGTTTCACCTGCCTCTATGGTAATTTGGGGCCTTACAGTTGGAGTTAGGGTTGGGCATGTGTTTGGGATAGGATTAGCATTATCCCAACTTTGGTCAGAATTCAAGGAGAACCAGAGACTGAGACCCCCAAACCTTGTGCCCCTCACAATATTCCAGGCGAGAAGAGGTGGTGAGCTGGGTGGAGGTGGGGCTGGGTAAACCCGGGGGCAGGTGGGAGTGCGAAGGCCTGAAGTCACCTTCCTGTTCTCCAGGGCTCTCACACACCATGACCCTTCCCTCCATCACCTCTGAGGCTGGTTGTTCTAAACCCACCTGTACCTGTTGCTGTCTCTGTTACCACACATTCAGCAGCTTAAAACAACACACATTTACCACCTCAGAGGTTTCGCGGGCCAGGAGCCTGGGTGCAGGTCCTCTACCCAGGGTCTCACAGTCCAGGTGTCGGCTGGGCTACCTTTCCTCATGGGCCTCTTCCAAGGTCACACGGTTGTTGGCAGCCTTCAGTTCTTGCGGCCCTAGGGCTGAGGTTCCGGTTTTCCAACCGGCAGCCAGTGGCTGCTCTCAGCTCCAGAGGCCGCCCACAGTCCCTGCCACTGGCCCTCACCCAGGCCCCCTCAGTGCAGGGCAGGACACATCTTCAAGGCCAGCAGGAGGCTCTCTCTGACCTCAGGGAGGGCCTCAGTCCCTCTTTTAAGAGCTTTCACTTGATTACATCAGGCCCACCCAAGGTAATCTCCCTTTTGATAAATCAAAATCAACCAGTTTGGGACCTTAATTACATCTGCAAAGCCCCTTCACCTTTGCCGTGTTCTATTGGCTGAAAGCAGGTTGCCGATCCTGCCTGCGCCCGGGGGAGGGGAATCTGCGAGAGCATCACTCACTGGGGTCACCTTAGGTTGCCTCTGCCACCATCCCACCTTTTCTCACATCACTACATCTCCTCCTTCTGCAGACTTCTGCCATCTCGGTCTCCGTGAGTCAGCGAGCCTGCCAATAGTCCAGGGAGGGGGGCAGGGGGGACCCTTTCTTTCTTCAACTTTGACTTCACAGAGGGCTGTGGAAGGTGCACCAGGCATGCTGGGGGTGTGCAGGCCTGAGACCCCCATCCTTATCGGGGAGGCTAACTCCACATAAAGAAGCCACTTTAGATCCTTAGAGGAAACCAGGAAAGTGTCTAAGCAGAGGGGTACTTTGAGCCAGGGCTGGTGGCAGTTTGCGGGCAGCCAGGATGGGGGGTGGGGAGAGG
The DNA here is from genome assembly GCF_000001405.40 of Homo sapiens. Lineage (NCBI taxonomy): Eukaryota > Metazoa > Chordata > Mammalia > Primates > Hominidae > Homo > Homo sapiens. Next base: position 49,547,360 of record NC_000017.11, read on the forward strand.
AAAGGACAGCTCCAGCTAAGGGGCGGCTTAAGCAAAGTGGATTTGGGGAACAATGTGGCTGTTGACTGCAGGGCTTTAGACAGACAGATCAGACTGGCAGGCAGCTGGGGGAGCACTGGGAATGTCAGGCTGGGGGCAATGGGGAGCCACGTGTGCCTGTGGGTGGGGGACATGATAACATCTTGTTATGGACGCCTCCTGAGAATCCCGTTTCCTTCTCTATATTGAGCTCCCACTATAAGCCGGACACTGTGTTTGGGGCTGGGAATGCAATACTGAATCAGCAGAGAGGGGACCTCAGGGATTTTAGAGACGAATCGGGACAGACAAACCAAGTCATCAATTACATCTGCAGTGTGAACTAGGAGAGGACAGGGTATTGCAAGAGCAAGGAACCAAGGATCTGACCTAGTCTGGCAAGTCCACAGAGGCCCGGATGGGAGGGGATGTGGTGGAAGGAGGCAGCCAAGCCGTGGTGGTGACCCATATATCACATCGCCCCACGAACCACGGCAGAGAAAACAGAAAAGGACAGGGGAGTGCCTCCTGGCCCTCACACATGAAAATAAGGTCTGGAACCAACCTCCTTGTCCCTAATTCTTATCCTCTTTCAAAATAAAGGCCACCCACACTCCTGTGTGCCCAAGTCCAACCTGGCACCTTCCTCCTGATTTCACCCACCATGAAGGAAAAGCCCCAGAATCCCGAACCCCTGCATGGACTCAGAGGCACGCGGCCAGCCAGAGGGGCATTGCCGTGTGTCTGCAGGCTGTGGGTGCTCCCCGGGGTGGGTCACCCCTCTGTGCCCAACTCAGCAGGCCCAGGGGCCCCCGCCCCACTGCCTCACTGTTCTGCACACCCACCCAGATGTTCTCACGCCCCATCGCCCCAGACACAGCCCCAGACAGCTGCACAGCTGGCCTCCTGGCCGGTGGGACAGTAGGCCTGCCAATAGCCCGGGGAAGGAGGGCACACAGGGGACACCTCAGACAAACAGATCTGCTGCCCTGAGCCAAAGCATACAACGGGCAGGGGCCTGAGCAAGCAGGCTGGCCAGGGGGTGGGCTTAACCCTTTCTCTTCCAGCATGGCCCCAAGGAGTCCCCTGTGAACTCATCGCTGCCATTCCCCTGCCTCCAGCCTCATGCTCCCCCTTCCTTGCTTCCTGAAGAACAGGTTCATTCATTCTCTCATTTTTACAGACATGGGTAAGACAGGTTTGCCCCCAAGGTGCCAGGGTCTAGAAGTTCTTCCTGTTGTCTGACCCTCCTACTCTGTGTTGGTCACTGCTGTCCTCTGCTATGGCAGCTGCTGACTGCCCCCTTCTGGCCAGTGGCTCCTGCCCTTGGATCTCCAGTTCCCCTCAGCCTCCAGGTGGGCCAACAGGAGGTCTAGGAATAGTAGGAGCAGGAGACATGGCCATCGCAGGGTCTGGAGGGAGCTCAAGGCACCTCCATGTCCCAAGGGTGTTGCCTCTGCTCTGGAGGCAGCACAGAGCCATGGGTGCAGCCTGGTCACAGGTCCCCACCCACTAACCAAGCCTGGACAAGTCTCTGAGTCCCTGCTTCCCCATCTGCAGGATGACAGTGAGCATAGGAGCCCCATGCGGGCTACTCAGAGGACGAGAGGAGGCCATGCCTGCCACACAGGGTGACTGCTCGGCGGCTGCCTCTGGCTATCTTTATGACAATAGCAGGTACTGAGCACACTCTGGGGACAACAACATCTGAGCCATCTTGAATTCACACTCTTGTGCGCGAGGCAGACATTGAACCCATAGGCAAATCAGCAAAACGTGGTAATCCTAGATGTGACAAGTGACAGGAAGGAAATCAAAATGGGGGTGAGCAGGGGCCTGGGGGGGAGGAGGAGGGGGCAGCCACAGTCAGGGCTGGGGTTTAGAGATGGGGTTTGCCCATCTCTCAGGGCCTGGGTCCTGGTATGTGTTGGGAGACAGATTCAAAGGTGAATGGGTGCCAGGCCCTGCCCCAAGACCTCCTAGCCCTGACAAATGCTGAGACATGCAGGGTTGCAGGCGCACACAGAAGGGGCCCTTCGTCGCCAGGGCAGGCAGAGGGAGAAAGGGGCTCTGGGCTATTGGAAGAGAAAGTGAGGCTGGGTGTGGTAGGGCGGCCCTGTGAGGCCGGAGGTGACAGGCTCTGAATGCCAGGCAAAGAGTTGGGGCGTTCTCCTGGGGCACTAGGGAACCATGGAAGGTTTGAGGCCAGGAAGTGATGTCTCAGATGTGGGTTTCTGGAGAGCCACTCTGGCTACTGTGAGAAGTAGGGGTTGGCAAGGCCGGCCCTAGGGAATGGTGCGGGCCTGAAGCCTGGTGGCCCAGAAGCCCAGGTAGAAGGGGCCAAGTTTGTGTTGAGGAGGAAAATGGGTAGTTCCTGGCGACTGACTGCAGCTGCAGAAGGGAAAGAACTGGAGTCTCCCCAGGAGCGTGACTGTGACCCGCTCCTCTCAATTCAATGCTTGGGTGAGCATCTGTGACAGGCCAGGCTTGTCCCATGTGCAAGGGACAGCCATGAACGGGCCAGATGAGGAATCTCACAGAGCTCCCAGCCTGTGAGGGACAAGCGGGTGTTAAACACATCGCAAAGAGAGTGATGACTTACGAATTCTTAAAGGAAGGGGCCAGGCTGTGTGCTGTGCACCTCGAGCTCCCTGAGGGCAGGGGCTGTGTCTCCCCCTTCACTCTGGAGTCCCTGAGGTTGGAGCAGTGTGCTCTCTGCAGGCTGGAGGCTCCCTCAGAGAGGGTCTGTCTCCTGCCAGGGCTGTGGCTGTGCACCGGCTGTCAGGCCCTGCCTGCTCCCTACACCACCTGAGGCGCCAGAACAGAGGGGAACAGGCCGTGTCATCCTGAAACACTCACCAGCCACCCGCTGAACTGAGCTGAGCCCACAACTCCAGGGCAGCCAGGCCGCCCACTTTCTCTCAGAAGCACCTCTCAGGGATGTGGCCAGAGGAGATCTCCCCACATAAGGTCCCCCCTGGGGCTCCGCCCTTGCTGCCACAGCTGCCCAGTCTCCCCACAGCCCTGGGCCCTCCGCTGTGGAAGCCAGGGGTGGCTGCTGAGTGGGGCTGGGGACTCTGGGCAGAGGCTGATATTCGCTCTCACTTTCAGAGGGCCCGAGGGCAGGAACAGGAGGGCTGGCTGCGGAAAGTGTCCTTAGCCTCCGTCCTCAGTCCTGTGGGCCTTTGTTCTATTGGCCTCAGTTTGCCCCTGAGGTGATGGATCTGCGGTGGTCATGGCAGTCCCTTCTGGCCCTCACAGTTGTTGGGGTTTTGTTTTGTTTTGTTTTTGAGATGGAGTCTCGCTCTGTCACCCAGGCTGGAGTGCAGTGGTGCAATCTCGGCTCACTGTAACCTCCGCCTCCCAGGTTCAAGCGATTCTCTTGCCTCAACCTCCCAAGAAGCTGGAATTACAGGCATGCACCACCATGCCTGGGCCAATTTTTGCATTTTTTTTTTTTTTTTTTTGAGATGGAGTTTCGTTCTTGTTGTCCAGACTGGAGTGCAGTTGTGGGATCTCGGCTCAATGCAACCTCCACCCCCTGGGTTCAAGCGATTTTCCTGCCTCAGCCTCCTGAGTAGCTGGATTACAGGCATGCGCCACCACGCCCAGCTAATTTTGTACGTTTAGCAGAGATGGGTTTCTCCATGTTGGTCAGGCTGATCTCGAACTCCCAACTTCAGGTGATCCACCCACCTCGGTCTCCCAAAGTACTGGGATTACAGGCGTGAGCCACTGTGCCAGGCCAATTTTTGCATTTTTAGTAGAGATGAGGTTTCTCCATGTTGGCCAGAATGGTCTCAAACTCCTGACCTCAAGTGATCTGCTCACCTCGGCCTCCCAAAATGCCGGGATTACAGGTGTGAGCCAATGAGCCCAGCCTATCTGTTGTTTTTTAATTTCAATAGGGACAATACATCTTGGGAAGTTGAAAGGTAAGGAATTATGCCATGTGAGAGACCCACGAGGCAAAGGAGGGGAAATGCCACAGCATGAGAGATTTGAGGCTGACACCCAGAAGGACTTTCGAGAAGGAGGGTGTGAGCCGCTGGATGGGCCCCGTGTGGTTTCTTTACAGGGCTCCATCTGGCTGGCCAGGAGGGGTCTGGGGCCAAGGCAGTCTAGGAGTACACATTTGCCCTTTGTAGCTGGGCCACAGAGTTTTGTCCTGGGCTGCTCTGGGCTGGGTTCCCTTCCTGGCATGCATGGAGTTTGACCTTTGGCCTTTGGTTAGGCCTAGGGCAAGGCTGTTTGTCTGTCCACTCACCCCAGATCATTAGGACTGTGTAGAACCCAGGGCTGGGCTCTGAGAGGAGCTGGCAGTCTGTCTGGAGGTCAGAGGCAGACACGCCCCTGCCTTCAGGACAGTAGGGACAGTCGCCACTGTCAGGGAGCTCAAATCCTATGGGGGATACCTGGCTCCTGCCATCAGGGGCCCCACCCAGTCAAAGGAAGGAGTCCCAGGCTCTGCCTCAGGGAAGAGACCTGTCACATGAAGAAAGACCCAGGAGTCAGGCAAACACGAAGCCCCAGCTCTGGAGGCAGCTGGACCCCCAACCACGTGTGACTATGAAACTGATCAGAAGCTACAGGGAGCAGAGATGGCCGCCCACCGAGGAGAAAGTGTATTATGTTGGAGGAGCAGGCATCGCCCCCTACCCACAGCCTGTCTGGACACCTGCATAGGGGAAGACGGGTGGGTGGGAGAAAGTCCTGCTCGGGGCTGTGAGCACATCCATGGGCAGGTGTTCTGTGCTCGGCCTGGAGGTTGGGCGTGCCTGTGTGCTTGGTCCTCAATGCCAGTAAACGTGCTCCGTGTAGACACTCTGCGGAGGGCCTAAGAGGGTGTGAGGTGTAGGCGTGTGCACTGCCCGTGCAGCACGCGTGCATGAGTCAGGATGTGTACTCCCGGGCAGAGGGACAAGCACTCGCCTGAGGTGGGGAGCCTGGGCACGGTCTTGGCCCGATGACATCGTGCTGAGTGATCTCGGGTGCCCTGTGCGCAGGGAGGGAGTCAGAAGGCTGTGTGAGCCTCTCCAGCAACATGGGTCTGTGTTCTGAGCCCCAAGGAAAGCCCCAGGCGCCCTGCATGCCCACTGCAGGCCTCTGTCTACCCTTGATCCCTCACCCTGGCGCCCCGACAACTGGGCCTGACCAGTGAATGCTGGCTGAGCCAGCTGTCACTGTGACATCCATTCTCCGCGGTGGGGCCTGGGAGCCCTCACCCAGCTCCCCCAGCTCTTCCCCCCTCCTCTCCTACGCCTGCCCCCACAGCTGGGAACTAGGCCCAGTGGCAGCTGGAAGCCTCCCGTGGGGTCTCACGGAATACGTAGGGTCTTATGGAGTTTTCAGCCTTAACCCATGAGCTAGAGGGGACCAAGGCAACAAGGAGCTCTGCTCCCAGCACTGCTAGAGCCCCTCTTTCCACGGCCCCTGTCCCCAGAACTCCAGGAAGACTTCTGGGGTGACAGCCCAGGCAAAGGCCAGGAAGGAGAAGACTGCTTATTTGCATATCACTCCCATCTGATTTGCATGTGCAGTGAGGCTGGCCATTTCTAAGTTATGCTGGAATCTTGATTTCAGGATGCTGAGCCTTTCCTCACATCTATTCTTGGGGCTTGCCTCTCTCCATCCCGCCTTGACCCAGACACCTCCTAAAGGACAGCCACACACACACACACACACACACACACACACACACACACACACACACTTCAGTCCCTGCATATACCTGCATTTACAGACCTGTATTTGCATACATACACCTATAGCCCCCTCCATGAGAGTCCTGGGTGCCTGGCCCTGTGCATGCTCCATGGGGATATACACTGTTACACACATGTACACACTTGCACAGGCAGTTGCACAGACACCCATGGTTATGTGTTTTCACACCCACACACAATTCACCCACATTTCTCTACACTCCTATACACCCTCCCAGAGCCTCCAGTGCATTCTGCACCCTCCATTGATGAATGAGCACACACACCTCGGCCTCACACAGGGGCCCAGAGCCTGCACACGCTCCACACACTGGGCCTGGCTGCCAGTGAGGTGCTCTAAGCAGCAGACCCCTCCCAGACCCCAACCTGGGCAGGACTGGCAGCAGCTGTCCTGTGTGACTGTTTCAGTGGCTTTACCACCAAGGGGTCTCTGGAATTCCCAAGTTAGGGGGCAGTCCTTTAGTGAGAGCTTTGTCTCCACTGAAATATGGCTCCTACCTGCATTTTCTGTCTTATCTCCATCATCCCTCCCACCCCCTCAAGTCCCCTGCCTTCATTAATCACCAAACACAGCTTCCTTGGGTGGCCCTGCCTTCTACCTTTGTTCACCCTGTTCCCCACCAGAACACCTGCTTGCTTTCCTCCACCATATACACTTGTGCCTCTTTGCCCTTGTCCATTCTCTTCCCTCCTCCTAGGTTGGCTTCCCTCCCTGTCCCTCTGATGAACTCCTATGCATCCTTCAAATCCCACCTCAAATGTCACCTTGTGGGTAAACTCTTCTCCAGCTTTACCAAGCAGAAGTAGTCATTCCTCACTCTGGGCATCCAGAGGCAGAACAGTGTGGTGGAGAGACAGGATTGGCCTGTCTGGATTGGGGCTCGTGGGCTGCAATCCTCTGTTTGTAAGAAGGAGCCAGGGGACTGTTCTGGAAACTGCAATTACATGGCAAGCATCTTGGTTTCAATGGTATTTTGTGTTTATTGCTGTGGAAGGGCCCAGGCACGGAAGTCACACAGTGCTGCTTCCCCCTTCTCTGCTTTGCACCTTTGGGCAAGTGTTGCAATCTCTCGGGGCCCGTTTCCCCGCCTGTACCATGGGCTCACGGTGGGGGATTATGAGGACCCAATTAAAATGTGAACCTTTGTGACCTGAATTCTCATTACACCGAACAGTAAAGACGAATTTGGCTCAAAGGATTTTTGCTCACTTCTCTATCTCCCTGCTGGACTGGAAATTCCTTGAGGGCAAGGGCTATGTCTCTTTTATCTGAAAAATGAGGATAAGAGGCCAGACCTTAGACTTATGATGAGGATTAGAGTTCATTCACAGGATGTGCTTAAAAGAGCTCCCTGGCACTCCCTCAGGGTTTGTTGCTATAATTACTGTTACATACACTATCATTTAATCCTGACATCAACCTTGTGTTGTTGGAGATACGGTTATCCCACTTCACAGGTGAGGAAAGCAAGTTTTGGAATGCTTAGGGCCCTCGTTGCTAAGGTAAGCAAGGTTCAGAACCCAGATTTGAACCTGGATCTGGCAGAGGCCTAACCAAGATGTCCTCATGTTGTCATCATGGATCAGGATATGATGGTTCTGGGCAAACTGATCACATGTCCAGCCCGGGACTTGGTGGTGTGGCCTGTCTGTGTGTGTCTATGCCCCCGCTGTGTCTCCACAGCATGCAGCCTGTGCTCCAGGTGGACCAGCAACTGATGACAGTGTGGACACCTGAGAAGGAGCTGCCCCGTGGCCCCATCCCCATGGCAAACAGGTTCATCTGTACCCAGGAACAGGAGGCCACAAGGGGAAGGGGAGACAGGAGGATCTGGGGCCAAGGTCTTTTTCCACAAGGGCCCAGGGTGCTGGTCGTTCAGCCCCTCCCAACACTTCCACTCAGCATCCCGGCCCGGAGCACCTGGCTGGGGAGACCTTTCCACTCCACACGCCACAGGAGAGTGAGCACCACGTGACTCCTGGGAAGCCTGCCCTGGAATGCACGTCCGGGGAGCCCTATTCCCCCCGACCTTCCCACTACAGACCTCGGGCCAACAGCCTAATGGGGGCCCTCAGTCCTGTGAGGACGGCTATGGGGACTGCATAGGGCAAAAGAGGCAGGGGCACATGGGTTTCCTGGGTGACATCTGGGCCACAGCCAGGCCAGAGTGGTTCCTCCAAGTCACACAGCAAGCCTGGGCCTGCCTGGCCCCCTGAGTCAGTGGGAGCCCCCTTGCCCTGACCCTGCTGGGGGCTTGGCTATCAGGTGGTGGGAGTCCCTGGATGTTCTGCTGTGGGCCTGGTTCCACCTGTGTGCCCAGTCTGCTTCAGGGAGGGTGTCTCAGATGGCCCAAATCCCAGTAGGGACAAACTAGGCGTCTGAGAGGTGGTAGAGCTTCCTCTGTTCTTGGGACCAAGCACACTCCCGGGAGCCTGCCAGCCTGGGACGGCAGAGCCAATGGGGCATGAAACAGGAAAGGAGGGGCTTTCTTGGAATGAAGCAAGACACGGGCGTGAGAGGCCTGCAGCTTGGGGCTGATGCTGCCTTTGGATGTCCCCGCTGGGGCCCGGCCAGCTCTGGGCGTGGGGAGAATTATGGGGAGGAGCGGGGATGTAGGGATTAGGGGTGTGGGGAGGGTGAGGCCTAGAAGAGCCCGTGATGGAGGTTGCCGTGCACAGGAAAGGGCTGTCCAGGGATATTCTAGCCTTGGGGTCCCCTGCCCTGGGCATGCACCAGGAAGCCAGCCACCCTCTCAGCCCCCTTCCCACTGCCAGGTTTCTTGGGGAGAATCTGGTAGAAGCCTCCCAATTCAGCTTCTCCCACCTGCCCGCTGAGACCCAGGGCTCCCATCCCAGCTATTCTCCACTCCCAAGAAGAGAGGGAGGAGGGCTGTGCTGGGGTTAGAGGACGGCGGGATTTACTGGGATTTATTGGTTTGGGCAGGGAACCACTAAGACGCCTGGGAAAGTGGCTAACACCCCTCTCCTGGCTTCTTCAACACCAGCTCCCCCTCAGCTCTGGAAGCAGCCATGTCGCTTTTAGCTACAGTGAGAGAGATTCGAGCTGGACACCAAGACCTGACACCAGGGGTAACGACTGCGTGGCGCAAGGAGAGCTCTCTCTCCTGCCCAGAGACACACCAGGCTGTGAAATTTGCCCGGAGGCAGGGGCATGGAAGGAATGACCTCCTGGGCAGGTCCAGATCCAGCATGACCTCACCGGCCGGGGCCCTGAGAACCGGACACTCGAGTCCTGTGGACACTCTGGAGTGAATAGGGCTGCGCGGAGAAGGACACGTGGACGAGGAGGTACCGGATGCCTGGGGCCCACCCAGGGCCTGGGCTACAGGGACCCGCTCTGCCATGCGCCGAGCCTGCTCGGGTGCGGCGGTGCCACAGCGCCCTCTGTTGGCCAGAGGCGGAGGCCGCCTGTTCAGGGCCTCTGATGGAAACGGGGACTGGAGCTGCCTACAAGACAGGCAGGTGCTCCAGCGTTCTGCCCGGAGTCAGCGGCCACGGAGGTGGCCATCCCAGCTGGGAGAACCTTGGAGACTCCTGTGCCAAGCCCTGTTCTTTTGCTGGGAAACTTGAAGCCAAGAGAGGAGAGAGGCCCGGTGCATCCGGGTGCTGGGCCCGGGACTGGACTGTGGGGGCTGTCCAGGTTCCAGTGGTGGAAGCATGGGATGCCCCAGGACTCCCTAGTCACCCCCACGAGTCACCTCAAACCCCCATCCAGCCGACTGCAAAAGCACAGCTTCTAGACAGCTCCCACCCCTGCCCCCACCTTCCACCCAGACTGCAGGCCCCTCAATCCGTAACAATTCTAGAGCCTCCCCATCTCCCCAGCACCCTCTGCTCCCACACACCCTCCAGCCCCCTTTGCCCCACTCCATCCGCAGCCTCAGGAGACTCTCTGTGCTCACCTATACACCAACCATTTCCCACTTAAAGCCTCTGCTGCTTTCTTCTTTTGTCCCCAGGAAGTGAAAACTTTATGTCTTTTCCTTTTTGATTAACTTTCTTGGATTTTCTTTTTAATTAAAAACCATAGTACTACATGTTCTTTGTAACAGCTTAAACAAACCAGAGGTATCTAAAGAAAAAGTTGATAATCTCCTCTCTCCCTCTCCAGTCCCCCTTCGCCGGTCACTAATGTGGCTGAAGGAGCGTTGTTCTGCCTTGGGTTCTCTCAGGACCTTCGTTAAACAAGTAAGAAGGACTGAGACCTATTATGTGTTGGGCTCTGGGCTAAGCCTGGCTGCAAGAGCCAACAAGTCAGCAGCCATGGAGCCCACTGCCTTGATGGGGCCTCGATTCTAGTGGAGGGGAGGAGAATGTTTCAAATGGTGATGAATTCTTGGGGGGAAGGGATGGTGGGATGATAGGTGATGGACCGGAAGTCAGGTGGCCTGGAGCAGGAGTAAAATGCCACTTTCCACCTGCTGCAAGTGGGATTGCCAGGGAAGGGCTCTCTGAGGAGGGACATTTGAGTGGAGCTCCAATAGAGGGCACTGTAGGCCACCATAAGGAGCTTGAACGTTATTCTGAGGGCGTCGGAAAGCCACTGAGGGAAGGGAGGGGACCTGATGTGATGTGCGTTGCCCAAGGACCCCTCGGGTGTCCACTGGGTGGAGAACAGATTGAGAGTGGGACAGTGTAGCTGACAGGAAACAAATTAGATAGACAGATAGGTAGATAATGGATAGATAAATCAGTAGATAATTGATAGATCAAGAGATATGTTGATCAATAGATAATAAATAATGGTTGATAATTGATTGAACAATAGATAATCGATAGCTATAGATAGGAATTGACAGATAAAATAGACATTCCTTCTATTTATTTATTTATTTTGAGACAGGGTCTGACTCTGACGCCAGGCTGGAGTGCAGTGGCATGATCACAGCTCACTGCAGCCTCAAGCTCCTAGGATCAAGCGTTCCTCCCATCTCAGCCTCCTAAGTAGCTGAGACTGCAGGCACACACCACCACACACAGCAAATTTTTTAAAAAATTCATAGAGACAAGGTTTCACCATGTTACCCAGGCTGGTCTCAAACTTCTGGGCTCAAGCCATCAGCTTTCCTCAGCCTCCCAAAGTGCTGGGATTACAGGTGTGAGCCACCATGCCTGGCCTTCTTTTTAAGTAAAAATGGGCCCAATGATACAGATTGCCCTGCTCCTGCCCCTTTTCCTCTGGTACTTCCAGGTCAGAACACGCTCCTCCACTCCAAAGGGGCAGCAATTCATCCTCTGGGCAGCCCCACAGCTGCCACAGCCCTGGCTATACATCAATCTTTTGATTTTTCCAATCCACAGGGTAAAACACCCCCCCCCCCCCACACACACACACACACACAACAATTTGAGCAACAAAAATATATTGGATAATCACTTAAAGTATAAAATAAATATCGATGAGTCCACACTGATATGTATAAATGATTGAATAAATTAGTAAGTGGGGGCCAGGCATGGTGGCTCACGCCTATAATCTCAGCACTTTGGGAGGCCAAGGCGGGCGGATCACTTGAGGTCAGGAATTCAAGGCCAGTCTGGTCAACATGGCAAAACCCCATCTCTACCAAAAATACAAAAATTAGCTGGGCGTGGTGGCAGACTCCTGCAATCCCAGCTACTCAGGAGGATGAGGCAGGAGAATCACTTGAATCGGGCAGGCGGAGGTTGCGGTGAGCCGAGATCATGCCACTGCACTCTAGCCTGGGTGACAGACCGAGACTCCATCTCAAAAAAACAATTAATAAGTGGGAGAGAAGAGACAAATATCTCATGCAGGATTCCAAATAAATTATGTCGCGACCTCACCTTAAAAGAGGGGGAACATTACTCCCCACTATGGGGTGCACATCAGGACTTCCTTCTAAATAGCACTGTATGGAGATTAACTCTGCAGTGGAGACACTGACCAAGATGACACCAGCCAGGGGATCAAGGTCAATACCAACAGTTTTTTGGCTCCTTGATATGATGAGTGAAATGGCACTTTACTTCTGTGGTCTTCCTCCCAAAAACCCACAGCCCCAACTATGAGAAAAACATCAGACAAACTCCAGCAGAGCAGTACCCTACAATATCCTTGACCAGTACTCCTCAAACTGTCAAGGTCATCAGAAACAAAGAAGGTCTGAGAAATGGCCACAGCTGAGAGAAGCCTCAGGGAAAATCATAACTAGAAGTCATGAGGCATTTGGCAATGACGGATCCTGCAAAAGAAAAAAGGACACTAGGCAAAAACTAAGGCATTTTAATAAACTATGGACTTGAGTTAATAAGCAAATATAAACATTGATTCACTGATTGTAACATGTATCATACTAAGGTAAGTTGTTGATAATGGGGAAACAGAGTTGGGAGGTACCGATGGGAACTCTCTGTACCATCTGCTCAACTTTTTTCCATAAGTATAAAACAACTCTAAAAAATTGTCTATTAATTTTTAAAAATGCACAACTTGTTGTTTTATTTTTATTTTTATTTATTTATTTTGTGTGTGTGTGTGAGACAGGGTCTCACTCTCTCACCCAGGCTGGAATACAGCAGCATGATCCCTGTTCACCACAACCTCCGTCTCCCAGGCTCAAGGGATTCTCCTGCCTCAGCCTCCCGAGTAGCTGAGATTACAGGCGCCTGCCACCATGCCGGGCTAATTTTTGTATTTTTAGTAGAGAAGGGGTTTCACTGTGTTAACCAGGCTGGTCTCGAACTCCTGACCTCAGGTGATCCACCTGCCTCGGCCTCCCAAAGTGCTGGCATTACAGGCATGAGCTATCGCACCCGGCCTCATTGTTTTTTTAAATGGTATTTCCACTAAACAAGTAAGAAGGACTGAGAACTACTATGTGTTGGGCTCTGGGCCCTGACTCCTACTGAGGCTGAATCTCTTTTCGCATAGACTAGCACACCTTGCTTTATTACGTTTCACTTAATTGTGCTTCACAAATAATGTGTTTTTTACAAATTGAAGGTTTGAGACAACCCCACGTTGAGCAAGTCTATTGGCACCATTTTTCCAACAGCATGTGCTCACTTTGTGTCTCTGTATCACATTTTGGTAACTCTTGCAATATTTAAAACTTTTCCCTATTATTATTATTATTTTATTTATTTATTTATGTTTTTAAGACAGAGTTTCACTCTGTCACTCAGGCTGGAGTGCAATGGAATGATCTTGGCTCACTGCAACCTCTGCTTCCTGGGTTCAAGCGAATCTCCTGCCTCAGTCTCCCGAGTAGCTGGGATTACAGGTGCATGCCTCCACACCCGGCTAGTTTTTGTATTTTTAGTAGAGACAGGATTTAATCATGTTGGCCAGGCTGGTCTCGAACTCTTGACCTCAAGTGATTCACCCACCTCAGCCTCCCAAAGTGCTGGGATTACAGGCATGAACACCGCACCCAGCCTCACTATTATTATATCTGTTATGATGATCTGTGATCGGTGACATTTGATGTTATTGTAATTGATTTGGGGTGCCACAAACCATGCCCATATAAGACGGTAAACTTAAATGATCAAAGTTTTGTGTGTTCTGACTGCTCCAACTGGCCATCCTCACATCTCTCTCCCTCTCCTTGGGCCTTCCTATTCCTTTAGACACATTATTAAGATTAGGCCAATTAATAACCCTCTAAGTATTCAAGTGAAAGAAAGACATATCTCTCAGTTTAAATCAAAAGCTAGGAATGATTAAACTCAGTGAGGAAGGCAGGTTGAAAGCCAAGATAGGCTGAAAGTTAGGCCTCCTGCACCAGCCAAGTTGTGAATCCAGCTTGGAGAACCTCAAGGGAAAGGTCTTGAAGGAAATTAAAAGTGCTACTCTAGTGAACCCACCGATGATAAGAAAGTGAAACAGCAAATCAATGTTGTATCTCATTGCTGAGGTGGAGAAAGTTTGAGTGGTCTGGATAGAAGATCAAATCAGCCACAACATTCCCTTAAGCCAAAGCCTAATCCAGAGCCAGGCTCTAACTCTTTCAGTTCTGTGAAGGCTGAGAGAGGTGAAGAAGCTGCAGAAGAAAAGTTGGAAGCTAACAGAGGTGGGTTAATAAGGTTTAAGGAAAGAAGACATCTCCAGAACAAAAAAAAAGTGCAAGATGAAGCAGCAGGTGCTGATGTAGAAGCTGCAGCAAGTTATCCAGATCTAGCTAAGATCACTGATGAAAGCAGCTACACTCAACAACAGACTTTCAGTGTAGATGAAACAGCTTTCTATTGGAAGAAGATGCCATCCAGGATTTTCATAGCTAAGAAGAAAAGTTAACGCTTGGCTTCAAAGCTTCAAAGGACAGGCTGAGTCTCTTGTTAGGGGCTAATGCAGCTGATGACATAGAGTTGAAGACAGTGTTCATTTATCATTTTGAAAATCCCAGGGCCCTTAAGAATCCTGCCAAATCGACTCTGCCTGTGCTCTAGAAATGGAACAAAGCCTGGCTAACAGCACAGATGTTTCCAGCATGGTTTCCTGAATATTTTAAGCCCACTGTTGAGACCTATCACTCAAAACAAAAAGATTCCTTTCAAAATATTATTGCTCGTTGACAATGCACCTGATCACCCAAGAGCTCTGGCAGAGATGTGCAAATGTTGTTGTCATGCCTAACATAGCATCCATTCTGCAGTCCACGGATCAAGGAGTAATGTCAACTTTCAAGGCTTATTAAAATTTCCATTTCAGGCCGGGCGCGGTGACTCACGCCAGTAATCCCAGCACTCTGGGAGGCTGAAGCGGACCGATCACAAGAAGTCGGGAGTTCGAGACCAGCCTGACCAACATGGAGAAACCCTGTCTCTACTAAAAATGCAAAATTAGCCAGGCGTGGTGGTGCATGCCTGTAGTCTCAGCTACTTGGGAGGCTAAGGCAGGAGAATCGCTTGAACCTGGGAGGTGGAGGTTGCGGTGAGCCGAGATCGCACCATTGCACTCCAGCCTGGGCAAAAATAACAAAAAAAGCTCCGTATCAAAAAAAAAAAAAAAAAAGAATTCCATTTCATAAAGCTGTAGCTACCTTAGGTAGTAATTCCTCTGATGGATCTGGGCAAAGTAAATTGAAAACCTTCTGGGCCACGCATAGTGGCTCATGCCTATAATTCCAACACCTTAAGAGGCTGAGGCAGGAGACTTGCTTGAAGTCAGGAGTTTGAGACCAGTGGGGGCAACAGAGCAAAACCCTGTTTCTACCAAAAAAAAAAAATAGCCAGGCATGATGGCTTGTGCCTGTAGTCCTGGAGGCTGCGATGAGAGGATCACTTGAGCCAGAAGATTGAGGCCACAGTGAGCTATGGTCATGCCACTGTACTCCAGCCTCAGCAACAGAATGAGACCTTGTCTCAAAAAAAGAAAAAAAAAAGGCCAGGCGCGGTGGCTCATGCCTGTAGTCCCAGCACTTTGGGAGGCCGAGGCAGGCGGATCACCTGAGGTCAGGAGCTCCAGACCAGCCTGGCCAACATGGTGAAACCCCGTCTCTATTAAAAATACAAAAATTAGCCGAGTGTGGTGGCATGCGCCTGTGGTCCCAGCTACTCAAGAGGCTGAGGGAGGAGAATTGCCTGAACCTGGGAGGCGGAGGTTGCAGTGAGCTGAGATAGCACCATTGCACTCCAGTCTGGGCAACAGAGCAAGCTCGAAAGGAAGGAAGGAAGGAAGGAAGGAAGGAAGGAAGGAAGGAAGGAGGGAGGGAGGGAGGGAGGGAGGGAGGGAGGGAAGGAAGAAGGAAGGAAGGAAGGAAGGAAGGAAGGAAGGAAGGAAGGAAGGAAGGAAGGAAAAGAAAAAACCTCCTGGAGAGGATTCACCATTCTAGACGCCATTAAGAACATTCATGATTCGGCCGGGCATGGTGGCTCGTGCCTGTAATCCCACCACTTTAGGAGGCCAAGGCAGGCAGATCACCTGAGGTCAGGAGTTCAAGGCCAGTCTGGCCAACCTGGTGAAACCCCGTCTCTACTAAAAATACAAAAATTAGCTGGGCTTGGTGGCAGGCGCCTGTAATCCCAGCAACTCAGGAGGCTGAGGCAGGGGAATCGCTTGAACCCAGGAGGCAGACGTTGCAGTGAGCCGAGATCGTGCCATTGCACTCCAGCGTGGGGGACAAGAGCGAGACTTTGTCCCCCCACCAAAAAAAAAAAAAATTCATGATTCATGGGAGGAGGTCAAAACATCAACATTAACAGGAGTTTGGAAGAAGTTGATTTCAGCCCTGTGGCTGACTTACTTTAAAGGTTTCAAGACCAGTGGAGGAAGTAACTGCAGATTTGGTGGAAATAGCAATAGAACTAGAAGTGGACCCTGAAGATGTGACTGAATTGCTGCAATCTCACAATAAAACTGGATGAGTAAGGAATTGCTTCTTATGGATGAGCAAAAAAAGTGGTTTCTTGAGATGGAATCTACTCCTCCTGAAGAGGCTGTGAACATTGTTGAAATGACAACAAAGGACTTAGAAAATTCCATAAACTTAGTTGATAAAGTAGTGGCAGAATTTGAGAGGACTGACTGCAATTTTGAAAGAAGTTCTACTATGGGTAAAATGCTATGAAATGCTATAGAGAAATAGTTTCGTGAATGGAAGAGTCAGTCAATGCAATCCCCACCCCACAAAGGCCCCCACAACTTCATTGTTGTCCGGTGTTAAGAAATTGCAACCAGGCACTGTGGCTCACGCCATAATCCCAGAATTTTGAGAGGCCAAGGCAGGCGGATCACCTGAGGTCAGGAGTTCGAGACTAGCCTGGCCAATATGGCAAAACCCCGTCTCTACTAAAAATACAAAAATTAGCCAGGCGTGGTGGTGCACACCTGTAATCCCAGCTACTCGGGAGGCTGAGGCAGGAGAACTGCTTGAACCCAAGAGGCAGAGGTTACAGTGAGCCAAGATCGCACCACTGCACTCCAGCCTGGGTGACAGAGCCAGACTCCATCTTAAAAAAAAAAAAAGAAAAAGAAAAGAAAAAAAAAATTGCAACCGGGCACAGTGGCTCACGCCTATAATCCCAGCACTTTGAGAGGCCAAGGCAAAAGGATCACAACAACTTACCAGGAGTTCGAGACCAGTCTGTACAACATGGTGAAACCCTGTCTCTACAAAAAAAGATACAAAAAATTCCATCCTGGTAAACCCCTTCTCTACTAAAAATACAAAAAATTAGCTGGGCTTGGTGGCGGACACCTGTAGTCTCAGCAACTCGGGAGGCTGAGGCAGGAGAATGGCGTGAACCCGGGAGGCGGAGCTTGCAGTGAGCCGAGATTGCGCCACTGCACTCCAGCCTGGGTGACAGAGCAAGACTCCGTCTCAAAAAAAAAAAAAAATTACCCAGGTGTGGTGGCATGCACCTATAGTCCCAGCTACTAGGGAGGCTGAGGAGGGAGAATGGCTTGAGCCTGGGAGGTTGAGGTTGCAGTGAGCCATGATCATGCCACTGCACTCCAGTCTGGGTGACAAAGTGAGAACCTCTTTCAAAAAAAAAAAATTGAAATTGCCACCATCACCCCAGTCTTCAGCAATCAACACCCTGATCAGTCAGCAGCCATCGACTTCGAGGGGAGACTCCCCACCAGCAAAAAGAGTACAACTCTCTGAAGGCTGAGATGATGGTTAGCATATTTTAGCACTATAGTACTCTTTAATTAAGCTATGTACATTTCTAGACATATGCCATTGCACACTTAATAGACTACAGTGTGGTGTAAACATAACTTTTATATGCACTGGGAAACCAAAATATCCGTGTGACTCACTTTATTATGATATTCACTTTATTGCTGTGGTCTGGAACTGAACTTGCAGTATCTCCAAGGTATGCCTGTATATTCTTCTGTAACTGCTTGTTCATACCTCTACTTTCAAATCTTTTCTCTTTTAAAAATGGTTTATAGTTTTTTTCATAGGAAGGATACTAATCCTGGCCAGGCGCAATAGCTCACACCTGTAATCCCAGCACTTTGGTGGCCGAGGTGGGCGGATCACCTGAGGTCAGGAGGTGATCCTGACCAGCCTGGCAAACATGGTAAAACCCCATCTCTACTAAAAATACAAAAATTAGCCGGGTGTGGTGGCAGGTGCCTGTTACTCCCAGCTACTCAGGAGGCTGAGGCAGGAGAATCGCTTGAACCCAGGAGGTGGAGGTTGCAGTGAGCTGAGATCCCGCCACCGCACTCCAGCCCAGGCAACAGAGTGACTCGGTCGCAAAAAAAAAAAAAAAAAAAAAAAAAAGGAAAGAAAAAGAAAATATATTAATCCTTTGTCTGTTACACACATTGCGAATATTACTTCGGTCTATTTTTTTACCTCTTTATTTTGTTTACAGGACCTTATGTCATTCAGAAATAATTTTTTCATAATCAAATCTCTCTCATTGACTGTTTCTCTTGTTGGTGGCTTCTTAGTTTCCTGTCTTACTTAAAAAGAACTTCCTCACCCACAAGGGAAAAGAATTAGTCTTCTAAATTTTCTTCTAATATTTTTAGTTGCTTCTAATATATTTAGATTTTTACTTTAAATCTTTGGTCCATCTGGGATCTATTTTGTAGGTGTTATCAGATGGGAGGGAGGATTTGGCTTTATTTTCTCCCAGATGGATCACTGATACGGCAGCATCATTTATTAAATAAATTGACTTTTGCCCTAAATTGGCATTTCCCCTTGAACAGATAATAAATTCCCATATAGATCCCTGGATTGGCTTCCAGGAGACCATCTTCCCCAGCTCTCCATGAGGTCATCAACATCCAGCTCAAAAGTCCACACCCACCATCTTCTTAAAGGCTGCTCCTACCTCCCCCCATCCTCCCATCTGAAATCAACATTTTCCCCACCTGCACTCCCATGGAATTCATTCACTGCACACACATTTATTGAGCTCCCCCTGGGTGTCAGGTGCTGGACTAGAGATGACTGTCCCTGTCTTCTAGGAGTTCAAGCCGGGGGCGGGAGAAAGGCAGAGAACAGAGTATAATGATGCTTGAGGACAGGTGACTGGGGTTACAGTGGTGGGAGGGGTGTCAATTCCATTTCAGAAAAGCCTCCAGGAGGAAGTGATATCTGAGCTCTGTTAAGCCTCAAATGGTGAGTAGGTGTTTGCCAGACAGCCAAGAAGGAAAGGGGGGGTCACGTGGAGGGAACACTGTGTACAAAGGCACAGAAAGCCTGCTGCGTTCGGGGAGCTGCAAATGGTTCAGAGGCCACAGTGGAGGGAGGGCAGAGGAAGGGAAAGTGGAAAGGGACTGGCGGGTGAGCGGGCCTGAACGCCCTGGCGTAGGCGTGCTGACGGGTTTGGACTCTCTCCTGAGAGGCAGTATGTTGCGATAAGGATGCCAGCACTCCTTCTTCCACACCAACATTCCACCTGTGCTCGCACGTACTTAGTGCTTTTCTTTCAATCAACTACTTTTTTTTTCCTCAAAATAAATGTATTTTAAAGGAACATTTTGTATCATTCCCATAAATGAGAAACCAGTATCCCTTGCCAGAAACAAAATAGAAGAAAAGCCTTTAAAAAGAAACATATTTCTATTAAAATTTAAAATGTTCATTTGTACTATTTTAAAACAGAGAGAGGACTCTCCCAGCCAATGCATGCCTACCTCATTTCAGGAAACGCTGGCATGGGAAAACCAAGGGTGCCCGCATCCAGGCTGCCTGGGTTCAAACCCCAGCTCTAAGGAGCACTCGGTAGAAGTCCTTGGGAAAGTCACCTCCTTTTCCTATGCCTCAGTTCTCTCACCTGTCACATGTGGCAATAACAGGACCTACCTCATTGGGTTGCGCAACTCAGTGAGAGAATGTGGGGAGTGTTTAGTGAATATGCCTTGGCTAGTTTGGGGCCATGAAAAGCCCTCCAGCATTCGAACCAGAAGAGGGGCACTGTCTAGTTTGCATCTTAGAACTAGATCTCCCTCTGGCTGTGGGATAAGGAGGGGCCAGGAGAGACCAATCAGAGGCTGCTGTGGTTCCGAGAAGCAATGATGGAGACCTGAAGCCTACAAAAGGGTGGAGAGGAAGATGCAATTGAGTACTGGGGACAGAGACCAGAGGCAAAGCTGGCACCGAGATTCTAACGAGGGGAAGCATCGGGCCCTTCGTGGAGTAGGGACCACAGGGGTTCACATATTTCTAGGACAGGATGTGTCTAGTACCCAATTTATATACCTTGACTTGGGGGAGTCAGTGTGTCCGGAGGCAGGTGACCTCAGGCCGGGTGTTCAGGAGTGAGTAGGCTGCGCCCATGGGCCAAGGTCGGGCACCTCACCAGCCCCCGCACCCCTGGAGCTGGCAGGTGCTGAGTTTGCATGAAGTGGTTGTGGCAGCCATGCCTCCCTGGTGGTCCAGGGATGAGCAGGGGTCAGAAGTGCTTTCCAGGTGGCATCCCTCCTGCTCCTTTGCTCAGTCCTCTGCTGGTCCTTTGGGCCTGGTGGCTGCCACTGAGCCCTCCAGAGAGTGCCGGGCCTGGGACCCCAATCAGGCTTCAGCCACCCTCAGGGCAATTTCCCTGCCATGTACTGCCCTCCATTGCCTCATTGAAATCTTAAGAGGCTGGGGCACTAAAGGAGGACAATGATGACCCCAAAAGGGGTGGAGGAAGGAACTCGGGAAGTCTTCCCTTCGAACTCTCTAAGATCTCTTCTGGCGTCCACCGCAGCTGGGCCCCTTGCTGGGTGCCCCTCCACTCCCCCTACCTCCACCTCTCGTCTGATGTAGAATCAGAAGATCCTAGATTCCATCCCCCCAGTAGAAGCTCAGGTCAGCGCTGCTGTGAGAGGCCCTTCTACCTCGTGGGTCCTCCTGACAGTGTCTGCTGCTCCTCTCCGCCACCATTCACTGGCGCCCAGAGGTGCCCCACAGAGAGGAGCTTCTCAGTGGGGGTTCCTGGAAAGGAGTGGAGGTCGCGGTTATCCCTCCCGCCACCGCCAGGCGTCACCACCAGCCTGGAAATGAAAGGCACAGTCAGGCCGGTCTGGACGCCAGGGGAACTGTCAGCCTCGGGACTGGCTGAAGGGCCTGGGCAGGACTGGCAGGGTGGCCAAGGACGTCCGGAGATGGCTGCCACTTGGCGCTCTGACCCCAATGTCCATCGGGAGTCCAGAGAGGCACACGCCCCTGAATTCAGGCCGCTGTGGCCGCGACACACGCCAAGCCCGAGGGCCAGGTATGCAGAGAGGGTCCAGACCCTGGACGCCCACCCTGGGCCGCTTGAGTGTAAAGGAAGCGGGAACTTCTCGCCGTACGCGTTATATAGATCTGTTTCACAAATAAAGAACCCGAGGCTCAGTTTCGTATTCCAAGTGGCACCAACCCCATGACCCGCTCCAGTCGAGACTATTTCCAGAGATGCGATCTCCTAGCACGACAGCGACACTTGGAAGTCTGTGGCTGAACGAGTAAATGAATGCGAATATAACAACAGCCGGCACTTACTGAGCACCTACTGTGTGCCAGACGCTGTTCTCAGCAGTCTAAAATGTGGATACTCTTATCCCCACGAAGAAACTGAGGCACAGAGAGGTGATGTAATTTGCCAGACGACACTGTGGCAAATCCAGGATGGGGACCCAGGCGATCTGGTTCCAAAGATCAAGGTCAGGCTGGTAACAACGCCTCTCTGTAGCAAATGCTTTATTTTTTTGTTTTTAAATTTTTTTTAGAGATGAGGTCTCTCTCAGTCACCCAGGCAGGACTGCAGTGGCGCTATCACGGCTCACTGCAGCCTCGACCTCCCAGGCTCAAGTGATCTTCCCGCTTCAGCCTCCCGAGTAGCTGGGACTACAGGTGTGCACCACCACATCCGGCTAATTTGTGTGTGTGTATATATATGTGTGTACACACTATATATAATATATAATATATAAAATATATTATATATAATACATAAAATATATTATATATAATATATAAAATATATTATATATAATATATAAAATATATTATATATATTATATAAAATATATTATATATATTATATAAAATATATTATATATAATATATAAAATATATTATATATAATATATATTATATATATAATATATAAATATAATATATAAAATATATTATATATAAAATATATTATATATAATAAATATATTATTTATTTATTTATATATAATTTATATATAATATATATATAATATGAATAAATATAATTATTTATATATATACACACACACACCTATATATATTTGTGTGTGTATATATATTATATATATAAAATATAGTATATATAATATATATAAAATATATTATATATAATATATTATATATTATATATAAAAAATATATTATATATAATATATAAAATATATTATATAATATATAAAATATATTATATATATTATATATGTATATATAATATGTAATATATGTATATATATAATATATATATACACACACAAATATATATAGGTGTGTGTGTGTATATATATATATAAATAATTTTTTTTTTTTGTAGAGACGGGGGGTCTCCCTGTGTCGCCCAGGCTGGTCTCGAACTCCTGAGCTCAAGAAATCCACCTTCCTCGGCCTTCCAAAATAGAATACTGGGATTACAGGCGTGAGCCACCGCGCCCGGCTGCCATTCGGTTTTATCGTTGTTTGAGTTTTTGTTTTGTTTTGTTTTTTTGAGACAGCGTCTCGCTCTGTAACCCAGGATGGAGTGCAATGGCGCGATCTCGGCTCACTGCAACCTCTGCCTCCCGGGTTGAAGCGATTCTCCTACCTCAGCCTCCCGCGTAGCTGGGATTACAGGCGCGCGCTCCCACGCCCGGCTAATTTTTGTATTTTTAGTACAGATGGGGTTTCGCCATCTTGGCCAGACTGGTCCCGAACTCCTGACCTCAGGTGATCCGCCCACCTCGGCCTCCCAGAGTGCTGGGATTACAGGCGTGAGCCACCGCGCCCGGCCCGCCATTCGTTTTTTAAGTTGTCTTTATTAAGCGCCGCTGTGCGCCAGAAACCGGGAGCGGAAAGGGTCTGCGCCCCAGCAGGCGAGTGAGCAGAGCGCGCGGCGGGCGCGGCGGGGCCTCACCTTCTCCCGGGCCAAGCGCCCACAGGAGGCGCCCCGAGTGCCCACCAGGTGGCGCGCTGACGCCACTCGCCTCCCACGCGCCACACCCGCTTGGTCTCTTCATCGCCCCCTGCGGAGCTGGCGTGGACCGCAGCGACTTGGGTCCAGCCGACAGGTGGCCGAGGGGGCAGCCACTGACCTGGTGCCAGGTGTCCCTGGCTCCCTGCCAGGTGCCCTGCAGTCTAGCGGCCCTGCTCAGGCCCTGCTTTCTTCCCTTGCTTCTCACCTCTGAAGACACTGAAGTGTAGCGAGAAGGAGCCCCGCACGACCCCTTCCCGCCAGTGCTTCACTGGGGACAGAGCACTTTCTACCGGCTACGTGCCGTCTCACACTCGCCACGTCCTCACCCCAGGAGGCGGGCAGGATGATCCCCCTTTGCAGATGAGGAGGCTACCGCCCAAGAAGGGGAGAGACTGCCCCCAGATCACCCTGGCCACAGAGAGCGAGGCCCCCAATCCAGGCTGCCGGACTCCAGCTGCCACGCCCTCCCCACTCCACCAGAGCACAAGCAGGAGCGCTCACAGCCAGGAGAAGGTCCCTTCTGGCGGGTGAGGTCCTGTGAGAGGCAGGGGGATAGACATGTTGACCTCTCAGGCCAGAGGAGGGTGCGCTCTGGGATGTCAGTGGCAACATCCCTTAGGGCCTTCTGGGCCAGAAGTTCCTCTGCTCCCCTGGCTCCCTCGCCCCCTGCTCCTGTCCTCCCCGTCTTTCCTCATCCCTTCCTATGCGGCCTCCCCAGGCTTTGCTCTGCTCTCTACAAGCTCCCAATACTCACCTCAGATGACTCTCCGGGCTCACACACCTCCCAGTCTTGTCCCTCCAGTCTGACCTCTATTGTGCACCCTGCTGTTCACCTGAGCACCCTCAAGCCCCTTGCAGGCCCCCTGTCCAGGATGAGATGCCACATCACCCCTGCACACCTGTGCTCCCTAAGCCAGAATGCTGGGGGTCCTCTTTGACTCCTCACCCTCATGTCCTAGAGTCTGTCCCCTCTCCATTCCACCCATTAGACATCTTTCAAGGTCATCCCTTCTTCCCAGCAGATGCCTCTGCTCTGATACAGACCACCATCACCTCCCAGCCTCTAGTTTCACCCACCCTCTCGGACCCACCCTCCACGCAGCTGCCAGAATGGTCTTTCCAGAGATCTTCCTAAAGTGCAAATCCGAGCCGTGTTTAAACCTCATAATCAAAACAGAAACAAAGACACCTTAACCACAGGATGAAACCCCAAACCCTTAGCTAGACCCGTAAAGCCCTGCATGGTCTGGCCCCTGCCACCTCTCTGGCGGTGTTGTGTCCCTCTCCCCCCACTCACTAAGCTCAGCTCCCTTCAGCTCCTCCAAAGCACCAAGTTCTTCCTAGGCTCACGGTCTCAGCAGGTGCAGCCCCTCTGTCCAGCTCTTCATCCTTTAGATCCCAGCTGAAAGGTCACATTCTTGCAGAGGCATTCCCTGACCCCTCCCAGGTAAATTAGGATCCCTCCTTAGTTTCTCTCTTGTTTGGAATTTGCTGTTCTTCTTCCCCCGTACCTCTTGCCAACACATCTCAGAGCTTATGTTTTCATGTGCTCAGTTATTTAATGTCTGTCTCTCCCATAGCCCAAATTCTCCATGCAAATAGGACTGCAGTCTCCCCTGTCCACACTGTACCTCCACACCAGCCCAGGACCGGACATAAAAGTAGACACTTGGTAAGTATTTGTGGAACAAATGAATCTTTCATCTCGTCCTCATCAGAACCCCATTCCCAGGCTTTCTTTCATCTCTGGCCTTTGCAAGAGTTGCTTCCTCTGCCTGGAAGGTTCTTTCCATTCCCTCCCACCTGGGCAGATCCACACGTCATTTAAGATTAATCTCTCTGCAATCTGTCCATCGCCCCCTCATTTGAATTAGGGTTTCCCTCCAGGCCCCCTTGGAACCCTATACATAGCACTCTATCCTAACACTTTAAAATTGCAAATTGCCTGCTAAACATGAGAGATTAACAACAATAATGATCTATCTACTCTTGCCTCTCCCCCAGACCTCTCCACTGCAGCTAGCTCAAGGGCATCACTCTCTCTGCCTTTCAAGCCATTAGGAACCCCATTTCCCATTCATTCATGAGGCACTGCTCAGGTGCCCACTGTGTCGCGTTGTTTTCCTTCCGGCAGCACTGGGGAAGCATGGAGGAAGGAAGCAGTGTAGATAGGATTCTTCCAAGGGTGAGAGGGAAGCAGGTGAAAGCATCAGAGGTGCTCAGCAAAAGCCCAGCCACCCCCATCCAGGGTGCAAATGGGTGCAGGGAAGGCTGGAGGCAGAGGGGTGGACCTAAAGTGCTCAGTTCTGCCCCCTTCACTGAGCACCTGGTGTGTGCAGGGCATGGCTGGGGAGAGGGGTGAGGAATATGGAGAGGTGCACCTGAATGGCAGACACATCACCTCTAGCACAGCTGTTAGTGTGCTTGGTACACAGAGTTTACTGTGTCTTGGATCTGTCTTCCCACGCTGGGAGTAGCTGGAGGGCCCAAGGTTGGGTACAGTTGTTGTCAAACCTCAGCCAAACCTAGTGGTCACTTTTCTGTCTCTCCCTTGCCAGGTCACTCTGCTGTGGCTCATTCCCCTCTTCCTGACACTCCCCACACCCAGATCTAGAGGCCACCTTCATCAGCATCACCTGGGTAGGGGCAGGAGCTTATATAATATGTAGTCCTCGGTTCCTGTCTACCAACTAAGGCTCCCTGGGGATGGGACCCCAGAATCTGCATGATGCACACTCCGCACTGTGTCCACTCTGCTTGGCACCTTGAGCGTGAGAACCCCACTTCTCCAGTGGCTTCGGGATCAGCCCCACCTGTCCTCCTAGCCCCTGGCTCCCTGTTCCTCCCTGGAATCCTCTGGGGGTTCTTTTCCTCTGACCACCTTACCTTAAATGCCAGGGTGCCCAGTGCTCCTCTGGCACCCTCCATACCTCTAGCACCCCAGGCTAGACTTTCTCCTGCCCTTGGGTGGCCGACAGCACCCAGACTTGACATGGCGAAAGCTGACCCTCCCACCCTCACCACAGACCCCATCCCTCTCCTCCCATCTATGGTACCCACCTCATCAACTAGCCAGCCTGTTGCTCAAGCCAGGGAACTGGGTGTCACACCTGACTCCTTCTCTCCCTTCCTGCCTCACCACAGCAACAACCAAATCCTGATCATTTTGCCTCCTAAAGATGCCTTCAGTCTCCCTGCCCCCCACCCCCAAACCACTGCATTTGTCTCCTAATGATTTCCTCTCCTCTCCCTCCCTCTAGTCCAGGGAATTCTCCAAAAGCTTTTAAAATGCAAATCTAACTATAATCACAGCCCCCTTAAAATCCTTCAAAGATTCCTCATAAACAAAGATCTCAACCCCTTGACCCTCCATCATCTGGTCCCAGCCTCCCCTCCTCCCGCTCTGTGCTCCCTGAACAGCAAACTGCTTCCAGTTCCAGCCTCCAGACCTTTAGTCATTCAGTGCCCTCTGCCAGGAATAGCCCTTGCCAGACAGGCTCTTCCTCACAACTGCAGTATCACCTCCTCCAGGAAGCCATCTCTGACCCTCTCGCCCCTGCCCCCAGCTTCCTCAGTGCATCCATATGCCTTCCTTGTTCAAGGATCTGTTATTCCACTCACCATACTGAGTTACAATTATCGATTTTCATGTCTCTGTTCCACACTTGCCGATGAGATCCTTGAGGGCAGGGAGGGTGTCCCATTCATCTCTATCTCAACCCCTGGCCTGGCGCCTGGCACGGCGGACAGGCTCGGCCAGTGGGTGATGGATAAATGCGGAGGGGAAACTTGAACAAAGTGAGAGCCAGAAATGACCAAGAGGGGAGTAAGGGCAAGCCTGGCAGGAGGAGCAGCCGGAGCAAATGTGTGGGAAGTGGAGGAGCGAGAACTTCCGTTTACTGCACTCCTACGACTGCCCACCAGCCATTGTGCCTGCGCTTTGTTTGCACATTTTGTCTCATTTGGTTCTTGCAAGAACAGATCAGGAAACGGACATCAGAGAACCAAAGTAACCTGCCCAAGGTCACACAGCCAGGTCTGGAACAGAATCTGGGACTGTCTGGCCTGAAAACCTGTGCTCTTTCTGCTGGGCCACACAGCTCTCCTAGGGACAGGACCTTCTGGAAACCAGACAAGGAGTGGGCCCAGCTACGCCCCTGCCTAGCTGAGCGCCGGAACCAGCTGCCCACACTCAGGCCAACAGCTTCTCCCTCCCAGCCAGACCAGAGGCTTAGAGGCCAAACAAAGATTTGCCTGTTCCTGCCTCCCCGGCTTTGGGGGGGTCTTTGACTAGACATGCACGCCACCACCCACCCCACCCCCCACCAACACCAAGAAAGAGCTGTTGCATCTTGGTATGGCCCAGGGTGCCTGGAAATGCAGGGGGCTCTGTGATGCTGTCTGGGTTTTGCAGAATCTGTCTCCCTCATCGCACTTGGCCCAGGCTGATATTAAGATTCATCTGCATTCCCCGCGCACCCGCCTGGCAGATGGTGGGGGAGGAGGCTGGGTGCGTGCCGGGGTTGCAGCCACGGGACCAAGCTGGGCCTTGGAGGGCCACAGAGCAGAGTGCCCACCCACCGTGCTCCTTGGGCCCAGCCCAAGCTGGGACCACTTCAAATGATGGGGTGCCTCCTCACCTTCATAGCCTCCAAGGGATGCCAGGACTTGACCTTTCATTTTTCTACAGACTAAAGGGACCCTGGAATTCCAGGAGGGAGACCTGAAGATATGGAGTGGGGGTGATGGAGGATGGGCCCCCATCTTTGGGAATCTCAGATCAGGGTCGTGTTCTTCCTCCTTGCCCTGGAGGTTTGCAGAGACCCCACTGGGACAGGAGCCACTCTCGGCCTGGTGACCCCTGTGGCATAGAGAGGGTAAGTAGTGAATAATGAAGGGACAGGCTCCAGGAAGGCCTTGCTCCCCTCACTCTCCAGCTTCTCAGGACCTGCCCCCGGCCCCAGAATCTAGCCTGGCCCCTAACAGCCTTTTCAGCCCAGGGGCCCAGCCAAATACTTCCTGTCACAGTGGCTGGACCGAGAAGGTCCAGGGATTATCTCAGCCCCTCCAAGTAAAGTAGAAGAGGGAAGGAGCAGACATCATAACAAAAGGAGTGCAGGCTAGACACCCAGAAGGACTTCCCTCAGCACAGGTTTTGGCTCTTAGAATGGGTTTTTTAAAAAAAGGATCTTTCTTAATTCCAGGACTCCTGAGTTGGGGGCAGGGCAGCCGATTCTTGCTGCCCGCTCCCGGGGAACGGGCGCCCTGCAAAAGAGGTGGAAACGGTAGGGTCCGTATCCCCTGGCCACCACCCTCTCCCTTCCTCTCCAAGAGCTACTCCGCCCCCGCGTGCCGTCCTCTCCTGGCTGGAGAGCCGGCGTCCTAGGTCCCCGGGCTGCGGGCCGGCAGGGGAGGAGTTAACTCCGGAGGTACCGGCTGGGCTCACTGTACCTGCCGCCGCCGCCGCCGCCGCCGGTGGGAGGGACGAGGAAGCGGGAGCCGCCTGGGCGCCAGGAGCGCTCTAGTCTGGCGGGGCGCAGCGCAGCGCGGGGAGCGGGCGGCCGGGGCTCCGCGCGGCTGGGGGCGTCCGCCAGGGGGCGCGCCGCGACGGGGCGGGTGGAGCAGCCTGGTTTGGGGAATTAGCACCAAGGACGGGCGCGCGCGCAGGTCCCCAGCACATCTGGGCGAGAGCGGCGCCGCTGGAGCCGAGGGGGGCGCCGAGCGCAGATCTGGAGCAGCAGAGCCACGGCGCAGCTGGGGCCCTTCGAGGCGCTCGGGGCGCACATCTGGGACCTCGAGCGGGGGCCGTGCCGCGCGCAGCTGGACCAGGGGAGGGGGGCGGCGGCTGCACAGCTGGACCGAAGGGGGCGGGGTCGGCCCTGGGCGACCCGCTGAGGGGAGGGCCGCGGGCCGCCGGGGACTGGAGCATGGGACGGCGCGCCTGAAGGAGCAGGAAGGGGAAGGAGGCCTGGGACCCCGAAAAGAGAAGGGGAGAGCGAGGGGACGAGAGCGGAGGAGGAAGATGCAACTGACTCGCTGCTGCTTCGTGTTCCTGGTGCAGGGTAGCCTCTATCTGGTGAGTGGTCCGAGGGGAGCTGCGCAGAGGGGCGGGGGCCCGGAGGATCGGGGGAGAGCGCGGGAAGCTTGCGAGCCCTGAAACTTTCTCCCTTCCCCCGACATCCCGGGGATGGCGGGGAAGACTGGAGGCTGGGGGAGAGGGCGGGTCCGAGGCCGGAGACTGGACAGATAGGGTTAATAGGGGCGGGGAGAGGGTGCTTGGCTGGCCCACCCACTCCGCAGCGGGTGGCTGGAGGTGCGACCAGCGCTCGGAAAAAGGCCTGGAGCCGGGTCGCCAGGGTTACCCTACCCCTTCCCAGAGCCTCAGGACCGCTGAAGCCGGGGGCGAGTGGGGCGCGGGTCGTGGAGCTGGTGACCTGCAGGCTTTTCCCCTGACCTCTGGGACTCAGAGAGCCTCGGGTTCTGGGTCCCCCAGAGCACAGAGCCGGTCCAGGCGGGGGGCGGCCCCCGCGTCCCTCCCCTCCCGCCTTCCCTCCCGCTCCCTCCCTCCCCGCCTGTTGTTTTCCTCTGCTCTCCCGGCTGCGCGCAGCCGGAGCCCCACAGGACTTGGGCAGGCGGCTCCCGCCCCAGGCACTCGCGGCAGCTGAGCGGAGCGCCCAGAGCCCGCTCCCCGTGCGCCGGCTCCGCGGCTTCTCGGCGACCCAGGGCGCCGGGGATCCCCTCCCCGAACCCAGCCCGTGGCTTAACTCCCCTCCGACCGAGCGCCCGCTGACCCTCCCCGCAATACTGTCGTGAAGCCTCAGCCCCACATCTGGACCTGCCCCTTTAATCAACAAGCCCCTTGCCACCGCCCCATGCCACTGTGGGAAGAGCCCTTCCCTTCTCACGGCCCCACCTTTACCCTCCAGCCACTCAGCCGTGACCCTCAGGAGCAAGTACCTACAGGTCTGCAGCCCTAGACCCAGACCCCGAGCCTCCCGTCCTAGCCGTCCCTCTACCCCACCTCTGGGGCCTGGCAGTCAGGGCCAGCCTGAACTGTGGGGCAGAGACAGACTCGGCCACAGCACACAGCTGCCGGCAACACCCAGGCCAGAACACAGGCATGAGGACCCCACAGCCCCTTGGAACCCTACTGTCCCCACCCCAGTGTCACCACCAAATCCAGATGCCCCCCGGTGCTGGTAGTAAAGACACCTAGGGCAAGTGGTTGCTTTCAAAAGCTGAGCAAACCCACAGCCAGGCTGCGCCTCAGGAAGCCCTGTCAACCCCCTGATGCCCCCCACTGCTGTCCCACTCTCCCTGTGGCACCTCCAGGAATCTCCCAGGTGTGGGTTGTCACCACAGCTGATCCAGCAGAGGGAGGATGAGCCCCTGCAGATTCCAGAGGCGGATGGCGCCTGGATAAAAACCCTTTCAAAAAGACACATCTGATCTGTGAGGCCAGGAGTGTGGAGTGTAAAGGAAGGGCTGACCCTATGTGAACTCAGCCTTGTAGTGTTGTAATCTCTGAGCCCCAGTGTCCTTATCTGTGAAATGGGAATAAGAACTCCTACCTCAGAATGCAAGTAACATCGTGGCATGTCATCATCAGTGTACCCTGGAGAGGTGTTTGGCTTTCCATTCCCATGGCCATCCTGGGTGTGGCATTCACTCCGGGTCTCCCCTAGTTCTCTTGCCAAACCTAAACTATATTCGTGCTTGAGAATTACACTGTGTTCTGCTTTCTTATTCCATTGTCTGGTGGTTCTCTTTGCATCTAAGGGTAGAAATTATCCTAGGGTAGGGACGGTGTCTTACCCAACAGACTAGGAAGTCCCAAAAGGCAGGGGCTGGCCTCTCCTGTCAAACCAGGGGCTCTCCCAGGATAAGAATGGTGCTTCCCTGTCTGACTCGGGGCTGTTTCAGAGCAGAGATTATGCCTCCCCCATCAGCCTGGGGATTTCACAGAGGCAGGGATTCTACTTCCTATCAAATTGGGGGCTCTGTCAGCACAGGGATGATGCTTCTGCAATTAGATGGGGGCTCCCCAAGATCAGAAGCTGGGCTTCCCCCATCAGACTGGGGACTCCCTAGGGGTAGGAGCCGTTGTCCCTGGTGCCACAGTTCACTGGAGAGAATTATTGTCGGTCTTTGAGACTTTGAATTTGAATAGTGGCCAAGACAGTGAGGAAAGGACAATGGGGGGGGGGGTGACCCAACTGTCAGAACCTGAGATGTACACAAGCTAGAGTGTACACTTGCCCCCCAGCTTCAGTGGGCAAGACGCAGGAGCTCCTCACCCAGGTCAGAGTGAAGTGGCAGGGACAGGGGTACTGCTGGTAGCGGGGGTGGTGGACCTCCAGGGACAGGGCTCTCACTGTACTCACAACTCCCTCCATAGGTCATCTGTGGCCAGGATGATGGTCCTCCCGGCTCAGAGGACCCTGAGCGTGATGACCACGAGGGCCAGCCCCGGCCCCGGGTGCCTCGGAAGCGGGGCCACATCTCACCTAAGTCCCGCCCCATGGCCAATTCCACTCTCCTAGGGCTGCTGGCCCCGCCTGGGGAGGCTTGGGGCATTCTTGGGCAGCCCCCCAACCGCCCGAACCACAGCCCCCCACCCTCAGCCAAGGTGAAGAAAATCTTTGGCTGGGGCGACTTCTACTCCAACATCAAGACGGTGGCCCTGAACCTGCTCGTCACAGGGAAGATTGTGGACCATGGCAATGGGACCTTCAGCGTCCACTTCCAACACAATGCCACAGGCCAGGGAAACATCTCCATCAGCCTCGTGCCCCCCAGTAAAGCTGTAGAGTTCCACCAGGAACAGCAGATCTTCATCGAAGCCAAGGCCTCCAAAATCTTCAACTGCCGGATGGAGTGGGAGAAGGTAGAACGGGGCCGCCGGACCTCGCTTTGCACCCACGACCCAGCCAAGATCTGCTCCCGAGACCACGCTCAGAGCTCAGCCACCTGGAGCTGCTCCCAGCCCTTCAAAGTCGTCTGTGTCTACATCGCCTTCTACAGCACGGACTATCGGCTGGTCCAGAAGGTGTGCCCAGATTACAACTACCATAGTGATACCCCCTACTACCCATCTGGGTGACCCGGGGCAGGCCACAGAGGCCAGGCCAGGGCTGGAAGGACAGGCCTGCCCATGCAGGAGACCATCTGGACACCGGGCAGGGAAGGGGTTGGGCCTCAGGCAGGGAGGGGGGTGGAGACGAGGAGATGCCAAGTGGGGCCAGGGCCAAGTCTCAAGTGGC
This sequence comes from Homo sapiens, assembly GCF_000001405.40. NCBI lineage: Eukaryota > Metazoa > Chordata > Mammalia > Primates > Hominidae > Homo > Homo sapiens. Next base: position 49,579,461 of record NC_000017.11, read on the forward strand.
AGAGAAAGGGTCCCAAGTGCTGGTCCCAACCTGAAGCTGTGGAGTGACTAGATCACAGGAGCACTGGAGGAGGAGTGGGCTCTCTGTGCAGCCTCACAGGGCTTTGCCACGGAGCCACAGAGAGATGCTGGGTCCCCGAGGCCTGTGGGCAGGCCGATCAGTGTGGCCCCAGATCAAGTCATGGGAGGAAGCTAAGCCCTTGGTTCTTGCCATCCTGAGGAAAGATAGCAACAGGGAGGGGGAGATTTCATCAGTGTGGACAGCCTGTCAACTTAGGATGGATGGCTGAGAGGGCTTCCTAGGAGCCAGTCAGCAGGGTGGGGTGGGGCCAGAGGAGCTCTCCAGCCCTGCCTAGTGGGCGCCCTCAGCCCCTTGTCGTGTGCTGAGCATGGCATGAGGCTGAAGTGGCAACCCTGGGGTCTTTGATGTCTTGACAGATTGACCATCTGTCTCCAGCCAGGCCACCCCTTTCCAAAATTCCCTCTTCTGCCAGTACTCCCCCTGTACCACCCATTGCTGATGGCACACCCATCCTTAAGCTAAGACAGGACGATTGTGGTCCTCCCACACTAAGGCCACAGCCCATCCGCGTGCTGTGTGTCCCTCTTCCACCCCAACCCCTGCTGGCTCCTCTGGGAGCATCCATGTCCCGGAGAGGGGTCCCTCAACAGTCAGCCTCACCTGTCAGACCGGGGTTCTCCCGGATCTGGATGGCGCCGCCCTCTCAGCAGCGGGCACGGGTGGGGCGGGGCCGGGCCGCAGAGCATGTGCTGGATCTGTTCTGTGTGTCTGTCTGTGGGTGGGGGGAGGGGAGGGAAGTCTTGTGAAACCGCTGATTGCTGACTTTTGTGTGAAGAATCGTGTTCTTGGAGCAGGAAATAAAGCTTGCCCCGGGGCACTGGAGTCAGAGTTGTCCAAGGAAAGGGCCTCAGGCATCCCTTGGTCCAGGAAGAATTTCTCTGATGGCCGCAGGACATTTGCTTGAGACCCAAGTGGCAGGGATCCAACCGCCCTTGGCGCTGATGTTTGCTGAGGGCTCAGGGCTTCCCTCTCCAGCCCCGGTTCCAAGCTGTCTGATCCCCCACGAGGAAACTTGAGCAAACACCCTGGGCTCGGTGCTGGAGGAGGGCGTAGCATCTTCAAGAACAGCTCAGGGAGGGAGAGCTAGCAGGTAGAATGGGCCAATGAGGGTGTTCCTTGGTGTCCTCCCTGAACTGCCATCTGCAGACCCAGCAGGGTCCTAGCCCCGTCATTTTGCTGCGTGGCCTTGGCCATGTCCATTCTCCTCTCTGGCTTTCTTTCTTTGTTTCTTCCTCTATGACATGAAGGGCTTGCCCAGACCAGGGGTTCTCAAACGCGGATCACCCAGAGGGTTTGTTAACACACAGATTTCTGGGTCCTACCCACATTTCTAATTCAGCAGGCCTGGGTGGGGCCTAAGAATTAGAATTTCTAACGAGTGCCCAGGTCTATGCTGATGCTGCTGCTCCAGGGCCCATGCTGGGAGACCCACTCAAAGGACCTTGAAGTTCATCTCTGGCTATGGCTCCGCAGGAGGGGGAGACACCTCGGATGTGATTTCCCAGCTGTAATTTCCATCTGCTTCTCCTGGGGAAGGGGCCTTTCAGAGAATCGGGGCTATTGTATTGGATTTTCAATCTGACCACATGCCAGTGAAGGAACAGGCTGGAGTGGGGTGTGGACACAGGGCCTGCGTCAGTCACTCCCCTCCTGCAGCTAGTAAGAGGCCTCAGAATGGCCAGCTGCCAGTGGCACCTTGTCTGGGAGTTAGTTGGGCCCTTTGGGACTCTGTGAAGGGAAGACACTACCAAGGTCACAGTGCCTTCTGGAGGTCATTCTAAGTCGGCTCTCTTGGGAGGGCAGCACTCAGGGCCCTTTGGGCCCTCTTGAGGAGAGGAGAGTCCTGGCAGTAAGGTAAGATGGGCTTGCCACCCCCCACCTTTCGCCCCTGCCCACCAGCGCTCCGCGCAAACTGGTCCCCTCATACTGCAGCGCAGAGTTGGGTGGGGCTGAGAAGCCATCTGGTTACAGCCCACCTTGTAGGAAATGACCCAGCTTGTTTCCCCCACATCATGCTTCCAGGGGCCGTCTCTCCTGAGTGGAGATGTGAGACACACACCCCTCCTCCAGACCACCCTCCGCTCCCCACCCTGGAGGCTTGAGACTGCTGGCACTGGAGCAGCCCACCAATGGACACCCACCGTGTGCCGTTCAGCCTCCCACAGTGCTGTGGAGACTGCAGGAAGGAGGAGGAAGCAATGGGGCCAGAGGCCCTGGGCGCCCTCCCCACCTCCCCTGGCTGAACTCTCAGCAGGCACTGGGGGCACTTTGACCCCCCTCCTGCTCCTCTCCTCCTGTGGAGAGCCAGATGCTGGCGACAGCTGGAGGGCCCGGCCTTCCTGGCACACAGTTCTGCCTGCACCAGGGATGGATTCATTTTAATAACTTCATTTCACCCTCATGCACACTGCCGCCTCATCCCTCCTTTCCACCTTCCCCAGTAGCCTGGCTGCTCTCCTCAGCTAGGACTTCGCTAACAGATTTCCTCCCAAACCTTAATTCTTTGGAATAGCCCTCTGGTCCCTACTGTTCTTGCCAGATACTTCTGTGCCCGCTTGGTCCTCACAAGGGCAAGGGGTCCATCCAACTTCCTCTGGCTAAGAAGACGTCACCTCTGCCCCATTGGCGAGCAGTGTCCCCATGGTGATGCCCCCCCACCATCACGACGAAGTGCGCTGGCCTCCCACTCTTGCCATGCACACACTCACAGGAGATTCCTCTGAAGAAACCTGTCCCCACTCTGCCCAGACCCCAAAGGGCCAGGTCCTACTCACACTCCAACCCGTTGACCTTCCCCATCCACTGCCCTTCAAGGCAGTCTGAAATGCCCTCAGACCGTTTAGCGGTCCCGTGGTCCTCCACCCTAACCCCTCAGCCCAGCTGGGGGCTGCCGGGGGCCTTGTCTCCTCCATCAGTGGAGCCTCTGGGACAAGTTTACCAGGCTGGGGGTTCTTTAAGGACACAGCTTGGATCTCCCCATCAGGCTGGGGAACACCTAGGGCCGGGGGCCATGCCTCCCTCATCAGACTGAGGACACCCTGATGTCAGGGGCTGGATGGCCCCTTAGACTGGGGGTCCCTGAGGGCAGAAGCTATGCCTCCCCTCATCAGACTGGAGTCTCCCTGAGGGCAAGAACTGTGCTATGGATGGGAGGGGGACAGCTTGCCTTTTCCTAGGCATCAGAGCACCTGGAGGCTGCCTCTGCCCTTCAGCTTTGCTCAAAGGCGCTGTCTGGGTCTCAGCATTCCTTTCTCAAGTAGGGTGAATCTCCTAGCACTCTGTGAAGCTAATAAGGGGGATTACCCGTTAGGTCAACTGGTAGCAATGCCCGAGTCTCCTTCTCGATGAAGCTTAAGGCAAAAGCAAATGAATATCTAGGTCCCTTCCCCCCCTTCCCCCCTTCCCTTTCCTGGGATGAGCAAGCGGGAACTGAGTCACCCTGTTCCCCATCCTTGGCAGGAATGCTGGTGACCTTGCATTGTGGCAGATTCAGGTGGCGAGGCCCATTGCTCGAGATGCACCTGGTGGGTGGGTGGCAGGGATCCTGGGGGAGTGTTTATGGGGACGGAGGCAGCTGAAGGGCAGGGAGGGGTGACCAGGTGCTGGGATCATCGAGTGAGTATGTGCAGGAGGGATTGTAGAGACACAATGAAACAGTTGCTCTGTGTTGGGAAGTGATCCAGTGTCATCGCTGGGAGTGGGAGACAGAAATGTTACTTCCAAAGATTCCGAGTCCTGTGGTACTGCCAGGAGAACCGGGGGCTGGGGTGATGGGTAAGGAGAGGCACCATTAGCCCCGCCAGGCAGAGGCAAGATGGGGTGGGGGCGGCACCTGCCAATTATGCCAAAGTCTTGGAGTGGCAGCTGGCACCATCACCAAGGCACAAATGCCAGCAGAGACCTGGCACTCACCTGGGTTGTGATTCCATAGGGCCCCTGTCTCCTGTTGGTCTCCCAGGCTCAAAGGCTGACCTGATAATTCAAGTGAAGGATGCCTAGTTCAAGGCCTCCCAGTTCCTCATCCCAGGCCACCTGGTCAGGTGGTCCCAAGGGACAAGCTAGGTCCTCCTGAACTGCAGAGGCTGCCAATAAACTGGCAACACAGGTGTTGCAGGAAGATATAGCTGGGTCCTCATCCTGGGTCTGTAATTTATTAGACGTGTGGCTTTGGACAAATGACATAATTTCCCAGAGCCTCCTTAGATAAAAAACTAGGGCTTTGCTTACCTTGGCGTATTGTTAGGAAAATTAAATGAGTTGCTCAATAAATGTTACTTCCTCCTGTCTTTTTTTTTCTAAGATGGGTTGTTGTTAACCTTGGCCTTGCTCCTGGTGTGGACAGGGGAAAGGGTCCCAGGCTGGAGGTAGGAGACCTAGGTTCCTATCCTGGTTCCACCCCATCATGCATGTGGCAAAGATTTCTAATTGTCCCATAATACCCATTTTCCCTTTCTCCATAGTAATGGGATTCTCTGATTTTAGCTGGGCATGTGGCTGCCTGAAATAACTACTGCATTTCTCAGCCTCCCTAGATGTAGTCATGTGACTAAGATCTGGCCAGTGACATTTAAGCCAAAGGTTTAGGTGGCACCTTCCAGAAATTGTCAGACAGCTGATGTGCACTCTTCGTCCCTTTGTTCCACCCTCTATCCTGCAGCCTGGAATAGGTACGAGACTGCTGCCATCTTAGACCGGCGGTAAGAGCCACACCCTAGAGGTGGCAGAGCAGTGAGTTGGAAGAAGTCTTGGTCCCTGGGAATGTTGTGGAATAGAAATACCATACCAGGGCCAGGCGTGGTGGTTCATGCCTGTAATCCTAGCACTTTTGGGAGGCCGAGGCAGGTGGATCACCTGAGGTCAGGAGTTCTAGATCAGCCTGCCCAACATGGCGAAACCTCGTCTCTACTAAAAGTACAATTAGCCAGGTGTGGTGGCAGGCGCCTGTAATCCCATCTACTGGGGACGCTGAGGCAGGAGAATCGCTTGAACGGGAGAGGGGGGATGGGGATGTGGGGGAGTGAGGGGTGGGGGAGTGGGGGGTCGGGGGGCCAGGGGGCCAGGGAGGGGTTGCAGTGAGCTAAGATTGCACCACTGCACTCCAGCCTGGGCAGAAGAGTGAGACTCTGTCTCAATTAAAAAAAAAGAAATACCATACCAGCCCTAGGCTGCCTGCCTTCAGACTTTTATGTAAGAGAAAAATCAAAAACAATTTTTTTTTTTTTTTGAAACGGAGTCTCGCTCTATCGCCCAGGCTGGAGTGCAGTGGCGTGATCTTGGCTCACTGCAAGCTCCGCCTCCCGGGTTCACGCCATTCTCCTTCCTCAACCTCCCGAGTAGCTGGGACTACAGGCGCCTGCTACCACGCCTGGCTAATTTTTTTTGTATTTTTAGTAGAGACGGGGTTTCACCATGTTAGCCAGGATGGTCTCAATCTCCCGACTTCGTGATACACCCGTCTCGGCCTCCCAAAGTGCTGGGATTACAGGCGTGAGCCACCGTGCCCAGCCAGTTCTATCTTATTTAAGTCACTATGCTTTGGGTTTCCCTTTCTTGCAGTTAATTCTAGCTCCTCCTAAGTCAGTGGATGTATTTGGGCACTTTACTTACATGGCCTCAGTTTCCTCATCTGTGGAACTGAGATAATGCTTACATCTTGGCACACACCAGAGAGGTTTTATAGACTCACGGGCAAGAATAAACATGGAAGGCTCTGGTCCTCCTCCCTGTCTCAAGGCACACAGCCTCTATTTTGAGGGGAGTAGCAAACAAGTTGCTACCGTATTGTTGGGAGCCCTGGAAGGGCTCAGGAGGATTCTCTAGCCCTGAAAGGCCTTAGTCCCCAAATTCGTCCCTGACACCTCTGAGTCCCATCTACATTCTGCTGTTGGTGACACACAATCCTCATTAAGGGCCTGAATGATCCCAGCCAGATGGGATCCTAATTTAATTAAAACCCTTTAATTACCTGCAACAACACTGCTTTGGAAGTCCAATGCCTTAAAAGGGCCCTGTGATGGGAGGGGCACCATCCACAGGGCAGAGTAGTGGCTGCCCTTTTAGCACTGAGGGAACCCAGGGATGCAAGGTGTTTCTCTCACCCCAGTGGGCATGGAACAGCCAGTGTGGTCCAGGCTTCTGGTTGGTTTATAGGGTACAGCCAAGCAGGGGAGTGCATGAACCAGGCCCTTGGGAGCAGAGTACCAGGCTCTTGGCCTGAAGCTGTCAGTGCTGGTTTTGTGCTGACACTGAGACCAGTACAGCCTGTTCTGGTCAGGTCTGAGCACTCCCAAGACCCTGCCCCTGCAGGACACTCCGGGTAGGAGCAGGCATGGCTCTAATTTCTCCTGAATGGGCTGGCTTAAGAAGCAGCAGTTACCTCTGCAACCACCAAAGGAAATTCGTGCCCTTGTGAACAGGGTCTTTCTTCAAGATGTCATCTACTTGGGGAGGGGCGATGAAAGGGAGTAACCTGAGTGGGCTGCAGAGGGGCCACATGGTTTCTTGGGGACTTATAAGGACTGCTCATTTTTTTTGTTGGTGGTGGTTTTTTTTTTTCAAAACAGAGTCTCACTCTGTCTGTCGCCCAGGCTGGAGTGCAGTGGCATGATCTTGGCTTAATGAAATCTCCATCTCCTGGGTTCAAGCAATTCTCATGCGTCAGCCTCCCAAGTAGCTGGGATTACAGGTGTGAACCACCATGCCTGGCTCATTTTTGTATTTTCAGTAGAGATAGGGTTTTACCATGTTGGCCAGGCTGGTCGTGAACTCCTGACCTCAGGTGATCCGCCCACCTCAGCCTCTCAAAGTGTTGGGATTACAGGCGTGAGCCACCACACCTGGTCTCTTCTCGTGGTCTTGAGCCTCAACTGGCTTCTCCTGATAGAGGCAGAAAGAAGGAGCCCAGCCCAGGCCAGAGCCTGCTAGGCCTTGGCAAAGGCAGACTCAGAAACCCAGACCTGTAAGCTGGGCTGTTTGGGGGATATCATGTGTTAATACGCCCTCAGTTCTCCCTTAGTACTGAGTCCTTCAACAATTGCTTAATTAACAAAGCCTCTGAAAGTTCCGGCTGGTCTTCCCTGGCCCAGGAGATCCAGGTGAAACGGCTTTGATTCACACCTGAGCCATAGTCTTAAAGCAAGAGAAATGTTCTACTGGAGTCAGTGTGATATCAGCAGCTGGAATTGAACCAACAAATCCCAAAAGGAAGGAGAAACTCAAGAGGGAAGAGCTAAAACCACCAGGCCCCACCATTCCACACCATTCCACACCTCAAAGATTCTTCCAAAGCTAAAGCCAAGGAGGCTATCTACATGCTTTATTGAACAAGCCCTCCAGTACCAAGCCCTCTGTGCTCCCACCCACCCATCCTCTTCCTCTCTCCTCCAGAATCCTGCTTCAGTTACCCTCATCTCACTTCCCCTGCTGTCCCTACCATTCACAGCCTCTGAAAAGCCTGTTGCTACCCCTGGACTCAGGTTGTCTGAAGTAGTGTCTGCAGTGCCAACCTGCAGACTCTCTGAGCAGGAAATGTGGATGTCCCCTCTAGACTAGAGACGGGGAACAGGAGTGGCCTTCCCCTTCGGACCAGAGACTCCCTAAGGGCAGGGGCTGTGTGCCCCTCAAGACTCACCAGAGGCCGGGTGCGGTGGCTCACGCCTATAATCCCAGCACTTTGGGAGGCCGAGGCGGGCAGATCACAAGGTCAGGAGTTCGAGACCAGCCTGGCCAATATGGTGAAACCCCACCTCTACAAAAAATACAAAAATTAGCTGGGCATCGTGGTGAGTGACTATAGTCCCAGCTACTCGGGAGGCTGAGGCAGGAGAATCGCTTGAACCCGGGAGGCGGAGGTCGCAGTGAGCCGAGATCACACCACTGTACTCCAGCCTGGGCAACAGAGCAAGATTCTGTCTCAAAAAAAAAAACAAAAAAACAAAAAAAAAAACTCGCCAGAGGCAGAGTGGCACTCCCTACAGAGGTGCGGCTGATAAGCTACCTGCATGCAGGTGCTGCGGCTCATCCAACTCTGCATGAGAGGTCATCCCTGCTGTGCCTCACTGGCCTGCTGCTGATGCATGATCACAGCCTCAGCCCACTAATGTGGGAGAGGAAGTGGCAACAGGAAGACAGACTGCTGCACGGTAGGCACCCCAAATTCCCAGGTCCTCCTGGCCGGAAGAGCAGGTGTGGCAGGAAGGGTGAAAGTGGGAAAGGATGGTGGCATGCCAGCCAGTGCTGACACACCCCTCCTCTCACCTGTCCCTGATATTGTATGTTGTCTTCTCTAGAAAGGCTTTCAGAGACCCAGGTTGGCTCCTGGGGCGCAGTGAGGGGCAGGTCTCACCCTGAATCTCTTAGTCAGAAGAGAGCCAAGGCTTCTGGCTCCTAACCAAGTGACTTTTTCCCATTATGCCAGGCTTCCTCGCCCCAGATCCCCTTCATGGCTTGGCAAAGAAAGCCCTACTTGGTCCTAGGGAGCCTGGACTCCCCTCACTTTGGGGTGAAGGCAAAGGTGTGCCAAGCTGGGATATGTTTGAAGACAGCTGTGTCTGAGTCTTCATTGGCATGTGATCATCTACCCACCTTGCCTCTCTGGGCCTTGGATGGCAATTCTTCCCCCACCTGCTCACATGGTCCCTGTGAGGGCCAAACTGGCCCAGTGGATGGTGAGCCCCACATCACTGTCGGCCCCAGCCGCTAGTGCTCACAGGCATCCACAGGAATGGGGAGAGGGCTGGGTTTCTCTTTCTTTTCAGGGCAGGCTATGTGGCACAACAGCTGAGTGCACAGATTCTGAAGCCAGGTTGCGTGGATTCAAATTCGTGCCCTGCCACCTCGTAACTGTAGACCTTGGGCAAGTTACTGATCATCTTTGCATTTCAATTTCCGCATCTGTAAAGTGGGGATGCTTGCTCCTCGCAGAGGGCTGTTGTGAGTTGGAGCTGTGTTTGGCACAGGGGCGGTGCTCAAGACCAGCGGCCCAATGACAGCTCATGATGCCTGTCCTGCTCCTGCCAAGCCTGGGTGGGAGGTAGGGAGAAGAGTGGCCATGGGCTCTATCATTCCTTGCTGCATATCCTAGCTGGGCACAGCTTTGCCTTCACCCCAAAGTGAGGGGAGTCCAGGCTCCCTAGGACCGAGTAGGGCTTTCTTTGCCAAGCCATGAAGGGGATCTGGGGCGAGGAAGCCTGGCATAATGGGAAGAAGTCACTGGGTTAGGAAGAATGTGCAGGAAAAAAACTAGGGAAGGTCAGAAGTCTGTCATGTCTACAAAAGATGACACATAAAAAGGAATCTACTTTTGTTTTCCTTGATTCTGGCCCAAAAATGGGGCACTCGGTTGCATTCCCTCTGTTCCTTGGCCCAGCATCTCACTTGTGCAAGCACCAGCCCTTCCAGTGCACTGAGTGGTTTCATCTGTGTACCACCCTCTGGACCTCTACCTGTAAACAAACGAGGCTCAGAGAATGCAGGCAACTAAAGGATTTTTATTTAGGGACCCAGAGAGCTGTCCAACAGGCACACTCTCCAGGCAAGGGGACCCTCCTGCCTTACCTTGCCCTGAGTCCTGGCCCCAGTGCCCTGTCCCCCAACCATGTACCGATAACCCAGTGCCCTCCCTCTCTCCTCACCCAGCCTCATCACCTTCGCCTGGCAGATCAGTTTCTCTAGGCTTGGATGGCCCCATGATCCCTTGCTGGTACCCCCTGTGAATGCGTGTGTGAAACATGTCCCTGTCTTGGACTGTATCCTTGAGGGTGAGGACCATGTCTGTTCTGCCACATAGTGAGTCCCCTGAGGACAGGGCCTTTTGTGACCCTTTCCTTCCATACTTTGAGAAGGGCCAAGTGCCTCGGGTACACACAGGGCCTGGCTAGTAAATCTGGTTGACTCACAGATGAACTCAATACAGTTTCTATTGTGGGAATCTTTCACAGGGACAGGGAGAAAGAGAAGGGAAAAGACAGAGGTGAGGAGGCAGCTACATTCTGCCATGCCACGCTGGCTTGGGTAAATAGAGGGTAGACGGGGCATGAGTGTGGAAAGGTATATAATGCCCCCATTTCCCAGTCTTGGCAGCTCCCAGGCCTGGGAGAGGAGGGGGCCTGCTGCCACTCAGTCAGGCTCTGCCATCTGCCACATCTCAGCAGAGATCAGAACTGGAGGGCTCATTGTAGGCAGGTTTTGTTTTTTCTCTAAATGTGGCAGGATCAGGCTCAAGATGTCACTCTAGTGAGCAGGACTAGAGATGGGGAGATAAATGTCTACGAAAATAGGGGAGAAATAAATGGAAGCTTCTATGTTCCAGAAGAGAAGAATGGGGGCAAAAAAAGAAAAAAGAAGAGAAGCTAAATAAGATAGTGTAGGGAAGATGGGCTCGATTTAGCAGGTTTGCATCCATCTTTCCCCAGCCACTCAGAAGGCAGCAACAGCCCAAGACACAGGACTCCTGGGTCCCAAGTGCCTTCCTCTCCTCAACCCTTGTGTTTTTTGTTTTTTTTTATTAAAAAAATTTTTTTAGAGACAGGGTCTCACTATGTTTCCCAATCTAGTCTCAAACTCCTGGACAAGGGATCCGCTCGACTTAGCCTCCAGAGTAGCTAGGACCACAGGCTTGCGCCACCATGCCCAGCCCCAACTCTTATCTTATTTTTTTGAGACGGAGTTTCGCTCTTATTGCACAGGCTGGAGTGCAATGGTGCAATCTTGGCTCACTGCAACTTCCACCTCCCGGGTTCAAGCGATTCTCCTGCCTCAGCCTCCCCAGTAGCTGGGATTACAGGCACGCGCCACCACGCCCGGCTAATTTTGTATTTTTAGTAGAGACGGGGTTTCACCATGTTGGTCAGGCTGGTCGTGAACTCCCGACCTCAGGTGATCCGCCCACCCTGGCCTCCCAAAGTGCTGGGATTACAGGCAAGAGCCACCGTGCCCAGCCCCCAACTCTTATTTTCATACCTACAAGCCAAACTGCCTCTGCCATGCCTCTGAGCTTCCTCTCTGGAATGCCTAATCTCCTAACTTTTGGAGACTGTAACAATGATGACAGTGATGATCATAAATGAAGAAGGAAAGAGTGATTTCCAGGTGAGTGAAAGATTTGACACAGGCTCTTTCCTGGGACCTCTGCGGACTCTCCCTCTTCCATATCACAACAGGTAAGATACCTGGAAACTTGCAGGACGCCAGGCCAGCTCGTCTACTCAGGATGCTTTTTCCAGAGTGAATCCTACTCAGAAGATTCCCACACTCCCAAAGGTGCCCATTTTAGTGTCTCATTACAGATTTTTATTCCAATCTAAGAAATCCTTACAGGAACTGGTCTCAGAAGGCCATATATGGCTTAGTTCAGAAACAATAATATAGCAATAGCTATAATCTTAGTAGCAGTTTACCTTTCTGAGGCCTTTATTCAATGCTAGGCACCATGATGAAGATGTGACATGTATATTTTCATTAATTCCCCACAAGAAGTCTATGAGATATACCCATTTTACAGATGAGGAAACTAAGGCCAGGATCACGAGTGGTGGCAGGAGATGGAAGCCAGACTCCTAGACTCCAGGTGTGTGCTCTCCAAACACCTGCCGCGGCTGGGCCCTTGGTGCAGCCTGCACTCTTACCAGCTCTTCTTCAACAGCTAGTTCAGATCATGTCTCCAAACCCCACCCTTTCCCAGTTCTCAGCCACTGACCTTATTTCCACTTAAATCTGAAAAACATACGACAAACTTGCTCAACCTCCCAGTATCAGACAAACCCACTTATTTCTGCAGGACTCTCCTCACATCTAGAGAGAGGATTCATCCCTGCCTAAGCCCACTTATCTGTTCCTTCTCCAGCACTCTTAGAACCTGAAGGCATAGACTGTCCCCGCTGTACCGGATCCTGGAGTTTCGACTGCTTCCTCTCTACTGGATCTTTCCCATCAGCTTTAAACATGTTACGTCTCCTTCATTCTACAGACAAAACCAAAACACTCCCCTCAACGCTTTTTCCTCCTCCAATTATTGTCCTTTGTCCTTCCCTTCACAGCCATGCTTCAAAGGCTTGCCTGTCTCCAGTTCCTCACCTTCCCCCATCAGGGTCCCTTCCCTGAAACGGCATTGGCTAAGGTCACCAATGACTTCCATGTTGTTAACTCCAGTGGGCATCTTTTACTCTCTTATTCAACAGTTTTTTAAAAAATTCTTTTAAATCTGGTTCACTTAACTTTGTATTTCCTTCATATAGATCTCTGGCCACTTCTCCTTTGTGGCGTATCTTCCTGTACTAGGCTTTAAGTATAAGAATTCCATAAAGTTCAGTCCTGGGCCCCCTTTCTCCTCACTCTACACTCCTCCTCAGTGATCTAACACCCCAGGATTTCAATGGCACCCCTAAAACTATATCTCCCAGAACCATCTCTCCAGTCCCAACCTCTCTTCTGAGCTCTAGGCTTATCAACTCAACAGCCCATGTGATACCTCCATTTGGATTTCTCAAGGCATCTCATAGTCAACAAGTAAAATAAAATCAATGACCTGATTGCCCTCAAGCCTGTTTATCTTCCCATTGGTCTCACTTCGGTGAATCCATCTATTCACACAAGCCGGAAACCTCTTCATCCTTACTCTGTCCAATTCATCAAGTTCTGCCAAATTTGCTTCCTAAAATCCCTCTCATATAGATGTACTCTTCTCCAGCTGCGCCACCTTCCTACTTCAAGTTCTGTCATCTCTTCCCTTCTTCCACCCCCAACCCCAATGCTAATTTTTCCATACTCTAGCCAGAGATCTTATTAAAATGCAGATCTTGTCATCCCCTGCTGCCTAAAGCTCCTCCATGGCTTTCCCATCGCTCTAGTTTAAGTATCTAAATCCTAATGTGACCTACGAAGGTTCTGCCACGGCTTCCAACTTGCTCTCACACCTCTCCACACTCTAGCCACCTGGCCTGCCCTAGGCTCCTGGAACAACACACTAAGCTCCCTCCTGCCTCAGGGTTTTATGAATGCAATTTCTGTGTGTGGAATGTGCCTTCCCAAGTACCAAGCTGACAGCTCCTCATCCTTCAGTTCTCACTTCAAGAGCTGATTTCTTAGAAAGGCCTTTCTGGATTCCCCAGACAAGATAGTTCCACGCAGAGGATCTCACAGTACCCTACACATTTCCTTCAGGGTGCTTACCATGCTTTGACATTATTTGTGGGATTATTAAGGATAATCTCGTCCCATTAGACTCCAATGACTACAGGGAGCAGTTAGTTTTACTCACTGTTGTATCCCTAGAAACTAGAACAGTCCTTGGCACATAGTAAATGGAATGTATAAATGAACTATTAGCAAAGAAAACAAAAAGAGCTGTAAAAACTCTTGGCCAAACCAAGGCAGAGATTCTTAAATATTGGTGGGAGAAGACCCTCGGGATCACCTGTTGGCAGGCGTGCTGACCACTCTCAAATGCCCTTTTCTTCTTTTAAAATGAAAAACTGTTGTTCAGAGATAATGGGGCAGAAAGGATGCAACTACGGAGAAAACTCCATGGAATCACTGAAGATTATGTTGGATAACATGTCAGTCACAATGTCTACTTTTCATTAGTGTTTCAATAAAATACACACTTCTGGCTGGGTGCGGTGGCTCACGCCTGTAATCCCAGCACTTTGGGAGGCTGAGGCGGGCAGATCATGAGGTCAGGAGTTCGAGACCAGCCTGGCCAGCATGGTGAAACCCCAGGTCTACTAAAAATACAAAAAATTAGCCAGGCATGGTGGTGCATGCCTGTAGTCTCAGCTACTCAGGAGGCTGAGGCAGGAGAATTGCTCAAACCCAGCAGGCAGAAGTTGCGATGAGCTGAAATCACGCCACTGCACTCCAGCCTGGGTGACAGTGTGAGACTCTGAATCAAAAAAAAAAAAAAAAATTACACACTTCCAATACTGATAAGATATAGAAATTTTAAAATGTGTTAATTTAACCAGAGAGTAAAATATATAATACAACAGGTATCAGTGTCAATGTATCTTTCGATTTCTGAAAAGGCAGTATTTCATTTTGCTTTTAAACTACATAAATGTATTATTTTTGTTTCCTGAGACAGGGTCTCACTCTGTCACCCAGGCTGGAGCGCAGTGGTGCTCATGGCTCACTGCAACCTCAAACTCCTCGGCTCAAGCGATCCTCCCACTTCAGCCTCCCAAGTAGCTGGGACTACAAGCATATGCCACTGTGCCCAGCTAATTTAAATTTTTTTTTTTTTTGTAGAGACAAGGTTTCATTATGTTCCCTAGGCTGGCCTTGAACTCCTGAGCTCAAGCAATCCTCCTGCCTCAGCCTCCCCAAGTGCTGGGATTACAGGCATGAGTCACTGCGCCCAGTCCATAAATGCATTTTTAAAATGCTATGGGTGGCCAGGCATGGTGGCTCACATCTGTAATCCCAGCACTTGGGAAGGCCAAGGCGGGTGGATCACTTGAGGTCAGGAGTTGGAGAAGAGTCTGGCCAACATGGCGAAACCCCGTCTCTACCAAAAACATAAAAATTAGCCGGGTGTGGTGGCGCACACCTGTAGTCCAGCTACTGGGGAGGCTGAGGCAGGAGAATCGCTTGAACCTGGGAGAAGTCCGAAGTGAGCCACGATCGTGCCACTGCACTCCGGCCTGGTGACACAGCGAGACTCTGTCTAAAATAATAATAATAATAATAATTTTAAAAAATGCTATGGGTAACAGGAGATGAGGCACACAAATGTCCAGTGGTGTGCTGGAGCTGGTTCACACTGGATCTCTAGAGATAATCATTAAATTTTCAGGAATTTGAGAGCTGGTTGCTAAACAGCCATTATTAAAAATTCAATTATACTAACATACAATTAGTAAAGGTAATAAGTACCCAAGACTTATTTCTTTCTAATTATTTTACATTTTACTACTATCCATGCTCAGCTATGGTGGGCTGTGCTGCTCTTCCCAACTCTGCTTCAGTGATGTCATTTTAGTGATCCAGAATCAGCCATGGTGGCAGTGTTTACACCGTGGGAACTGGCAATGCTGCCAGCCGGGCTTCCATGTCTGGGAACTGAATGGTGTACCTTTATAGCACACCAAGAACCAAACCACTGGCCCATGAAAACATTTGAAGGTCTGAAGCAAATGTTTACTTGGAAGATGAATAGGTTAAAAAGTAAAGAAACATGTCAGCTGGGCGTGGTAGCTCATGCCTGTAATCCCAGCACTTTGGGAGGCTGAGGCAGGCGGATCACCTGAGGTCGGGAGTTCAAGACCAGCCTGACCAAAATGGAGAAACCCAGTCTCTACTAAAAACACAAAATTAGCCAGGCATGGTGGCGCATGCCTGTAATCTCAGCTACTCGGGAGCCTGAGGCAGGAGAATTGCTTGAACCCAGGAGGCAGAGGTTGTGGTGAACCGAGATCGCGCCATTGCAATCCAGCCTGGGCAACAAGAGTGAAACTCCGTCTCAAAAAAAGAAAAAAAAAAAAAGTATAAAAACATGTCTTTAAGAAATCCTTCTCAAAATTGTGTAAGGGTTGAAGGCAATTTCTTCTCAACTTAAAGCTACAGTTGTTCTACAACATGGCTTTCATAACAAATACCACTTACTAAAGTGTCCATCGTTTATAGGACAACCTGTACACCATTACTTCTAGACAAAAACAAATGTGTTGACTAGATTGAGATACAAATCCTGAAGAGTAGGAGAGATCCCCTTCCTCTCTCCCTTTCAAACTTCTGGAAAGAGGAGCTTATTCTCAATCTATGTTTTCTCACCTCCTTGTCAGGCTTGGCTCCTGCCTCCACCATTTGACTGAAACTGCTCGAAGGTAACCCTTGACCTCCTTACTGCTAAATTCAATGGCTTCTTTTTAGTCCTCAGTTCTACGGGCTCTCTGGTTTATTTCTGCCTCCTCCATTAGACTGAGTTAATAGAACAGAAATCCTACCTTCCATACTAGGCTTAGCCTAGCACAGTGTCTGGGGCCTCCTAGATGCTCAGCAATTGTTTGCTCAGTGGCTGGAAATGTAATCTCTGTGACCTTGGGCATGCCACCTCACTTCCATGGATGTCTGTTTTCTTAGACATGAAAAGAAGGTGAATCATGTGGGACCCCTTCTTTTTTCTCCTTCAGTTTGTCGAGACTCACCTTTAAGGGTCTTGCAAGGGCTAAAACTCTCCCCCTGCTCGCCTTTTTTTTTTTTTTTTTTTTTGAGATGGAGTCTCGCTCTGTCACCCAGGCTGGACTGCAGTGGCGTGATCTCGGCTCACTGCAACCTCCGCCTCCTGGGTTCAAGAGATTCTCCTGCCTTAGCCTCCTGAGTAGCTGGGACTACAGGCACATGCCACCATGCCCAGCTAATTTTTGTATTTTTAGTAGAGATGGGGTTTCACCATGCTAGGCAGGCTGGTCTCAAACTCCTGACCTTGTGATCCGCCCACCTCGGCCTCCCAAAGTGCTAGTTACAGGCATAAGCCATCGCACCCAGCCAACTCTCCCTATTTCAAGTGAGCGTTATAAGTGGATGTGTCCACTTTTACTACCAGGCAAACTCCTGGATTTTCACCTTCTCTTTGGTCCTTGGGTCTAAGCTCCAAAGCTTTCCCTTTGCCTCCTGTTGTTTCTTGGCTCAGAGTCAGGCTGAGTGACCTTGAGGAAGTTACGTAGCTATCTTCCCAAGCTATACAATTGGAATGAATGGGAGCTGTGCAAGACAAGCTGGCAAATGTTTAGAACTCCTGTGAGATCTGTAAACTGCAGGTATTGGAGCTACATCCCCAAACTAGAGTTACACATATTTTATCTTCGTAACATTTCTCCCCTGGAGTTGATCCCCTTCAACTCCTTAATCATTTCAGTTGCTTGCACTGAATTCCCTCAAGTCTAAAATTCTTTTTTTCCTAGAGCTGCAGAAATCAAGACCAAACAGTATTCCAGATGCCACTTTCTACTCCAGCAACTATAGGATTTACAGAGGGGGAGGGATCATCTTGCTAATGGCTCAGCAGCATAAAGATCCCATCAGTCAACAACATTCAAGTTCCTGTTCTCATCCGGAGGTCAAAGCTTCTGGTTCTCCCAACTCATTATCCCAAATACTGATCATCCTACATTTGCTTTCCTGCTCACTGTCTCCATGAGGTGTCCATCTATTGGGTCAAAGGCCCCAACATGGCGCGGTCACCTCTGAAATTAAAAGAAGGAAAACGCATTCACCTTGTGCATACACGTACATAAAGAGCAGCCCAACGATACTCACCTGAATGTTAGATTAGTCAGCAAGCCATTAGAAATGAATCTAAATGATGTAGGGCAGAGTTCAGTGACAAGTCAAGAGATAAAGGAAACATACAGGGCTCAGGCTGATTAAAAAGATAATTAGTTGTGGAAAATAAGGTTGGGCTCCAGCCCAGAATTTGTCTTTGACAAAGATAAACCAAAGGCTTTGATACAGTCATTTTGGGGGGATTTAGTTGTTCTTTTATAGGAGTTGAAGAGCAAGAACAAAGCAACAGTCAGTTTCAAAGTGCAGCTCAACTCCCCCTCTGTTTGTTGTTCTGCTCATAAACATACAAGCTGTTTCCTTTCATCTGCACAGGCTCATACAATATGGAGATCCCACAATAGATTTACACCAGATTTAAAGATGAATGTGCAGAGCTGTGGTCAAGCCAGGGATCTTCCGGCCTAAGAAAGATCTCAATGTGCCTGGCTGGAATTAAAAAAAATACAAGAGAAAGCTCTTCAAGACCTAAAAGGCTTTAACAGTGAAAAAGAAAAGAGGAGCATCTCTTACCCAAATTGTTAAAACCCACAAAGGTGTTTGAGATGCCTAGTAACAATGCAAAGAGCTTTAATCTTTACATAGGGAATGGGGAAAATTTTCCATAGGTGGTCGGATATATGGGGTAAGCTGACAACACAGGGGAAGGGGAGATGGGGATGATGCCAGATATTCTATGTGGAACTGAAACTGCAACTCCAATGGTTCTGCGAAACTACTTGCCCGAAATACTGTTTTGATAAATAAGCCATATCCTCGTGGAATTGAAATCTCCAACTGCTTCACTGGCACGGACATCTCTGCAGTGACAGCTCATGCCCCAGATTGTGGAGTTAACTTGAATTAAATTTCAGATGTGGGGGAGCTAAGGGAGGGGGGTGGTGGCAGTGGGAGGTTTATGAACAGTATGCTGGGGCTCTGATGTTGTCATAACCAGATGGCTTCAACTGTATCATTTAAAACAAAAACAAACATGTCCAGAAAGAATGAAATAATGACAGAAGCATCCAGTAGCTTTACCTGTACCTGAAATCCCAACAGCTTTGTACCCACAGTAAAGCCCAAGTTGGAAATTCCATAAATATTGAAGATCCCAGAAGAGACCTTCATCCTGACAGAAGCTAGGTGCCAGGACTGCTGTCCTCCTGAGGGCATAGTCCCTGAACTCACCAGCATCCCAACCCACAGCTGTCTGTGAATGAAGAGGAAAGCAAATCTGAAGCCTGGTTTGTCCTTCTGGAACCTCTGAAGAACAGGCCAGCAGAGGCACCTTTCCAGAGCTTTGTTCTTGCTATTCCCACAGGAAGGAAGCTTTACTTTCAGTTTTGTACCTAAACATTTCAGAAATGGAACTTCCTCCAGTTAATTACGTAATCTTCAGGATACTCCATTAGAAGATCTGGCATTCAATAGTTGTATGATCTGAGGCATGTCCCTTCTCTGGGTTTCTGCTTCCCTCATCTACACAGTGGGAAGATGCCATATCTCACCTGTCCCACCAAGTTCGTCAAGTTGTTGGGAAGTTCAGATGAAATACTGTATATAAATTTAGCTGGAAAAACCTAAGACGATATGGGTAGAGGAGACTTTGAGTTCGCCCGGATTCTTGGACTTGTGTGCTGATCTGGAAAGCTAGGATGGAGGAGGCACAGGACAGCAGCCAGCAGCCAGCAGCCAGCACATGCAGAACTGGGTACTTCCTCACACAGGGGACGCTTCCCAGGGGAAACCGGGAATTGCAATGGAGTGGTTTCCAATAAACTAATCCTGCCTTTGATTATGTTAGTAACAGATCATATTTATCCATTCTAGAGGCAGTAAGATAAATGAAAAGTCGGAAAATGTACAAAGTCTAAGGTCCACTGAAGGGAAATAGAAGGAGAAATAGGTTGAGGTTCCATCAAAGGTAAAAAATACACAGGCTGGCCAAATAGCTGATGCATTCTTCAATATATCCCACTGTCCTAACAGAGCCACAAAAAAGGCAGACAGGGAGCCCCAGAACATTCTTGTGAGCTCCAGTATTAGCTTTTCTGGAAACACATCAAGTCAATGACAGAACCAGTTAGAGACAATAATTTCCCTTTATTTAATCTCCACATTTATGTCCCCTGGATCTTTTTATATTTAGTTAGAAGAAGGGAGGTGGGGATTAGGTCTTAAAACATACGGGGGGCAGTTTAAAAGCCCACTACCATTACTTGCCTTGGCAGAGGTAGGGGCCTGATCCCTCATCAGGATATGGACTGTGAGATACTCAGGGAGGACAAGAGACTGGCAGATGCTGATAGCTCACAAAGAGAACTTGAGATTACGGAGTCTCAACAAATCCCTGCGACTCATTAGGCATTTCAGACATAATCTCTGCAAGCTGAAAACTAGGACTTCAAAATCCCTTAAGCAAGGGACTCAGACCCAAGAGACAAGGCAGGTGAGTGAAACAAAAGACCAGAGATACCACACAGTACAAAATAGTAATTATTTATATTTTCAAAAAAAAAAAAATTAACATTTGGAAGTTCTCCCCTGGAGGAAGAGGGGCTAGTCAGAAGGAACAGAACTGGCTCCTATGCAGGCGGCAAGTCAGGTACAAACAGCTGAGCAATCTGGGCTGGGATTTTATCACACAGCATTTTTAATTGATAAAATTTCCTTCTCTCTTCTTTTGTTCTGTTTTTGTTTTGTGTGTTTTTTTTTTTGTTTGTTTTTTAGAAAAAGGGGTGGGGGAGAAGAAATAAAATCAGAGAAAAATGCCCAAAAACATTTTCCACAATATCTAAAAACAGAGAACCATAGTTCTTGTCAAGACAATATGAATTCTGGATGAGTTATTTTTTCCAGTTTTCAACACCAATAAAGATTTTTGCAAAAGCCACCACATCAGAACACTCATCTTCCAGATCAAATAACCTTCCCCTTTTGCCTTCACTTGTCATTTTTCATAAAAGGATAAAAGGATGTATTCTGTTCTTGCAAACAATAAGTGCTAACAACAAGAGAGCTCTTCTGATGCTTGTATGGTGGTAAGGAGTTTTCACAAATATCCAAGTTTTAGCACAGTTAGAAGGACTAAAATTTGTTTCTCTCAATATAAATACTACTGGAATCCACAAACTGATTTTTGAGAAATTCTGCAAAAATCTTTTCTTCTTTCCTTTTCCCTTCTGTTAAAACTCAATGTCCTTTCTTTTTTTTTTTTCCTTTTTGCTCCAGGCACCTGACGATTTGTTCTGCTCAGTCAGATGCAGACAGGTGTCTCCGAAGTACCACCGCTGGGATATCCTCGGGCCAGCGCCTAAACTGAATCCCCACAGTATCAAACTCAGCCAGGCCAAAGGGAACACAGTGACGCAGCAACAGGGTTTTCATTTCATTTTCCCTCCCCCCGTTTCCCCCAAGTTATTTAGTGCTGTTTTAAAAGTCTGGGGCCACAATGCAGTCTCTTCCCCTCACAACAGAGTAAAAGCTCCACAGATTGCGCTGTCTACCTGGTGGTCAGTGGCAGCAACAGTGGCTGCTGCTTCTGGAAATTAAACGGAGTCTTACAACAAGCAGGATCTTAGGATTGCTTCAGGCGTTTGCGTGGGGGTCCCAGAAAAGGGCACTGTGCTGAAGCCAGAGAGCGGTATGCCTCAGCCACCAAGTGGGGATGTGACACCACCATTGACTTCCACCCAGAGGTCTCCAAGACATCCGAAGCATGACTAGGAGAAATGTGGAGAAATGGGTTACCAAAGGGAGTGAGCAAGGGATGAATTCAACAGCCACCTAGATAGCCTAATTTTCCACTGTTAGGTATAAAGGGTGTCAATGCAAGAAACAGAAGAACCCTTAATATGCATAAGAATTTGCTTGTTAGACAATGAGCAGACTGGTGACTTGCCTGTGGCTGTCGTCATCTGAAAACCAAGACTTTGAGCCACTATATTCTCAAAAACAAAAAGCAGAATGTTCCCCAGGCCCCCAACACTGCCTATGTTCCTTATATTCACCGGTGATGCTAGTCATAAAAAGGAGCATGGGCTCCCTCGGCCAGAAGCCCTGAGCTTCTGCCTGGCTTTGCCACTCACCAGCCTTTAACCACAGGGCAGATCAGAGCCTGGGGCCTACTTGATTATCAAAAAAGAGGGGAGGATAACCATACTTCATTCAATGGTTAATATCTCAAAAGCACCAAGCAAGTGTCCAGCACACAGTAAGCACTCAAAGGAACTCACACTGATGGGTCTCTCCCCTCCCTCTTCTGCCTCACTTGATCACTCCTTAGAAAATAATTCTACAACTAGACCTAGAGGATGTTATTTCCTGTCTTTGGGAATTTTCTATGTTGAATATTGTTCACTCATCCACCTGGAATGTCTCAGACCTGTCCTGCCCCAGAACTGCTGTTGTGAGGGCTTTTCTTCTTTGGGTTTTTTCCAGCTTTTGCTCTCTCCATGGGGCAAGGGAGTAGAACATGTCCCACTGAGAAGATGGGTTGTAGTTACAACTCATCTTTCATATTATTATTCTTATTATTTCATATTATTATTATTCCATATTATTATTTCAGAAAGTAGTATTTCCAGGTCATTTGTCACTTAAGATGAAGGAACAGACCTAGTGGAATGAACATTTCTTTCTCAAAACAGTGAAACCAGCTACTGATGATCCCTTCTTTTTTCCTTATTCTACAACCAAACATGAGGTACATTTTACTAACTCATAAACATATGTCTATCCTCCTAGAAATCTACATGTCTTTTATTAAGTCACTCAGTGTGAAGTAAAGATACTATCATTTGGGGCATACAGCTTTTTCAGGCCAGCAAGTTATTTTCATCACTTCGATTCACTATGAGGAAGTAAAACACTTTACTCACCAATAGGATTCAACCCATGAAGTCAATTCCATACGGTCAACTGAAGGAAAAGATGAAAACTCTATTCTTACTGCCAAAAGGTTAATGAAGCTACTTGCCTGCTTTACCCACTAATTCAAAGCCTTTCTCATTTCTTCAGCTATCCAACTATTTTGAAAGAAGAACTTTGAAGATGCCAACTCACTAGTTGATGAAATCCACTGCCTGAGTTTTCAACTGATCTGCACTGTGGAGGTCGGCCAGGATGAGAATTTCTGCAGCGTTCTCCACGGACAGGTTACTGCAGAGGGCATCCTCACACATGACCTTTAAGCGCTCCAGGGCATACTGTAAAACACAAGCACTGCTGTCATCAGAGCAGCAATAGTTCTGGGCTGACCACTACTGAAGCTGTTTTCTTTAGCTGTACCATCATATTAACTAGATACTTGAATAGAACTGCACAGACCATGAAAAGCTACTACTGCAATGATAAAACATAACCATTTCTGAAGGTTAGATGTTTAAGCTTGAAATGTAAACAGCTAAAGTAACTTGGAAAGCTGCCATTAGAGTTCTAAAGTCTACCTATTAGAAAAATGGCAATTACAGGGTAGATCTGCATCCTGAAGTTTACTCTCCTCCTGACTGTGATGAAAGTTGTTCTTAAACCTTCACCACTTACAATTACAGTGAGGCATCAGTCTGCTTCACGTCAACAGGGCAACTCAATGGTCTGCCCTTCTAGGCCCTGCGGTCTGTGGAAACATGATCTGTGGGGAAGGGTGAAAGAATTGGTGTCTACCCTGTGAAATCCCTTATTTACTGCAATCCCCTTAGAGCCAGAAGAGGGTGAAGCACAGTCCTTTTGACTTAAGCACTGTCACTAGCCCAGCAAGATATCCCAACTGGCCCATCAGGTTGTGAAAAGGAGCCCTGTGGTGACTTTTACCAACACCTCTGCCACTAGTTGTTTCTGAATGAGGGTCAACTAAA
This sequence comes from Homo sapiens, assembly GCF_000001405.40. NCBI lineage: Eukaryota > Metazoa > Chordata > Mammalia > Primates > Hominidae > Homo > Homo sapiens. Next base: position 49,602,656 of record NC_000017.11, read on the forward strand.
GGCCTCCTTTTAAATAGAGAAGGATAAATAGAGTCTTATTTTACTGGGGTTGAGGTTAAGCTTCTCAGGGTAAAAGGACAAAGTGGCAGAGAGCCTAAATGCAGTTTCAGTTTAAAAACTTCAGTTTAAAAACTTGTATTTTCTAAGAAAAGGGCATAAATGTTCTTGAAATGGAAAGCCTAGGTTAATGCTGGGCACATCTGATCTACTTGATTGGTTCAGATACAGCTCTACCACTTGTTCTCTAATATGAGATTATGAACTTACTAGGAACTTGAGGGATAGGAAAGAGGAAGGAAATACAAGGAGGCACAAAATAAAATGTCATTGATCAGTTCACAGGAAAACAGTTTGCTTTGAGGCTATGCACAGTCTCCTTATAGGCCCCAGCTTGAAGGCCCCAGAACTCAATGACACAATGCCCCTTCAGGGTGAATCATGGCAATCAAATCAGGACAATTTAATTGTTATGAATTCTGGGTGAGGAGGCATATCTGCTGGCACTGTGATCTCCTGCAGCAAAAAAGAGAGGTTTTATTGGTTTTGGTGCAGCTTTAATTTTTTACATTTGAGTAACTGGAAAACAGTTTCCATGGAAAACAGGAATAACATTAGATAAGCAAGAAATGAAGTTGCCGTTTTTGTTTTAAAAGGCTGAAATGTTCAGTTTTTTATACAGTGCTGCCCAGACGATTCCTCTTATCCTTTCTCAATACATTCTTTTAAAAGGACTTTTACTGTGAATAGCTCTGATCCCTATTGCATAATTAGACAAAAGTAGCCATTCTTGTCCCTTGGGGACAAAGTTTTTTCTTAATTATGCTTCTGAAAAACCTGCCTAATGGCAGTACTTACCCAAGAGATGGAAATTGTGTCTCCCAGGCCTAGCCCAACGAGTTTTGTTGTTTTTGGTCTAATTACACATGTCCCCAGGAGACTGGAAAAGCTTAAGAGAAGCTGTTTCAGCCTCTTGGGTAAATTCTAGATGTTTAGATCATTCCATGAAAGATTTCTTATTCTGTTTTCCTAAAACTCACGAAGAGGTGTAAAGGTAAAAACGTTTTCAAATAGGCTTGAAGCAAAAACTGTCTAGTTGGAAATTCTGAATGGAATTTGAAAATACACCCTTCAATTACTTCTCATTCATAAATTTAAAGCACTGCCGTGATTCAACAGCTTTATCTTTTAAAACCACAAGTTAACACATTGTGCTGAAATGCTATCCTTGAAATGGCAGTTCAGGCTGATCACCATGCCCTGTGTACTTACAGTAGGTTACCAGTAGGTTTTCTGGCTAGGGAGCAAGAATGAAAACTAAGGGACATGGCAGAAGTTTAATCTTGGCTCTGCGGATATACAACTCTGAGCCTTAGTATTTCTGTCTAAAAAGTGGGCCTTGCAATACTTATCCTTATGGAATCTAGAAGATGAGAGGATAAACACATGATGTGTATAAGTACAAGTGACCACTTCCTTAAAAATCAGAGCACAGATCAGGCAGAATCATAATTAACTTTATAAAAGGCAGTTATTGGATTGTGTCTTCTACTTTCCCAGAGCTTGCAGTGAATATTTTCTTACTGTCTCCATTAAAAGCAAGTTTCCCCTGGTCAGAATTGAGGTAGACTGGAAGGGTATGGAATTTTCACATTGCTTCATTGTACTCATAAAGTCTTGAAAAGTGACAAGAAAGATACGGTTATTATTCCAATCTTCTTCATCAGGAGCACTGATGGCATTTACCTGCCCCATCCTCCACATACACTCCAAAAGCTGATCAATAAAGATAAAACCTCCACTATAAACACAGGCACTTTCCTCTGTCCTCAGGCACAAAGGGAGGTAGGAGACTATCCCATGAGCAAACCCTGGAAGGCTCTTGTGTCCTTAGACCAGAGCCCACTTTTCCCTCCAATGGGTATTGCAGCATCACAGCAGGAAAAGGAGGTGCTTTTGGCAGATAACCCTCTTTCTCACAGGGTCTACTGCTGGCAGGATCTACGCCCTTCTCCCATCCTCACGCCAACTCTACTTGTCCGCCAACACAGGAAAAGCTCCCACAGGGTAAACACCAATTCTTTCACCCTTCCCCACAGGTCATGTTTCCACAGACCGCAGGGCCTAGAAGGGCAGACCATTGAGTTCTCTCTCTGATGTACCTAAACAATGAAAGTCCGTTTCCCAATGTGCGTTTTGGGGACCACTAATCTTGCAGGTGATCCTTGAGAAAAAGGATTCCAGGGTTAACTAAATTGGAGAAATGCTGTCTATCATAATTCCTGTTAGAAAATTCACAGTAACATTAATATGCTACATGTTCTGAGAAATCCTGCAGTAAGATAGCAACTATTTGTCTTGGTTAAACTCAGTATTTTTCATAAGACTTTCCCACCAACCTAATATCTGTTGATATTTCACCTTATTTTGGGAATCACTGACCGAATTATTTTAGGTAATCATCATATGTCTTTGATTCTAAGATCTGCATTTTTATTTCCACACTTGAACACTTCTCAAATTGAAATGTGTCATGAAGTACAATTTATTCTACTATTAAGCTATTAATTCTCTCATAATTTTGAAGAAATACTGTTTATTTCAATAACTACTAAGGTAAAAGTTGAAAATGCTAACCAGGACACTAGGTAAAAGATTACGGCCATGCCTCACTATCCTTGGGGGACTGGGTCCAGGGCCCCGCAAATACCAAAATCTGTGAATGCTCAAGTCACTTATATAAATTGACAGTATTGGCCAGCCATGGTGGCTCACACCCATAATTTCAGCACTTTGGGAGGCTGAGGTGGGCGGACCACTTGAGGTCAGGAGTTCGAGAGCAGCCTGGCCAACATGGTGAAACCCTGTCTCTACTACATATACAACAATTAGCTGGGTGTGGTGGTGCATGCCTGTAATCTCAGCTACTCGGGAGGCTGAGGCAGGAGAACTGCTTGAACCTGGGAGGCGGAGGTTGCAGTGAGCCGAGATTGTGCCACTGCACTCCAGCCTGGGCAACAGAATGAGACTCTGTCTCAAAAAGTAAATAAATAGACCAGGTGCAGTGGCTCACACCTGTAATCCCAGCACTTTGGGAGGCAGAGGTGGGCGGATCACTTGAGGTCAGGAGTTTGAGACCAGCCTGACCAACATGGCGAAACCCCATCTCTACTTAAAATACAAAAATTAGCCAGGGATGGTGGCGGGCGCCTGTAATCCCAGCTATTCAGGAGGCTGAGGCAGGAGAATCACTTGAACCTGGGAGGTGGAGGTTGCAGTGAGCCGAGATCGTGCCATTGCACTCCAGCCTGGGTGACAAAAGCAAGACTCCCTTCTCAAAAAAAAAAAAATAAACAAACAAATAAATAGGCAGTATTTCCCTGTATCTTTATGTATATCCTCCTGTATACTTTAAATTAGCCCTATATTATCTATACTAATTAATACAATATAAATGCTATGTAAATAGTTGTTATACTATTTTGGTTTTTTATTTGTATTTTTTTAATTTATTTTTTTGAAACAAGGTCTCGTTCTGTCACCCAGGCTGGAATGCAATGGTGCAATCATGGCTCACTGTGGCCTCAACCTCCTGGGCTCAAGTGATCCTCCCACCTCAGCTTCTCAAGTAGCTGGGACTATGGGCGTGCACCATCACACTTGGCTAAATTTTTTTATTTTTATTTTTGTAGGGATGGAGTCTATGTTGCCCAGGCTGGCCTTGAACTCCTGGGCTCAAGCGATCCTTCCTCCTTGGCCTCCCCAAGTGCTGGGATTATAGGCTGGAGGCACTGCACACCCAGCACCACTGTGCCCAGCCTGTTTTTTCTTGTTTCTTTTTTCTTTTTTTTTTTTTTTTTTTTGGAGACAGAGTCTTGCTCTGTTGCCCAGGCTGGAGTGGCACGATCTCAGCTCACTGCAAACTCTGCCTCCTGGGTTCAAGCGATCCTCTTGCCTCAGCCTCCTGAGTAGCTGGGACTACAAGTGTGCACCATCATGCCTAGCTAATTCTTGTATTTTTTAGTAGAGATGGGGTTTCGCCACGTTGCCCAGGCTGGTCTCAAACTCCTGAGCTCAGGTGATCCACCTGCCTCGGCCTCCGATAAGTGCTGGGATTACAGGCATGAGCCACTGTGCCTGGCCTCTTGTTTCTTTTTTCTCAAATATTTGTGATCTGAGATTGGTTGAGTCCACATGGATACAAAGGGCTGTTTTACTGATAAAGTTTAAATACATTAATAAACTCAAAAACATTTTGTAAATTATAAAGCACAATCCAAATGTTAGTATTATTTGAATCTTTACTATCACTGTGGTTAAATTTGAGATGGAAAAAAGAGGAGAGGTAGAAGTCAAACTTATCCTTCTTTCCCATAGTTAGGTGATCATATAGTTTACTATTCAAAACAGGACACTTTTGAGAATAAAAAGTGTGCTATTAATAATTGTGTTGGAATAATATGTGTAAACCAGGACCGTCTTGGCCAAACCAAGATATATGCTCATTTTACCCACAATGCAACATAGAATCCTGTTCATGAAACACAAGAAGTCACAATAACTCCTAGTCCTGATTATTTTTCTATTCTTATCTTACCTTGTCAGCAGCTGCCAGCAAATCATCAGCCATTTTGTCGAGGTTTGGAGCCTTCCCCGTGTAAATGAAGCACATCATTTCCTTAAAAACTTCAGGCTCCACATCATTGATTTCAACTCGATTCTATGCCAGAAAAACTGAATATGAGAAACATTCCAACAGAACAAAATCCCTAAACTAAACTATTTTCATGATTTTAAGCTCTAGTGAGGAGAGAACTTTGTATCATTTAAAACCTAACATTAATGGAAAATTTCTTTGCCCGGCTTGATTATAATAGCCTTTTCGTCCATCACATGTTCCATCTTTGTTTTCTTAAACATAACAGCAAAACAACTCTTCGATTTTTTCACCTTTCTTTTCCTCAGTTTTCTGAGTAAAAACATATATGTCTAAATACCCTCACCCAAAACTGTGTGGATGATCAGCCTCATTTAATAAGTCAATCTGCTTTACCCATAATACTTCTACACCACTTCTCTCTGCTCTCAGAAGGAGTTTAGGGACTCATACTCCATTTTAGTAAGAAAAAAGTAATTAGGAAAATGAATCTGCAGCTAAAGTGGGAAATCATCTGACTCTAGATACCTGGCTAAACAGACATGTCTTCATCTTGTTACATACCTTTTTGCTCTCCTCCATTTCATGTTCAAACATGGCACTAAAAACCGGAGAACGAGCTACAAAGTCAAAGAGAAACAAGCAGATAAGGCTATCACAGTGAAATCTCTTGGTTGTTGCCAGTCATGAGGGAGAGATCATTTTCTAACCTATCCTACTGCTATAGGAAAGGTCTCTACCTCAATTTACATCAGAATTACAAAATTCCTTTCTTCATATATTATAACAATAAGTAACTAATTATAATACATAAAGGAAAATAAGAAACCACTACTTCCAAAATAACTTATCGGCTCTACTCCAACCATTCACATTTCAAGAAAATTACTTATCTATGTTGGATGATAATGCTATGTTCTCTGTATAGATTTGGGGTTCAAATGGAAGGTCCCTTATGATCAAGCAGGGTGTTCTAATACCTATGTTTTTGTTGGAACTGACACCATACTTTCTGCACCTCCAGGGACTGCACAGGAAGAAGGTCAAGAACTGGGCTCAATGGCATCCACTAACCAGATGAAGCGCATGCTCACCTATGGCAAACTGTCTGTTTTTCTAAGCTATGCATTCCTAACAGAGATGATATTGCCCCAAAGAGGTGGGGGGGGAAAGAAACTTTAGATATTATAATGATTTGTGTCCCTTTAAAGCACAACCCTACCTGATAAAATCTTCTTCCTTAGTATTTTATTTCTCTCATCAGGGAGAATTTAAATTTAGTTTTTCTCCTTAGAGGCAGGGATAATGAAGGTTGGAAGGTTGAGAAACAGTGCTCCAACTCATGCTCATTCTAGTCCAATGAACACCATGAAAAATAATAATCTCAACCACGAAAAGTAATAGAATGGCTAAGAACTCAAATTTGTTCATGTTGTCAAATAAATCAGGGGTTCTGGTGAAAGCTGAGATCCAACGATTACCTAAGAGTGAAAGAATGGACAAAATATATAGTAGAAAGGTTTTGAGCTAACAGAGAACTGGAAATTTTGGCCTATAGTTTATGTCAGAAAGCACTAATTTTAGCTCTGCCATTTTTTTTTTTTTCTTTCTGAGACAAAAGTCTTGCTCTGTTGCCTAGGCTAGAGTGGAGTGCAGTGGCATGATCTTGGCTCATTGCAACGTCTGCCTCCTGAGTTCAAGCAATTCTCCTGCCTCAGCCTCCCAAGTAGCTGGAATTACAGGTACCCACCACCACGCCTGGCTAATTTTTGTATTTTTAGTAGAGATGGGGTTTTACCATGTTGGCCAGGCTGGTGTCGAACTCCTGACCTCAAGTCATCTGCACACCTATGCCTCCCAAAGTGCTGGGATTATAGGCATGAGCCACTGCACCCGGCCTAGCTCTGCCATTTTCTAACCACATATTCTTGGGCAAATCACTTAACCCTCTGAACTTCAGTATTTTAATTTCTACCGAAAGGATATCAATTCTCATTGTTCTTATTTCAGAAGGGTTACAGACCATAGAGAACTAAATAAATATATTTCAGAAATTAAAGACTAAAGGCCCGGTGCTTTTCATAAAGAAGGAAGGGTCCAAAGCAGCCAGGTCTTGAGGGTCCTCGGTAAATAGGCAGCAGCTGATGCAACGGGAATAAATGAAATCACTCAGGGAGAAGAAGTGGAATGAAAACGGAACTGAAGCAGATCCTCAGGGCTCACCAATGTATAAAGGGATTGGTGAGGAAGAAGTAAGGAGACCACACATCAGAAGCAACCAGAGAATCAGGAGAGAGGAGTCCTAGTATATGAACTAAAGTCCTTCAAATTTAGGAACCAGTAGATCATGTAATTTTGAAAAACTGCTTTCATAGCATGGAGGTGAACTGAGGATAAGTGGGAGGAAAGGAAGTAGAAAGTGAATATGCTAACTCAAGAAACTCAGTTCTGGGGAAAAGAGAGAGAGAATAACTAGAGGGAGAAGCTTGGAGCCTGTACAGGCTGAAGGTGAAGAGGCAATAACAGAGAGATAGTGAAGATACTAGATAGATAGCAAGGGTATAACCGGTAGAGTAAGGTTTCTGAGAAGGCAAGATGGGATATAAAACAGAGCAGAGGTAGAAAAAAAGTCTGCTTTGTCCACGAGGAAGAACACCTCCACTGAGAATGCAGGTGAGGTAAGAAGCAAGAGTTGAGGAAGTTCCTACAAAAGGGCCTCCTTTTCTCTTGGAGGAAGTAGGCAAGGTAATCTTTTAGGAGTTTGGAAGGAGTTAAAGAGTGGTTAAGGTTTGAGACAGCTATCGTTAAGAAAGGGAGTTGCCTAAACATCTGTAGAAAAACTATTGGCAGTGTTGAGGGCCTAGCTAAGTGTGGAGACACTAACCAAAGAGTTATAGACTTCCTTGAGTTTTGTTTTTTTTTCCCCCGAGACAGAGTCTTGCTCTGTTGCCCAGGCTGGAGTGCAGTGGCATGATCTCGGCTCACTGCAACCTCCGCCTCCAGGGTTCAAGCGATTCTCCTGTCTCAGCCTCTGGAGCAGCTGGTATTACAGGCGCATGCCACGATGCCCAGCTAATTTTTGTATTTTTAGTAGACATGGGGTTTCACCATGTTGACCAGGCTGGTCTCGAACTCCTGACTTCAGGTGATCCACCCGCCTCAGCCTCCCAAAGTGCTGGGATGACAGGCATGAGCCACCGCGCCCGTGACTTCCTTGAGTATTACACAGTAACAGCCAGTTGTGAGAGGGAACAGGAAAATGTTTAGACTGAGGCAGTCTGAGGTTTTACCAGGTGTGTACTTTAGAATGACGGAGCGGAGGGTCTTAGTAAGAAGTGTGTTACTTGAAGGTTCACACAATTTCCTGTTAGGTCTTATGGTCTTAAGAGAAGTATACGGTGATTGTTACCCTTCCCTGGGCGGTGAAGTCAGTCCTTCCTCATCAGTTCCTCCTTGGTGTCAATCTCCCTGGTCTTGAAAACCATGGGCCTATTAAAGCAAGACCTGATCCTCCATGTCAGGGGCAAGAGTTTCATTCTTCTAGTATGTTTAAATTGAAAAGAGGGCTAACCCCTCCAGGGCTGAGGACTAGCTAGATGGCATTTAGTCCTGAGTATAGAATCCTCTCCATTACATCCTAAACCCTTATCTAGGGGTTGATACCTGCTCTTAACTGGTGCTCTGACATCTACTCTCTAGGGGCAAAGGCATTCAATACCTTTGTACATCATCATCCATGCCTTGAAAATGATGGCCTAGGTCCACTACAGAGAGGAAAAACAGAAATGTCATTTTAGAGAGCAGCTTTTTTGGTTCTGAGCATTGTTACCGGAATACAAAGATATATTTAGCTGCAGTTTGTTTTGTAGTTGAGTTCAAAAAGTTGAAGTTGTTCAAAAGGTGATTATGCAATCACTTGTTTTTCCTTATTTCACCAAAACTATAAAATTCCTCATGAATAAATACCAACCTGCTAAGATAGCCTTGTGAGCCTGGAATTCCTGGCCGGCAACACACAAGCAGCAGTCTGTGAACCGGGAATTCTCCCACAGTCCTCCTAACTCATCTGCCAGCCGGCACTCAGGAACCTTTACCATGTTCATGGTATTCTGGCCAGAAATGTTGACAGAATCTTGCACAACACTCACCTGTGAAAGACAAGGAAACACAAGCCAAGCTTTTGTTACCAGGAATTTTTTTGCCAGCAGATAGACGACTTTTACCTAACTGCTGTAGTACATTCAGATACTAATATTAATCATATTATCTTGAAACCACCTCCACAAATCAAGGCTTTAGCCCCGGATCAAGTAACTCCTTTTCTGTCACAATCAGACTTATTCTATACCATCTCAGGACAATAGGAAGAGAGCCCCACAAATCTCTTTTTCCCCCAGTTTCTAATAAGCTTCACCTCCCTTGGACTACAAACCTGGGCAAAGGTGCCAGAGAGACAAAACTAACAGAAACAAATGTTAAACCTCAAGTATTTACCTTATTCTGCCTTAAGTTCAATACAAAGAACTCCTATAAATACTACCATTTAAATTAAACTCTAGAGACAAGAATCTGATCACTTTTTTTTTTTTTTGAGACAGAGTCTCACTATGTCACCCAGGATGGAGTCCAGTAGCATGATCATGGCTCACTGCAGCGTTGACCTCCCAGGCTCAAGTGATCCTTCTACTCTAGCCTCTGGAGTAGCTGGGACTACAGGCGCATGCCACTACATCTGACTAATTTTTTATTTGTTTACAGAGACAAGGTCTCACTATGTTGCCCAGGATGATGTTGAACTCCTGGGCTCAAAGTGATCCTCCATCCTTGGCCTCCCAAAGTGCTAAGATTATAGGCATGAGCCACTGCACCTCGCCAAATCTAATAACTGAAGCCTAAAAGACGTTATTTTAGTTAGGTCGAGAACATGCACATAAAACGCATCTTCTACAGAGCCTGGTAAATAACTGGCACTTCTTCAAAAATATTAGTTTAATGAACATGACATTATTGACCCACTGTCAGTAAGGACCAGACTTGGAAGATCTTTCTAGTAGTGAAAACTGGGTGAGTATCCCACACTTTTATACCTTTAGTCAGTTGTGATAATGACATACAAGATGCTTGGCTGTAGCTACACATGCACTTATAGCTTTGGAAGATAATGATGACAATAGGTTTATAAAGGAATCCCAACTTCCCACTATGGCTTCAGCAGAAGCATGTTTTAACCAGTTCAGCCTAGGTAAAAAACCAAGTTAACTTCTAGGTGAGTCAGTGAAACTCAGATAAATCTGTTAGGGTACCAAATACAAGGATTTATAAATCATACAACATCATAAAATAAATGTCAGTTGCCCAACTGTAGATAGGACACTGCAGATCAGTCATCTGCCTAACAATTGTTGTTATGCTTCATCTCCTACATCACATTCTGTTAGAAAAGTTAAATTCAAAGCAGAACTCACAAACCTTGAGAATTAGCTCCCCACTCTTGCTGTTCCTAACAGTAAGATGAGAAAGACAGCTTAGGAACATCCTTAATGACCCAGATTTCTTTTAACCTTCAAGATGCAAGTCATCCCTTAAACGCAGTCATAAGCCCAGAGGCAAAGTTAATGACCTGTAGTTCCTTCTGTGCAGGAGTGAGATATTTACTATCAGGTCAAGAAATTTATTCATTTGTTTAAAACTAGCTGTTATGGTCTTGGGCAATGAAACAGCCAAGTTAATCAATTATGAATATACTTGGCATTAGTATCACATTTATCAGAGCCAGATTATAACATTATTTTAATAGCCTAGGACACAGTACAAACCATCCCATAGAGATTCTCTCTTGTCCTTTATAAGACCTCTAATTTGCTTCTGCCACTTTCTCATATTAATACCCTCACTTCTTTGACATAACATTAACACTGAAAGTAGAAGTTGCCTGTTCTCAGTTATAGCTCTAAAATACTAATTTAAAAAAAAAAAAAAAAAAGGAAAAGACCAATTAAATCCAACTTTCTCACAGGGAAAGGCAGGAATCTCCTGGGATGGCCAATGAAGGGAATGGAGAATGCTTTTGGCACTGGGTTCCTAGCTTGAATTAAACCAGGTTGACAGGAGCCCAAAGTCATTAACACTTGATGGCAATTTAGTAGACTGGGTGAAATGAATTGGCAAGAAGAGCTAAACTGAATTTCACATAATCAAACCATAGTTACCAGTGGGCCTTCTGCTGGTTAGATGCACATGTGGTAATGAGTGGGGCCCAAAGGCTGTGACATCTCTCACTGGGGCAATTCCTCTCTCTGGACACAGACAGGAACACAGCAGAAAAGAGAATGTACCTTTATTGTCTGAGCCAGGCTTGTTCTGTAGATATATAGATGCCTGGAGTCTCCAGAGCTCTGAATGTCTGGCACCTCTCACCAACATTAAATACGCTTAATTAAAAATAAATTCTAAATGGCATTCACAAATGAGTCTTCAGAGCCCAAACTTTTAACTTAGAAAGGGATTGTTTTCCTCTGCAAATGATGATGCTAAAATGAGACCATTCTGAGAAAAACTAAAGATTTTTTTTAATGCCTATAAAGTTGACTGGGGAGACTCATTCAGAACTGCAGCTGTGAAGATGACGTGACTGTGACATTTATGTCATCTTATAAATGACTGCATGAAAATGTCTCAGGAAGGCTGTATAATCTCCTTAACTTCAAGTTGTAAAAGGGTCTCACTTTTAAAGTCAATCCTTTTCTTAAAAAAACAAATTTCATAAAAAACTAAAGATTGTGCCAATTCTTGTACATTTCATCTATACATAAAGTAAAACCCAGGGAAATACATTTTTTAACTTCTATATAATTAAAACAATCTAGGAAAAACAGACACTGCCTACAAATTATTTACAACAGGAGCACTATTTCTACTAGCAAAAGATTAGCAACAACCTAAATGTCCATCAACAAAAGAATGAATAAATTATACATTCACACAAGACTATTATATACAGCACTAAATATGGATGAAGTATAGTTATATAAATTTTAGAAACATAATGTGAAAAAGCAAATCTTAGATGACTACATACAGTCTGACACCATTTTTATAAAGCTCCAAAACAAGTAACCTAAACAATATATTATTCAGACATACAAATAATAAACAAGTGCATGATAACATAAAATTCAAAATAGCTATTTATCATCCTCTGAGTGGGGAAACAAATCTTAGGGATTGGGGAGAAGCATTACAGGTTAGTTCCAAGTTATTGGTCATATTTTTAGGTTGAGTGGTGGGTTTAGTATATTCTCATGCTTTATAACCTACAATGATGTTACCTATTGAATCACCATTTGTGTAGGTCAAGAACAAGCAAATATTGGTATTTTCATCCAGTACAAATAATATATTCAAATAATCCAATAATTAAAGGATAAAAAGGTAAAAATGAATAGATTCATTTATTTAAAATTTAGCAAAAATACCTATTCCCATGCTATGAAGTGTGTGTGTGTGTGTGTGTGTGTGTGTGTGTGTGTGTGTGTATAAAACTATTAGTTTAAAAAATTTAGAGACAGGGTCTCCCTCTGTTGCCCAGGCTGGAGTGCAGTGGTAGCGGTGTGATCACAGCTCACTGTAGCCTCCAACTCCTGGGCTTAAGCAATCCTCCTGCTTCACCCTCCCAAGTAGCTAGGACTACAGGCACGTGCCATCATACCTGGCTAATTTTTAATTTTTTTGTAGAGACAGGGTCTCACTATGTTGCCCAGGCTGGTCTCGAACTTCTGGGCTTGAATGATCCTCCTACCTTGGCCTCCGAAAGTGCTGGGATTACAGGTTATAGTGAGCTATGATTAAGCAACTGCACTCCAGCCTGGGCAAGATCAAGATCCCATCTCTTAAAAAATTAAAATAAAGTTAATTAGTGTCTGGATATTTCACATTTATGTTATTTCATATTTCATCTTTAGTTACAACATGACAAAGAGGTTCTGGGATTATCTACCTGTCAAAGGCATATATGGTAAAGTTGGAATACAATGCTTCTTTATTGCTAATGGCTATTTGTTTTCAATATAAATAATTGGAGAAAAGGGTCAATAGAAGCTGAACTATTTCATGAAGATTTTCTGTGGACCAAATTATTAAAGAGAAAATTTAAAATGGAATTTAAACATGCCTTCATGTCTCTATTTATTTATTTATTTATTTATTTTTTAACAGACAGGGACTAATTATGTTGTCCAGGTAGGAGTGCAATGGCTACTCACAAGCACGATCATAGCACACCACAACCTCGATCTCCTGGGCTCAAGTGATCCTCTTGCATCAGCCTCAGGAGTAGCTGGGAACCACAGGGGTGGGCCACCACTCCTGACTCTTATGTCTCTCTCTTTCATTACCAAAGTAAATGCTCTGTCAAGAAAACTTGGGACCCGAGTTTGTGCTTCCTTGGGTGAATGGCATTCAGCTCCACTTAGTGTAGTGCAGCGGACTAGAGATAGAAAATAGGGAGCTGACATGACCCTCGCACTAGTTTGCTGCACAATGTTAGGAAAAATTTCCTGACTCCCTGGGCACTGCTTCTCTCCCCTTGTAACATGAAATGAAGAAAACAGAACTAAACCTAGCTCAAAGGATTGTAATAAGGGACAATTCAGGAAATGCTTTGGAAATGCTTCCAAATAAGTTAACTAAGCAATAACAACTTGGAAGAACTGCCACATTTCCTAATAGGTAAAACATCACTGAGAACTGAAAGTGATCTCAGTGTCTACAGTCATATCACCCTGAACACGCCTGATTTTGTCTGAAAGTGAACTCAATGTAGGGCACATTATAAACAAGACCACCCATTCATCATTTTCAGAGTCCACAATCTAATTTCATTTAAACATTCAACAACAGGAATACCACTGAAATAAAGGCCAAACATAAAAGGGTGCTTCTCGGTCTTCCACCATAGGAGTCCCTCTTGTGGCCTCTGGGAGCACCAGAATCCCTATGAAACAACTGTATTTATTGTATCAGGATGAGAATGAGAAGTGCCTCAGTCAAAGGCTGAGTGACGAATGGGGCACTGGGGTACTAGAACCTAGATTTCTATCTGGACATCAACTTCATAAAAGCCTCTAAACAATATGAAAATACTAATCAAACCAATAACAAACAAAATGTAAATATGAATTAAAACAAATGTGTTTATAAATATTCCACTGATAGAAGGGAAACAACAGGTCAAAGGGATAAAATGTGCACCAAAAATGATCTAGCTATGAAAAGTGCTAAGAACTTAGATGAGCTGCAGACATCCTTAAAACCCACACATCCAATACACACCCCCACGCAACCGTCTTGCAACGCTGAATGCTACTAAGTCCACAGAGAGCCTTGGAACAGAAACAAGTCTCACTAGGCATAAGCCCAAGTATGAGAAGCAACACTCAGCACCTGTGGCCAACAGAGAAGTGTGAGAGGAACAGATGGCACACCTGGTTCGATGGTAAGAAACCGATGGCATCAGCAGAACCCAGCAGACGTTACCCTGTTCAACATCTCCTCGTTTCTAAAGTGTCATCTCACTTCCCATCTAAGTCAAGGCACATCTAAACTTAACCACAGGATTTCTCCTAAGAGAATTTCATATGGGGAAGTGAAGGGAGAGAGCGAGCGAGCTGGAACTTGGCCTCGGATTTAACCACAGGATAAGAGACTGCCAAGTGAGGGCAGGCCAACTGGCTTCCAAATCAAGACTGTGAAGACAGGGGTTGGAGCAGCTGGAATGGATTGGGAAGAGAGGGGGAAGCATATGAGAAAAGGCTGGACCCACTGTGGACTCAAAAAAGCTGCAGTAAAGGTTATGGTATTGCCTAACACTGCCAGATGCAGTATTTAGGGGAGATTTTCTTCAGAGAACAGTTTAAAGATTGGCTTTCATTTCCAATAGAAACTAGAATTTTCTACTATTTTTAAGTTTTTCTGAAATGCAAGTCTGTAAGATAGGTGAAGATTCAAACTGTGATCTGTTTACATAACATCTAACCTCATGTAAAACCAACTAAATTCTCATTTCTTCATTCAGGCAACTGAGTATAATCTGTGACGTTAGATTTACACAGAATTCACACTCCAAGTTTATCAGACATAAAAGAACTGCCACATTTTATGTATTTATTATAGATGCTATCACTCTAGTATTTCCTTCTTTTACTTGGTAATTAAAAAGGAGAGGGGATACCAAATTATGCAAACTATATTTTACATATTTAGTGTGGTATTATAAGAAACTGCCTCCAAAGTTTTCTAATCATTTGCAACTACTCTGTTGCAATACAGAAGGCTGGCTGGGCGTGGTGGCTCACATCTGTAATCCCAACACTTTGGCAGGCTGAGGCAGGCGGATCACTTGAGGTCAGGAGTTCGAGACCAGCCTGGCCAACATGGTAAAACCCCATCCCTACTAAAAATACAAGAATTAGCCAGGCCTGGTGGCATACACCTATAATCCCAGCTACTTGGGAGGCTAAGGCAGGAGAATCACTTGAATCTGGGAGGCAGAGGTTGCAGTGAGCCAAGGTTGCGCCACTGCACTCTAGCCTGGGTGACAGAGCAAGACTCCGTCTCAAAAAAAAAAAAAAAAAAAAGAAAGAAAGCAATACATAAGCCTGCTACCGACCGCTAGGCCTTTTCTGCAAAAGGGCAAGATTCCTAAGGGACTCCATTCCCTGCTACTCAGGTGGTGATATGCCTTTGAAACTGTCATTAACTCACAGTGTGAGCCTATTATTTGACCGAGCGAGTTGGCAATTGGGGAACAACTGTACCATCCCCCATGATGATACACTGTTTATTATTATCAAGCGGTGCTGCTCAGGAAGTGGTTCCTCAACCTATGTGCAGGGAACACTAATGCCCCAGTTGACTGGAGATTTTATTCATTTATTACACTGTGAGCTTGTCAGTATTTCTAAATGTATTCATAACAGCATGAAATGACTAATCAGTATATACTCATTAAAGAAACCACTTTCCAACTCATTCTTGGTTTGGGAATTTTATTTCAAGGCTTCTCCTGTAAACCTGGGAAAAGCTCTTAGGTCACTGGTGAGAGGACTTTCCTAACTGACTACAGATAACTCTGTGAGCTAACTGTGAGTTAGAGAGCTTTACATAGCCTTCACCCTAGAAAAAAAATGGTTCTCACCTTCTTATTTCACAATTACTCCAGCAAGACAAACCATAGGCCTCAACTCTTGATAAGAATCTAGTTCAAAGAGCAGAAAAGGTAAGTAATCTGCAAACACACATGGCCCTCACACTTAAGGAGCCAGAAAGTATAAACAACAGATACACATATTTAGCTTGATGTGACAGTCCTTTCAAATGCTATCTGAAAAAAATCCCACAGTGAAAACTCCTGACCCAAGCAACTTAAAACTGACACATACCAAGGTAGCATACATACAACCTTTGTTTTTAAGAACAGTAACAAGTGGAAAGCTGAGATGCCCAACAACCTTGAAATCATCAGGTAGCTCAATCAGTCACATAAATAACATTTGTGCAGCACTACTCCACTTGGGGCTTTTTCTTACTCTACATCCCTGATACAATATAATTAAGTCTACCAATACTCATCAGATCTGGGAACTGCTAGTCTCAGCAGAATACAAGGACTCACCTCGCAGAAGAGGGTAAGCTTGTCATCAGGGAGAAGCCCGTTGGCCTCATCCAAAAGAAAATCTCTACGGATGAATTTCTTGAATCCCCAGTCTTTGCCTTGCACAAACCTATATGCCCGTTGACTCTCTGGGGTGGGGAAAAAAAAAGTCATATTTAAGGTTACGCAAAAACCAGATCAAAGCCACAACTTGTCAGTGTATGAAACTTCTGGATGTGAAACTTAAGAGTTGAACAAAGAGGAGAACATTTACCCATAGCTTTGGTTTCTTCTCCCTTGGCATTCAGGATGGAGAATTTGAATTTTGCCCGAACTTCACTCTTTGGACAGCTGACCAGTAACAGGTAAAGTGACAGGTAATCTTTGCTTTCTTCATCTAACCCTTTGGGGTTTACTCGCAAACACCTGTCCAAAACAGATAGAAAAAAAAAATGTCAAAAGCATCCATTTTGATAGAACTGGAAATCAGACTCAAGAGAGGGAGATGTTTAAAAAACAAATGCAGGCCCCATAGAAGAATATAATTCAGTAGAATGACTAGTTGGGAACAACTTTTTTCTCTTTTTTTTTGAGACATGGTCTTACTCTATCGTCCAGGCTGGAGTGCAGTGGTATGATCATGGCTTACTGCAACCTCGATCTCCCTGGGCTCAGGTGATCCTCCCACCCCAGCCTCCCGAGTAGCGGGGACTACAGATGTGCACCACCATGGCCAGCTAATTTTTGTAGAGATGGGGTTTCGCCATATTGCCCAGGCTGGTCTTGAATGCTTGAGCTCAAGCGATCCGTCTGCCTCAGCCTCCCAGAGTGCTGGGATTACAGGAATAAGCAACCACACCTGGCTGGGAACCACTTTCGTAAAGCAAAATGGGTCACCTTTTAAAAAGTAAACAACAGGCTGGGTGCGGTGGCTCACCCCTGTAATCTCAGCACTTTGGGAGGCCAAAGCGGGCGCATCACTTGAGGTCAGGACTTCGAGGCCAGCCTGGCCAACGTGGTGAAACCCCGTCTCTACTAAAAATAAAAAATAAAGAAAAAAACTAGTTGGGCGTGGTGGCAGGCGCCTGTAATCCCAGCTACTCAGGAGGCTGAGGCAGGAGAATCGCTTGAACCTGGGAGGCAGAGGTTGCAGTGAGCTGAGATCACACCACTACGCTCCAGCCTGGGTAACAAGAACGAAACTCCATCTCAAAAAAGAAAAAGAAAAAAAAAAGAAATGTGTGGACCAGGCACGGTGGCTTATGCCTGTAATCCCAGCACTTTGGGAGGCCAAGGCAGGCAGATCACTTAAGTTCGAGAATGGCCTGACCAACATGGTGTAATCCTGTCTCTACTAAAAATACCAGGCGTGCTAGTGGGCACCTGTAATCCCTGCTTCTCTGGAGGCTGAGGCAGGAGAATCACTTTAACCCAGGAGGCAGAGGTTGCAGTGAGCCGAGATCGTGCCACTGCACTCCAGCCTGGGCGATAGAGTGAGACTCTGTCTCAAAAAAAAAAAAAAAAAAAGTGTGAATAATCTTTTATAGATAATAATATACATAATCTTTTATAGATATTTTACCAATCTGGCAACAATATTCTAAGACTAAAATAAAAGAGGCAATATGAAGGAAGCACAGACAAAAGTAAATTATCATTACGCAGCACAGAATTCCAGGCCAGACTTCTAAATAGTGTTAGAGATGCCAATCTGTTACGGAGAGATCAAAACAAAATTCAGACAGAATAGGTTCAACTAAGTTGTAAATGTCATTAGTCAAATGCATGGGTTTCAGGCACTGCTTCTACCACATGCAATACACAGGTCATATGTATCCTTAAGCCTTATCTGTATTATTGCACCTCTCTCAAACAGGTGGCCCAATCCAGTGTCTCTCTAGGGAGTGCATATGCTACATACATTACTATACACCTTGCTAATGATGAGGATTTAAATACAATGTCTAAGAATAAACATCTCTCTCAACACTTAGTAGTAAAATGCACAATATATAGCCAAAAAATACTAAATGAATGAAAAAATAACTTTTGGTGGGTTATCAGAGGTCAAAACTGGTGGTTCAGAGACTTGCGTTTTGGTCTTTGCAGTGGGTATATGGTTGTATCCTCAACTGCCTGCTCCTCAGGCAAGATGACACATAGTCTGAATGAGACTGATCCTCACTCCTGGATCATATTTTCCCTGCTCCAGGGATTGGTTCAGGGAATGCAAACGTAAAACAATTGGTGCATGTACGACATATTCCTGGCCACACAGTTCAGAGAAAGCTCAAAGACTTTTGCTAGCATGTAGTAGATTATACCCATTGGTACTGCCAGTTATCCCTTAAGCACAAGAGAAGCCAGACCTGAGATGTCCAAGAGCGTGGAGAACAGGGCCAGGGCAGAGATGGTGTTCTTACTCTAACTACTGGCTTGCTGGATCAAGCTACCTTCAAACCCATCCTATACCCTGTCAATACAGTTACATAAGCAAATAAATCCCCTTTCTTGTTTAAAAGCAGGCAATTTAAAAGTAAAGAGATTTTTATGTTAAAATCTAGATTTCTTGCTTTTCTTGAAAAATCAGAAAATCTGGCAAGGGTCAGCCCTTACTCATGCATAGCTATAGTTAGCTGGAGCTGAGTAGCCAGCACCTCTTTTAGAAGAACACTCACTAGTTTGCCAAGCAGTCACCAGTCATTCCATTTATGGATATCATTTATAACACTGGCTTTCTTTATTTATTTACATTACCCTATAGCTTGAGTTTGCTGATTTCTGATATACTCATTGAATTAGTTCAACAAACATTTAGTGAGTACCTATTATGTGCCAGGCACTGTGCTAGGCACTGGGAAATACAGTAAGAACAAAACAAAAGTCCTGGCCTTCATGGAAATTACATTCTTGTCAGTGTCCCATAAAACCAAACAAAACAGACAACTTCAGAAAAATTTTTACAGTTAGACGTATTCTTCCTCACCATTTCAGTTTATCATTTGCTCCTGATGAAAATGTAGAACTTTTAATGACTTCACCCATTTCCTCCCGGCAAAAGCTAAAGTTATTGATGGTCCACATGTAGGAGAATTTCACTACCTTGATCTGTTGATAGAAAAACAGGAAGCAATTAAATAGGAAGTGGACAACCTGAAAAAACAGGATGAAGGGCAGATTATCATTTCCCCTCCCTCCCTCTGCATGATCCTGATAGGAAGATAGCAGTTTTCAGGTTTTTCTCACCTTATGTTCCTCATCCACATTTTAAGAAATCTCACACTGACCAATAGCTTTTATAACTTTTTTCAGCTGCTGAGAACACTGGATGGAAAGTGAGAGAAACATACAGGAAAAACAGAAACAAAAAACCCACCACCACCATGGACAGGGCTGGGAAAGCATATGATAAAACCGTACTTAAAATGGGTCTCTGTTATTAAAATGTTGATGTCACTGCCTGGGGTTGCACATCTCAAACTTGTTTCCCCAACAGAGGAAACTCAGAACACACTTTCATCAAGGGCAATGTAAGCAGATCTAGTTTCAAAGATTCCCCCTTTCAACCTCCACTGAAAAACACTAGCCTAGGGAATTTAGATTCCACATGGAAAACTAAGGAACCTGAGGCTAACAAGTATCTTATCTATCTGCTCTTTGGCAGTTATGTTCCAGAGAAAGCAAGAAGCCCAATGTAGAAAAGCAATCCTACTCCTTTCGTCCACCAAATCCTCCCCAGATGCAAGATTCACAGGCTGAAAACTTCAACTTACCTGTGTGTAGCACCAACTCTCAGCTACGGGGCCACTCGACATTTCTGCCGGAGGTGGAGGACTTGGAACCCTTGACATCGCCAGTTTGAAGGTTAAACGAGATTTCCAAAGTCAGGGGGCAAAGATTTCTGTTCCCTCTTCACCCTGGTCAGATCCAAGAAGCAAGAAAACTTTATTAGATTATTAAGATACGATCCTAACTATTGTTTGACCTGATAGAGGCTGGAAATTTTGTCTCCACATTGTTTGAGTGGCTCCTTACCACTGAGGTCCTAAAATTTTTTTTTTTTTTCCTGATAGTTTCGCTCTTGTTGCCCAGACGGGAGTGCAGTGGTGCGATCTTGGCTCACCGCAACCTCCGCCTTTCCTGGGTTCAAGTGATTCTCCTGCCTAAGCCTCCCGAGTAGCTGGGATTACAGGCATGCCCCACCACACCTGACTAATTGTGTATTTTTAGCAGAGACGGGGTTTCTCCATGTTAGTCAGGCTGGTCTTGAACTCTCGACCTCAGGTGATCCACCCTCCTCGGCCTCCCAAAGTGCTGAGATTACAGGCGTGAGCCACCGCACCCAGCCGAGGTCCTAAATTTAAATGTTAACATCAGAGAAGACTATCTAATGTAAAGTAGTCACCTAGTCACAATTATATCACCCTATACCTCTGCACAATACTCAATAACTCTATTGCTGAATGAATTTATTCAAAGGGTATTTAAAGTATATCTATGAAAAGGCTGCCTGAAGAGGAGACAGCATCATTAACATCAGACATAACTTGCCATGGGCTCCTTCCTTTGGGGTAAAAATACTCTACTCCTAAAGCAAAATGACCTTGTTACCCTCTCTAAGTTTGCTTCATCTTCTCCTATGCTTCACTGCAAACTTAAGGAATCTTCTATTCCTCAACCCATTGCTGGCTGCTCTCTTGAAGGGGAATATTTTTACACCTTTCTTAGATGTATTCCTTTCTCTGCAGCATTCGTGATCTCTCCCTGCTTACATTCCTGTCATCACTCGATATTTCAGATTCTTCTCCTTGCTCTGTTTTGTGATCATTCCTCAGTCTCCTTTACTAGATTATCTTCGTCCACTGTTGCTCCCCATCATTTAATCCTCAATCATTTTCTCAATCTACATTCTCTGTGTCAATTTTTTGTTTTTTCACCAGTCAGACATATCTTTATGGCAATTTCATCCATCCCAACAATGTCAAATTTCTACCTTTATACAAGTTTTCCAAATCTCTACAACTCTCACCTCTCTCATAAGCCTCAGACCATTCTCCAATAACTGTTATATATCTCAATGGGGTGTCTCAGTAGCAAATCAAATCCAACTCAAAATTCTTCCCTCCAACAGCCTTTCTAAATACCAAAGCCATTAAAAAAACTGGTGAACTTGGGGATGAGGGAGTGGGACTGGGGAGATGTAGGTCAAGGGGTACAAAGTTGCAGATGGGTAGGATGAATTCATCTAGAGATCTACTGTACAACATGAGGGCTATACTTAATAATATCGTATTGTATAATGGAAGTTTGCCAGAAGAGATTTTAGGTGCTTTTACCACCTACGCGGGAACACACACACACGCGCGCGCGCGCACACACACACACACACACACACACACACACACGGTAACTGTCAGATAATGGATATGTTAATTGGTTTGATTATAGTAATCATTTCACTATGCATATGCAAATCAAAACATTATGCTGCATACCTCAAATATATACAATTTTTACTATTTTTTTTGAGACAGGGTCTCACTTTGTAACCCAGGCTGCAGCACAGTGGCGCAATCTTGGCTCACTACAACCTCTGCCTCCCAGGCTCAAGCAATCCTCCTACCTCAGCCTCCTGAGTAGCTAGGACTACAGGCGTGCACCACCATACCACCTTGCTAATTTTTTGTATTTTTTTGTGGAGACAGGGTTTTGCCATGTTGCCCAGGCTGGTCTTGAACTCCTGGACTCAAGCAGTATGCCCACCTTGGCCTCCCAAAGTGCTAGGATTACAGGGATGAGCCACCATGCCTGGCCACAATTTTTTTTAATTGGTGAATTTGGTTACAATTTTTAAGCACCATAAACAAAGCCAAAAGACAAACTAAAAAAAAAAAAAAAAGCTTGTAACACATGACAAAGGGACTTAATAAAAAATTGATATATAAATTATTTCTGTGAAATCAATTGGGTGTTATCTAGTACAGTGGAAAATACATGTACCCTAAAACTTAGTAACTCCACTTTTAACAATACATGTGCTAGAGCTGTGATTCTGAAGTGTAGAGTGCACCACAATCTCCTTTTAAACAGATTGCTGGCCCCACCCCCAGAGTTTCTGATTCAGAGATTTGGGATGGGCCCAAGTTTGCATTTCTAACAAGTTCCCAGATGATCCTTTGAGAACTGCTGTCCTAGAGAAACGCTAAACGTGGGCACAAGATACAGACAAGGGTTTTCAATGCGGCACCATTAATAACAGTGAAAACTAGAAACACACTGAAAATCTTTAGTAGGGGAATAGATAACTAATTTGTATTATTTCCATGTAATAGAAAACTATACTTCAGAATTTAAAATTAATGAACTAGGCTGGACACGGTGGCTCACGCCTGTAATCCCAGCACTTTGGGAGGCTGAGGTGGGAGGATTACCTGGGGTTGGGAGTTCGAGACCAGCCTGACCAACATGGAGAAACCCTGTCCCTACTAAAAACACAAAATTAGCTGGCTGTGGTGGCATGCACCTGTCATCCCAGCTACTCCGGAGGCTGAGGCAGGAGAATCGCTTGAACCTGGGAGGCGGAGGTTGTGGTGAGCCGAGATCGCACCATTGCACTCCAGCCTGGGCAACAAGAGCGAAGCTCCATCTCAAAAAATAAAATAAAATAAAAGAACTAGATCTACAGCACCATGGACATCAAACACAGAGCTAATAAAAAAAAGCAAGTTTAGGAATGACATGTACAGTACATTATTTATGCAAATTTAAGGTTTATATATTATTTACAGATATACGATACAGTAAAAGTAAAAAACAACAACAACAACAAAAAACAGCCTTGACAGCCTATATATCAGTTTCATACTGGGAGAGGGAAGGAAGGAGAAGGAGACTGGGAAAATAATGTAAGATGCTTCAAGTTTATCTCTTGTGATTCTTTTAAAATAAGGATACAAAGAAAATATGATAATACAAATATCTGTTAATTAGGGATGACAGGTACTTGGGTATAAACTACTTTTTGTAGTGTTCTGCTTTATTTTTATCGTTTTGATATTGGAGCAATTGTGTAAGGATATATTCCATTATATCACACATCTCTGGTTTATAATATACAAGGGAGAAATTTCCTGAACACCTAGTTTGTTTTCAAAGGCCAAACAATATGAATCTTATAACTGATCATGTTGCCCTCCTTGCTTGGCTACTAAGAAATCCTGAGACAAGTTTGTGACTCATCTTTTAAAACTATAAGCCCATATGCCTGCTTTAGATGCTATATTTTATACAGGATCATTCTATAATAGTTTTATTATAGTTCATTCTATAATAGTTTTATTTTCTTAATTATTCCCTTTGCTATAATTCTCTCAACTTTTAATCTTTTATATGTTAAGTATTTTTGGAATCTGCCTCAAATCCTCTGCAGAAAGAGGTATAACAAGTAACAACAGGCTGGGCATGGTGGCTTATGCCTGTAATCCCAGCACTTTGGGAAGCCAAGGCAGGCGGGTCACCTGAGGTCAGGAGTTCGAGATCAGCCTGGCCAACATGGCGAAACCCCATCTCTACTAAAAATACAAAAATTAGCCGGGTGTGATAATGCGTGCCTGTAATCCCAGCTACTTGGGAGGTTGAGACAGAGAGTAGCTTGAACCCAGGAGGTGGAGGTGGAGGTTGCAGTGAGCCAAGATGTCGCCATTGCACTCTAGCCTGGGAGACAGAGGAAAAAAAAAAAGTAACAACAAATCACACAATAACTCAACTCACAAATATTCACTGACTACTTAAATAATAAACACGGAGATTAATAAACTACAGTTGCACTTTCACAGAGTAATACTCATAAATGAAATGAGATGTTATTCCCATGGTCATAAACACTATCTTACAGGAATTTCCTTTTTTTTGAGACGGAATCTTTCTCTGTCGCCCAGGCTGGAGTGCAGTGGCGATCTTGGCTCACTGCAAGCTCCGCCTCCCGGGTTCATGCCATTCTCCTGCCTCAGCCTCCTGAGTTGCTGGGACTACAGGCACCCGCCACCATGCCCAGCTAATTTTTTGTGTTTTTAGTAGAGACAGGGTTTCACCATGTTAGCCAGGATGGTCTCGATCTCCTGACCTCGTGATTTGCCCACCTTGGCCTCCCAAAGTGCTGGGATTACAGGCATGAGCCACCACGCCCGGCCAGGAATTTACAATTAAAGAATCTGTGAAATCACAAATGAAGCTAACATGGTGTGCTGTCTCACTTAAGCTAGCAACCTAAGCACTGCAGTGGCATTTGGGCCTCCCTGGCTTGTGCAATTCATGATTCCATGATAACATGAAGAAAAGAAGCCAAATGCTACTGTGGTCACCTCCAAGATAGGCTTGCATTTGATGGAAAACACATTCTTAAAGAACTGTTTTATTTTTCCATTAACAAGTAAGTATAAATGAGCTAGTTTTACAAATCCCAATTATCATTAATGGCCAGAATGAAATTTCAAAATTCCTACTTTGGGACAGGGTGGCAATGAAGGTTTGATTTTATGCATTAGTTAAGAACAAAAAATTTGGCTCTGGAGAGGTGGATTATAGGCACAGCTCTACACTGAGTAATCCTAAAATACCAATTTGAACTTATTTTGAGGTTAAAAAAACTTCAAACTGATCTAACAATGAACAATTTATGAATTATCTAAGCCCAGGAAAAGGCCAAATTTTAATAACTGGTTTATTTTAATGCCTTAATTGTTGTTACTCATCCTTGGTTCATTATTATAACCAGAAAAAAGAAACTACTACTTTGATCTTGACCATTTTTTCCCACCTTTTTTTGCTTCTGACTTATTTTGTAGCTACATCTTTTCCCTTCTTCTAATTTTTAAAAATCTCTAACCTCACAGCCAGCAGAACTGGAGAATCTGTCTCAGACTCTGAGGAGCTCTTAACCAAACAACCTGCTGGAAAGGAAATTGACTAGGACAGCACAAGTCTAATTAATTTCACTCATAGCAGGAACCATGGGCAAAGTGTTCATCAGCAAAGTAGCCTAGTGCTACATGAACTCTCTAGCACTTCATGCCAACTGCTGCAGATGACCAGCAGAAAAAAATTTTAGAAAAGAGGAGACCTACCTGAGGGTTAGAGTTCGAGAACCTCTGCAGCAGACAGCTAAAGCCAAAATATATTGCTCTTGCCTTCAAACAAGTTAAGACAGTCTGTCTGCATTCTCTATTGAGAAATTTATTTTCCAAAGCTTACCAAACTTTCTAGTACGCTCAAACTCTGAGGCTGAACATATACCACCATTTATTTTCCTGCTTACTCTATTAAATTCTGACCTGTGAGAACAGACCTCTTCGAGTTACATAAAAAAATGCACTTTAAAATATCTCTGTCAACTGTAATACTGCTTAATTTCCAACGAAGGTAGTATCAGCTAGCAACTAATAAAAATCTCTAATGGAATGCTTCCTAGTGGGTATTATAAGACCATGAAGTCATTAACCAGTTTTGATGTGATTCAAGCCAACAATATAATTTCTAACTAGAATATTAAACTTTGGAGGACAGACAGAAGGACAAAAAAAAAAAATGAATTACAGGTTGAGTATCCCTGCTCTGAAAAGTTCCAAAATCCAAAAGTTTTTGAGCACTGACATGACATGCTCGTTGGAACACTTTGGATTTCAGATTAGGAATGTTGAAACAGTAAGTACGTAACAAAACTATTCCAAAAAATCTGGAAAAATCTGAAATCCAAAACACTCTGGTCCCAAGCATTTCCGATAAGTGGATATTCAACCTGTAATGCTGTCGTGATGCACAGATAATGCTTTCAACTGAACCTACGGTGCACTTCTTTCCTGCCTTCTTTTATACTTATGAACACTTCTGCTGACTCCTGTAGACTTCAAGCTCCTTAAACAGAACCTGCAACTATTCTATATATCCCTTATCACCTAGCACAGCCTGCCTGGAACTCAAGGAATTCAGTACAAATACTCTGATGAAGGCCAGGCGTGGTGGCTCACACCTGTAATCCCAGTACTTTGGGAGCCCGAGGTGGGCGGATCATGAGGTCAGGAATTCAAGACCAGCCTGACCAACATAGCGAAACCCCGTCTCTACTAAAAACACAAAAATTAGCCGTGCGTGGTGGCACGTGCCTATAATCCCAGCTACTCAAGAGGCTGAGGCAGGAGAATCGCTTGAACCTGGGAGGCAGAGGTTGCAGAGAGCCGAGTTGGTGCCACTGCACTCCAGCCTGCAACACAGCAAGACTCTATCTCAAAAAAAAAAATAAAAAATACTCTGATGACTGAAACACTCATCCAGTTGCATTCAAGTTCATTAAGTTTTCTGGTTTTTTTTCACATATCTCTAAAACAGCCCTTTGAACAATGCTGAGTATATCAGATTTGCAATGTAATGAGAATAATTAATTTGTTATTTCAGATAAATTATATTACAAAGCCCAAAACTCCCAGCCCGGTACCTCTAATCCCAGTCCTGGTAAAACTGAGTTTTTCATCCAGTATCAAGTATATATTTATTCTACAAGAGGAGAAAGCCTTGTTATAATTTCATTTTGAAAACAAAAATCAGTAACTTATCTGAACTAAACTCTTGCATAATCAGAATTCTTTCAAGATAGAAGACAAATTCCCTGTACAATAAAGGAAAATGTCCCAATAGTTTATTTTGCAGTATTTACAGAACTAGGCTAGAACACCCTCTGAAAAGTGTTACACAGACAGCTTGTGCAGTCACTTTTTAAATCTTTCACTTATTTCCCATGAGCATTTCTCCATCATCAGTCTAATCTACTTATCCAGAGAATTAAATCAACCAGTTAACAGAGAGAGAGGCATGAATCTCATACATGATATCTATGAATTAGCCTTACTTATATCCATCAGTTTTAAGATGACAGGAACAAGATTGTGAAGATATTAGATTGAATCATGAAACTGTTGTTTTATATGACAAAAATAGTTGAATATCAGCAATTTCATGTGGTTCAACATAATACACAGCATGTACAAGCTAGATGGCTGGGAACAGACCAGAGAATGGTCTGTTAGGGACTTTTTAAAAGCCTCTCTCTCTGCTTTCTTCTGGTTTAAAGCTTTGTACAGTTTCCAAGTAAAGAAAAGCCCCAGTGTCATAACTATTTTCAACCCGAGATGTTTGCGTTTTCCAAAACAGAAGATGCCAAAAAGATTGACGACAATTGCAAAAACAAACAAACAAAAAAACTGTAAGACTTTTGTATACTAATTTTTGAGAAACTAATGTGACCAAAAGGAGCCTTTTGTTTTTTCTGTTACAGTGTGCTCAATCATACACAGCCCAGGAGGTAATCTTTTCTTTCTCATTACCCCAAGGGTAGTTATTACAGGTCATACTGACTTCTACTGTTGCAAGGTTTAAATGACTTTTGAATATTTGTTATGAGTAAACTTTCTGCAGTTCAATCTAGTCCAACAAAATACTAAATATACTTAAAAAATTTTTAGAGACACTGCTTAAAATGAAACTCAGGGCTTCAGACAGACCTCAATCAGCAAAGGAAAGACTGAGGTTCTCTTATGTCTTTTATCGGGTTCATGCTTTGTAAAACTTTACAAATTAAAGATGCCTGTTTTTTTGTTTTCTTTAAATTTTTTTTAAAAAAAATTTGTATAGACAGAGTCTTGCTATGTTGCCTAGGCTGGTCTCAAGCTCTTGGCCCCAGGCAATCCTCCTGCCTTGGCTTCTCAAAGCACTGGGAATATAGGCATGAACCACTGTGCCCAGCCTGTTTTCATTTTTTAAATTCTTACACTGCACCTATAGGGGGATTACCGATACCAAGTGAATCTAGAGATCAAGAAAAAAGTCCACAGCCTTACAGAAAAATGGGCAAAGAACAACCAACGGTGTACAGAAATGGAAATACCCAATGGTTCTTAAATATATGAAAAGATGTTCAACTCTCATTCAAGATAAAAATGCAAATTAAATCACACATTGATTCACCCACTGAATTGGCAAAGATCAAAATGTTTGATAACACTTACCCAGGGTAAAGAAAACATTTCTGGTTGGTGTATAAATTGTTACAATCTCTGTGAAGGGCAATGTCTATCAAAGTAAAAAATGTGCATCCCCTTTAATCCAGCAATTTCACTTCTAGAAATGTATCCCTACTGATATGTTTTAAAGGACAAATATAAAAGGTTTTTCACTGTGGGGACTATTTATAAAACACGTGAAAATGGAAATAACCTAAAAGTTCATCAACAGTGGATTAAATAAACTATGATACAGATAATGTAATAATATGCATCTCTTAAAAAATAAGGAAGCTCCATTTTTTAATAGAAAATATACATTTGTTTTAACATATAGAATATCTCCCAAAAGACACAAGGCTCTAGGGATGCTGGTTACTCCCATGGGAGGAAACTGGGTACACCTGAGTGGGAAGAAGTCCCACTGTATTCCTCTTAATACTTTCTGAATTTTGAACCATGTAAATATATTACCTATTCAAATAGTAAATTAAAAAATTTAAAAAGGAATTAGCAGCCTTTACAATTAATTTTTCCAAGTTGTGAAGAGGCTTATACATCGAGACCCACATGAGAGACAAGAAAGGAATTCTTCAGTGGCCTCCATTGCTATCTGAGTAAAATCAACCTTTTCATCATGACCACCATGGCCTCAGCATACCTCCCTGACCTTCTCTAACAATCTTCTCAATCCTGATGTTTTAGTCACTCAGGGCTTTAACTCTAATCCACAAACACATTGGGCTCTTTCCTCAGCCTAGAAAGCTCTTTCTTCCCTCAGGTCTTTTTATAGGTGGGTCCTTCTTGTCATTTAGGTCTCCTAGCAAATGAAGTTATCTTCAGAGGAGTCTTCCCTGACCACCCAATCTGAAGCCACTTCCACTTCTAGCCTATTCCTCTCATCACATTACCCTATTTTATTTTCTTCTTTATTACCACTACCTGAAATTATCTTGTTTTTATTTTTTCACTTGTCTATTGTGTTCCCTACTAGAAGTTAAGCTCAACGAGAATAGTATCCCCCTGTGCCTAGAATGGCATAACAGGCACTCAGTAAATATTTGTTCAATGAAATTTTGGTTGAGCAATTAGACTCCTTCTCTTTTGGGATCATTTTTCCCTAATGAGTTCTAGTTAATAAATTAAAGTTTAGGAGTTGTTGAATGAATGTAGCTATAGGAATCCAGGCATACTTTTAAAACAATAAAACATTTTAAAAAGAAAACTATCAAGTCACTCCAACTTTAAGAATTTATTGAGTACATTACAAAACTATTTATACCCTTCCCTGATTAAAAATCTTTTCAAATCCAAGAAAACGGAAGAAAAGGGAAACGTACAGAGCTATGGGGGGAGTTCCTGAATCCACAAGACAATAGTGAGAAAAGTACATTTCCCAGAATAAGTCAATCCTGGTTATAGAAGTACCATTACAGCAGCTGTCAGGAACCCAAGCTAAACTCTTAAGTTATTTCAAGTTAAATTCTTCTTTTTTTTTTTTTCCAGACAGAGTTTCATTCTTGTTGCCCAGGCTGGAGTGCAATGGCATGGTCTCGGCTCACTGCAACCTCCACCTCCCGGGTTCAAGCAATTCTCCCGCCTTAGCCTCCCAAGTAGCTGGGATTACAGGCGCCCACCAACATGCCCAGGTAATTTTTGTATTTTTAGTAGAGACGGGGTTTCACTGTGTTGGTCAGGCTGGTCTCGAACTCCTCACCCACCTTGGCCTCCCAAATTACAGGCGTGAGCCACTACGCCTTGCCTCAAGTTAAATACTATATATTATAATAAAATTCCAATATATTAAGTGAGGGAAATCCTTAGCATCTACTTATATTTGATCTATTGTTTTTGTATCTGACACTGGGTTGGATTCTGGATGTATGGAGAAAAGATAACTAACATTTATTAAATACAGACCAGTGTAAATATGTACATATGTAAAAACATGACTAGGCATATAACTAAATTTTTTCTATACCAGGCTAAGATGTAGAACACATTTCTGGCATAGCCAAATATTTCTCTAATTAAGAGCTGAACTACTTTGTAACTGTTGTATATAAGGAAAACCTAGAAACAAGCATAGTATTATGTGTTCAAGTCAGTACTTTTAAGATTTTCCCAGTTTACAGGTATTTCTTAGGTAAGTATAGATTCTAAAATGATTGTGAGGATTAGATATGCACTTGTACATAAAAAGCCTATTTCTCCTTCCTCTCCTCAATCTGTGTTATAATTTTATAGAAATGCCTAGCTAGTAAGGCTCATCTAGATAGATCAAGGCAAGCTGAAGATGAACAAGAAGGTACATGACTCTCAAGTCACTAAACCCAATAGGATAACAACAGAATGCTCCGACTATCAAGCCTCGGTGTGTGCTGGCAGTTTACAGGCTTACTGCTCTTCTTTCAGGCTATAAATAACTACAAACTGTCCTTGTCCCCAAGGAGACCTTAGCAGCCAGCTCAAAGGTTAAAATATGGAATAATTCTCACTTTGGATGCAACTTTTCCAGTCAGCAAAAAAAATCAAAAAAGCAGAAAATGTAATGCCAAGTTAAGTTAGGGCAGGGGGATCATTCCCTTGCCCTAGAAACTATCCACTATGTAACAGTTATTGATATAAACATGTTAGCAAAATTATTTACCCCAAAAATATGTCCAGGAAGAATGCAATGTATCTCTGCTCCAAATGCCGAAGTTTGTCCTAGAAAGGGGCAGATGCCACTCAAACACCTTGTAGGACTGCAACTCCCTGGACCTTAAAAAGACTTCTTGAATTTTTGTTTTACTTTTAATTTAGGCACAAAGGATTACTGAGCTAAACACATCCACATAACAACATCAGAGGAAAAAATTCCTCTGTCTCCATTTGGATGGAGGATCCAGCAGAATAATGGCCGCAACAAGCACAGGTTTCACAAGATCTGGGTTAATACCATCAGGTGACATGCTGCTGTTGTTAATTACAGAACCCCTGCTAGGAAGAAAAACTCCTCCAGCTGCTTAAAAAAAAAAAAAACAGAAAAAGAGAAAATAGAGTTCCTCAGATTAGACTTTTCCACACTGGGAAATACCTGAAATGGAAGGACAGGAATCCGAATCAGGAAACAAACCTGATTACAAAGGGGCTATTTCACTTCAGAGTGGGTCTCAGTTCCAAAAGAGAACATCTTTAGAAATGAAGTCAGAAAGGCAAACGCAAGCAATCAACAACTTCTCCATTCTCACAAATTAGAATCATGTGTTGATTCCACTAAATGGCTTGGGCACAAATCTCTAGGGCCACAAAGAGTGAACTTGGGAAAGATGAAGATTTTAACACGTCCCACATGTTATAAAAGATGCCTCCTCTAGGCTGAGAAAATTTACTTATTCTAAAGAAGAGCTGAAAAAGGATCAGAAAAGGAGGAAGCAGGGAAAAGCCCTATGGTAAGAAGATTCCATTTATTACATAAGTTAATATTCTCACAGCTGTTTTCCAATTTGAGAGGTTATGGTCTTTGACCCACTCCCCTCAATGATGACTATGAAGAACCTTATAAAATCTAAACAGTAAACAGATGAAAAGGCTGGCCCTAATACTATTTAAGCATGTCCAATCTGCAAGGAATTCAAAAACAGAAGAGTCATTTCATGAAACAAATAGAGCTTATATAACCCCACAGAGTCCCCTGGCTTTTATAGAAGCCAAATTCAACAGGCAGTTCTCTTTGGCCATCTATACTTCAGCCAAGCCATTTAAAAATATTTCTTGCTAACATGATTCGGCTATGGAAGGGACCCAAGGAATGAATTTCAAAGGAGAAAGTCTAATTAGTCTTAGGGCATACAATTTGAAATAAGTTCATTAACTTGGAAACTGAAAAGGCCCACCTGCTCCAGGGGATTTGGTCTCCTACAAGGGCAACTGATTATGTTCAGCATTAACTATTACTATCCAGCAGTAAAGAATTCAGTATTCCCATGAGATACTTTTCTTCCTGAAAGGCACCTAGACCTCCTTCCAACTTTAAAAGAGAAGGGAGGTATATGTATGTTTTTAATCTTCTCCTTTACAGTCTTAACTAAAAAAGCCTAACTACTATTTACATGGACCACGTGCCTTACCTAGAAACAATCTGCAGAAAATAAATTCCCTCTTCTAACATTATTAAAAATAAGCAAAATTCTATGTTAATGTTACAGTTCTAAGTAAACGAAATGGAACAAAGGATGGGCAGGAATTTCTCAGTTTTAAATGTTCATTCCAAAATTCATGACTCAAGGAAAAAGTAAAACCACACAGGCAGACAAAATAGGGAAGGTTAGACAGAATGTCTGTCTTAACAGAATTTCCTGGCTCCTGATGATTTGTGTCAGAATTTAAAAGATTAAAATGCAATAACACCTATTTAACCCAACATGACTCTGACAAAACATACACAAGCTTTGGAAGCTAAAAATTTCATACTACAAAGTAACAAGTTTTCAGATGTTACACAAAATGGTGGAGAGTTTTTTTTCTGTAAGTTACCCAGAGAGATATGAGCTCCAAGGTAAAATACACAAAGGCAATTTGTTCAAAATCAAACTCCTTTTATAAAGTAAAATGAAGCCTACAAATTTCTTTAAGGTATCTCTCTTTTTTTTTTTTTTTTTTTTGAGACGGAGTCTTGTTCTGTTGCCCAGGCTGGAGTACAGTGGTGCGATTTCAGCTCACTGCAACTTCTGCCTCCTGGGTTCAAGCAATTCTCCCACCTCAGCCTCCCGAGTAGCTGGGATTCAGGCACGTGCCACCATGCCTGGCTAATTTTTGTATTTTTAGTAGAGATGGGGTTTCTCCATGTTGGCCAGGCTGGTCTCAAACTCCTGGCCTCAAGTGATCCACCTGCCTCGGCCTCTCAAAGTGCTGGGATTATAGGTGTGAGCCACCGCACCTGGTCCCAAGTATCTCTTTTTCATAAACTGTAATTCTAATTTCCCTGAAGGTCTTTTATGTTTTTTCTGTTTGTTTTTGTTTTTGTTTTAGACAAGGTCTTGCTCTGTCACCCAGGCTGGAATGCAGTGGCACAATTATGGCTCACTGCAGCCTAGACCTCCTGAGCTCAAATTATCCGCCACCTCAGTCTCTTGAGTAGTTGGAACTGCAGGCATGTGCCACCACACCTGTCTAATTTTTGTATTTTTTATAGAGATGGGTTTTTACCATGTTGACCAGGATGGTCTCGAACTCCTGAGCTCAAGCAATCTTCCTGCCTCAGCCTCCCAAAGTGCTGGGATTACAGGCATGAGTCACCATGCCCGACCTTCCTGAAGAACTTTTCTAGGAAGAAAAATAATCTGACTCTAAGGTTTCCGTATCATATATTATCAACCATTGATTAAAAATTTAAATTCAAATATCATTTCTCCCCTCCACCATTACTGTAAAGTCTTATCCTATATCTAGAAATCACCAGAGAAGATCAGAATAAATAGTTCTGGCTTACTCCAGGTAAGAATATTTAGAATAAAACTTTTTTTGAAGACACTTATAGAAAATGTTTATTTAACACTGTAATAATTCTTATTTTAAAAGAAAATCTTACACGCTTACCTTATATGACTTTAACTTTTTAACTTTACCTATCATTTGCACTAAAATGAAACAGTAGATTGTACTCAAGAGGTGTATTTTTAAAAGTCATGGTAAATGTTTTTATGCATTTCATTCTGCTTTTTCCCTCATGATTAAACTATATTTAAAATAAAACTATGTAAAAACTCACCAAGTTAAGTCAGTAGGAAAACTCTAATTTGTCTTGTCTAACAGGAAATCTCTGTTGGAAATAGAGAATATGAATCAGACTTAACTAGATTCTGAATCTCATACAAGTCTTTACTTACTTTGTCTATTCCTAAAAAGGAAAAATCTCACAAAAGCAGGTGATATATGAAAGAAGAAATGACTAGTAAAAATTTACTAGTCAAAATTACCATTCTTAGGCCAAGGTGGGTGGATCACTTGAGGCCAGAAGTTCAAGACCAGCCTGGCATCATGGTGAAATCCTGCCTCAACCAAAAATACAAAAAATTAGCCAGGCATGGTGGTGCACGACTGTAGTCCCAGTTACTTAGGAGGCTGAGGCACAAGAATTGCTTGAACCCGGTGGAGGAGGGACACGCAGGGCAGGGCAGAGATTCCGGTGACCTCAAAATCATGCCACCGCACTCCAGTCTGGGTGACAGAGTGATACTCTCTCAAAAAAAACAAACAAAAAAATTACCATTCCTTTATCTCACTAGCTCTGAATGCTCTATTTCTTAGTCATCTCTCAAAAAAATATTATACTTAGAAATGGAAGTCAGAAAAATCCAAGCTGGTTCTCCTTTTTTTTGAGATGAAATCTCAGCTCTGTTAGCCAGGCTGGAGTGCAGTGGAGCGATCTCAGCCCACTGCAACCTCCACCTCCCACGTTCAAGCAATTCTCCTGCCTCAGCCTCCCAAGTAGGTGGGATTACAGGTGCCTGCCACCACGCCTGGCTAATTTTTGTATTTTTAATAGAGACGGGATTTTGTCATGTTGGCCAGACTGGTCTCAAACTCCTGACCTCAAGTGATCTGCCCACCTCGACCTCCCAAAGTGCTGGGATTATAGGCGTGAGCCACTGCGCCCAGCCCCAAGCTAGTTCTTCTAATAAACTGACCTATGAGTGCAGCAAAAATGAGGTGACTTGTCCTGTGTCAATATTTACAAGAAAAGAGAGATCACTGTTGCCAGCTCTTTCACAAAATGCTTAAAGAATTATTATAAGTTTTTATGTAAAACACCTTTTAAAAAAGTGCTCTATGGGTAAATTACACCAAAGCAAGATGCATTTAAACAAAGCCATGTATCCTATGGTTTTCTGTTTAGAGACAGGGTCTCACTATGCTGCCCCAGCTGGAGTACAGTGGCTACTCACAGGACTGATCATAGTGCACTATCTCAGCCTCCTGAGTAGCTGGCACTATGCAGGCACACGCCACCATGCCTGGCCCTATGGTTTTAATAAATAACTGTGACAATGAGATGCAGAATGGACTGGATTAATAGTGATTATACAAGGGAGAGAAAGAGGTTCCTGTTGAAGACTGGAGAGATAGCCAAGCAACACCAACCTCTGATAATCTACCATATCCTACAAAGTAGCTCAAAACAGAAACTGGGATAAGAGAAGTAGCAATGCTTCTAGGAGTCTAACATAGGCAGAAAATTCCACTGCTATATTCCCTTTTGTGAGAAAATAAAGTATTGCATAAATCATGGGTAAATGATTCCTTAAAAATAGAATCTCGGCTGGGCACAGTGGCTCACACCTGTAATCCCAGCACTTGTGGGAGGCCGAGGCAGGCGGATCACGAGGTCAGGAGATTGAGACCAGCCTGACCAACATGGTGAAACCCCGTCTCTACTAAAAATACAAAAATTAACTGGGCATGGTGGTGCACGCCTGTAGTCCCAGCTACTGGGGAGGCTGAGGCAGGAAAATCACTTGAACCCCACAGTGGTTGCCGTGAACAGAGATCGCACCACTGCACTCCAACCTGGTGACAGAGTGAGACTCTGTCTCAAAAAAAAAAAAATAGAATCTCTTCCTGAAAATGTAAGCACCAACTTTAACTAGTACATGGTACAAATAAGCTTCTCTTAGACTATAATAGGTTTTGGTAAACCAAGTCCAGTTACTATCAGTGATCAAATGAGCCATCACCAAAAACTGTGCTAAATGACTGATGCTAAAACAGGGCAGTCTTAATCAGATACCATAAAATAAATTCACCTGAGGTCAGGAGTTCGAGACTAGCCTGGCCAATGTGGTAAAACCCTGTCTCTACTAAAAATAACAAAAGTTAGCCAGGCGTGGTGACGGGCGTTTATAATCCCAGCTACTTGGGAGGCTGAGACTGGAGAATCGCTTGAACCTGGGAGGTGGCAGTTGTAGTGAGCAGAGACTGAGCCAACAATCCCACGTAGTTCAGTTAATAATAGCAGGAGTCAGGCTGAATTCATGCAACAAATATTTACTGAGTACCAACTGCAGGGCATTCTTTGAGACACAGTGGTAAAAGAGACAGACAAGGTTCCCAACCCTCTGAGGATAGAAAGATAGAATGCCTTTAAGGCAGAAGATATCAACCAACTCTAACAAATGAAAATAAATAGCTGTGATTCTTAAAGCAGAAACCAATACCTTTAGTCCCTTACTCTCCACTTTTTTTTTTAAGCTTAAGGTTTGGGTTTCTCAAAATTTAAAGCATCTGACAAAACTGGTAAGGGCTGAACAGGGAGACTATCATACTGTTGGTAGGAGAACAAACTGGTACCACCAGTTTGGAAAATAGTTTATTATTATCTAATAAGACTAAAGATTCTGCAATTCCACTCCAAGTATATGGCCTAGAGAAACTTCTGTACATGTTCACAGCAGCATTGTTCATTAACAGCCAAAAACTAGAAACAATCAAAGTGTTCATCAACAGAATGAATACATAAATTGTGGTATATTCATATAACAGAATGCTATATGGCAATGAAATCAAACTACAGTTCTATATAGTAACATGGATGAAAGTTATGAACATATATATTGTTAGGTTCTTCCTGAAAGAAGACATAAAAATGTAAAAATCACATAATGTATTATTCCAATTTATACAAAGTTTAAAAACAGACAAAACTAAATTATATTGGTTTAGAATGAATCCTAGGTGGTAAAATCATAAAGAAAAATAAGGATATGATTATCACACATGTCAGAAGAGTGGTTATTCTGAGCAATGGTATACGTTATGATCTAGAAGGGAGACGCAGCAGGCTTCTTCCAGGTGCTGGCAATGATATATTTCTAGGTCTAACTGGTGGTTACCTAGGTATTTGCCTTCTGTAATTAATCCTTACATTATACAGTCATGCTTTGTGTATTTTTCTGTTATATTTCATAATAAAAATGTTCAAGCCAGGCATGGTGGCTCACGCCTGTAATTCGAACACTTTGGGAGGCTGAGGAGGGAGGATCACTTGAGATCAGGAGTTCAAGACCAGCCTGGCCAACATGGTGAAACACCATCTCTACTAAAAATACAAAAAAAATTAGCCAGATGTGGTGGCGCACACCTGTAATCCCAGCTACTTGGAAGGCTGAGGTGGGAGGATCACTTGAACCCAGGAGGCAGAGGTTGCAGTGAGCCAAGATGGTGCCATTGCACTCCAGCCTGGATGACAGAGTGAGACCCCGTCTCAAAAAAAAAAAAAGTTCAAAGCATACATTATTAAAATAACCTAATAGAGTAGATGTCTATCTAGCCTCCAATAATATATAAGTGTGAGTACATCTTGCAAATAATACAGTTTTTTTAAAAAAAAAGACAATTTAGGATGAGAAGTCAGTAATAAAGCAGGGCCACCCAGGAATAAATACCTATAGGCAGGATTTTCTATTACGTTCTTTGAATTTAAATGCCATACCTAAGATCTATATTTCAGGGAAATTTTCTGTACTAATATAAAGGTTTAAATCTACATATGACTACCACCAGGAACCATGAGTTAATCCCCAAATTATTTTGAGACAAAATCTTCTGAAAAAGCAAAGCCAAGACACAAGTATTTTTTGGTTTTACTAGTTTAATCATGGCCTCTGATGGAACCTCCAGTAAAATCCCAACTCCCTCTGAGTGAAAGCCTTACAATGGCCAAAAGGGTCCTGCACAATCTGGACTTGATTACCTCTCTGGCCTCATTTCCAACTACGTTTTCCTGATCTCACTATGTACCAGCTACACTGCCGTTCTTTGTTGTGATTCCTCAGAATAAGCCCATTCCTGCCTTGGAGCATTGTACGTGTCATTTTCTGTCTGAATAAGTCTTCCCCTAGATGTTCTCAGGGCACACTCCTTCACCATTGCTAAGACTTTCCTTGTCACCATCTCTGTGAGGTCTTCCCTGATACCCTTAAAAATGAATTCCTGGCTGAGCGTGGTGGCTCACGCCTGTAATACCAGCACTTTGATATGCCGAGGCGGGTGGATCACTTGAGGTCAGGAGTTCAAGACCAGCCTGGCCAATATGGTGAAACCCCGTCTCTACTAAAAACACAAAAATCAGCTGGGCGTGGTGGCACACACCTGTAGTCCCAGCTACTCAGGAGGCTGAGGCAGGAGAATCGCTTGAACCTGGGAGGTGGAGGTTGCAGTGAGCAGAGATTGCATTACTGCACTCCAGCCTGGATGACAGAGCAAGACTCTGTCTCCAAAAAAAAAAAAAAAAAAAAAAAAAAAGCAATTCCCTCCGTTAACAACCACAATCCTATTCCTGCTTCATCATTTTTTTTTCTATAGCGCATAAAGTCATCTACCATCCTGTATCTTTTTACAATCTGTCTTCTCTAACTGGAAAATAAACTCTACCAAGACAGGTTCTTGTCTGTTTTGCTGCTGCACCCAGACAGTGTCTGGCACATGGAAGGCTACAAATACTTATTTAATAAATGACTGAATTAATGTTTTCTTTTAGATTCCCGTGCTTGAAAGATTAGACAGTAACTCTATAGCACAAAAAAAAAGAAAAAAAAAAAACCCAGAATGTTTCTCCCCTTGTATGTCAAATTAACAAAGTTTATTTTACTAACAAGTTTCAGGTTTATGCACTTATTAATATTAATGAGTCAGAGTTAAGACTTCTAAAAAGTTGATACAAACATATTTTCCCTTAACAAATGTGTAATAGTGGCCAGGCACGGTGGCTCACGCCTAAAATCCCAGCGCTTTGGGAGGCCGAGGTGGGTGGATCACCTGAGGTGAGGAGTTTGAGACCAGCCTGGCCAAAATGGTGAAACCCTGTCTCTACCAAAAAATACAAAAATTAGCCGGGTGTGGTAGTTGGCACCTGTACTCCCAGCTACTAGTCAAGAAGCTGAGGCAGGAGAATCGCTTGAACCTGGGAGGCAGAGGTTGCAGTGAGCCAAGATGACGCCACTGCACTCCAGCCTGGGTGACAGAGTGAGACTCCGCCTCAAAAAAAAAAAAGTGTAATACCTGTTTTTAATAACAATGCCATTGAGGGCACAAAGAGACAAGAACTCTCATGTACTGCTGGTGCGGTGCAAATCAGCATAACTATTATGGGAACTACTTGACAATATGTAGGATAAAGATTGAGTACTTACTATATATACTATTTAAGTTTGTAAAAAGTGAGCACATTTTACTTTTATAGTCAGAAAAAAAAGGTTTTTAAAAGAAAGAATCATGCAAAAAAATATATAATTTCAATAAAAAAGTTCTTCAGCACCTTGGGAGGCCAAGGCAGGCAGATCACTTGAGGTCAGGAGTTTGAGACCAGCCTGGCCAACATGGTAAAAACCCATCTCTACCAAAAAATACAAAAATTAGCTGAGCATGCTGGCATGCGCAGAGGTTGCAGTGAGCCGAGATCATGCCACTGCACTCCAGCCTGGGTGACAGAGTGAGACTCTGTCTCAAAAAAAGAGAAAGTTCTTTATATTGTATTTTGACTCCAACAAAAGCAATAAAGGCTTCTGTTACATATCCAGATGAAATATCTCAAGAGGGTAACTACAGTTAGAAAAATAATGGTTTTTTACTTAGGAACTAAAAAAAGTTTTATAGCAGTTTCCAGAGTGGAAGGGAAAACGAACCCTACAGTGTTAGTGTTCCATATAAGAGCATCATTTTCTTCTAAAGAAAGATTTAAGATAGGAACATTTCTCTGTAGCATAAAATGTGGGACTGATGTGACAAAGAGCAGGTAAACAATTCCAATCAAACTTGGTGACTATGATGGCATAGGGAAGATAATTCACTGAATGAAATTGCCTATTGGGTGACATGACAGATACTTCCGAGTATACATATAGTGCTTGTACTTTTGATGGAATACGTCATCTATGTTAAAGTTGGCGTAAGCCTAGATCCAAAGGTTACTTTCCAACCACAATACTTATTACCTGAACCAAACCCTAAGACAAGAACAGATCTGAGATAAAATACACAGGCATCTGATATACTAGTTCTATTTATTACTCTGATTTCTATTTGAAGGTCTTATTGGTTGTCTTAAAAAAAATTCAGCACATAAATTCTCAAATTCTTAAAGATAGTTGATATATTCATGAGACAGGTGGCTGCCCAAACTAGTTGTTAAGAAAGGAAGTCCTACTCAAACGCTTGCAGCAGGCAGAGTGTGTTATTAGAGAAGAGTAACAGTTTTCATTTGTAACACTTCAGGATTCCAAGTGCTCAAAGCTCTGAATAGGAGCCAGGTTTAAAGGGTGAAAAAACATGGAGCATAAAAATTAAAAATATACTCAACCTCACAATAATGAATAAGGCACAGTGGATTAAAGACTCCAGAAAAAATTTATAAATGAAAACCACTGGCAATTGAAACATATGGTCCTTGAACAAAATTTAAATGTAATAATTCTAATCAAATATCGAGGTGAAGACATATTTTTTAAATGCTACCTTTGGCTAAGAATGCTTCAAGAAACCCTTCTATAAATATCAACTATGTCTGGATCACACTGAACTTATAAAGTAATATAAGAAGAACATGAACTGGATTGGAGATCACTAAATAGTCCCACACAGTAGGGAGAAAATATTCTAGAAGAAGGCCAGGTGTGGTGGCTCACACCTGTAATCCCAGCACTTTGGGAGGCCCAGGCGGGCGGATCACTTGGGGTCAGGAGTTCAAGACTAGCCTGGCCAATATGGTGAAACCGCATCTCTACAAAAACACAAAAATTAGCCAGGCATAATGGCAGGTGCCTGTAATCCCAGCTACTTGGGAGGCTGAGGAAGGAGAATCGCTTGAACCCAGGAGGCAGAGGTTGTAGTGAGCTGAGATCGTGCCACTGCACTCCAGCCTGAGCGACAGAGTGAGACCCGTCTCAAGGAAAAAAAAAAAAAAAAGAAAGTATTCTAGGAGTTAAAAAGTAGTAAAAGAAAGCTTACAAGGAGAATAAAAGGTGAGCAGTAACTGAAATTTATTAAAAAACAGTTAATAACATGAGACAACAGAAATGCAAAATATTAAAATACAAAGCTGGCCAGGTGCTGTGGCTCACACCTGTAATCCCAACACTTTGGGAGGCCAAGGCAGGAGGATCACATGAGCTCAGGAGTTCAAGACCAGCCTAGGCAACATAGTGAGACCCTGTCTCTAAAAAATTAACTAAATTAAAATAAAATGCGAAGTTGCCAAATTTATCAGATTCCAAAAAGAATCCATAAGGAAAGAAAATTTCAGAGCCTCTCATTCTCTGATAAAAGAAGAGTATCATTTCAAAGTATAGAAGGTTTTCCTCATCCCTCTCCCTCCCTCAAATAATGACTATAAATACCAAAGTGTTGGACCCAGTGGGAGAACTCAAATAATGAGGTAGTTTAGGACAAAATCAAACCACTGAAACAAAAGAAGAGGAGAAGGAAGAAGAAGATGATGATGATGAGGACAAAGACCAGAAAAGATATGTACAAGGTTGTTCACTAGTTGTCTGTAATGTAATGGGGGGTAAAAAGGAAAACAATTTAAATATCCATCAAAGGGATTGTGGAAAAACTGTGAAATATTCATACTGTATAATAAAAACAAAACAGCTAAAATGGAAGACCTAGATCTGAATCTACCAACATGTACAGATTTTGGAAAAAAAGAATGAAAATAAGACTGCTGCAGAACTTATATACATATAAATATATATACATATGCACATATATACTCACACATATGTATATAATTTATTGTCTAAAAATTAAACACGTAAAGCAATACATTTTCATACATACACACATACATACATACACATCTATATTGCACTGGAATGATACACACTAAATTCATGGCAATAGGTTGTCTCTGGTAGTGAAGGATGGAAACAGAACTGAAAGTATAAATAAATAAAACTTTAGCTGACAGTGTCACAGTCTCTTTTTGTTTGGCTTTTTCTTTTTTTAAGCTTTTCAAATCGATGAATTCAGGAAAAATGGTAAATTAGAAAAGCTAAAGATTGCTTAATGACTTGTGATATAGGAAAAAAAGCTAAATAGCTCAAAGCAATATTTTAAATAGATACTAATGCAGCCTAAATCAAACCAAAAAGAGCCTATGAATTCAGTCCAGATCATCTCACTAAGGAAAATCCTGTGTTGGTAAATATTTTTCCTATAGCTGATGGAAATTATACAGCACTGGGGTTCCTTAAGCAGAGAAAGTATAGGGACTGACTTCATAAATGTCAATAAGAAAGCACATCTTCTTTCTTTCCTTCTTTTTTTTTTTGAGACGGGGTCTCCTTCTGTCACCCAGGCTGGAGTACAGTGATTCGATCTCTGCTCACTGCAACCTCTGCCTCCCAGATTCAAGCAATTCTCCTGCCTCAGCCTCCTAAGTAGCTGGGATTACAGGCACGTGCCACCACACCCAACTAATTTTTTTTTTGTTTTTAGTAGAGATGGGGCATGTTGGTGAGGCGGGTCTCGAACTCCTGACCTTGTGATCTGCCCACCTCGGCCTCCCAAAGTGCTGGGATTACAGGCATGAGTCACCGCGCCCAGCCAGAAAGCACATCTTAAATAAAAATAATGTCCACAGTAATCTGACATATCTTCATAAAGACCATAAATCCTTATACTTTGCCTTAATTTTATTTATTCCTCTAAGAACCAATCTCTCTTTTAATCATCTCAAATTTTAGTACCTGAAACTCAAAGACAGATTATAAAAAGAAC
This sequence comes from Homo sapiens, assembly GCF_000001405.40. Taxonomy (NCBI): domain Eukaryota; kingdom Metazoa; phylum Chordata; class Mammalia; order Primates; family Hominidae; genus Homo; species Homo sapiens. Next base: position 49,645,767 of record NC_000017.11, read on the forward strand.
ACTTAAGGCTTTTTTGCCTTCTTGAATTCACTTAAGCTTTTTTTCCCCTTCTTTCAAACATGTTTTTCCTCCTTCTTCCTTGACGTTTCCCATCTCCAACCTGTTGTTGTTTTTTTTTCCTTCCATTATCTCACTGACCAACAGTTGCTTTCAACTGCTAGCAAGCCTCTGGCATATTTATATTTTTCACTTCTTAAAGGAAAAGATGCTCCCACTCCACAGCCCAAAGGTCAAATAAAGGGGAAAAAACACATAAAAAGTACTAACCATATTTTGCTGCCTTTCCTTTCTGTATTATGGCTAGGAATAAAGCTCTAATTGCCAAATAAGAGAGCAAAATCAAACTTACCTGTACATTTTATCATCTTTATAACATTTAAATTTATCCAGGGTCCTCTGTTTCACAAGTCACTTTGGTTAGGAATTATAAGGCCACTTAAAATAGGCCACTATAGTTGAGCACTATAGTCTAGTGGAAACCATAACCTCAAGATTCACAGTAGAGGAACAACCTAGGCCAGGCGTGGTGGCTCATGCCTTTAATCCCAGCACTTTGGGAGGCCAAGGTGGGCAGATCACTTGAGGTCAGGAGTTCCAGACCAGCCTGGCCAACATGATGAAACCTCGTCTCTACTAAAAATACAAAAATTAGCCCTGCATGATGGCGCAAGCCTGTAATCCCAGCTACTTGGGAGGTGGAGGCCACAGTGAGCCGAGATCACGCCACTGCACTACAGCCTGGGTGACCGTCTCAAAAAAAAAAAAAAAGAGAGAGAGAGAGAGAAGCAACCTGTGCATTTCCACCCCCATCCTCCTTTAAAAGGATTTCCAAGGTCCTTTCCAGTTAAATGCTTTAAGCTATATAACCACTCCCTCATAAGCAGTATTCAATGTTTCACAGTCTTCAAAGTACTCTGACATTTATGATCTTATTTGGGATTTTCAACAGCTCTGTGAGGCACACAGAGCAAGCAAGTATTTTACAAATAAGGGAACAGAAGCTCAGAGTTCCAATTTGCTGTGGTCACATGGCTATTAATGGGCTTGAGTTTAGAACACAAAGTCTTTTAACTCCTAAACCAACACTTTGCAATTCCTTTGGGGTGACTCTTAGATCAGGTATGGTCTTTTATTCAACATGTAGAAATGGAAAAAATACCTGAGAAAGATACTTATATTCTCTAGCTTTCAGTTCCAATTTCATTTTCAAGTGGCAACTCAGTATGAAAGTATGTTCTTTTGGCCGGGCAAGGTGACTCATGCCTGTAATTCCAGCACTTTGGGAGGCCAAGGCAGGCACATCGCCTGAGCTCAGCAGTTGCAGACCATCCTGGCCAACATGGTAGAACCCTGTCTCTATTAAAAAATACAAAAAAAAAATTAGCCAGGTGTGGTGGTGCATGCCTGTAGTCCCAGCTAATCGGAAGGCTGAGCGGGAGGCTGAGGCTGGAGAATCGCTTCAGCCCAGGAGGCAGAGAGGTTGCAGACAGCCGAGATCACGCCACTGCACTCCAGCTTGGGCTACAGAGTGAGTGAGATGCCGTCTTAAAAAAAAAAAAAAAAAAAAAAAAAAAAAAGTTCTTTTGTTCTAATGAATTTGGAGCACCATTATTAATGGAGACCTCAGCAAATCATTAATGGGTTCGTGTCTACTTCCATGACTGGATCCTGGGAACGAATCCTATGTTGTAATTATTTTTATTTTTTTTAAATTTTTTTATTTCTTGAGATGGAGACAGAGTCTTGCTCTGTCACCCAGTCTAGAATGCAGTAGCGCAATCTCGGCTCACTGCAACCTCCACCTCCCAGGTTCAAGCGATTCTCCTGCCTCAGCCTCCCGAGTAGCTGGGATTACAGGGGTGTGCCACCATGCCCAGATAATTTCTGTATTTTTAGCAGAGACGGGGTTTCACAGTGTTGGCCAGGCTGGTCTCAAACTCCTGACCTCAAGTGATTTGCCCACCTTGGCCTCCCAAAGTGCTAGGATTATAGGTGTGAGCCACTGCGCCTGGCCCTCCTATGTTGTAATTATTTTAGAATGACTTTTCATGCCTTAGCACCTAATCATCATTAATTTTTTCAAATAAAATATCTATTGTTCTAACTGCCAGAGTAATTTTTCTAGTCTAAGTTTTCAAGAAACCAGTGTCTTTCTCCACAGTTACCTTCCTCTCCTTTGCCACAAGCTTACAGAAAAGCACAATTTTTACCATTCTTTAATTATATTCATTTCAGGTGTCCATACTAACTGGCACCTCTTCAACTCAATTGCTTAAGCTAAAAACCCTATCTTTTCCTATCCTCTTTATCAGGAAGTCCTGTCAGCTGTCCTGCTTCTCAATGTATTCCATATTTATCCATTTTTGTCCAAGCCAGAGTTTTCTCACCTGAATAGTTACTGGTTTCTAATTGATCTCCCAGCTTCCTCTGTAGCCCAATTTATGTATTCTTCACATAGCAGCCACAGTGAGCTTTTAAAATGTAAATCCAGATATTGCTCCTTCACTTAACCACACTTAGAATTCCAGCTCTTTATCTGAACCTACAGAGTCCTATAAGAGCTGGCCCATTATACCAAATTCATCACCTACCACTCTCCCTTATCACTAACTTTACTCCAAAACACTGGGTTTTCTTTCTACAAACAAGCCAAGATTGTTTCCATCTTAGGGCCTTTGCATTCTTCCCTCAGGCTGGAAGACGCTTCTTCCAGATATTCACATTGCTTCTTGTTACTTAGGTCTTCTCTGACCATAGCCAAAAGTAGTAGCTCTACTCCTACACCTGCTATGAATGTTTCATGTGACTTAATCCTCTACACTGTGGGTGCACTTAGAATAATCACATGTGGTCCTGCCGGGCTGAGACTCAGAACCTAGACAATGGGGGCTCTCCTCAAAGAATGCCCATTTCTACGTCAGAAGCAGCTCCCTGGTCTTTTTCTTTTCAGTGCCCAACAGAGTACCTACTAAACTCTTTTTACTTTGGATGTAAATTTTTTTTCTTTTTTGAGACGGAGTCTCACTGTGTTGCCCAGACTGGAGTGCAGTGGCGGATCTCGACTCACTGCAAGCTCCGCCTCCCGGGTTCATGCCATTCTCCTGCCTCAGCCTCCCGAGTAGCTGGGACTACAGGCGCCCGCCACCACGCCCGGCCAATCTTTTGTATTTTTAGTAGAGACGGGGTTTCACCATGTTAGCCAGGATGGTCTTGATCTCCTGACCCCATGATCCGCCAGCCTTGGCCTCCCAAAGTGCTGGGATTACAGGCGTGAGCCACCGCGCCCAGCCTGGGTGTAAAATTTTTAAACAAAGCCATACTTAATCTTAGAAAATTTTCCTATAATGTTGTTTAGGTCTCTCTTTTTAAAAATTACATCACACCTCTAGATTCTGTATTTTTTATTTGCCTTAAAGAAATCAGCCAGAAGCGGTGGTGTCCCATTATGACTAGTTTTTGTTCTCTTTAATTGATAGAAAGTAAACTATGGGCCGGGAGCTGTGGCTCACGCCTGTAATCCCAGCACTTTGGGAACCAAGGAGAGCGGACCACCTGAGGTCAGGAGTTTGAGACCAGCCTGGCCGCCATGGTGAAACCCCGTCTCTACTAAAAACACAAAAATTAGCTGGGCGTGGCGGCGCATGCCTGTAATCCCAGCTACTAGGGAGGCTGAGGCAGGAGAATTGCTTAAACCGGGAGGGGGAGGTTGCAGTGAGCTAAGATTGTGCCATTCCACTCCAGCCTGGGCAACAAGAGTGGAACTCGGTCTCAGAAAAAAAGAAGAGGCCGGGCGCGGTGGCTCACGCCTGTAATCCCAGCACTTTGGGAGGCCGAGGCGGGCAGATCAAGAGGTCAGATCGAGACCATCCTGACTCACACAGTGAAACCCCGTCTCTACTAAAAATACAAAAAATTAGCCGGGCATGGTGGCAGGCGCCTGTAGTCCCAGCTGCTCGGGAGGCTGAGGCAGGAGAATAGCGTGAACCCGGGAGGAGGAGCTTGCAGTGAGCCGACATTGAGCCACTGCACTCCAGCCTGGGCGACAGAGAGAGACTCCATCTCAAAAAAAAGAAAAAAAGAAAAAGAAACCACTAGTTTCTTACTTTATAGTACATAGTTTACTTTCATTTATTTATTTATTGAGACGGAGTTTCGCTTCTTGTTGCTCAGGCTGGAGTACAATGGCACGATCTCGGCTCACCTCAACCTCCACCTCCCAGGTTCAAGCGATTCTCCTGCCTCAGCCTCCCCAGTAGCTGGGATTACAGGCATGCGCCACCATGCCCGGCTAATTTTGTATTTTTAGTAGAGACAGAGTTTCTCCATCTTGGTCAGACTGGTCTTGAACTCCCAACCTCAGGTGATTCGCCCGCCTTGGCCTCCCAAAGTGCTTGGATTACAGGTGTGAGCTACCGCACCCAGCCCATAGTTTACTTTCTATCAATTTAGAAAACAACAACTACTCATAGTGGGACCGGGGAGATGAGATTTGTTTTCCAGGATGAGAAATTGGCTTATAAATAGAAAAACAGGCTGGGTGCAGTGGCTTATGCCTGTAATCCCAGCACTTTGGGAGGCTGAGGCGGGCAGATCACTTGAGGTCAGGAGTTTGAGACCAGCCTAGCCAACATGGTGAAACCCTGTCTCTACTAAAAATACAAAAATTAGCCGGGCATGATGGTGCACGCCTATAGTCCCAGCTACTCGGGAGGCTGAGGCAGGAGAATCCCTTGAAACCGGGAGGTGGAGGTTACAGTGAGCCAAGCTCGTGCCACTGCACTCCAGCCTGGGCAACAGAGCAAGACTCCGTTTCAAAAATAATAATAACAATAATAAATAAATAAGTAGAAAAACAAAAAGTAGAGATATGAGTATTTTTGGAGATGAAGATCTAAGTAATACCAGCAATTTTAACAAATACCTTATACAGTGATAGTAAAAATTGACAAAACTTGCTAATACTAAATTTTTCCAGAGTAAAAGACTAAGCTGATTTGAATAAAGTGATGGAAGTTCTAAATACTCTTTGTGGGCAAGAAGTTTGTACCCAGAACATCCTGTATTGTGCCTAGCACAGAGAAGGTGCTTCACAAGAAAAGTCTGGTGAATAAAGGAATAAAATAGCTCTGGAGATATAAAAGGACTTAATAATATCCAGTCAAATTATTTCATTTTACAGATCAAGGAACTGAACCCCAAAGCAGCTTAGTGGCTTGCCCAATGTGTTAATAATACACACAGGAAGCCAGCAGCGGAGTTTAGAACAGTACCTAGCTATCATACTATCTCCCCACAGTTATGTGAGGAAAAAAAGAGATGTTGGGCTCAAGAATTTCAGTGTGGGTAAATGAAAGATAAAAGATTGGTGAAAAATAATCAGACTGTAATTCAGGATATTGGGTCCAATAATGATTGATAAATTGGAATAGCACAAGAAAGATATTGGTGAGGCACTATAGTTACCATTAAGTAGGGTCCAAATGGGCCACCAAATTCTCCTCATTATCAGAAACGATACTAGAAACAAAACCAGAAAACACACACAAAATTGACTTCCCTCAACCTAGCTTTCCAGTCTTATCTAATGTGACTGTTCAAATTAAGTCAACTGTCAAGCTACTCAATTCCACTGCTCAGTCTATATTCACAACAAAATTAAAGTGGCTATACAAACTGGATTCCTCCTAAGGATATGGAGTTACAAAGATAAATTTGCAACTCTATTTGTTCTTGGCTCCTGTAACCTTTTATTTTCAATTCAACCAAATCTTTACTGATTAAAACAGCACAGACATAATTTGACTCTGATTCTTAAGATGTGAAAGGTGTCTTTATTTCCGGAATAAAAGGCTTCCTTTATTTCCTCTTTCAAAGCAAAGATTCATCCTATCATCTTAATCAAATTATTACCAAATATTTAGAGTACCCATTTTGTGATAGGCCTATGGATCATTAAATTTTGGAAGAATAGGCCCAACACGATGGCTCATGCCTGTAATCCCAACACTTTGGGAGGCCAAGGCAGGCAGATCACTTGAGGTCAGGAGTTCCAGACCAGCCTGGCCAACATGGTGAAACCCTGTCTCCACTAAAAATACAAAAATTAGCCAGGCGTGGTGGCGGGCGCCTGTAATCCCAGCTACTAGGGAGGCTGAGGCATGAAAATTGCCTGAACCCAGGAGGCGAAGGTTGCAATGAGCCGAAATCGTGCCATTGCACTCCAGCCTGGGTGACAGAGTGACATTCTCAAAAAAAAAAAAAATTGGAAGAATAAGTTTTCCCCACCAATACTACTACAGGTGGATCATCCCTAACCTGAAAATCTGAAATGCTCCAAAATCCAAAACTTTTTAAGCACGGGTATGATGCTCAAAGGAAATGTTCATTAGAGCATTTTGGATTCTGAGTATTTGGATTAGGGGTGTAAATATTTCAAAATCAGAAAAAAATAAAAAATCTGAAACACTTCTAGTCCCAAGCATTTTGGATAAGGGATGTTCAACCTGTAGTAGAGTCACCAGAGAGACAGATTTTAATCTTAAAGCTAACAACTAATCTTAACATTAGTAAATGTGTTTCTATTGCTTGTGCCTAACTGAAGTCAATCAACCATAAAAAATATTCATTGAATGTAGTTTGAATGTCCAGTCCCATGCTGAACTGCCAATCTCACCATTACCAATGTCTTTGTGTGGTTTGAATAAGGAGAAAGTGTTTCTGGCCTTGAAGAGCCAGGAAAAGACTCAACTTAAAAGAGTAACTCATATGTTCAAGAACTTAAGAGTTTCTCTTCAGTACATAAAATTTCCTCCTCTAGACAATTTCCTACCATCTCTTACAGTAAATTCTTCCTTTAAATAGCAAGCCATTTAGAAGTCACCAAAACTATACCCTGACCCTTTCATCCCTGCATACCAAATGGAACAAAAACACAGTAAAACCAATTTTAAACATCTAGAATAGTCAGCTAGGAATTCAAATCAGGAAGGGAAACTTTGGACTCTAGACCCAAATTCGCTTCAAATAATACTTAAGGAACTTATAAATATATTTCTAAGGGATTGGGCCCCTCAAAGTTACAAAACATGGGGAAGAGTTAAAACTACCACTTTATCATTATTGCCAGAGGTAGTTGCTTTAAGAACTGTCTTACAAAGGTCAGCATTTTATTGGGTCTTCCAAAAATCAATCCTTCACAATGAGAAATGGACGTCAGTTAAATAAACTGTTAGAATAAGAACAAGTCAATATATTCATAAGCTATTGCTATCCTCAGGGCCTGAATTCTAGTGCAGGCTTGAAGATACTTTCCTGAATCTGAATTTCCTCATTTTTTTTCCCCCTCATCTTTAATTGAGGGTGACTGTGTAAGAATCTCTAAGGTCCCTTCAGTGCTAAAGTTCTATGCCCCTTTGGAAACACTGTTAAAATTGTATCTACTTTTCTTCATATATGCATTTTATTTTAAAGAAAAGCAATATATATACATAACCTAAGTAATTCAAAAGTTACAGGAAGCTACAATTGAAAAGTAAGTTTCCTTCTAGATTTCAAATCCCTCTCTAAAGCCTTTAGAGAGGGATTTTTTATATCCTCAAAACAAACAAACAAACAAAAAATGAACACAACAGGCATCTACCAGCATATATATATATAAAATACAAATAATATTTTCCCTGTAGACACACTTTATTCTTTCTAATGGTTGCAGAGAATTCCACTGTTACCCTGCCGAATGGTTTCCATGTTTTTGCTACTGCAAACAATGTAGCAAACAAGTATATCTAAACATAAGCACAAGTAGGCCCAATAGCCTGCATGCTGTTTATTTTGATATTGTCAAATTGCCCTCCAAAATATATCAATATGTACTTCCAATGTGACTCCCACTTGAGCATCTACCCTCTTTGATACATTCAGGATGGTCAGAGATAGTCACAGAAGAGTGGGTACAAAAAAAACCTTTCAGTAGAAGAGCCAGTGAGATTTAGACCAAAAAAAGAGAAAGTCAGAAATGCCTTTTATAAATACAAAAATAATATAAATATATAATATAAATATAATATACACAATATATAAGTATATAATAGATATGATATGTGGTACTTTGTTTACAAGATTTAAGTGTTGATGCTTCCTTGCAGAGCTCTGAAAGAAGATACAGACAGAAAAAAAGTTTTTTCTATTCAAGGAGAGTAGGTGAGCAACTTGTATTGCAAATCCTATGAATCCCAAGAAGGCCTAATTCTGTCTTAGATCAGGATGTGAATTTAAATGTACAACTAAATTCCTCTACATATAATCTGGCCTCTTTCACCCAGAAATGGTTATTAGCACAGTGAAAGTGAATTTAGTTCTTTGTCTTTGTCACTGACAAAGGATACCTATTAATGCAGCCATTATCCCCCAATTAAATAGGACAGTGCACAATTCCAGAGGTGATAAACATGTTAGTAAAACACATAGACAACAATTCTTCAGGCATTTTTAAAACTGTTTGTTTTTTACTAGTGACAGTGTCTATCTATGTTGCCCAGGCTGTTCTCAAACTCAGGGACTCAAGTGATCCTCCTACCCTGACCTCCCCAGGAGCTGAGACTACAGGTATGCTGCCACCACAGCCAACTAAATGTTTAATTAAATAACTGTTACAATGTCTGGCATGTAGTAGATACTGAATAAGTAATTATTAAATTAATTCATGGCATCCACTTTGGAAATTATGTTAGTTTCTTTTTTCCTTTCTTTCTTTTTTTTAAAGAGACAGTAGCACTTTGTGAGGCCGAGGCCAGCGGATTGCCTGAGCTCAGGAGCTCCAGACCACCCTGGGCAACATGGCAAAACCCTGTCTCTACTAAAATACAAAAAATTAGCCGGGCGTGGTGGTACATGCCTGTAGTCCCAGCTACTCAGGAGGCTGAGGCAGAAGAATCGCCTTAACCTGGGAGGCGGAGGTTGCAGTGGGCTGAGATCGCATCAATGCACTCTAGCCTGAGTGACAGAGTGAGACTCTGTCTCAAAAAAGTAAATAAATAAAATAAAATAAAATGGCATTCTGGTTTATTTTGTCAACTGTTAGTGAGTTTTGCTAACTACTTTTCCCAAGACCAATTAACTCTGGTAACAATGAAGAAACTGAGTTTACTAGCAAAACTGAGGAACAGATCCTGAATCTTTAAGACTCCACCAAGTTAACAGCATCCTAAGAGGGCCTGTCAGAAAAGCCAGTCAGTCACCTTATGGTGCCTTACCTTGGTCAAAACTTGTATAATTTAGTGAAAAGAATGTAACACTAGGAAGGAGATACTTAACATACACCCCTGATAAGCTCTGAACATGGTTATATACTTTAAAAAGAAAGTTACTGAGTTTAAAAAAGTACTAGTCAGTTCTCAATTTTCCATATTAAAGGATGTAAAAAGTGATATAAATATTCCAAAACAGGTATTAAAAAAGAAATTCTTGCCGGGCGCAGTGGCTTACTCCTGTAATCCCAGCACTTTGGGAGGCCAAGACGGGTGTATCACGAGGTCAGGAGATCGAGACCATCCTGGCTAACACGGTGAAACCCCGTCTCGACTGAAAATACAAAAAATTAGCCTGGCGTGGTGGCGGGCACCTGTAGTCCCAGCTACTCGGGAGGCTGAGGCAGGAGAATGGCGTGAACCCGGGAGGCGGAGCTTGCAGTGGGCCGAGATCGCGTCACTGCACTCCAACCTGGGCGACAGAGCGAGACTCCGTCTCCAAAAAAAAAAAAGAAAGGAAATTCTTAACATTTTAGTTTGGAATGCATGATGTAATTTTTCCTATAGATTTACATCCAAAATTCTATCTTGGCTGAAATAATAGTAATTATTTACGTAGCCTGGACATAGATTAAAAGACATCATGGGAGTGAATTCAAGATAAAATAGGAACTCAGCATGAGATAAATGTTGATGGATAATGTATATGAGGATAATTTAAAACTACTATATAATAATTTCTCTCGATCTCACAGCATATTCTAACAGCTCAGTCTTAGCCATAAAATAATTTTCGAATGAAAAAAATTTTTTTTTGAGACAGAGTTTCGCTCTTGTTGCCCAGGCTGGAGTATAATAGCGCAATCTTGGCTCACCGCAACCTCCACCTCCCGGGTTCAAGTGATTCTCCTGCCTCAGCCTCCTGAGTAGCTAGGATTACAGGCATGCGCCACCATGCCCGGCTAATTTTTTGTATTTTTAGTAGAGACGGGGTTTCTCCATGTTGGTCAGGCTGGTCTCGAACTCCTGACCTTAGGTGATCCACCTGCCTCAGCCTCCCAAAGTGCTGTGACCACAGGTGTGAGCCACCGTGCCCAGCCAGGTATTCTTAAAAGTTATGTAATAATCTCTGTGCCAGAAAGAACTTCAGAAACCACCTTGTCTGAACTCTTTGATATTACAAAAGAATCTGAGATCCACAAAAGTTGCAACTAGTCTATCTATAGAGAACTACAAAGTAAAATAAATATTTAAGTATTGGGAAGATCATTATTTAAATAATCCACATATAAAGAACCTTTCTCCAGTATTTCTTGTAAAAAGAGACTTCAATGTATCCAGTTTGCTTAAAATTAGGCCACATCTAGATACTGCTTTATCTTACACTTGCATACTACACAACTTCAGATGTACTAAAAATAAAATCAGTCCTCTGGGACATAACTCCCATAAAAACCTCTCCACTACACCACAACACAAACCCTCCTCTCCAATTAGTTGACTCTAGCCTGTTTGTCAGCTCATACATACAACCATATGCCTTTCTCAAATTTATTCATACCACCCCGAAAGCCAGAAATGTTCTACCTCCTATCTGAATACTACCCTTCCAGGTCCAAGTCAAGTCCTACCTTGTTCTGAAGCATTTCCTAACTGCCCCAGTATACTCTAAATTCCTAGTGTCACTTTCTTGGCAGTTAACAAATGTTACTAAGAACCCATTAGCTGCCAATTAACGTAGGATGCCCAGAATTTTAATTCTCTGTATGTTTTTCCCTATTCCAAAATTCTCTTTTATAGGTCTAGTGAGATCTAGGAATTGGTACTTAAAAAACAACTTATCAGATGGAAAGAAGAAAACAGTTGCTATACGAATAAAACTGATTTAGGCCAGGCGCAGTGGCTCACGCCTGTAATCCCAGCACTTTGGGAGGCCGAGGCAGGCAGATCACGAGGTCAGGAGATCGAGACCATCCTGGCTAACACAGTGAAATCCCGTCTCTACTAAAAAAAAATACAAAAAATTAGCTGGACATGGTGGCGGGCGCCTGTAGTCCCAGCTACTTGGGAGGCTGAGGCAGGAGAATGTGGTGAACCTGGGAGGCGGAGCTTGCAGTGAGCCGAGATTGCGCCGAGATTGCGCCACTGCACTCCAGCCTGGGCGACAGAGCAAGACTCTGTCTCAAAAAAAAAAAAGAATAAAGTTGATTTTTTTACCTTTATCAAAATGTCCTTTAATGCTGTTTACATATTTTTTCAATTACAAGAATATTTAAGGAATAATTAGGAAAAATCTAATATTGTACAGCAATTCTACTTCAGGAATAAATCCTAAGGAATCAATATGATTGATGTATAAAGATTTATGTACAACGATGTTCATCACAGCAAATTTTTTCTTTCTTGAGATGTAGTCTTGCACTGTCACCCAGGCTGGAGTACAATGGCGTGATCTCGGCTCACTGCAACCTCTGCCTCCTGGGTTCTAACGATTCTCCTGCCTCGGCCTCTCGAGTAGCTGGGATTACATGCACCCGCCACCACGCCCAGCTAATTTTTGTATTTTTAATAGGGACGGGGTTTCACCATGTTGGCCAGGCTGGTCTTGAACTCCTGACCCTATGATCCACTCGCCTCGGCCTCCCAAAGTGCTGGGATTACAAGCATGAGCCACCGCACCCGGCCTTTTTTTTTTTTTTTTTTTTTTGAAACAGAGTCTTGCTCTGTCACCCAGGCTAGAGTGCAGTGGCGTGATCGCGGCTCACTGCAACTTCCACCTCCCCGGGTTCAAGCGATTCTCCTGCCTCAGCCTCCTGAGTAGCTGGGACTACAGCAGCGTGTCACCACACCCAGCTAATTTTTTGTATTTTTAGTAGAGACAGGGTGTTACCATGTTAGCCAGGATGGTCTCAATCTCCTGACCTCATGATCCGCCCACCTCAGCCTCCCAAAGTGCTGGGATTACAGGCATGAGCCACTTCGCCTGGCCATCACAGCACAATTTATAAGGAAAAACTGGAGGAAAAAAATTCATTATTGGGAAATTGGCCAAATAAAGTATGATTAATCCATAAAACAGAATTCTATGTAGTTACTTTGAGAAGTTATTTTTTTACTGGCATAAAAGAGGTCTACAATATGCTGAATTTTTAAAGCAATTTTAAAAACACACAATCAATTTTTTATAGATATAAATATCTACATGCACATACACATTTAGAGAAATGCCCAATAAGATGTTCAGAAAACGTTAACTGTAGTTAACTCTGTATGGTGGGATTTGGGGTAATTTTTTACTTTTTTCTTTATACTTTTCTATTTTTTTCCACAAATTATTTCATAATCAGCAAAAGCAAATACTTTTATTCTGAAAAAATACCATGTTGATTTTTAAATCTCTTTTTAAGGATTCATGTGGAGTGCATTACTCCCTTTTACTACTAACACCACCAATAAAGAGCCACATAGGTGCTCCTAATGAGAAGTAATTCCTAACAATATGTCAAAGTGGACTGCAAGGAACTTCCCTGCTGTTTTCATGTTGTTTCTTCAAGCCAGCAAGTTTCTGAAATAATTTACCCATAGCTTTCACTGAAGGGAGTTTCTCACCTATGCAGAAGATGTTTCCATCGGCGGTGGCAGGACAGATAGCAATGAGTCAAGTCATATTTCAAAGGTGGACCATCACCACCACCATCATCAGACAACCAAGCGGAGAAGAACTACCACTGCTGTAGCATCTCTGGTCAACAGATTTGAGTACTGGGATACACTGAGACCAACATGGTACTCTGTGTCTTTGTGTTGACCAAATGTCAACGTCAAGGGCTCCCACAGCCATTCTACTTCATGTGCTCATCCATGCTCCCACACCTTAGCAAAGATCTGCTTGCAACTTTCTCCACTTCCCAGACACCAACTTCTGAATTTTTCTCAGCCCTCTTATCCCTCTACTAAGAAGGAGAGAAGAGTTAAAATGAGAAAATAAAAAGTGCAAAAGCCCAAAGGAGGACCTAGCTGGGTATGCTGGAAGAATAGAAAGAAGGGCAGTATAGCTTGAACACGGTCATCAAAGGAAAACACTAAAAGAAACAGGTAAGGACCACATCACAGAGATCCTAACAGGTCAGAATAAATCTGGGGATGTTGCTATTTTCATAAATGTTGCTGCTCCCATGGTGAATCAATTTTATGCAAATGAAAGTGTTTCATTTTCAATGTACGAAAATCTATTTCTTGATCTACGTTTTGAACCTCATCTACTCTTCCAAAACTCAGTGCAATAGACCCAACTGCCTGCCTGCTAGGCAGCCTCTCCTAAACATCAATACAACCAAAGCCAATCACTACCTGTTTTCCCAAACCAGCTCCTCCGACAGCTTCGTATCTGCTAATGGACGGATCATTCACCTAGGCTTTATATCTCAAAGTTATCTTTCATTCCTTGCCTATTGTCCACCTCCGTTACACACAGGCTCCTCAGTCCTTAAACCTCCAACCTACTTATATTTTTCTAGAGCCACTGACACTATCCTGATTCAAATTAGCACCAATTCTTGTTCAGATTAGTAGAGTAGGCTAGTTTCCATATCTCCAGTTCTTTCACCATTAAGTTTGTCCTACATGATGTTATTTAGATACTTTCAAGACCATCAACAAGCGGATGATATAAAATTGTATTACCTCAAGCTCTGATTTCATTTCAAGCTCCACTCATATATCTGCCTACTTAACATATTTATACTTAGCCTCATTCGCATCTCAAATTTAACATGTCTAAAATTGAACTCCTGATTTCTGATCTTCCCTCCAAATTCCACACCTACTCCTCCCATTCCTATCTCCCACCCTCATCTCAGTGACACGTCTACCCATCCAGTTGCTTCAGCCAGAAACCTGGGAGTCATTCTTGACACTTTCCTCTTCCTCAACCCCCACACTCAATCTATAATTAAATGAATTCTTTCTTTAACATACTTCTCAAATCCATCCACTTCTCTCCATCTCTTCTGCCACTAAGTCCCACCTGCAGAGATTCTTACTTAAGTGGTATGGGTGCAGCCCAGGCACCAGGAGTAGAAAAAGTTCCCCAGGTGATTCTAACAAACAGCTAAGAGTGAGAACCACTGCTCTACAACATTTGGACTTCCACCAACCTCTCTGACCTCATTTCTACTACTTTCTCTCTTGTTCACTTAACTCCAGTCATGCTGGCCTCCTTGCTGGTTCCTTGAGTATGGCAGGCACATACATACCTCATGGTTTTTGCTATTTCTTTTGTCTAGAGTGCTAGTTCTCTCCTGCATCTTCTACAGATATTTACTCAAGCATTACCTTTGATGTGAGTTAGTGAGGTCTTCCCTGGCCATTCTATCTAAAATCACAACACCTACTCCCACCCCAACATTCTCTATCTATCCCTTTTTCGGGTCGTATTTTTCTCCTTGAAACTTATCACTTTCCAATAAACCATATATTTTATTTATCTTGTTTGCTGCCTGAATATAAGCTCCATGAGAGTAGGGATTTTTGTCTGTTTTTGTCTCCAGCATTTAGAATAGCATCTGGCACATAACTGGTACCCAATTAATATTTAATGCCCCAGAAAGGCCTTCCCTGACTCCTCCACCTAAATTTAATCTCCCCATTATTTTCCTTAATAATTTATTCTGGCCAGGCGCAGTGGCTCACGCCTATAATCCCAGCACTTTGGGAGGCCGAGACAGGCGGATCACGAGGTCAGGAGATCGAAACCATCCTGGCTAACAGGGTGAAACCCCAGCTCTAATAAAAAATACAAAAAAATTAGCCAGGTGTGGTGGTGGGTGCCTGTAGTCCCAGCTACTCGGGAGGCTGAGGCAGGAGAATGGTGTGAACCCGGGAGGCGGAGCTTGCAGTGAGCTGAGATTGCGCCACTGCACTCCAGCCTGTGTGACAGAGCAAGACTCCATCTCAAAAAAATAAAAAATAATTTATTCCTTTCCTTCATTACATTTACAATAATTTATAACTGCATTAGCTTGCTGAAGTTCCTTTTCTAGACTGCAAATTCCATCAGAGTGGGGATTTTCTATGAGGCTCACCATTATACAAACTTTGCCTCACTTATATGGCACACAGTACCTACTAAAAAAATAGTTAATAAATCAGTAACAAAATTTGTGAAAGCACACCCTAATCATGTTATTTCTTCAATCAAAAGTTTTCAATCTCTCATGCTTTACCACATTAAACCCAAACTGCTTGGCCATGGTCGAAAACCTTCCAAGCTCTGAGCCCATTTATTTTCCAGTCTTATCATCCATTATCCCATCTTCTGCTTCAGCCATGCTATGCTCTTCATCATTTTCAGTACACACCCTATACTAACACTGAGCTTCCCCACCTCCACATTTTCACTCATGACATTCCTTCTGCCTCAATTCCCTTCCCCATCTCTGCCAATGGAAATCCAACCTTCAAAATACCCACCCTTCAAAGCCCAGCTCAAAGGTAACCTTCACGAAGACAGTCCTGAATCTCACCCCAGCTTCCCCAAAGAACTCTTCCTCTTCTAAGCACCAAACATATAATACTGCTTTAATCCCCCACTCATTTTGGAACATACCCCTCCCTGTCTTTCTACTATGCTTTTGCTTATAGTCACTCAGCAGGTATTTGTTAAAAAGAAAAGTCAGTTAACACTATTCCCTTCCCTTCTCTACCATAAAACATATTTAAGGCCGGGTGCGGTGGCTCATGCCTGTAATCCCAGCAGTTTGGGAGGCTGAGGCAGGCAAATCACCTGAAGTCGGGAGTTCAAGACCAGCCTGACCAACATTGAGAAACCCCGCCTCTACTAAAAGTACAAAATTAGCCGGGCATTGTGGTGCATGCCTGTAATCCCAGCTACTTTGGAGGCTGAGGCAGGAGAATCACTTGAACTGGGAAGGCGGAGGTTGCGGTGAGCCGAAATCATGCCAGTGCACTCCAGCCTGGGCAACAAGAGTGAAACTCCGTCTCAAAAAAAAAAAAAAAAAAAAAAATTTAAATTTTTGGGGGTAGGGAGGTCTCTTCCTCTTTAGAGAGACCCTTTAATGACCAAAAGATACAAAGCTAGAATGGAGAATTCTCAGTATGAACTTTCTCTTCTATGCCTTTTCTAGAAAGGCAGGACCTGCCCAAATGCAATTTTTAAAGCTCAGATTTTTGCCCCCCTCAGATTGTGACAGATTTTCAAAATATATTCAAGTGCTTGAAAAAAATGTTAAGCTGTATGTACTACTACATGAGACAAATTCCATAAGCTTCATTAAAATGGTTTCCCCTAAGATTATTATATACTTGAAAGACTATCTGGCTGAAAATCCAAACACCATAAACTCTGCTGTTAGAAAATGGTAATTCCAGGCCAGGCGCGGTGGCTCACGCCTGTAATCCCAGCACTTTGGGAGGCCCAGGCGGGCAGATCACCTGAGGTCAGGAGTTTGAGACCAGCCTGGCTGACATGGTGAAACCCCATCTCTACTAAAAATACAAAAATTAGCCGGGCACCACCACATGGCAGGCGCCTGTAATCCCAGCTACTCGGGAGGTTGAGGCAGGACAGTCGCTTGAACCTGGGAGGCGGAGGTTGCAGTGAGCCAAGATTGCGCCACTGCACTCCAGCCTGGGCGACAGGGGGAGACTCCATCTCAAAAAAAAAAAAAAGTAAATGATAATTCCTAGAAAAACATTTCTGTTCAAAAGAAATTTGAAACTTTTTATGATCTTTAAAAATATCCCATTCGTGTTGACATTATGTTCAGTGATGTTAAGTGACTGCACTAACGATCCGGTAAAATTCCATCAGGAAACACCTGTACTTCAAGTATTGACCTTTGTTTCCCCACCCACACCCTCTCTTAAGGTTATGGTTCTCAAAGTGTGGTCCCAGTAGATTCCTGGAGGTCCCTTTCAAGTGGTCTGTGAAGGCAACATTATTTTCATAACAATACCAAGAAATTGTTTGCCTTTTTCATTATGTTGATATTTGTGCTGATAGTACAAGAGCAATAATGGGTAAAACTGCTGGTGCCTTAGCACAGGGGTCCCCAGCCCCAGGGCGGCAGACCTTACCGACCCATGGCCTGTTAGGAACCAGGCGCACAGGAGGTGAGAGGTGGACGGGCGAGCAAGCATTACTGCCTGAGCTGTGCCTCCTGTGAGATCAGCCATGGCATGAGATTCTCAAAGGAGCCTCAACCCTACTGTGAAATGCAAATGGGAGGGATCTAGGTTGCAAGCTCCTTATGAGAATCTAATACCTGATGATCTGAGGTGCAGCAGTTTCATCCCAAAACCATCCCAACTACCAGGTAGTGGAAAAACTGTCCTCCACAAAACCAGTCCATGGGGCCAAAAAGGTTGGGGACCACTGCTAGCATGAGCTATTACTCATCAGCATAAGTAATGACATCGAACTGTACTACAGTCATTGTCTTTTGCCATCACACAGGTGACTTTAAAAAACAATTGCTTGCACTTAAGAATGTTCTTGATGAAGCAATAAAAATTATTAATTAAATCTAAACCCTTGAGTGTAGGTCTTTTAAATAGTCTGTAAAAAAACTGGGAAGTATGCATAAAGCACTTCTGCAAGATACTCAAGTACAATGGGCTGTCTCCAGGAAAAGCACTTGTGACTCTGAGTTGTGAGTTGAACTAGCTGCTTTTTCCATGGAACCCTACTTTTACTTGGAACAAAGAACAAACTGGTTATTTAGACATGAATATTTAGCAGACATTTTCTTGAAAATGGAGTCTGTCACTTTGAGGAAAACAAGTGACAGTATTTGTTGCCAATGATAAAAACCAGGCTTCTAGAGAAAAACTAGAATTCTGGAAAATCTGTAGCTACTTGACAGCTTCCCAATACTTATAGACTTTGCTGATGAAATGGGTGGTGATATAACTAATGTGGGTTTTTGTTATTGTATTATAAAATGTTTAAACATTTAGAAGATCTGCTTAACTCAATTAACAAGTATTTCCCAAAAGACCGCAGCATGATATTCTAAAATCACATATGGGTAAAAGATCCATTCAAGTGCAAGTCAGGTTAATGGATTTTAATGTAACAGTAACATCAATATGATTTCAGATTTCATACTGCAACTTAATTTATAAGAAACTAACACTTGTCAAGTTTTGGTGTAGTATCAGAGAAGAATATGCACAATTGTCTGAAAAGGCTATAAAATACTTCTCCCTTTTCCAACTACATGTTCTTTCAGGCCATATTTTCTTTGGGTACTTCAATCAAAACAAATTGTCACATCAGACTGAATAGAAGCAGATATGAAAATCTAGCTGCCTTCCATTAAGCTGGATATTTAAGAGACTTGCAGAAATGTAAAAAATGCAACTCTTCTCATGAATTTTTCTAAAACATTTTTTCATAAAAATATATTATGTTAACGAGAAAGGTTTATTATTTTATAGTAATAAATATTTTTAAATGTCTTCCATTTTAATATCTAATTTGGTAAATATCAATTTATATAACCCACATAAACAAAAGCTCTTTAGGGTCCTCAAAAGTTTTTAACAGTGTAAAAACTCCTGAGACGACAGTGAGAATCACTGTTCTAAGAAAAATACGCCTGATTCCAGCCACTCCCAAAACTGCTCTGTTTGTACCAAAATCTCCCACTTCCTCACCCGCAACTGAAGTTGAACCTGGGGCAGGTATCTGGCCCGGAGGAAAATCAACCTTTCAACTGACCATATCAGATCTCCCCCAGGAATCTGAATTATGCCTCATGGAGACTAAAGCCTATTTACAGCAGAACACTAGAGTCCATAAACTCTTGCGGAAGACCCTGCTACTGTTTTGGTTCCAGCCTTTTCTGAGGTTTGGTTGTTCAGCTTTTCCTTAGATTCTGCAACAGCTATTTCCTTTTTCCTTTAGATAAATCTCCCCTGGCTTATGTTTTTTTCAACCCTGCATGTGGCATCAGAAACTCTTTTATATGAACTGGTTTGAATAGGTTTCATTTCCTTATGATCAAGGAAGTCTTGACACCATAAAACTTCGATGCTTTTACCCAAACTGTTTTATTTGGTATCCTTATACAAGACACCAAATTATAATAAGGTTCCCTTCCATTTGAAGATATCCCTATATAAAATTACTCCAACAAAACTAAAAGTTGAATGGAAATTGTAGGCTCATTCAAAACAAGTGATCAGTTACTAGATAAGGAAGGTGTAATTTTTCTTTTCTTTAGGAAAAGTCCATTATATATCATGTGAATATATTTTGGACAACAAATAGCTTCATTAAAATATACCAATTTGGGGCCCGGCGCAGTGGCACACACCTGTAATCCCAGCACTTTGGGAGGCCAAGGCGGGCGGATCATGAGGTCAGGAGATCAAGATCATCCTGGCTAACATAGTGAAACCCCGTCTCTACTAAAAATACAAAAAAATTAGCCAGGCGTGGTGGCAGGCGCCTGTAGTCCCAGCTACTCAGGAGGCTGAGGCAGGAGAATGGCGTGAACCCAGGAGGCGGAGCTTGCAGTGAGCCGAGATCGCACCACTGTACTCCAGCCTGGTGACAGAACAAGACTCTGTCTCACAAAAAAAGCAAAAAAAGATTATATATATATACAGACACACACACACACACACACACACACACACACACACACACACACACCAATCTGGCCAGGTGCGATGGCTCATTCCTGTAATCTCAGCACTTTGGGAGGCTGAGGCGGGTGGATCACCTGAGGTTAGGAGTTCAAGACCAGCCTGGCCAACATGCTGAAACCCCATCTCTAATAAAAATACAAAAATTAGCCTGGTGTGGTGGTGCACACCTGTAGTCCCAGCTACTCAGGAGGCTGAGGCAGGAGAATTGCCTGAACCCAGGAGGCGGAGGTTGCAGTGAGATAGCGCCACTGCACTCCAGCCTAGGCAACAGGGCGAGACTCCATCTCAAAAAAAAAAAAAAAAATACCAGTATGACAGAAAGTCTGAAAAATAAAGAACAAGGGAGTGAGACTTGCCCTATCAAATATAAATAATTATTATAAAGCTATGAGAATTAAGGCAGTGTAGTACAAGATAGGCAAAAAGACCAATGGTATGGAATAGAGAAAATACAGATACAAACTCTCATATATATGGAAACATTTAAGTGGCATTAGAAAAGTTGTAGGGAACAGATGGACTATTCAATAAAGGATGCTTGGTCACTAGATTATCCTTATGGAAAGAAAATTGGATCCATATTTCAGGGTTATCTTTATGAAAAAAAAAAGTGATCTCTACTTCACAGGAAACATCGAAATAAACTCCAGGTGGATTAGAGACCTAAAGGTGAAAAGCAAACTTTTACAACTTTTAGAAGAAAATATAAGATGAAACCATTACCTCCATATAGGGGAGGATTCCTTCATGAAGACAGACACACACACACACACACACACACACACACACACACACACACACACCCATATAGGAACAATATAATAAATCTGATTGCATGAAAATCTAAAACTCAAGGCCGGGCACAGTGGCTCATGTCTGTAATCCCAGTACTTTGAAAGGCCGAGGCAGGCAGATCACTTGAGGTCAGGAGTTTGAGTCCAGTCTGGCCAACAATGTAAAACCACATCTCTACCAAAAATACAAAAACAAGCCTGGTGTGGTGGTGGGCACCTGTAATCCCAGCTACTTGAGAGGCTGAGGCAGGAGAATCACTTGAACCTGGCAGGCAGAGGTGGCAGTGAGCCAAGATCGCACCACTGCAACTCCAGCCTGGGCAACAGAATAAGACTCCATCTCAAAAAAACAAAACAAATCTAAAACTCAGTTTGATAAAAGATAAAATTAAGTTTAAAAACAAATTAAAGGGCTGGGCGTGGTGGCTCACGCCTGCAATCCCAGTACTTTGGGAGGCCAAGGTGGGTGGATCACCTGAGGTCAGGAGTTCGAGACTAGCCTGGCCAACATGGTGAAACACCATCCTAGTAAAAACACAAAAATTAGCTGGGCATGGTGGCGCAAGCCTATAATCCCAGCTACTCGGGAGGCAGAGGCAGGAGAATCACTTGAACCTGGGAGGCAGAGGTTGCAATGAGCCGAGATCATGCCATTGCATTTCAGCCTAGGCGACAAGAATGAAACGCTGTCTTAAAAAAAAAAAAAAAAAAAAAATTAAAACACACCCATTAGGATGGCTACTATTACAAAAAAAAAATTTTTTTTTAACAAAATAAGTATTGCCCTAAAAGGGATATCCAGAGCCTTAAAAAAAAAAAAAAGGCCAGGTACGGTGGCTCACGCCTATAATCTCAGCACTTTGGTAGGCCAAGGCGGGCGGATCACTTGAAGTAAGGAGTTCGAGACCAGCCCGGTCAACATGGCGAAACCTCGTCTCTACTAAAATACGAAAATTAGCTGGGCGTGGTGGCATGCGCCTGTCATCTCAGCCACTTGGGAGGCTGAGGCAGGAGAATCGCTTGAACCTGGGAGGCAGAGGCTGTAGTGCACCAAGATCGCACCACTGCCTACCAGCCTAGGCAATAGAGTAAGACTCCATCTCAACAGGAAAAAAAGAAAAAGTATTAGGCTGCAGAGAGGTTAGCACTTTTGTGAACTGTTGGTGGCAATATAAAATGGTTCAGCCACTATGGAAAACAGTATGGAGTTTCCTCAAAAAATTAGAAATAGAATTACATGATCCACAATTCCACTTCTGGGCATATACCCAAAAGAACTGAAAGCAGGGTCTCGAAAAGATGTTTGTACACTCATGTTCATATCAGCATTACTCCCAATAGCCGAAAGGTAAAAACAACACAAGTGTCTATCAACAGATAAAGGGATAAACAAAATATGCAATGGAATATTATTCAGCCTTAAAAGAAAGGAAATCCTAGCACATGCCACAACATGGATGAACCTTAAGGACACTGGGCTATGCGAAACAAGCCAGTCACAAAATAGACAAACTCTGTATAATTCCACTTACACCACTCACCTAGAGTAGTGAAATTCCTAGAGACAGAAAGTAGAAGGGTGGTTCCCAGAGCCTGGGGGTGGGAGGAAACAAGAAGGTGTTTAGTGAGTACAGAGTTTCCGTATTGCAAGATGAAAAAGTTCTAGAGATCTGTTGCATAACAATGTGAATATACTAAACACCACTAACTGTATCCTTAAAAATGGTTAAGGTGGTAAATTTAATATTAAGTTTTTTACCACAATAAAAAGATTGTTTATTATGTGTAATAATAAAAAACTCAAAATACCTTATGTGTATTAAACAGAAAATGGATAAACCGTGGTACAGCATATTCATACAACCAAATACTAAACAGCAGTTAAAATGAACTCAAGTTACATGTATCAACATAAATATATCTCAAAAAAACATACTAAGCAAAAATATTAAGGTAAAGAATGGTATTGACTGGAGTATATAGTACATATTGGATTATAGCACAGTTAGAACATAATAAACACCAAATGCAAGATAGGTGTTACCTCTAAGGAGGGAGGGAAGAAGAAAATAGGAGTACACTAAGGCTTTGCTATTTCAGTAATGTTTTATTCACTAGAAAAAGTATCTGGGGGCAAATATAATAAAATGTTAAGATTTTATAAAGCTGGGTGATAAGTATATGCATGGTATTATTCTTTATATTTTTCTATATGTTTAAGATATACATATATACACACATATATATTGACATATATATAGACATATATACACTCATATATATACATATCTTTTTTTTTTTTTTTTGAGACGGAGTCTCTCACTCTTGTCACCCAGACTGGAGTGCAATGGCACGATCTCGGCTCACTGCAAGCTCCACCTCCCAGGTTCCCGCCATTCTCCTGCCTCAGCCTCCCGAGTAGCTGGGACTACAGGCGCCCGCCACCATGCCCAGCTAATTTTTTGTATTTTTAGTAGAGACGGGGTTTCACCGCGTTAGCCAGGGTGGTATCGATCTCCTGACCTCGTGATCCGCCCATCTCGGCCTCCCAAAGTGCTGGGATTACAGGCGCGAGCCACCGCGCCCGGCCTTTTTTTTTTGAGATGAGTCTTGCTCTGTCGCCCAGGCGGGAGTGCAGTGGTGCGATCTCAGCTCACTGCAACCTCCGCCTCCCAGGTTCAAGTGATTCTCCTGCCTCAGCCTCTCAAGTAGCTGGGAATACAGGCGCCCGCCATCATGCCCGGATAATTTTTGCATTTTTAGTAGAGACAGGGTTTCACTATGTTGGCCAGGCTGGTCTTGAACTCCCGACCTCAGGTGATCCACCCGTCTCAGCCTCCCAAAGTCCTGGGATTACAGGCGTGAGCCACCACGCCCAGCCTAAGATATTTTTATAATTAAAAAATTAAAGAAACACCCAAGAATGATCAATAAAAAATAAATTAAAAAAAAAAAAAAGCAAGTTGTAGTACGGAATATTAAAAAAAAAAAAAAATTAAGACCAGGCATGGTGGCTCATGCCTGTAATCCCAGGACTTTGGGAGGCTGAGGTGGGCGGATCACAAGGTCAGGAGATCGAGACCATCCTGGCCAACATGGTGAAATCCCGTCTCTACTAAAAATACAAAAATTAGCTGGGCGTGGTGATGTGCGCCTGTAGTCCCAGCTACTCGGGAGGCTTAGGTAAGAGAATGGCTTGGACCCGGGAGGCGGAGGTTGCAGTGAGCCGAGATCGCACCACTGTACTCCAGCCTGATGACAGAGCAAGACTCTGCCTCAAAAAAAAAAAAAAAAAAAAATTAAGACAGCATAAAAGATGTTCACTGAAAAACTGTCATTTTTATTTACAGAAAATTTCTACATGGTTATCTGTTTCCAAATATCAAGTAAAGGAATATATAAATCTCAATTTGAGGAGATGAATGATCACACATACATTTTTCCTCTTACAAATAAATAGATATATAGATGGGGAGATTAGAGGCTTTCAAAGAACTACTGACATGGCAAGGAGATTTACACTAACAGCTTTTTAGAAAATCAAAAGTCAAGAATAAAGGTCTCCATGGTCAAGAAGGTGTTGCTGTCTGAATGGTTAATTCCCTAAGGTCTATATCCAGCTCTCCCAAAGCTGCATGACCAGCTCTGTCATAGAGTACCTAGGCAACTCCTTGCCAGTTCTATTAAAACATGATCATAATTGGAAGAATGACAGCCCAAGCATTTCCTCAAGAATGTGTACTTTAGAATTTCTTTTTCCTGTAATGGGAGCTTTTCAAAAACAAAAATAAAAGCAGCTACTAGGTCTTATTGGCAAATGTGTCAGAATAGCCTTTCGGAGAGATTCACTATGCCTGAAAACAAACACAAGAAACAGGTGTGCTTCCCTGAATATACAACCAGGATTTAATTTGGGACCAGTATTGTTATGAAACCAGGTTGAGAATAACCTTGTAAATATGACAAAATGGTAAAAAGAAACTGAAATATGAATTTCAGATAAATATCAGAATACTGTTATTATCTGGCTTTGAGTAACCTGAAATCAGTAAGATTACTCAAATACCACTACATTGTAGGAGTCTAACAAAACATTTTTTGCTAAGATAGGAATTAGTCCACTCCGAAACCCACTTTAGAATGCAGTTCTGCTGTATCTTTCATTTGTATTAACCTTTATTAGTGTGATGAATTTTCAGAAAACATTGTGGCTGCCCTGACTTTTCTCCTGAGTCTACAGTACATGACAGAAAGCCACAGGATTCAGCACTGTTCCAGACCCTGAGTTAAGACAGCTAGATATCAGAGTTTACGGCCTATCTGAAATTTTTCCCTAATTAAGAACAATTTGCCTCACTTCTTTATGATGAAAATCTAGTAATAAAAAAAATATGCGATTACAGCATAATCTTACATAACACTGTGTAGAGATGAGGAAAAGGGAAGACATACTTGTGCATAGACGCACAGATGTTTTTATATAATAATAAAACCGCCACATCCCAAAGCTTAGAAACACACAATTTCAACTTCTAAATTTTATTCTGTGTGCCTTTCATCTTAGAAAAAAACAAGTTTGCTCATGAGAGGTGGGGACAACGGGGTGGTCAATGCTCTCTTCAGAGATACTGCCTTTCACGAAGAATATTCAAGACAAGGAAGCTGTGAGTTCTAACATCCAGAATCCAGCAATGCCAGTGACACAGAAGCGAGTCAAACACTAGGTACATCAAGTTAAAATTAAAGCACCTTTAGTTTTTAGAATTTGGTTCCAGAAGCTCCATATGGTAGACAAATAACCTGTTAGAGGTTGGTGCAAAAGTAATTGAGGTTTTTACCATTAAATGACAAAACCGCAATTACTTTTGCACCAACCTCATAATTTACTGAAAGGGAAGAAAATGTCATATACATAAAGGTTAAGGGTAAGGGTTCTGCATCTAGGACGGGAAAAATACAAAGTGAGCTAGGAACTTCTTGTGACAGAAAGCAAGGAAGCACTCATAGCTCAAGCTTAAAGGGCTCCCACAGGCCAAATACAGGACAGTGTGAGCATCAAAAAGAAGGTAATGTTGGTAAAACAGAATAAACTAAAATCCATGACACTAAAACAATGAGAGTGAAAAAAACTCATTTACCACCATTAGAGATGATATTGTACCATTTCCTTACTCAGAAAAGTGTTAAAGAAAAAAAATTAAGAATTTACCTCAATTTTTTAGTAGAAATTATAATTTAGGCCAGGCACAGTGGCTCATGCCTGTAATCCCAGGACTTTGGGAAGCAGAGGCGGGAGGATCACTTGAGGTCAGGAGTTTGAGGCCAGCCTGGCCAATATGGTGAAACCCCATTTCTATTCAAAACACAAAAATTGGCTGGGCAGGGTGGCTCACGCCTGTAATCGCAGCACTTTGGGAGGCCGAGGCAGGTGGATCACAAGGTCAGGAGATCGAGACCATCCTGGCTAACACGGTGAAACCCCATCTCTACTAAAAATACAAAAAATTAGCCGAGCGTTGTGGTGGGCACCTGTAATCCCAGCTAATTGGAAGGTTGAGGCACAAGAATCACTTGAATCCAGGAGGCAGAGGTTGCAGTGAGCCAAGATCGCTCCACTGCACTCCAGCCTGGGAGACAGAGCAAGACTCCATCTCAAAAAAAAAATTATAATTTATTCCTAACCGATGAGGAAAATCCTTACAGAAGATTGAAAGCAAATCAGTGTAAAAGAAATGACAGAATCAGAAAAATCACTATTTCCAAAAACCAATGAATTAACTGATTTAGGCAAAGATCATTATCATGAGGTGAAATGTTGCTGGAGAAGTGTAACAGTACAATGCCAAAGTAGCACCACTCCACAGATAACTTACTAATTACAAAGGGGGAAAATTGTCTTTACAACAAATGAGTCTGGTATTTACCACCTTAAATGATCAAACAAACTCAGCATCATTAATAGTGGGACATTATGACATTGTGTTTCTCCTACTATGATGCAGCGAGGAGCAAAGAAACACGTACAAAGTAGTCTCATCAAAAATGTTTAATGATAATCTAATCAGACCTTTAGAGCTCAATATCTGTTTATGAAACTATGAAGAAATAACCAGAAAATCCCATAAGTGATATATTCTACAAGACAAACAGCTCGGGCTCTTTAAAAACCAGTATCATGAGGCCAGGTATGGTGGCTCACGCTTGTAATCCCAGCACTTTGGGAGGCCGACGCAGGCCAATCACTTGAGTTCAGGAGTTCGAGACTGGCCTAGCCAACATGGTGAAACCCCGTCTCTACTAAAAATGCAAAAATTAGCCAGGTGTGGTGGTGGGCACCTATAATCCCAGCTCCTCAGAAGACTAAGGCAGGAGAATGGCTTGAACCCTGGACGCAAAGGTTGCAGTGAGCCAAGATCATGCCACTGCACTCCAGCCTAGGCGACAGAGTGAAACTCCATCTCGAAAAAAAAACAAAAAACAGTATCATGTGGCTTCTAAATTGTTCTAGATTTAAAGAGACTAAAGAGATATATTTGGAGGAAAAAAAGAAGTGTCATCTTCAAGACAATTGGGAAAATCTGAACACGAACTGGATATTAGATGGTATTAGAGAATTACTGTTAATTGCCTTAACTGTGACAATATTATAAGCTTTAAGGAGATACAGCTGAAGTATTTAAGGGTAAAGTGTCATGATGTTTGCAATACAAAAATTTATATATTTAAATATATATGCACGGCTGGGCACGGTGGCTCACGCCTGTAATCCCAGCACTTTGGGAGGCCAAGGTGGGTGGATCACGAGGTCAGGAGATCAAGACCATCCTGGCTAACATGGTGAAACACCATCTCTACTAAAAAATACAAAAAATTAGCCGGGCGTGGTGGCGGGCGCCTGTAGTCCCAGCTACTTGGGAGGCTGAGGCAGGAGAATGGCATGAACCCAGGAGGCGGAGCTTGCAGTGAGCCAAGATCGCGCCACTGCACTCCAGCCTGGGTGACAGAGCAAGACTCTGTCTCAGAAAAAATAAAATAAAATAAAATAAATATGCATATACATAAAGTAAATATAGCAAAATGTGAACAACTGTTGAATCTAAGTGATGGATATAAAGGTGATAATTGTACTATTTTTTCCATTTTTCTGTATGTTTAAAATTTTTCACTTAAACCATTATACGAAAAAAGAAAAAGGCTCCAAATGCACTTCCTCCAGGAAGGCCTCCCAAATGAACTCTCCTCTAACCCTTAATCATGTCTTCACAAGGTCCTCTCAGCATGGAACACAGTGTATTACTGTTCCAGTTCTGTTTTCTAATTGTTCTCTTATTATTTCCTATATTCAGTAGGTGTGGCTTTACAACAAGATTACATCTTTGGGCCGGGCGTGGTGGCTCAGGCCTGTAATCCCAGCACTTTGGGAGGCCAAGGCAGGCAGATCATCTGAGGTCAGGAATTCGAGACCAGCCTAACCAACATGGAGAAATCCCGTCTCTACTAAAAATACAAAATTAGCCGGGCGTGGTGTTGCATGCCTGTAATCCCAGCTACTCAGGAAGGCTGAGGCAGGAGAATAGCTTGAACCAGGGAGGCAGAGGTTGCGGTGAGTCGAGATTGCACCACTGCACTCCAGCCTGGGCAACAGCCGTGAAACTTGGTCTCAAAAAAAAATAAATAAATAAATAAAAAGATTACATCTTTGGTTTTGGTATCAGGGTAAGGCTGGCCTCATAGAATGAGTTTAAGAAGTATTCCCTTCTCTTCAACTTTTTAGAATAGTTTGAGTAGAATTGCTATTAGTTCTTCTTTAAATGTTTGGTAGAAATCAGCAATGAAGCTATCAGGTCCTGGGCTTTTTCTTTGATGGGAGACTTTTTATTATTGCTTCAATCTCGTTACTCACTATTATTGATCTGTTCAGGTTTTCTATTTCTTCATGGTTCAATCTTGGTAGACTACATGTGTCCAGAAAGTTATCCATTTCTTCTAGGTTTTCCAACAAGACTGTAAGCTCTCTTCAGGCACAGACATATTTAATTATTTTCTATTTATTTGAAGCTCATAGTGAAGTATTCTGCTATCAGCAGACTTAAAAAATGCTAGTACCAGTATTCTGTACCAAGAGAGCAGACCTCAACTAACTAGATTAGCTTTTCAATTTCTCACCAGAATAACAGCAGTTTACTTGGATAAACAATTTAAAGTCAGAGCTATCAAAAGGAGATCATAAATCATTTACAGGTTTACAGAATACTAACAGAGAAACTAGCATCTAAGAGTTAAAGGAAGAAATTGGAATATAGGTTTTTTATGTCTTCCTAGCATTGTCATGGATTTGCTATTATCCAGACATATGACTTTATTCTCATGACATTATTTTTCAAACAAAATCCTCCATGACCCCTCCCCAATCTGCAAAACAGTGAGGTATTTATACACAACTCTTCAGTGAAATGAAGCTTAACAAACTACATAATGAGCTTTAAAATCTTAGATAAAAGACTGCACAAATGATCAAAAATTTTGATAATAGTGTTGGTGAGAAAACAGGCAGACTCACACTGCTGGCAGGAATATAAATTCATACAACCTCTGTGGAAAGCATTTAGTAATACCTAACAACATTACAAATGCACATCCATTGATCCAGCGCTTCCACTAGGAATTTAAACCAACAGACACCCATGTACACAGAATAAGTACATACAAGGAATTAATTGTATCACTGGAAACAACCTAAATGTCCAATAAGTGTTGGCTGAATGATGGTACATCTACACAATGGAATTATCTGCCATCTTTCAAAAAGGAAGAGGGACTGTATTTACTACATGGAATGATCACCAAGATAAATAAAGTGAGAAAAGCAAAGTGCAGAATGAGCATAGTGTCTTATTGTGTAAAACAAACAAAAACAAAAAATGTGAAGAATATATAGGTGTATATGCTTGTAAAAGGATATACTGTCTCGGGATGAATAAACAAGACTGTTGCCTTTGGGAAGGGGAACTCATGGATAAAAAGAGGATGGTAAGAAAAGAAAGACTTCACTCTCTGTGTACCTTTTGAATTTTGTTTCATATGTATGTACATGTGTTAACCCATTTTAAACAATGATTTTTTAAAAAAGGCTCTGCACCAGTACGAATTATTTAACAATATTCGTCTTAATCTAAAAGCATTGCACGCCATCAAAATTTTAAATGAGGCTTCAGTGAATTCAACTAGACAAAATGTTTCTAGAAAAAATCAGGCCGGGCACAGTGGCTCGCACCTGTAATCCCAGCACTTTGGGAGGCCAAGGCGGGGGTGGATCACTTGAGGTCAGGAGTTCGAGACCAGCTTGGCCAACATGGCAAAACCTCAACTCTACAAAAAATACAAATTAGCCAGGCATGGTGGCACTCACCTGTAATCCCAGCTACTCGGGAGGCTGAGGCAGAAGAATCGCTTGAACCCAGGAGGCAAAGGTGGCAGTGAGCTGAGATCGCGCCACTGCACTCCAGCCTGGGTGACAGAGCAAGACTCGATCTCAAAAAAAAAAGGAAAAAAGAAAAAATCTAAGCATCCCAATGGCCGAAACCTACTGAGAAGACGGACACTTACTACAATAGTTTCACTTCTAGATACTACCTAAGTAATATCTAAGTATGGACATAGGAAACAGTAAACATCTCCAAATACCAAACTAGCTACTATGAAGAGCTCTAAAACGAGAAATCAATAAAGTACTAAATGGATAACAACTACCCCAAACCTAAGGGTGGGGTAGTCTTACAATAACTTCTACCTCTAAGGAAAAAAAGGTGAGTTTCCAGCTCTTTCCCAGGAAGATATATGCACCCCAAATTTCTCTGTTCCCTGTGTGTCATCTCTTGGTTCTAACTGTAACCATGGCAACAGGAAACAGCACAAAAGACAGCAGAACCCTGTAAGGGCCAGGGTTAAAAGGGGAAGTGAAAAATACATATACTTTAAGGCCCAAGAACATGCGGTTTTGGAGTTAACAGTGGCAGCCAAAAAAGCCTTGAGAGAAGAACATCAAAGAATACAAACTAAAGAGAATTGAAAGTAAGGCTTACTAATAGTTCCCTTCCCAGTTATCCAGCTAGGAGACGGGATTGGCAAGGAGAACTGAAAAACACAAAAAATGCCCCTCCTCTCGCACTCCCTTCCCCACAACAATTTAGCTATTCATTTCAATGTTATCTAGAAAATCTTTTGCTATTAAGATTTTATCTTTTCTTCACTCTGTTTTGATGGCAGAGGTAAGCAGCAGCAAAGTATCCAAAAAAAGGGCCACATATAATCGCTAACTGAAAACCCAGGTCCTAGATCACTGAAATACTATTGTACTTCAAAGTTCGTTATTTACATTTCTTTTTGTTATCTGCCAACGTGAAAGAAACATCACATTACTTAAAACCTCCACTGAATAAGTTATTGTCCACCAACAGTTTCAGATTGCTTTCCGATTTGTTTTCATGTTACAGAGCACCAATAAGGTACAGATAAAATGAAAAGTGCTAAGGAAGATCTTTGACCAAAAAAAAGGCAAATAGGTCACACAAAGTAAGAAGGCCGGTGCCCTTTATCTCTCTTATCTAGTTCTGCGAATTAAGAATTTTACTAAAATGAAATGCCTCACTTAGTTCCATTTATGACCCTTAGTCTTCTTTAGCAAGGCTTCCAAAATCCCCTGCCAGAATAAGTGATGGGATGGAGCACCCACTCCTAAATTTAGGGTAAGTTGGTACTAAAAGGTACAAGCACAACGATGGGAGTATAGGAATGGAAAAGTAATCCTAGAACTAGAAGATACAGTGACAGTTTCAAAAGAAGGGTCAGTGTGGGACACGCTGGCTCTGCGAGGCGTTTGTAGCCTGGGAGTCTCTAGGGCAACACCAGATGAGAATAGTGCTTTGTCCGTTAAGTCTTTCACATAATTTAAATTCTCCCCTTTGGACAGGAGCAACAGGCTCATTATCTGGCAGCAAGTCTAGCCCACAGCCTGGGAAGAAGGCGGACTCGTGCTCCACCGGCTCTTTATCCCGCAGGTCCCTGCAACACCGCGATGCGCATGCGCCCCCGGGGCAGCGAAGAAGCAGCCCGAGCGCGTTCACACTCGCGCATGCGCAGTCACCCATCTCGCCGCAGGCGACAGCTCAGTATTTGGCAAGGGGGATGGGGCTGGGAAATGATGGGGGGGCTGAAGGCAGGGGGCGCGTTTGTGTCTTCTGAATGCTTGAGATAGGGAGAAGGGACGGCTGATTCGGCTCTGGCATTCGCAGGCCACGTAATCCGGGTGTAGGAAATGGGACTGAGGAGAGTATATGTGTGTGGCGGGGGGTGGGGGGACAGTGGGGGTCAGTCACCTCTTCAGGGAGGTGCCCCCCCCCCACTCCGACAGGACAACCCCCTCCCTCGACTCTCCTCCCCCCACTCACCTGAGAGCGGCGGCGACAGCTGCTGGTCCCCGTCCCCCTGCGCTTGCCTCATACTGTCCGCAACATCCGGGACCTGCGGGACCGCCGATACACAAATACACACACACTCGGAGCGCGCACACTCACACACACACATACACACCGACACACACCAGCCGGGGCGTCATGGCGTCAGCACGTCGACGCAGCCAGCGCGTACCGCCAGACCCCACCCCGCGCGGCCTCCTCCCCATTACTCCCTTCTCCTCCCCTCCCCTCCCTGGGTTTCCCTGCTCCTCCTCCCTCAAGACTCCGCCTATCTTTCCTAGTGCGCATGCGTCTCGGGGCCAAGTCAGGGCCCGGGGATTTGAGAGGAAGGAGGGGCCTGAGTAAAAAGAGGCGGGAACTTGGAGGGGGTCGCGCGCAGGGCGCGGGAGCCCGCTGCGAGGTGCGAGGACCAAATAGAGGCGTAACAAGCCAAGGGTCGGAGTGGGCAACGGAACAGTTAAAGGCATTTCACAACAGCGATTTAGGTCTGCAAGCAGTTTATGGAGTACCAACGACTCTTATATGTATTAACTCATTTTTTAAAAGCCAGCCCTGTCAGTAAAATATTTTTTGGACTTTATGATGATGCTAGAGACCCTTTTAGGTAACTTTTAAAATTTAGCACTTGTAAACAAAAACAAGGACTATCCTTTCAGGGGAAGGCAGGAGATATAGGTGATCTAACTAAAAGGAAGCTGACCACGCATGGTGGCTGACGCCTGTAATCCCAGCACTTTGGGAGGCTGGGGTGGGCGGATCACCTGAAGTCAGGAGTTCGAGACCAGCCTGGCCAACATGGCGAAACCCTATCTCTACTAAAAATATAAAAATTAGCTGGGCGTGGCTGGGTGCGGTGACTCACGCCTGTAATCCCAGCACTTTGGGAGGCCAAGGCGGGTGGATCACGAGGTCAGGAGATCGAGACCACGGTGAAACCCCGTCTCTACTAAAAATACAAAAAATTAGCCGGGCGCAGTGGCGGGCGCCTGTAGTCCCAGCTACTCCGGAGGCTGAGGCAGAAGAATGGCGGGAACCCGGGAGGCGGAGCTTGCAGTGAGCCGAGATCGCGCCACTGCACTCCAGCCTAGGCGACAGAGACTCCGTCTCAAAAAAAAAAAAAAAAAAAAAAAAAAAATTAGCCAGGCGTGGTGGCACGCGTCTGTAATCCCAGCTACTCCGGAGACTGAGGCAGGAAAATTGCTTGAACCTGGGAGACGGAGATGACCAGAGATCGCGCCACTGCACTCCAGCCTGGATGGCAGAGCAAGACTACGTCTCAAAAAAAATAATAAAATAAAATAAATAAAAATAAAAGGGGCCGGCGCGGTGGCTCACGCCTGTAATCTCAGCACTTTGGGAGGCCGAGGCGGGTGGGTCACGAGGTCAGGAGATCGAGACCATCCTGGCTAACACGGTGAAACCCTGTCTCTACTAAAAATACAAAAAATTAGCCGGGTGTGGTGGCGGGCGCCTGTAGTCCCAGCTACTCAGGAGGCTGAGGCAGGAGAATGGCGTGGACCCGGGAGGCTGAGCTTACAATGAGCCAAGATCACACCACTGCACTCCAGCCTGGGCGACAGAGCGAGACTCCATCTCAATAAAAATAAATAAATAAATAAATAAATAAATAAAGGAAGGAAGGAAGGAAGCTAATTCAGTGACAATTTGTTGTCTTGGACACCTGAGTTCCCTGTCAGCTTCACATTTTAGCTCCAATGGGCCATAAGTGATTCCTGAGTTGAGTGAAAGAAAAGGGCTCGGATCACCTTGGCCCTTAGAGAAAAAAAGTTGTCTCGGTGTTACAGTAATAATGTTAGTGTTGGGTATTAGTTGTTATGATTCTTTCCTTTAGCTCAAATTTTAAAAATTTTTAAAAATTATTCTTGGGCTGGGCACAGTGGCTCATGCCTGTAATCCCAACACTTTGGGAGGCTGAGGTGGGAGGATCGCTTGAGCCCAGGAGTTGGAAACCAGCCTGGGCAACAAAGCAAGACTCCGTTCTACAAAAAAATTAGCCAAGTGTGGTGGTACCTGCCTGTAGTCCCAGCTACTCAGGAGGCTGAAGCAGGAGGATCCCTTGAGCCCAGGACTTTAAGGTTACAGTGAACTGATTGTGCCACTGCACTCCAAAGTGGGCGACAGAGTAATACCTTGTCTTAAAAAAAAATTATTATGACGTTGTGTCTGTAATCCCAGTACTTTGGGAGGCTAGGGTAGGAGGATCACATCACTTGAGCTCAGGAGTTCAAGACTGCAGTCAGCCATGATCACGCCACTGTGCTCCAGCCTGAGCAACAAAGTGACATCCTGTCTCTAAAAAAAAAAAAAGAAAGAAAGAAAAAAGTTTTTAATATATGTTCTTACTGAACGCCTCTTTCGTGCTGGAATGGTATCATTACACATACACACACACACACACACACGCACATAGCATTGGACACGAGAGCAACCCAATGAACCTGTAGATTGGGAGGTGACACAGTGTGGGCCCTGCTTTGGGAACAGCTTCCAGGAGCCCTGCTGTCTCCCAGGCCTATGTGACTGTCTCTAGGAGACAGTGCTCAGTGTCTCCTGCCACACGCGTCCTGGTGCCAGGTGGCTGGTGAGTCTGTTCAGCCAGGAAGGCTGGGAGCCCATGAGCAAAACCCCAGGGGTTTGAAAAAAAAAAAAAGCCCCTGACAGTGCCAGGCTGTCTTCCACTTTCAAATACAGAAGCAAGTCCTATAATCTCACAGTTTAAAATTTCCTAGGAATCACGGACAAAACACTCCAGACTCCTAGAGTTTACACAACCGATTTTTCAGCCAGAATGATCAAGAAATGTAGATCCTAAATTCTACAATGATGTGGTGACTGTACCTGCCCCACTGCAAAACAAAAAGAGCCTTTGTCACCTATTAGGCAGAGGCTTGAAACTTTCCAATTAGATTTCACTTATCAGGTGGCTCACACTTGTAATCCCAGCACTTTGGGAGGCCAAGGCGGGCGAATCACTTGCGGTCAGGAGTTCGAGACCAGGCTGGCCAACATGGTAAAATCCCCGTCTCTACTAAAAATACAAAAATTAGCCTGACATGGTGGCACACACCTGTAATCC
Source organism: Homo sapiens (assembly GCF_000001405.40). Taxonomy (NCBI): domain Eukaryota; kingdom Metazoa; phylum Chordata; class Mammalia; order Primates; family Hominidae; genus Homo; species Homo sapiens. The sequence goes on from NC_000017.11 coordinate 49,681,057, forward strand.
CAGCTACTCAGGAGGCTGAGATAGGAGAATCGCTTGAACCTGGGAGGCAGAGGTTGCAGTAAGCCAAGATCAAGCCACTGCACTCCAGCCTGGACGACATAGCGAGACTCTGTCTCAAAAAAAAAAAAAGAGATTTAACTTATCATTGTTATCAACAAACATGATTCCTTTAGCTGAAGCCAGCAAAGTTTTTGGTCCTGAAAATTCGGAATGCCCCAGAAATAATCCAGTAACCAGTAACAAGTAACTGGTTCCTGGTGTCACTGAGGTTGCTCAATTACCTATTCTCTTGACTTCAGAGTTCACACAAAAGCAGGGAAAAAAGAAAAGGGGTACTCTTTGCAGGAAGGAGCATGAAAATCGGGAACAGGGTGCAGGAAAAGGAAACTGGATGCATGGACAACCTACTGTAGCTCCCTCACATTTGGAGCTAATCGTAACAGCTTCGCCAGACTCTACCCAGGACCTGGAAGGGGACTCCTTGGGGAAAGTGAGTCTGTGCCAACAGCTTGTCCAGGCTGGGCCCGAATCCCCAGTGATCTGGAAGGGTATGAGAGGTCTTATCCCCATCTGTAGCCTGGTGCAATGAAGCTCCTATTATACTGTGGGGACCATACCTCCCACCTGAGATGTGATCCTATCAGCCTCTGTACAAAGGACTTTGATTTGGTGTGGAGCTGATTAAACGATTGTAGATGTCCTTGGAAGCACTGTGTGGAAGAATTTTAAACAGCTTCTCCTTTTTAATATGCACTTCCTCTTCGGTTTTAATTATTTTGTTCCTACATTTTCCCTTTCAATTTACTAAAATCTAGAAATGTAATTAGAGCAGAGGCTGGGCTCAGAGAAAGCTGCCAGGATTTCTACAGCATGATTAAATATACCAGGCATCCCTTTAGTGTGGGACTGAAAAATAGGATTCTCATTATTATCTTTCCCTTATCCAGGAAAGAATCCGCACCACATACAGATACGGATTTATTGAACATGCAGCACTAATTAAAAACTCACCCAGCCTCTTGACGAGGTTTGGGTAAAGAAAAAAAAAGTGCAGTTATTTAATTTTTTCCTCCATTAAATGTTTTGTTGCTGTAATGACAACAAGCAAGAAGCGCTTCTTGTTCTTCTTTCCTCAAAATAAAATTCTTGTCTCCTCCTGAGGGACTTAATGAGGCTTTTATCTATGCAACAACAATCAAGCTTACAATGGCACCAATTCAGTTCACTGCTCCTTGTGATGGTAAGCAACAAGCAGAACTCATTTTCTTAATCCGAAACACAGACAACAAAGTGTTCATTGGCTGTTATGAGCCAGGTCTGGGTGCGGGATCTTCCCCAAAGGCTCTGAGATGCCAACGAGGATCTTCGGCTCCATTTTACAGTCCAGCAAGCAAAGGTGTGGTTTCCCTTGAAGCTCTAGGGGAGGTGGAGGCAGGCAGGACTGAATAGAAAATGAGTACAGACTCCCATTTTGGTTGTAAGTGCTGTAAGAAGCTGAAGTCTTTCTCTCCTCACTGGACAGCTCTTCCGTTGAGTGGTCAATGATCAACTTTTCAGTTGGGCAGTTGGTCCCCGGGCCCAGCGTCTCCTTTGGTGGAGCCCTTCATGGACATTAGAGATGAATATACAGGAAGGAAGATCTTTAGTAGGGGCAGAGTCCTGTGTTCCAGAGGTACCCGCCTAAAGGAAAAGAGACAAATGTCATACCCCAGGACACAGGTGTAAGAACATGCACAAAGAAACAAGAATAACACATTTATGATGTTGCACTGGGGCCTCTATGGGGCTCACAAATATTAGCAGTGGAGACATTTTCATTGATTCATGAAATTGCATAGTGAGGCATCTGTGGCTTAATGAAAGGGCTCCAGCCCCCTTGTCTGGAGACTCAAGTTCAAACCCAGCACTAACACTTACTACAATATAAAGTTGGACAAACCTCTCTAAGGCTCAGTTTTTCCATTGGAACAATAAGCAAAATAATGCCCACCTTATCATATACTATGTGAGGATGAACTGAAATAATATTTTGTTGTTGTTTTGAGTCTTGCTCTGTTGCCCAGGCTGGAGTGCAGTGGTGCAATCTCGGCTCACTGCCACCTCGGGCTCCCAGGTTCCAGCATTTCTCCTGCCTCAGCCTGCCCAGTAGCTGGGACTAAAGGCACCCGCTACCATACCTGGCTAGTTTTTTTTTTTTTTTTTTGAGACGGAGTACCCAGGCTGGAGTGGAGTGGCACAATCTCAGCTCACTGCAAGCTCCGCCTCCTGGGTGCATCCCATTCTTCTGCCTCAGCCTCCGGAGTAGCTGGGACTACAGGTGCCCGCCACCACGCCTGGCTAATTTTTTGTATTTTTAGTAGAGACGGGGTTTCACCGTGTTAGCCAGGATGGTCTCGATCTCCTGACCTCGTGATCCGCCTGCCTCAGCCTCCCAAAGTGCTGGGATTACAGGCGTGAGCCACCGTGCCCGGCCTTTTTTTTTTTTAGTAGAGATGGGGTTTCACCATGTCAGTCAGGCTGGTCTCGAACTCCTGACCTCAGGTGATCTGCCTGCCTTGGCCTCCCAGAGTGCTGGGATTACAGGCATGAACCACTGTGCCTGGTTGAAATAGTATTTGAACACAGCACAGTCTCTGGCATACAGTAGACTCAACTTATTTATGAATGTGTCACTGAATGTGGATGTTTTGGAGTAAGTGTTCACATACCTGCTAGCCTTCAAGTCCCACTCTTATCTGTGCACTGTGTCACTCCTTGCCTCCGTGCCCTTCTTCAGAATTCTTTGGGGAGTGTGGAATCAAGAAAACAGCACAGATTTCTCAGCCAGAACACCGTTACTTGCTAGCTGTGGCCCCTGCACAAGCTCTTTGACCTCAGAACCTGTTTCCTCAAACATCAGCCAGAGTTCCCAGTTGCAAGAACTGCATCAACTCTGGCTACATCAATCAGAACTGGAATTGACTGAAGAAATATTGCTGGCTCCGAGAATTAACAGGAGCTAAAGAGTCCAACTTGGAAATTCAGCTGGAAACCAATGGCTGGTGGAGGAAGGACAACCACCTTCTTCAGCAGGACAGTCTGGAGAGGAGGCCCAGCTGCTGGGCACTGCCACAATGTGCCACCAGCAGACACATCACCACTGCTGCTGCTGCTGCTGCTGCTGCTGCAAAGGATGTCTAATCTTCTCTTCATCTGCGTCTCATGCTGCAAACCCACAGCTCCAGGTGGAAGTATCCGGTTGGCCAATCCTAGTCCACCTCTTGGGCCCTAACTACCATGGTGGGTAACAAGGAAAGGTCTCCCTGCCATGGTGTCCATGGTGTGATATGTGACCCTCCTCACTGATGCGATCCACAGCAGAGGACACATCCCAAACAGGAAGCAGATCAGATGCTGGACCTCTAGGCCCCCAACCCATCAGTGAAATGGGGCATTCCATCATAGGGTAATAAACAGCATTGGATGACATATTTGTTCAAAAGGGCTTGACATACAAAAGGATTCCTTTACTTTACTTCCCTCTTTAATAAAACAAAAGGGAGCTGGGCTGTGGTTTGTGCCTGTAGTTCCAGCTACTTGGAAGGTTGAGGCACAGGAGGATTGCTTGAGCCCAGGAGTTGGACGCTGCAATAAGCTGTGACTGCAACACTGCACTCTAGCCTGGTTGACAGACTGAGACTCCAACTCATAAAATAAAGTAAAATAAAATGACAAAACAGCTGGGCACAGTGTCTCATGCCTGTAATTCCAGCACCTTGGGAGGCCAAGGCAGGAGGTTCACTTGAGCCCAGCAGTTTGAGACCAGCCTGAGAAACATAGCAAAACGCTGTTTCTACAGAAAAATACAAAAATTAGCCGGGCATGGTGGGTACCTGTAATCCCAGCTACTCAGGAGACTGAGGTGGGAGGATCACTTGAGACTGGGAAGTCGAGGCTGTAGTGAGTTGAGATTGTGCTACTGTGGCGACAGAGCCAGACACTGTCTCAAAAAAAAAAAACCCAAAAAACAAACAAACAAACAAAAAACAGCTTGGAATGGTGTACTTATCTGAGGACTTGATCAATATATGTTTACAGACATAGAAGTTCTGAGGTTTTAACCTGGGAAATGGCAGGAATACATGATATCTATAGGGTGGCACTCCAGGCAAAGAAGAAACAATAAGAAAAAAGAAAGAAAAGGAAATGGCAGGTTTGAGCCTATTTTTCTTTTATTTTTGTCTTGGACTAGCAACACAACTCCATCTCCATCTCATTCATCTTTAAAACGGGTCTAAAAGTTATCTGAAGTCATTACTTCAAAATAAGTTTTAGAAGGTTAATATTTGTTTTCAACAAAGAATATATTATCAAAAGTAGATTTTATTCACTGTCATGAATTATTTCCGGTGGGTTTTTTAGGATTTCCCAATCCTATTCTGAATGGGATTGATCTACCATCTGTTGGCATTTGCCCGAAAATAACATTTACCTAAATGTAGATAATTAGTTTAGCAAAAACAAATTTTTTTCTACATCAACTCAAATAAGAATTACTTTGGATTTTACTGTTTTAGATTATCCTTGCCATGGCTCTACTTTATCAAGGTGAATTGATTTCAATTGAAAGTTTACTCTACATTAGAATCTTATTTTTAAAAAAAGAATTTAATCTAAAATTCAATTATGGAAGATCTGTGCCAAAGTGAAAAGTCAACTGAATGCTCCCCAGGTACAGAGCTCTACCAGGGTACTACAGGGTGAGTCAAAAGAAATAGAAATATTGTCCCTATTCACAGACTTTTCAAGTTAGAATAAAAGAATTTTATAACTTAAAGGGACCTTAAAGCTTCTCCAACCCAGTGGTTTTCAAACTGTGCTTGCTTCCCAAGCTCCGGGCTTCTGAAGACTTGCCTCAGGGGCTCCAAGGAAGTTTGGGAGGGAGGGACCTGATGGGGCCAGGACAGGCCAAGCCAAGCAAACCTGGTTGTCTTTTTCACCCATTCAGTTCAGAAAGTAGCCATCATTGACCAGGTACAGTGTCTCACACCTGTAATGCTAGCATTTTGGAAGGCTGAGGCAGTCTGGTCACTTGAGGCCAGGAGTTCGAGACCAGCCTGGCCAAGATGGCGTAACCCCATCTCTATTTAAAAAGGTACAAAAAAATTAGGGGGGCGTGGTGGCGCATGCCTGTAATCGCAGCTACTAGGGAGGATGAGGCAGGAGAATCATTTGAACCAGGGAGGTGAAGGTTGAAGTGAGCCAAGATTGCGCCACTGCACTCCAGTCTGGGCAACAGAGTAAGGCTCCATCTCAAAAAAAAAAAAAAAAAAAAAGAAAGAAAAAGAAAAAAAGAGGCCCGGCATAGCGGCTCACGCCTGTAATTCCAGCACTTTGGGAGGCCAAGGCAGGCAGATCCCAAGGTCAGGAGATCGAGACCATCCTGGCTAACACAGTGAAACCTCGTCTCTACTAAAAATACAAAAAATTAAAAATTAGCTGGGCGTGGTGGCGGGCGCCTGTAGTCCCAGCTACTTGGCAGGCTGAGGCAGGAGAATGGCGTGAACCTGGGAGGTGGAGCTTGCAGCGAGCCGAGATCGCGCCACTGCACTCCAGCCTGGGCGACAGAGTGAGACTCCGTCTCAAAAAAAAAAAGAAAGAAAGAAATTAGCCAGTATCCTTGGCCTTGGCTCCTCTAGTCCCGAAGTCTCACACCTAATCCATCAGGAATTCCTGTTAAGTTCTAGTTTCAAAGTGTCTCCTGAATCCATCCACTTGTCTACTTCTCTTCTGTCCCACCGAAGTTCTAGCCACCATCCTCTTTTGCCTGGACCATAGAAAGAGGGTCCTGAATAGTCTTCCTAATTCTCTGCTTGTCTCTCAATCCATGCTTCACTCAGCAATCAGGGCAATCTAATTAAAATTTAAGTCAGACCACATTGCAATCTGGCTTAAAACCTTTGAATGGCTTTTTGTTGTACCAAGAATAAAATCCAAACTTTGTATCACCAAGTAACAGAGCCTCATCTTCAATCACATCTCATGTTGCATCTTTTCCTGTCCTTGCTCCAGCAACCCTGGCCATCTACAGATTCCTAGAAACCCATCAAGCTCTTTCCCTCCCCAGGCCTTTGTGGCTACTATTGTCTCTGACTAGAATACTTTTTGCCTGGTTCTGTCTCTTCTTCAGGTTTCAGCTTAATTGTTATATCCTTCTCTGACCTCCCACCATATCCAAAATAAGAACTTTCTGTTATTTTCTATCATGGTACTTTGTTTACTTCCTTTACAATACCGCCAACAATTTGTAACTGTTTTTGTGAATTTACTCTTTCATTATCTGTCTCCCCTACTGGATTGTCAGCTCCATGGGGACAGTGACCTGGCTGGCTGGCTCTCCGTTATGTCCCAGCATCCAGCATAGTTTGAGACCAGCCTGGGCAACATAGCAAAATCCTGTCTCTACAGAAAAAGACAAAAATTAGCTGGGCGTGGGTGGGCACCTGTAGTCCCAGTTACTTGGGAGGCTGAGGTGGAAGGATCATTTGAGACTGGGAAGTTGAGGCTGCAGTGAGCTGAGATCCTGCCACTGGGGCAACAGAGCCAGACTCTGTCTCCAAAAAAAAAAAAAAAAAAAAAAAAAAAGTCTTGCGGCCAGATGCAGTGGCTCACGCCTGTAATCCTAGCATTTTGGGAGGCCGAGGCGGGTGGATCACCTGAGGTCAGGAGTAAGAGACCAGCCTGACCAACATGGTGAAACCCCTCTCTACTTAATACAAAAAATTAGCCGGGCATGGTGGTGCATTCCTGTAGTCCCAGCTTTACTTGGGAGGCTGAGGCTGGAGAATCGCTTGAACCCGGGAGGCAGAGGTTGCAGTGAGCTGAGATTGCGCCATCGCACTCCAGAGCCTGGGCAACAAGAACGAAACTCTGTCTCAAAAAAAAAAAAAAAAAAGGCATGGAATGGAGTACTTATCTGAGGACTTGATCAATATGTTTACAGACATAGAAGTTCTGAGGTCTTAACCTGGGGAATGGCTGGGATACACGGTATCTATAGGGTGGCACTCCAGGCAAAGAAGAAGCAATAACAAAAAAGAAAGGAAAGGAAATGGCATGCAGCACATGCTGACATGTGGACAGGAAGTGCTCTGTACTTACTTACTTACTGAATAAACATATAACAGGAAGCCTTAGCCTTGCCTGGAATGTCACAGAAGACGCAAGCAAAAGTTGGAGGCATAAATGGAAGGCTGATAGGTAATGTGGGTGAAGGGGAATTGGGGAAAAACCGTCCAGGCAGGCAGAGAATCTAAGGCCAGGGAGGGCTTGAAGTTTTTTAGAAACTCCACGAAGATTAGTGTGGTTGGGCCAGGTGCAGTGGCTCAAGCCTGTAATCCAAGAGCTTCTGGAGGCTGGAGCGGGAGGGTTTCTTGAGACCAGAAGTTCAAGATCAGCCTGGGCAACATAGTGAGACTCCACTCTACAAAAAAAATTAAAAATTACCAGGGTGTGTTGGCACGTGCCTGTAGTCCTAGCTACTTGGGAGGCTGAGGTGGGAGGATTGCTTGAGCCCGGGAGATTGAGGCTGCAGTGAACTGTGATTACACCACTGCACTCCAGCCTGGGCCTCAGAGTGAGAGCCTGTCTCAAATAATAATAATAATTAATTAACTAATTAATTCATGTGGTTGGAGGATAGAGAGCGAGCAAGAGGGCCGTGTGAGGTGGGTCAGGAGGGCAAGGCAGAGCCAGCCTTTCTCCCCTGGAATCCAAACCACAGGACCTGAGAGTAGGGGAGGAATGAACTTCCCCAAAGCACAGTCAGGGTGCTCTGGGTGGGGAAAGAGGGAAATGAATGCAGGGGACAACAATGCAAGACCACTACTCTTGGTTTTCCTCTGCCTTCTCCGGCTGCTCCTTCTCTGTGTCCTTTACAAGCTCTTTTTTTAGCAATCCTTTGAAAATCTGCTTTCCTCGGATTCCATTCACTTCCTCTCCTCTTCACACTGTCTTCACTTTCCTTGAGATCTCTCATTCACTCTCACAGCTCCCCTGCCATCCATCTGCCAGAGAATATTCCCAGTCCGTCTTGAGCCAGGCTTTCCTCTTGAGCCCCAGACTTACCTACCCAACTACCAACCTGATAGCTTCGGTCAGATGTCCCATGGGCACCTAATATCCAGCAGATCTAACACCTGGCTTTCCTCTAGTATCTCACCAAGCTGCTCATGCCTGAAAACTGGGGAGTAGCCTTGATTCCTCCAGCCCTCATCCAATTAATAACCAAATTCTGACATTTCATAGTTTAGTTAATCTCTCAATTCTGCCTACTTCCTTCCATCTCCACTGACATTTCCCCAATTCTTTCCTGGATCACAACGGCCTCCTCAGCAGCCTCCCAGCCTCTGATTATCCCCCCTCCAGTTCATTCTCCACCCTGCAGCCAGAGTGAGCTCTCTAAAATAACAATCTGGCTGGGCGCGGTGGTTCAAGCCTGTAATCCCAGCACTTTGGGAGGCCGAGGCAGCAGATCACCTGAGGTCAGGAGTTCGAGACCAGCCTGGCCAACATGGTGAAACCCTGTCTCCACTAAAAATACAAAAATTAGCTGGGCGTGGTGGCGCGGCCTGTAATCCCAGGTACTCGGGAGGCTGAGGCACAAGAATCACTTGAACCCGGGAGGTGGAGATTGCAGTGAGCCGAGATTGCAGTGAGCCAAGATTGCATCACTGCACTCCAGCCTGGGTGACGGAGCGAGACTCTGTCTCAAAATAAATAAATAGGCCGGGCGCGGTGGCTCATGCCTGTAACCCCAATACTTTGGGAGGCTGAAGCGGGTAGATCACCTGAGGTCGGGAGTTCGAGACCAGCCTGACTAACATGGAGAAATCCCGTCTCTATTAAAAATACAAAAATTAGCTGGGCATGGTGGCGCATGTCTGTATTCCCAGCTACTGAGGAGGCTGAGGCAGGAAAACCACTTGAACTGGGGAGGCGGAGGTTGCAGTAAGCCAAGACCGAGCCACTGCCCTCCAGCCAGGGCAACAGGAGCAAAACTCCGTCTCAAAATAAACAAATAAATAAAAATAAATAAAATAAAATGCCAATCTGATAAAGTCACTTTGCATATAACCCTTCATTGGCTCCCACTGCCATCAGGAAAATAAAATCCAAACTCCTTAACAGGGGTGAAAGGCTCTCTAAAAGTGACCTGTGCTTTTAACTCTAGGTGCCCTCTTACCCTCCCCACCCCACTTAGCAATATATTTCCAGTCGTACACAGATCTACTTTCAATTCCCTGAGTGAACCAAGTTCTCTGTTTTTGCACATGCTGTTCCCTCTTCCCAGAACAGTCTTCTTTGTGTCTTTCCCTGCCCCCACCCCCTTCCCCCTGTTAATTTCCTGCTGATTCTTCAGGCTTCGGCTTATCCATCTGTTCCTCCAGGAAGCTGTGCAAGTGTCTCACAGCCCTGAGCCAGGTTTTCCTAAAATTCTTCTTCCACTGCATGTCACCCTGGATTGTGGGTGCCTGAGTCCTTCCCTCTGCTCATTACTAAATTGTAAGCTCTTTGGGGACTTATTCTTTTTATTTTATTATTTATTTATTTATTTTTTTTGAGATGGAGTCTCTCTCTGTTGCCCAGGCTGGAGTGCAGTGGCACGAACTCGGCTCACTGCAACCTCCGCCTCCTGGGTTCGAGCGGTTCTCCTGCCTCAGCCTCCCGAGAAGCCAGGATTACAGGCGCCCACCACCACGCCTGGCTAATTGTTGTATTTTTAGTGGAGACAGGGTTTCACCATGTTGGCGAGGCTGGTCTTGAACTCCTGACCTCAGGTGATCCACCCGCCTTGGCCTCCCATAGTGCTGGGATTACAGGTGTGAGCCACCACGCCCGGCCTCTTTTTCTCTATTGTATTTCTGGCACCAAGCAGCATTCCTAGCACATCACAGGTATTCAGATAAGTACTTGTGGAATGAATACATGAATGAATGAGTGAAATAAACATTCCTCTCAGGAACTTAGTTCCAGGAGCATTAGGCACAGAAGCCTCCAGAGCCTTCCTCTTCTTGCATCCATTATTTGGCCTCAGGCTGGTCGGTGGGCTGGCTGGTCAGAGGCCCGTGACAACCCTGAATACCCATCCAAGAGGTTCCTTGACTCAGACCTTCCGTTGGGAGCCCAGTCTTCCCTTAAAAGGCCACCTTATCGGAAAGTGCCTGTGAAGGCATTTATGAGCTCTATTTTTATCCATGTTGGAAAGCCTCAAAGTCAATTCCCAAGCCAAAGACATTACACTCAGCAACGCCGACGAGCAAGGAAGCATCTCTGCGATGCCTTTGAGTCACAGCTTTGTTTTCTGTGGCAAGGGCCTCAGTTCCTCCCCATAACTGGGCCCTTGTTTTTAAGGACTGACTCTGAAAAGCTTTTGATCTCACATTTGTGAAAACTAGATCTTGCAGCTCTTAATGGTCTGTGCAATGGTGTCACCTTCCCTACGATTTCTTAACTCTGCCAGGCAGGGCAGAGCAGAGTGGATTGCCAAACATCTCCCAGTTTATTGAAACTGGCTTCCCATCCCCATCTCCAAATGGAAATTCATCTTGGATGATGGAAGGAAGGAGGCAGGGTGGTCAGAGGGGAGGGCTCCCAAGGAGCCTGGTCAGGGAGATAATTGGACAGAAGCTACAAGGCTGAGGAGAGTAACACAGCAGGGCTGGTGAGCAAGTTGAGAGCCTTTGTCAGGGAAAGGATTCACTGTCAGCACTGCAGACAGCAAGAGCGGGAGAGAGAGAGCGCCAAAGGGAGGAGTGTGAAGAGAGGAAAAAGACAGTGAAAGACCAGAGGAAGGGAGGATAGTGGGAGGAAAGCAGGAAGCTGCAGGATGTAAGGATCACTGGTAGTTTACGGAGAGGGAGCATGCATCCTCCCCTTAATCCAAGTCAGGTAAATTGGGGAGAGAGGGCGTTAGAGAGTCAGACGGAAGCCCCAGAGAGATGGTCAGTCACACCCTCAGATGTGACTAGAAATCCGGATGTCGGTGTTAGAAATGAGAGTCGGGGAAGATAGGAAGGAATGTTCTCACTCCCAAATTCCAGGCACAGACTTTGCCATCATTCCTGTTCCTGGGGATTTAGGAAAGATAGGGTTTTTGTTTTGTTTTGTTTTGCTGTTTTAGAGGAAGGCTCTCGCTCTGTCACCCAGGCTGGAGTGTGGTGGCAAGAGCATAGCACCTGGACCCCCCTTTCAAGTGATCCTCCCACTTCAGCCTCCTAAGTAGATAGGACTACAGGCATGTGCCACCACGCCTGGTTAAAGATAGGTTTTGTCGGCTGGGCATGGTGGCTCATGCCTATAATCCCAGCACTTTGGGAGGCCGAGGCAGATGGATCAGGAGGTCAGGAGATCGAGACCATCCTGGCCCACGTGGTGAAACCCTGTCTCTACTAAAAATACAGAAATCAGCTGGGTGTGGTGACGAATGGCTGTAATCCCAGCTACTCAGGAGGCTGAGGCAGGAGAATCGCTTGAACCAGGGAGTCCGAGGTTGCAGTGATCCAAGATGGTGCCACTGCACTCCAGCCTGGCAACAGAGCAAGACACCATCTAAAAAAAAAAAAAAAAAAAAAAAAAAAAAAAAAAAAAAAGATAGGTTTTGTCAAAGAGTGCTGGAGCCCAGAGGACTCAAGACACTGTTAATTCACTCTCTCCTTTCCTTTAGCAAAAGAGGCCCTAAACAATTGAAGGTCCATGCCCCACTGTCTCTCCAACCCCACATTCCCCCTTCTGAGAACAGACACAGCCCGTACCACAGTCCCTTATATGCCTCTGCCTCTGTTGGCCACTCTGGGACAGGAACCAGAGTTAGAACTTGGAGTCTGGGCTGAGTCAACACTGTCTGTGGGAGAGATGGCTTCCTGGGAAGTCTGGCTTCAAAGCTTCTGACTGGCCAAGCACGAGGTACCATGGAGGCTGGGGGTGGCTTTGACTTTCAAAGTACCTCTCACTAGAGACACAATCATGGGATAGAAGTTTCCATAGTCTAGGCCAGGCGTGGTGGCTCACCTGGATTTCACCCGCCTCTTTAGTAGAGACAGGTGAAACCCCATCTTTACTAAAAAATACAAAAAAAAAAAAAAATTAGCCGGGCGTGGTTGTGAGCGCCTGTAGTCCCAGCTACTCGGGAGGCTGAGGCAGGAGAATGGCGTGAACCCGGGAGGCGGAGCTTGCAATGAGCGCCGAGATCGCGCCACTGCACTCCAGCCTGGGCGACAGAACAAGATTCCGTCTCAAAACAAAAAACAAAAACAAAAACAAATTGTTGTTCCCAGGTTGTCTCCTTCCTCCTCCCTCCTTTCCTTCCTTCCACAGACAGTTACAGAACACCTACCATGTGCCATCCGCCATGTTAGGGGCTAAAGATACAAAGATACAGCGCTGGGGGAGAAATACATATAAATACTAATCAGATCCAAGGCAATGATATAAGTACTTCAATAGGGTAGGTGGCAAACTAGTGACCCTAGGCCAAATCTGACCTGCAGGCACGTTTTATTTAAACTAACAAAGAATTTAGGTCAGGCATGGTGGCTCACACCTGTAATCCCAGCACTTTGGTAGGCCAAGGCCGGTGGATCACTTGAGGTCAGAAGTTCGAGACCAGCCTGGCCAACATGGTAAAACCCTGTCTCTATCAAAAATACAAAAATCAGCCTGGCGTGGTGGTAGGCGCCTTAGTTCCAGCTACTCGAGAGGCTGAGGCAAGAGAATTACTTGAACCCAGGAGGCAGGGGTTATAGTGAGGTGAGATCCTGCCACTGCACTTCAGCCTGGGCAACAGAGCAATACTCCCTCTCAAGAAATAAATAAATTAAATAAAATAAACTGACAAGGAATTCAAAAATTCGGGTGGGTTTATGTAAAAATTGGGATTTCCACCTTCTCTTAAAAAAAAAATTGGTGGGCCGGGTGTGGTGGCTCACGCCTGTAATCTCAGCACTTTGGGAGTCTGAGGTGGGTGGATCACCTGAAGTCAGGAATTTGAGACCAGCCTGGTCAACATGGTGAAACCCTGTCTCTACTAAAAATATTTTTTAAAAAATTAGCTGGGCGTGGTGGCGGGTGCCTATAATCCCAGCTACTTTGGAGACTGAGGCAGAAGAATCGCTTGAATCCGGGAGGTGGAAGTTGCAGTGAGCCGAGATAGTGCCACTGCACTCCAGCCTGGGTGACAGAGCAAAACTCTGTCTAAAAAAAAAAAAAGAAAAGAAAAGAAAAAAAAGGGCCAGGCTCGTGGCTCACGTCTGTAATCCCAGCACTTTCGGAGGGCGAGGCAGGGGGATTGCCTGAGGTCAGAAGTTTGAGACCAGCCTGGCCAACGTGGTGAAACCCCATCTCTACTAAAAATGCAAAAAGTAGCTGGGCGTGGTGGCAGGCACATGTAATCCAGCTACTCGGGAGGCTGAGGCAGGAGAATTGCTCGGACCCAGGAGACGGAGGTTGCAGTGAGCCAAGATCACACCACTGCACTCTAGCCTGGACAACAGAGCAGGACTCTGTCTCAAAAAAAAACTTTTTTTTGATAACAATGGGAAGGAGGTGAAAAGCCACAGCACTTGATTTTTATTTTTTATTTTTTTACTTAGCATAGTGGGCTCTTCTAGAACACTGCACGTTTTAAAAATTTATTTTTTTTATTTTGTTTTTCTCTCCTGAAACTCACCATTTAGAACACAGCATCTTTTAGATGGAACACGCATTCTGTTTTTCACAGGCTGCGTCCCACCCCTTTTCCTATTGACCTAAACTGGCTTGCCTCATTCATCCATGTTCCCTGCAATGATTGTGCAGGTGTCAGAATTTAGGACCCTTAAAATGAAAAGCCATCACAGGACCCAAAGGAGGGAACAGTTGACTCTGCGTGAGGAGGGCAGATCAGTTAGCCTTTGAACTAAGTCCAAGTTCCTTGTTTATTTGTTTACTTGTTTATTGTCCCCCTACCCCACCGCCCTCATTGTGAGACTCGTAAGAGAAGGGCTTCGGTCAGCTGCCTTCTCCACAGGGTCTCCGGTGCATAGCCTGGTACAGGGTCGGTCTCAATACCTATTCGTGAAATGTGTTGAATGAACAGAGTTGCTAGAAGCGCCAAATGGAAAAGGGAATTCCAAGCAGAGGGAACGTTGGGCACCAAAGCATGACAGTAAATAGCATACAGGGAACTGCAAATAGTTCCTGGTGAGTGGAAGTGCCGGGAGTGCGAGGTGGGTGGGATCGAGCAGGGTGGAAGTAGCAGGAATTGAAGCAGGGAAAATCGACTCCGGTGGGATCCTGAAGGGCTTTTTGTGCTGCGCTAAGAAGGTAACTGTGGAACCTTGGAAGAGATTTGAGAAGTGGAGGGACAGGATCAGGTAGATTCTTGTTGCACAGAAATAGCTCTGGCTGGGTGGGAGTGTGGGAGATGTGGGCTCCAGAGGAGAAACAAGCAGCAAACAGAACCTTCCATTCAAACTCCCCTCCTCACCTCCACCTTCCCCTTTTTGAACCCCCTGAAACTGGCCTGGGAATCTATTTTAAGAGAATGGTGCCCCCTGCTGACTAAGCCTGGGCTTGCACCTCCCCGGGCCATCAGGGAAATTAAAAAATTTTTGGCCCTGAACAAAAAAGCACCTGGAAGGCTTGTGCACAGAACTGCAAGTCGTGATGTATCTGAGAGTGCCTTCCTTTTCCTAGGAAGAGAGGGGCCCATAAGAACACTTGTGATCATGAGTAATGCCACAATAGTGTTGCCAGATAAAATACAGAACACCAGCTAAATTTGAATCCAGGGACATACTTACACCAAAAATTTGCGTTGTTTGCTTGAAATTCAACTGCAGCCAAGCATCCTGTATTCTTATTTGTTAAATCTGACAATTCTAGGTAGTGTGTAGTGGGGTCAGGAGAAAACTGGAAATGAAATTGGACAGGTTACTCTCCTTGGGTATCTCTGCAACCTCAACCTCATCTAAGCAGGCAGAGCTGGAGATGATGCTTTCTCGTATTTTGCAGTGGCTCTTAGTTGTGTGGTTCTATTTGGGAAATCACTTTTAATTGAGTCCCGTGATTATGGTGATCCTGTGTATGGACTCCTTCGTGAATATGAAGAGAACTGTGGGCCCTTTTTACAGAAAAATGAACCTACTAGCTACACACACACACACACACACACACACACACACACACACAATGTTTTCGGGGAGTCCCCAGCCTTCATGTAAGAGTAACACATTCCCTCTAGGGCTGTGGTCTGACTGTGGCAGTTCTTGGGTTCTGAGTAGGAGGAAATGGCGTCTTGTCGGTAACCCCAGCTGAAACATAGTGCTTCTGTTAGCTCTGGCCACCCACACACCATGACAAAACACAGAAGTGGGCAGGAAGAAATATACCATCCCTCCCCTTGGTGAATGCCTTGAACCACTTCCCTCTTCTACCTCTCCCAGAAGTCACGGGGGAGTCAGGCATATTCAGACCAAAAACCCACCTGTCCTCGCAGGCTCATACTGCCACAGAGTGGAAGGCACTGAATGAAGTCACGCTTCATCCCAAGTCCCTCTTCGCTCCCCTTCCCGCCCTTCCTGCCAATGCCAGGCATAGCCCACTGGCTCCCACTCTGAGGACCATGTCTGTCAGAAACTGGCTCTCACCAGCTGGTGGCAACCCTCCAGAATATATTCTGGACATTCTGGGCTGGGTGATCAAACCCCTGGTCTGAACACGCTGGGGGCAGATCTCAGCAGGCATGCCTGGAGTCTCATTACAGCCCTTTCTGGAAAGCTCTCTAAGCCTCCATAGCCTGCTGTCCTCCAGGCCTTATAGAGGGAAGGTAGAAGCAGCCAAGGCCGGGGGATGTGGCTTCCAGAATCTCTTAAAGTATCCAAATTACAGAAAATCTCATTTCAGGTTGCTTCTGTCTCTGTCAGACAAGCATGTTTATGTGACATTCAGCTCTGCTGGACTGCACTGTGGAATACAGTGCCCAAACTGACCAAGTACATCAAGCAAACAAGCATAGTGATATACCGTACAATGTATGATTGTAGAATAACGTTTTATGTTGAACATTTTCTGCAATTAAAAATTAATTTAATGAATACAGTAGTATGATTTCCAATCATAATTTCTTTTTTTTTTTTTTGAGACGGAGTTTCACTCTTGTTGCTCAGGCTGGAGTGCAATGGTGCGATCTTGGCTCACTGCAACCTCTGCCTCCTGGGTTCAAGCGATTCTCCTGCCTCAGCCTCCCAAGTAGCTGGGATTACAGGTGTGCTCCACCATGCCCAGCTAATTTTTTGTATTTAGTAGAGATGGGGTTTCACCATGCTGGTCAGGCTGGTCTCGAACTCCTGACCTCAGGTGATCCTCCCGCCTCAGCCTCCCAAAGCGCTGGGATTACAGGCATGAGCCACCATGCCTGGCCTCCAATCGTAATTTCTTTGGAAGAAGGGTCCTTTTTTGTGAGGTTGGATAGCTTTTCCTAAAATCTTCTGAGTTAGGCCAAGAGTGGTGGCTCATGCTTGTAATCCCAGCACTCTGGGAGGCTGAGGCAGGTGGATCCCTTGAGCTCAGGAGTTTGAGACCAGCCTGGGCAACATAGCAAAACCCCGTCTCTCCAAAATTACAAAAATTAGCCAGGTGTTGTGGCATGCACCTGTAGACGCATCTACTCAAGAGGCTGAGGTGGGAGGTTGGCTTGAGCCCAGGAAGTGGAGGTTGCAGCAAGCCATGATCGCACCACTGCACTCCAGTCTGGGCAACAGAGCCAGACTTTGTCTCAGAAAAAAAAACAAAACTTTTTAAACCACAATGGTGATATTTGATTTTTTTTAAATGTCCTTACTTGAAAAAAATTAAAAGCCAGCATACCTCCAAATTATTTGAAAATTCTACTGGGAACTTTCAGAAAATCCAAACAGCTGGAAACCACTAGTTTAGCCCACTGAGGGTTAGGGTTCCCTGACCCTGGAAAGTGGGAAGTGAAATAGGAGGCTCCTGCCCTCCTGTGGGGCAGTGCAACGCGACCTTCAGCTGATGCATTTTGGTGGGTTTCAGGCTCCCTCTTCCAAATATGGGGAGACTGGTTTCTGGCCCAACCTCTTCCCAGGAGTGTTCTAAGGATAAAATGTCACGTACTAAAGAGCTTTGGGAAAGAAGGCGCTCTATAAATATATGAGATTACTGTTCCCAAAGACAGCTGGTGTGTTTTTAGTGGGAAGGGCTGAATGATTCCACAGAGACTCAGGACAATTTCTCTGCCAGGGCATCCGGGGAAAATGACCAGCACTACTCATAAAACCTGCAAACTGTTCCACTGATAAGCGGGGCCAGACAGAGGCAAAGGGTCTCCCAGTGGGGGCTTCACTTTCCTCCCTCAGAGGGCACAGGTCCAAAACGCAACTTGAATTCAGGGAGCCTGGAGTTCTAGTTTGTGTCTCAGGGACATACCTAGGGACCAACCACAGGTCACCTAACTCTCCGTCATTTAGGTTTTCCCAACTCTAAAAAGTGTGGATGTCTGCTGAGTCCCCTTTTCACAAGGGTGGTACGAAGCTGTGAGAAAACACATAATCCATTCCTAAATACCTCACTTGATAGATTACCTACCATTCATGTTTAATTCCTGCCACCTTAAGTCTTTTTAAAAACAACATGGGACTTCAGTTTCTTTTAATGTTTAACTCCAGAATAGCTTTCCCCATGATCGTACCCCAAATCACACTGCAGCGGGGCAGTGGGGGCAGGGGGTTACTCCCCTTGCCACAGATGAAAAGGTGAACAGGGAATGAAAAATCATTTTATCATGCATCTGAGCATGAACAGTAAAGGAGATGGCTCAGATGCTTTGACCAAAATAGCTGTAAGCACCATACACCCCAAACGAAAAACAGTGTCGGGAAATTTGTGTGCCGGTTCCCTCCCTTCGACACATAGCTGAGAATTAACTGCAGATGAAAGTCCTTTGATCTGTAGAAACCTGAGGCATCAGGCCGCCCAGGGTTAGCCATCACCATCACTTTTGTTTGAACTTGTCTGGTATTTCACATTTATCAGCCCTATTACAAGTTAACAGTGTTACTGACTTTAGTCAACTTTGACTCTCCCAGTCCCTGTGATCCTGCAGGTAAGTTGACACCCCAAGCAAGCTGGCAGCTCACAGAACCTTTTCAGGTATCTTCAAGTTGAGCAAAACAATGCCTCCTGTAAAATCTGCTCTTCTTCTATATGTTCCCTATGGAACTGACCTAGGCAGGAGCAAGGGGCGAAAGGTAGTCAGGCACCCCTTTTCCTGCTTGGCAGTGGAGCCCAAGCTCCAGCTCCTCCTCCTCCTTTCATCTTCCTACACTCTCCAGCTCAAGCCTCACCTTGCCCAGACACCTTCCTTCGTTGTTATCCCTGCATTTCTGAGATGCAATAATGTGTTTTCCTGTCTCCCTATTAG
The DNA here is from genome assembly GCF_000001405.40 of Homo sapiens. Classification (NCBI taxonomy): domain Eukaryota; kingdom Metazoa; phylum Chordata; class Mammalia; order Primates; family Hominidae; genus Homo; species Homo sapiens. The sequence continues at coordinate 49,699,514 of NC_000017.11, forward strand.
ACTGTGAAGTCCCTAGAGTGTAAGTTCTAGTCCTACTTAACTTTGAACTCCCAGCATGTTCACAATACATGGCACCCAAAAGGAAGTAAATGTAAGATGGATGGACAGGGGACTGAACAAATACACTAGAACTGGGCCCCTAGCCCACCCTGGGTAGGACAGGCTTGCTCTACAAGCCATTTCTCTAATAACAGGTGAGAGCCATGCTGAGCTGCTGAAACCCTGCCTTGCTCATGACTAGTATTAAGCGTTTTTGAGACAACCGGTTGAAAATGGTAGAAGGAAGAGGTAGAGGGAATTGGTCTGGTAGCTGGGAAGATGTCTCTTAAAACAGGCCCAGATGACAACTGCTTGCACTTGCAGGTCCCCGGCCCTAGTAACATGCTCTAACCACCTAACCAATCCACAGGAGAAGACAGTTTCGAAGACCCATAAATCTAGTAGGGAAGAAGCTAATTGATGCAACTTTCAGGGTGAAAAAAAAGACAGGGGAAAGAGGGTGGAGAAAGGAAGGAAGGAAGTTCAGCCAGATGTACTTAAAGCATCTTCTCTCTCCAGCAGCTCAAAATGATAGGGGGCTTTTGGGGGCAGGGCTGCAGCGACACCTGGGTCCCCAGAGAGTGAGATGAGCACAAGTGAGGCAGGGCTTGAAAGGCTGGGCGGGGGGTGGCAAGGCAGCCGTTCAGGAAGGAGGCCGGGCTCCCATCTGGAGAGCCAAGGGGCTGGGGCTGCTGAACAGATGGAGAGAAAGTTGCAGCTGGTGGAAATGCACTTTCATGTGTAAAGTTTGGTCCTTGGAGGATTGCGATTTCCAACTCTAAAGGCAGCAGTGGGCAGGTGGCTCTGCTCCATACTCCGCCTTTTCCCTCTGCTGCCACTCAGACAACTCGACAGTGGCTGTGCCAGGACTCAGCCACCATGACTTCCGCCAGCATCCCTTTCAACAGGCAGAAGCTGGCATGGTGACACCTTGGCACAGCAAAGGATGGCAGAGGACTGCAATGCTTCAGCAGCTGGAGGAGGCAGGGGAATAGGAGGGATTAACCCAGCCTCCCTGGAGGGGACCAGGTAGACTGAGAACAGACAGACAGATGGAGGGGGAATATCAGGAAAAGTACATCACAGACCTTCCAAAGCTGATCATGATGTATGCACTGGGTCTCCACTCTGGTCTTGATAGAGCTGTGGCTGAAGGGGAGGCAGTGGGGAAATGGCAAAACAGTAGATTCTGAAACTCTGGGTTCGTTTTACCCCAGCCTCAATGAATATTTCTTTTCTGTTTTTGATTTTTAGTGGAGACAAGGTCTAACTATGTTGTCTAGGCTGGTCTCAAACTCCTGAACTCAAGTGATCCTGCTGCCTTAGCCTCCCAGAGTGCTGGGATTACAGGTGTGAGCCACTGCACCAGGCCTAAGAAAAAGACAGAACACAACTTTGTTTTTTTAATGAAATATTTGCCCACAGGAGCTTTAGGAGAGGAAGTGACTTTTACATTCTCTGGCTCTAATGGACAGCCACCCGTCCTCTAATGGGACCAGCTCTAACGGGACAAGCCTCACCCATCGGAACAGAAGCCATTAGCACAATTCTGCGATCTCACAGAGTTCCTCCCTATAATCCTCAGGTTCTTGGAGGAATCGCCCACTCAACCATGCTAACCACACCCGTGAGAGGAGCAGCCTGGGTAATGAACATCCAGCTCTGCCTCTTCCCTCCCTCTTTTATTTACCATAGACTGCTCCAGGGCATGAAGAACAAAAACCACCACTCTGTCTTGTTAAAATCCAAGTGCATTTTTTAGAATATGTGATTTTGCTTGATTTTATTTTATTAAAAAAGACTGGAACTCAGTCCCATATTCCTATTAAGTCCATTTTCCCAAGAGATGTCACTGTTTGAGATAATAACTTAAATATTCTTGATGTGGAGGTAGTCTCTCTCTTCCTAGTGGGATGTCTTCTTAGCTCCTTTCCCAAACTTGGCATCAAGACCAAGACCTATGAAAAGGAAGAAAATGGGCTTAGCCTTATGGGGGGAAATGAAACTTACCAATGATTGTGGTGGGGTGGGGTAGTCGGCCTTGTATCTCCAAAATGGGGGCTTTAAATAAAATACATGTCAGAACACTGGTTTTATGTAACTTCCTCAGAGACAAGAGAATGGCACCAGGATACTAGTTATTACAGATATCTGTATCTATATAAATATATCTATATAGAGATACAGATAGATATAGATACATATATAATACAGCAAGACTAAAAGAAATTTAAGAGTCAAAACTTCTAGGCTATGGCTGAATGTGGTGACTCACACCTGCAATCCCAGCATTTTGGGAGACTGAGGCAGGAGGATCATTTGAGCCCAGGAGTTTAAGGCCAGCCTAGGCAACACAGCAAGACCCCATCGCTACAAAAAAAAAAAAAAAAATTGGTCAGGTATTGTGGTACATGCCTATAATCGCAACTACTCGGGAGGCTGTGGTGGGTGGATCACTTGAGTCCAGGAGATCAAGGTTGCAGTGGACTATGATCATGCCACTACACTCCAGCCTGAGCAACAGAGGGAGACCCTAGGAAGGCTGGATTAGAAATAAAGCTTCCTTTTCTCCTTTTATTTTCTTTGGATACAGATTTTCACTCTGTCACCCAGGTGGGAGTGCAGTGGTGTGATCACAGCTCACCTCAGCCTCCACCTCCTGGGCTCAAACGATCCTCCCACCTCAGCCCCGAGTAGCTGGGACCACAGGCGTCTGCCACCATGCTCAGCTAATTTTTGTATTTTTTTGCAGAGACAAGGGTCTCATCATGTTGCCCAGGCTGGTCTCGAACTCCTAAACTCAAGCGATACTCCTGCCTCAGCCTCCCAAAGTGTTAGAATTACAGGCGTGAGCCACCACACTCAGCCTCTTTTCTCTTTTAAAAAAGTTTTCTCTGGGCTGAGCGCGGTGGCTCATGCCTGTAATCCCAGCACTCTGGGAGGCTGAGGCGGGGGGAATCACCTGAGGTTGGGAGTTCGAGACCAGCCTGACCAACACGGAGAAACCCCATCTCTACTAAAAATACAAAATCATCCGGGCATGGTGGTGCATGCCTGTAATCCTAGCTACTCCGGATGCTGAGGCAGGAGAATTGCTTGAACCCAGGAGGAGGAGGAGGCTCACCCGATTGGTGAGCTGAGATCGTACCACTGCACTCACTCCAGCCTGGGCAACAAGAGCGAAACTCCGTCTCAAAAAAAAGAGAAAAGTTTTCTCTAAAATATTTAAACAAATTTCATAAATATACAAGTAAATTTTAGGAGAAAAAATTCAGCTGTCACTGTGTCTCTGTGTGGCCACTTACCCAGGAACACAAGCACAGTGCCCACCCACTGCATGGGGCTGATGGGATTGGCGAAGAGGATCACAGAGGCCAAAATTGTGAAGAACTTTCGAGTTGTAGTGATGATGGAGCAGGTCAGGGGACCAAAATACACAACCGTCATAAAGATGAAGCTCTAGAGAAAGATAAAGGTGAGGTCCGGTGGGCTTCTGGGTATCTGCCATTGGTCTAAAGTCTATAAACAGACCTCAGGGCTAATCTTGCCACCCTCTTCTTCCAGCCAGGCCAGTCTTTCTTAGGGAACCAGCTGCCAGAGTAGGGAAGCCAAGCCATCCCCTTTCAAGCACTCACCTGACCCAGGGCACTGGTCAGCCCAAAGAGCAGGATGTTATAGATGATGGCAGGGTACCTTTCAGCAAAGCTCAAGAACTCCCAGAGCTCCCCAGTGAACAGGATTCCTGAGAAGACATGTCAACAAATGTACGGCGCATTTTGTGCACACAAAATGTGCGCACACACACACACACACACACACACACAGACACTCCTGCACATGGCCTGTTAAAGAACTGCAAGGGAGGTGGGACGCGGGAAAGTGTATGGTGTGGGTTTGCATCGTCTCATCATTGATTCTTCTCATATTTTTCTCTGATTAGAGAAACTAAAGAGAATTTTGTGAGAAAGGCTTGAAAGTTAATGAGTTACTTCTACCAAAGTGATTACAAGCAGAAATCCTCAGATGCTGTAGAGATGCTGACCCACACATCCTTAGCTCAAGGAAGCCCCTCGCATTAGTCACCTTCAGCCATCAGCAGCCTCCACCATTAACCCCAGTGTGCTGTATAAAAAATACTTTCTACATGTGCCCAAATTTGAAAAGTTAGGAAGCACTGATTTCAAAGCAAATCATTCACATTTGAACTGTCTTCAGTGTACAGCTAACTCTGTTTCCTGTGAGCACTACGTGTGTCTCATTTCCCTCATGAAAGGGAAAGTTCCCAGGTACCTCCCTGTGTTTTACTACTGAGTGTCTTCCCATGACAACTGACACACGACTCTCCTTCATTGTGCCAGTAACAAGTAGCAAACAAATCCTGCTGGTGCAGGTTTTTCCAGGAAGGTTTCTCAAGGGCTTGAACAAAAGGGCATCTTGGAACTAATTCAGGCCCTTGGTCTGGGCAACTAACAGCTAGAGGGATCAAAAGGATGAGGGCAGCCTGCCCTCTGGTGATACATGGGAAGAACAGCAGAACTGGCTCTCACCCATTCCCAGCAGCAATGTCGACCAAAGGTTGATGTTCAGCATCATGTGGTTGGAGCCTGTTTGGTAATGAGCCCGCATGTGGTCCTGGGAAACACCAGTCAGTCCATCCAGGGTCAGCGATAATAGCTGGGAAAGAAAGGGTGCAGCCTGCAGTGAAGTGGCCAACAGGGCCCTTTCCAAACCCAGGACACAGGATTCTCACTCTCAGGCTCCTTGGAAAGCCACTGCCTTTAAAGTCCTCAGAACAAAACGTTGCCATTTGGTCACAGGTGGAAGGTGGGGAGAGACCATGCTCACTACCCCCCACCCCCGCCCCCCGGCCCACGCACTGGACTGACAGGCTAACTGAGCTACGTAGTGATTTTGTAATCAGAGTAGAGCAGGAAGCTCACTTCCCAACATACTGGGAGGGGAAAGGTAGTCCCAGCAGGTTAGCTTCCTAGCTTGGAGTATAGTGCTCCAGAGACCGGATCCTGTGCTTAGGCTGCCTGGATTGGAATCCTGACTCTACCACTTCAAATAGCCAAGTGACCATGGGCAAGCGAGTTAACTTCTCTGTGCCTAGTTTCTTCATCTGTAAAATGGAGATAATACTACATATGAGATTATTGTTGTAAAAATTAGTCAATTAACATGTAAAACACTCGGAACAGTGCCTAATGCATACATACCAGCTACTATCATATTATTTTAAACTCTGGCTTCCAGGTTTCTTGGAAAGCCACAGTGAGAGACATTATTCCTTCCCTCTTTGCTCTCAGGTCTCTGTGACCTCACACCAGGATTCAGCCACAACCCTCAGAGTTATCTCTTCTCCAGAATGAGAGCTGAGTTGTAGTTAAATATTTCAGGTTTCCCACTATGGCATTAATAGAGTCAGGGGCCTGCAGCAAAGAGCAGATATGGGGACAAGGAGCACCACAACCTCCCTTGACACAGAACTGGCCTTCTACCTGCCTAGGTGAGACTATCCTTTGGTTAAGTTTGCTGGAAAAGGGTGCCTTCCCCAACAGGATCTCATACCAAGAGTAGCTCTCCATAGCCGACTGTGTGTTCTTCTATCCCAACAACTTTCTTGGGTTTGTACATGAAAAGGGCCACTCCAGCCACAATTAACAGCACACACAGGTACTTGGCCAACGGGTACTTCTTCTTCAAGAGGGTCACCCCAAGGAGCATGACTACAGGGAAAAAACAGAGTGGAAAATTCAGGCATCCATAAGGTATTGATGACCCCAATGCCCTCCCTCCCAGGAACCAAGAAAAGACTCAGGGAGAAAAGAATGACTGAGAAGGAAGGCTTAGAGAGGACAAAAGGAGGGTGCCAGGCTGGCACCTAGATAAGGATTGAGCAACAGGGTTAAGTATAAGACAGGGAGGAGGTAGAGAACAAAGGTGAAAAGTCCAGGAAGGGACAGGACAAGGGTAGGGAACAGTGGAGAAGGAAAAGAAGTTGAGATAAAGAAACTGATGATCAAAATGGGAATTAAGTTGTCTAATGACAATATAAACACATGCAACACAGAAATGGCTGACCAAGTGAAGCAGGCTAGGTCAGCCTTTAGCTCCTATTAAGGATTACCAGCCTATGAACATCACAAGAAGTGACACAGATGACAGGATGGGCAGCAGGGAGAGCTGGGGGAAAGTCCCTGGAGACAGCCATGATGGGATGATGAAGCCGAGAGGGACACAGTTGTAGCAGAGAGAGAGCTTACTATAGGAAGAGTGACGACAGAAGAGGAAGACCATCTTCTTTGCTTACCTGGGATTGGCTTGCAGGATTTACCAAGGACCTGAAATTAAATCCAGCAAATAATTTCTGAGCATCTGTGATGTGTCAGGTACTATGCTAGGTACCGCACTGATTAAGATGAGTAAGCACAGGGCCTGCACCAGAGACCTCAGCCTCAGAAAGCAGCCCTATCATGGCCCAACCCACCACCACTAAACGTAAGTTCTATGGTTCTATACACTCCCAATGTCTTACAGGACCGTTATCTTTTTTTTTTTTTTTTTTTTAACTCACAGACCTGAGGGAAGAACTCTTAGTCCTTTTCAAATGATATCTGAGCCAACCATCATCCCACCCTGAGGTTTCACCTGAGTTGGGTAGTTGACAAACTGTAGTGCTGAATTGCTGGAGACCATGGCACCCAGATAGGAGATAGAACAGGCAGCATAGAGCCAGCTCCGGGTACGATCCACCCTGGCAGTGTCAAAAAACTGGATCACTGGGAGAAGACAAAAAAAAAAAAAAAAAAAGAAAAGAAAAGAAAAAAAAAAAAAAACAAGAGAAACCTGGTGGGGCTAGGATGGACCACTAAGCAAAGCTGAAGCCACATGAAAGGAACTTGTCTGTCAAACAAGACACAAGCTATTTCTGTCCTGTTACACTGGGAAATCTCTGAAAATTATTCATCTTTCCAATTCTACCTAAGCCCAACAAAAGACCACATGCAGGGTGGAGGTGGGGGCCTCATTCAGTTCAAGGGACCAGTCAGCTCTGCTGCTAGTCCCCAGGGAACAAAGAGAGAATGCTCAAAGCATGCTTGAAGCTGACACACAAAAGAAACTCAAAGGGAAAGAAAAAAATGTTTTAAGTATTTTCAATGGGGATTTGGAATATAGAAGACCCATTCTCTGAACATTTCTAACTCAGAAGCTGATAAAAATTGGGGAAATAATATTTTACTCCACTTCAAAGTCATTAGTTTTACAGACTTCACAGAGAGGCTGTGTAAGTACAAAATGGGGTGGAGATCATGAGTTAGCCTTTAAGGTTGAATCAATGCTTAATGCCCAGCATACTGAGGGAACTTGGGGTGGTGGGGTACCCAACAAATTACTATCTGGGTACTCACAGATCTTGGCAAACACAGCATTGATCACACATTGAATGAAGACCAAAGTTAAGGCAAAGGTGAACGTCTCCTGCTTGGCTCCTTCCCCATACTTTCCTCTTGTTCTAGAAATGAAATGCATGAGAAAAGAGGGAGAAATTAGTGTATTTCACTCACTGTCATCTAATATATCCCGAGCCACTGAAAACTTTAAAATTATCTTGCCTCTCTGGATGTAGGCAGAGTTTGTTAAGGACCACTAGGCTCATTTGCAAAAGGGGCTGATTTTACTGGATCTAGAAACTAGACATCCCAGCCTACTGATTCCAAAGCCTAAGAAAAGAATACCCGAAAAAGACGGAGAGGAAACATGCAGAACGAGATAGTGAAATCAGGTACCCCAGGCAGGAGGAGACGGTATTTCGGCTATGGCACCAAGGCCGAGGACGAATAGGTTGTTTGCAAGCATCTGGGAGTACCAAAAGGGGGCCGACTCGGGTCCTGTTTGAGGAATAGAAGTCTCAGCCTGTAAAACGCAGGCCCTTAGAACCAAGCGGGGAAAAACAGCTAAGAAAAGAAAATAACCAAGTCCGAAGAATCCAGAAAATAATCCTGGAGTTCTGGAATTCTGGGTAGGCTCAGCCATAGCTGCAAAAGTAGTAGGGTGCTAAGAGGGCGACAGCCGGGCAGGAGGACAAGAGGAAAGCCCGGGTCCAGAGGCAGAAGGCCCGGGATCCCTGTCACAGGCTGGGGAGAGACTGTCGGCCCGCCCCCGGGGTCGCTCACATCTTTTCCTGCAGGATCCCATAGTAAAAATAGCAGACAAAGACACCCAGGAAGCAGAGCGGCAGGCGCAGCCGGTCGGGCACCAGGGAGCTGCTAGAGGCCATGAGACGCCCAGAGGAGCCGACTGGAGACCCGCTCACAACCGGCACCGGCAGCAGCGGCGGCGGAGGCGACAGCTCCAGCCGGACATCGCCGACCGGCGGCAGGGGCCTCATAGGAGCTGCATGCGACCGCTGTCCAGCAGGGCCCAGCAGTCACTACCAGAACTGCCGGCTCATGGCTGCCAAGGGGGAAACTCCTCAGAACCCAGCAACCACTTCCTAGGAAAGAAAACCCGCCCTGGGACCTTGGCTCCATCCCTGAGGGCCAGGGGAACCGGCAGCCTCGAGACTGATCCCTCGCCCTGGAGATTTTTCCAATCAGGCAACTCTGAGGACAACTGCGACCCAGAGCACCACAGGGTGTCCTAGAGCCACCTGGGCGTAGAATAATGACGTATAAGGATGTGGAGGCCACCAATTGGCTGCGCTGTGCGAAGACGGACAGGTAGGCGGGGCGGGAGGAGGTGTGGTCGGCAGAGCAAATCCAATAGTCTTTTCCGCGGCGGGCGGCCAGGCTTCTGCTGGGTCCTAATGCCAAATTCCTTACTGGAGCTTCAGCGCCGTCTAGCTGCTGCCCAGCGTCAGCGACTTTACCTGCTCATTACCTAGGCACATCACTAGGCTTCCAAGGGGGAGAGCGGCACAGTAAGTCTCGGCTTGGTCACTTAAAGGCGGGGTAACCTACCCGTGTCACCCAAGTTCTGAGCCAGAGTTTTCCAGGTCTGGAAACTAGGGATAATTAGTAATAGCCACCTTGTCGCCTCTTGGCTGTTGTGAGGATCAAATAAGAGTGTTTTGTAAACTGTAAAGTATGCTGTGCAAGCTTAAGGTATTATTAGTCATCACTGTTTGTCAGCCCTGATCTTATTTCCTCACATCGAGGGGTGGAAATGGAAGCTTACTGAAGTCAGTTTTCTTCCAAGTCTTAACAACTCACCAACAATGGCGCAAACCCTTCGGCCGCGCTCCTGAATATTTCCCATTAATGAGCTCCTCGTTGGATCCCTTCCTCATGCAAGTGTTGGGTCTTCACTTGCTGGCACGAATTGCCAGGGCAAGACTGACCTCAGGTCTTCCTACTACTACCTCCAACCCCCTACTTAATTGGCCCAAATCTCCGGCCACCTGGTGGACTCTGGGCTGCTCTCTAGGTCGAGGCTCCTCTTCTAGCAGCCTGCTCTTTTGGCACAGCCTCAGGCAAAGGAAGGAAATACTGGGCAGCACCACACCCATCGCTCCGGGCCTGACTCAATAAGGCTTTGCGGGGGAGCCAGAAGTCTTTTAGAGGGAGGAGTAAGGGATAGAAGATAGGGTGTCCCCAGCCCACTGTCTCCTCGATATTAGTGGCATGGGAAAGCCCCATACATTTGCTCTCTTGCTCACTAGCTTACTCTACTGGCTCAGCCCGCGATGCCAGGGCACCAAATAGCTGGGAAGAGAGACCTGCCAGCTCTACTTCTTTACCAGCTGGGACCTCAAACAATTCGCTTGTCCTGAGTCGAGTTTCCTCACGTGAAATTAATGGGAATATAATAACAAGCAGGAGAGCGCTGTGGTTAGAAACATGGGCACTGGATTCAAATGATCAGGTTTCCAATCCTAGCTCTCCCACTTCATATCTGTGTCTTTTGGGGAAAGTTATTCGATCTATTTGTCCTTTCCTGATTATACAGTGGGACTTACCATATTTCTCTTACTGGGTGGTTGTCATATTTCAATAACACTTTATGTAAAGCACTTAACATGGTAGCTGGTTCTTACCAGCCCAATGAATGGTGGTTGGGATAGCCTGGTTTAGGAGTTTGTTGTCAGGTCTTATGAGGCAGATACAATTGTACTTATTATGACTGCCCTTGGGGTAGTCAACTGTTCACCCATACAATGGGGATGTGTCTTTTGTGAAAATGCTTCGGAAATTCCAAAGCATCATTGAAATATTGAGATGGTTATTCCCATTTTCCCCAAAAGCCTAAGAGCTCTTACAGGTGCAGCATTATAAAGGCTGCGAAAGGATAAGAGTAGTGTCTTTGTATAGTTTCTTTGTTCCCTTTAAGGCTGCACACTATGTTGTGGGTACTCCCTGAGATGAACCAAAGCTTCCCCAAAACTGTCAAGAGATCCAACCAGTGCAAAGAACACCCACAATGTCAAACTGTCTTCCCTTGGTCACCTGCTTTTCCTTTCTGAAATCCATTCTCCTTAGGGAGCTTTTTCAGACTCATACAAGAATGGGTAACTTCCCCAGTGACTCCCTCACCCCACCTCTAGGACAAACCACCCTCTTCATTCTGGACAGCCTTTTCATGGGTCTGTTGTTTATATGTCCATGTAAAGTATGCAAGCATGGTGTCCAGAGGACAGGAACTCTGTGTACAGCCATAACAACACCCAGATGTGGGAATTGAGGCTCCTTCTCTTGAAGACAAAGATGAAATGATCAGTATATACCCTTAATCTCTACCCCACTCCTCCTTCCCCAAATATTTAACAGAACTTCAAGCTGCTGGGAATATTTATTTATTTATTTGGTCTATTAACACCAAGATCTGCAAAAAACAACCTCTAAACACAAGATAAGAAAACTCGAACATTAACATTCTTCAATTTTGTGTAAGCTCTGCAGTACGGAAAATATACAAACTTCAAACAGCTGCAAAAATAGTGTCTTTGGGAGAAAATAGAGTCTCTACATCGATACAAGAAAAATAGGCATTTTTCTAATCCATCCAGCCCTGGGGCGGGCGGAGAGTATAGAGTCGCCATTTGCCACCTGGAGGAATGCCAGCTCTCCTCCCCACTACCCACCTGGGGCTGGGCGGGCTGGGCTGCTACTTAAGACAATCTTTAGTCAGGGTGAAAGCGAGATGAAAATGCCACTTGGGAAAACACTTGTTTCCTCCCTCTGCCAGCAGCTGAATTGGTCAAGTGTTATGGCCCGTTAGGGCTGCTTTGGTCAGCTCCTCCAATGAGAGGGAGGCATGGGAATAGGGCTGAGAGGATGGGGGATCTATCTTATGGTCTCCTGGAGGAGAGGGAAGGAAATCTGTGGCGTCTTCTCTCCTTCGTTCATGGCCAGCTTGCTCTGTGACAAAAATAAGGGCCTCCTATACAGTCATTTGGACTGACACCCAGGGGTGGGGGACTCAAGACCTTCTGGGTGTTTTCCACCAAGTGAGGGATGTGGCAGGTACACAGGTGTGAATTGTGAGCTGCCCAGCTACTAGTGGAGAAGGCAGGTCCCATCACGTTCAGAGGGGCCGGTGCCCATCAAAAAGAGGACCCAGGGCTTTGACACAGTAAGTGAAAGAAAGTGCTCGAAGGCCGAGAGGGAAGGGCCCCTCCATACCCCATCTCAGGGGACCTGGGGAGGGACCTGCCACCAAGGCACTGGTCTCTATGGTAAAGTGGGGCAGGGGTGGGACCCTCAGACCATCAGGGAGCTCTGGAAAAGCACAGGCTCTTCTGATGGTGGGGTGCGCTGCCATGGCTCGAATGGCAGTGGGGAGGCCTTGGAGGCTTCCGGATCCTTCCGAGGTGGTGGCCTGGGGCTGGCCGGGGGAAGGGGAGATCCCGGGTTTGAGGGGCAGTTACGGAAGATGAAGCCCATGCCGGGGAAGAGGGGCTTCATCAGGTTGACGGGGCAGAAGGCTGAGCCAGTCGGGTTGAAATGGACTTTGTTCTTGTCAGGACAGGAAGTCAGGAAGGCCAGGTCAGGACCTGGAGACCTGGAGGATGAAGAGAGACACACAAGACACATACGTACACACAGAGAGAAACAGACAGCGAGAGAGGGTGAGATGTCACAGCATCAAGGCAGCAGGAGAGCTGGGTCTCTGTTCAAACAGAATTGGAACTTGACCGAAAACCAAGCCCCTCATCTCTCTATTTTTAAAAAAATATGGCTAAACAACGGGAAATGCTCTTCAGCTAAAAAAAGGAGGGATTGAAGCTAGACAGGAAGGAGAACTTCCTGACAATGTGATTCAAGAAGTGGAGACCAAGAAATCTTTTCATTCGAAAGATTTCATCAGTGGCCGGGCACGGTGGCTCACGCCTATAATCCCAGCACTTTGGAAGGCCAAGGTGGATGGATCACTTGAGGTCAGGAGTTCGAGACCAGCCTGGCCGACATGGTGAAACCCTGTCTCCAGTAAAAATACAAAAAATTAGCCGGGTGTGGCAGCATGCTCCTGTAATCCTAGCTATTCAGAAGGCTGAGGCAGGAGAATCACTTGAACCTGGGAGGCGGAGGTTGCAGTAAGCCAAGATCGTGCCATTGCACTCCAGCCTGGGCAACAGAGCAAGACTCCATCTCAAAAAGAAAAGAAAAGAAATATTTCCTTAGTGAATGGTGTTTTTGGGGACAGACCACATGCCTGAAAGCAGAGATCAAAGCCAAGTGACTAAAGTGGGGTTTCTCAGCCTTGGCACCACTGACATTTTGGGCTGGATGATTCTTTGTTGCGGGGTGGGGATGGAGGCATTGTCCTGTGCATTGTAAGATGCTTAACAGTGTCCCTGGCCTCTACTTACTAGACCCCAGTAGTACCACGACTCCTCCCCTCTAGTTGTGACAACTAAAAATGTCTCTTGATATTGCCAAATGTTCCCTAGTTGAAATCTACTGGCCTAAAGAATCTAATTGTTGGGCACATTTGAAAGGTATGGGGTTGTTTATTGTTGTTGTTTTGTTTTTGAGACAGAGTCTCACTCTGTGGCCCAGGCTGGAGTGCGGTGTGGCAGGATCATGGCTTACTGCAGCCTCGACCTCCCCGGTCCAAGCAATCCTCCCACCTCATCCTCCTGAGTAGCTGGGACTACAGGCATGAACCACCATGCCCAGCTAATTGCTTTACTTTTATTTTGTAGAGAAGGGGTCTCTGTATGCTACCCAGGCTGGCCTCCAGAAAGGTGTGATTTTCAAAACTTTGAGAGGAAAGGATGGTAACAACTGTGAGAAAGGCAGCTAGACCTTATCGGAAGATCTGGGTTCTAACTCACCATGTGGTCCTTGTCATATCTGTCTCACCCTCCTTTTTAATTTTAATTTTTTAATTGTTTTTAGAGACAGGGTCTTGCTCTCTCACCCAAGCTGGAATACAGTGGTGTGATCATAGCTCACTGCAGCCTCAAACTCCTAGGTGCAAGTAATCCTCCTGCTCAGCTTCCCAAGGAGCTGGGATTACAGATGCCTGCCACCATTCTAGGCTAATTTTATTATTATTATTATTTTTTTAGTAGAGATGGGAGTCTCACTATGTTGACCAGGCTGGTCTTGAACTCCTGGGCTCAAGTGATCCTCCTGCCTTGGCCTCCCAGAGCACTGGGATGACAGGCATGAGCCACCGCACCCAGCCTGTCTCACCTTTATAATGTGAGAGGAATCATCCTTCCTCTTTTGATTGTTTAGGAAGATGGGATGATAAAAGGTCAGGTCAGAGAGTTCCTGAGTAAGGAATAGCCCTGATTCCTTACTGTATGGCCAAGCCTAGAGGGTGAAACAGCCCTAAGAAGCTGACGGTTTGAAAATCCCAGGTGAGAAGACAAAGGTATGGGAAGACGGTGAAGCTCTGCCACCAATGGTTCTCACCAATCACCTTTTTCTTTTTTACTTTTTATTGAAGTATAATATATACACTCAGAGAAAAATGCACTCAGTATACAGACTGATAAATTGGTTACCATCTTTTTTTTTGGACAGGGTCTCACTCTGTTGTCCACGCTGGAGTGCAGTGGTGCAATCTTGGCTCACTGCAACCTCCACCTCCTGGGCTCAAGCAATTCTCCCACCTAAGCCTCCTCAGTAGCTAGGATTACAGGCACCCACCACCACACCTGGATAATATTTTAACATTTTTTGTAGAGAGGGTGTCTCCCTATGTTGCCCAGGCTGGTCTTGAACTCCTGGACTCAAGCAATCCTCCCTTGGCTTCCCAAAGTGCTGGAATTATAGGTATCAGCCACTGCACCCAGCCAATTACCATCTTAATTCCGGAATTCCAATAATTCTAGAGCCCAGGAAGAGCAAGGTGTGAAGAGAAGAGCAGAGACCTGGCACAGAGTCAGGAGAGGTGGAGGGTAAAGGCCCACGTGGTGGGTGTGTTTGGGAAGGCCTGGCGTCCTAGAGACTCCACAGTGGCAAGGGCTTCCCTGATGGAGAAGGGTTTAAAAGAGTCCCAATTTACGGAGGGATGGGGAATGGGCAAGAGAGAGAACGTTCTAGGTGTGTGCATGTACGTGTTGGGAAGGTGACCAAGGGGAGACCCAGCAACACTCAGAGAATATGATGGCAACCAGCATGACCCTGAATACCTTGACTCCTTGCCTGGAAAATCCAGATGATCTTGGAGGGGACAACAGCTAAGAAGGGGGAAATGTGGCAGAAGAATGGCTAAACACACAAACTTCCCAATAGGAAAGTTGATTAAATAAAGAAACCTCAGTGAACTACAGAATTTAAATCCCGGCATATCTTAGAAAATCACTGATGGATCACCACCACTCTTTTTTTTTTTTTTTTTGGAGACAGAGTCTCAGTCTGTTGCCCTGACTACTGAAGTGTAGTGGTGCGATCTCAGCTCACTGCAATCTCCACCTCCTGGGTTCAAGCAATTCTCGTGCCTCAGCCTCCTGAGGAGCTGGGATTACAGGCATGCACTAACACACCCGGCTACTTTTTGTATTTTTAGTAGAGGCTGGGTTTTGCCATGTTGCCCAGGCTGGTCTCGAACTCCTGGCCTCAAGTGATCTGCCCACCTCAGTCTCCCAAAGTGCTGGCATTACAGGCGTGAGCCACTGCACCCAGCTGATCACCACTTCCTTTTTTTTTTTTTTGAGATGGAGACTCACTCTGTTGCCCAGGCTGGAGTGCGGTGGCGTGATCTCGGCTCACTGCAACCTCTGCCTCCCAGGTTCAAGCGATTCTCCTGCCTCAGCCTCCTGAGTAGCTGGGATAACAGGTGCCTGCCACCACACCTGTCTAATTTTGTATTTTTAGTAGAGACAGGGTCTTGCCATGTTGGACCAGGCTGGTCTCAAACTCCTGACCTCAGGTGATAAACACGCACCTCAGCCTCCCAAAGTGCTGGGATTAGAGGCATGAGCCACTGCACCGAGCCCACCACCTCTCTTAAAGGGTTAATGCAGGGGCAGGAAGATAAATGAGCTGACTTTAAGGCCTCTTCTGGCACTGAGTCTATGAAAAAATCAAGATGAGCTACAGCTTAATTTCCACCCACATTTCCAGGTTGTAATTACTCCACCATAATGTGGATTGAGGGAGGGTACAAGAGTCTAGAGCCTGCTGAAGCTAAGAGATCTGGCCTCTTCCCTCCACAGCTTCTCAGAGGACCTAGGAGTCTTGAAGGGATCCCAGGCAACAATAATAACAGTAACAAAACCTCTAGTGGCAATGGTTTTCTCTGTAACTCCTACTGTGGCTTCTGTATGTACCTTCGGCTGCCACCATGGGTTATTGCTCCCTTATTTGAGATACAAATGGTGCTCTCAATGACCCAAATCCAGTCCCAGCTACATCTTCACTCACACACCATGACTAAACTTCCTGACTGCCACTGAAACCCCAACTTGGTGTGAATCTGCCCTGGTGAGTATTAAGCTGGCAGCAGGAAATGAAATGAGCTCTTTGGTGCCTGCTAACGGGGACAGGGGCATTTGGAAAGGTTGGCTCTCAATTCTTTCGGCTAATGGGAGGAAAGTGTAAAGAATCAACAGAAGAATGGCTTCTGAACGATCCAATCTGGTTTGGAAATTTTCCATAGTCCTTACTTGCAAGGACTGGAAATTTCTGTCTGGGAGTTCATGACACTTGAACCACTGCAGCCACAGGGTGAAGACTTGACTCCGAAGCTCAAACTGTTAAGCTGTTTAGGCCCCCCATTCTACTCCAGTGGGGCTGAAACACTTCTAATCTCTGACTGAAGAGAAATACTAATATGTTCTCCCCACACCCCCCATCTCTCGCTCTCGCTCTCTCTCTCTGATTATGGTCTAGCAAATTCTCACACCTTCCCCGGAGATGGAAAAAAATAGAAGAAACAAAGGGCTTAGGTTTCAGATATATTTTCTTTCCAGCTCCTGCTGCGCTTGTGGCTGGCATGTGGGCAGAGAGCAGGTTTCTATGGAGATAATGATAAGCAAAGATTTAAGTGCTCAGAGTAGGTAATGTCAACACGTTTGATCATGGAAAGCTGGCAATACTTATCATCTAAAGTTGACAACACCTCTATGACAAGAGAGAGTCCAAGACTGAAGAAGGTGGGAGAATGTAGGCCCACCCTCCCCTCCCACACCCTGTCCACTTGGTGTACTCACGTGGCTTCTTCAAACACACGCACTTTCTCACAGCCTTCTGGGGGCTCCCGTTTGAAGATGTAGCTATGATTAGGTCGAGGGGAGGCAGCAAAGGCAAGGACTGGAGATGGGCTGCCATCTTCAAGAAAGGCTGGGTGTCCTGGAGAGGAGGCTGTGAACAGAGCAAGGCTAAGTCTAGTGGAGATGAAGGGAAGGCCTCCACTTTTCTGGGTCCAGGACTGAGGTGTAAAGTGGCAAGGCTGGGGACACATGGTAAGGAAGAGGGTAGCGGGTGTGCTTATCCAGTGTGATTATACTCTACCTTAAAAACCTTTGAGGCAGCTTACAAAAATACACAGTGTATAACAGAACAGAAAAACGGAGTTGAATGTATGGAAAGTTAAGATCTCATACCAATTCTATATTCCCAGGAGGTAGACTGGGACCGGAACTCCAGATCTCAGACTTGAAGGAATACTAACTGTGTCTCTCTCTGCCTTCTTCCAAGACTGTCACACCCTCCCTGCCAACATACCACAGCTTCTTCCTGTCCACAGTCTTGAAAATCTATCCTTTCTTCCAAGAACTCTTCTCCGACTCAGAGAAGCAATCTTTACTCAACCCCACTTGTAGGATAAAATTCCTCTCCCTTTCCACACAGTGAATGTACTTTGCCTAGGTTGCAAATATTGACTTTATCTGTATTTATCTCACATTTATTCCTCCTTATTCTATGCTCTGTTTACCCATGTGTATTGTTAGATCATGCCCTTGACCAGCCTACCTCATGGGGTTGATGTGACAATCAAATCAGACAACATAGGCACAGTGCTTTATAATGTAAGGATTATTATTAGGAGGTAGGAATTTCATCTCATTTTCTCAGAGAAGTAGCTAGGGCATTGTAGAAAATAGAGATTTGGAGTAAAAAAAAAAAATGAGTTTTGGTCTGGGTCAAACTATGCAACCCTGGGCAAGCAACCACATTCTCTTACTTTGTATCACTCACAACCACTTTGAAACCATTGTTGGGAATGAGTACAGTGGACACCTGAATGAAGACTTGCTGCTTTCCCCTACAGCTTGCTGAACCTCAGCCCAAAAATGGGGATGGCAGGGATTGCTTCTTTGGATCCCAGTGAGGATTAAATAGAAGTATAAATGCAGTGACTTCATAAATTATCAATCAGAACAGGATGTATGGGACCATTATTATCATTGGTATAATGTGCAGAAGAAAGATGACTCATAAAGATATTCTAGTAGGGTACTGAGAATGCTAGGCCTGAATTGACTAGAGGTGGAAAAGGGAGTGGAGCCACTCATGTGCCCCAGAGTCAGCCCTGCTGCCTCAGCCTTCGCGGCTTACCTTTGTCGTTGGGGGTGGATGCCAGCTCCTCGGCGGCACCCCGATGTTCCTCATGACTGGCCAGGCCACAAGGCTGGGGAGATGCCAAGGACATGGAAGGAGAGCTGGCAAGGTTGCCAGGCTCCAGGAGGAGGAGGGGATGATCACAGCTGCCACTCTGGGGAGGAGCTGGGGCCCGGTGCCCATCAGGGATATCAAGGATCTAACGGGGAAGGACGGTAAAGACTGTCAGCCCTGAGTATTTCAGGCCTGCAGCAGCACAGTGACCCCAAGGGTATTTCCCTTGCTGCTGTCATTCTCTATCCATGACACACAACCACAGAACACCATTTCCTCCAGCGATTTATTTCCCTGGCCACCCTTCAATCTAGAAGAAACTCCCTCCTGTTTCTTCCATAGCACTTTGCTCTTATCCCTAATAGCACTCACAGTCCAATGTATAATTACATATTCACCTGTAGGGCTTGATCAATGTGTTGTCCCCATAAGACTATAAGCCTCATGAGGGCAGGGACCTTCTGTGCCCTGGGCTCTAGGAACACAAAGATGATAACGTATGCTGGAGGGCACAATAGCGGCAAACCACCAGGAGCCTATAAGTGCTGTAACCATTGCAGAACAAGTATGCTGATGATTAGCATGTGTTACATACCTCCTCACCCCCTTTTAAAAACACTCAATGGTACTTGAACCTGTAGCTCACCAAATTATGTGCATGTGTTTGGGTATATGTAAAATCCTGCATACATGCAAATTCAAAACCAACTAGTAGGTAAATCATAAACTGAGAAGTGTGCCCATTAGAATCATATTAATATTGGCCAACTGGCATTCCCCAATTAAACTGTGTCAATATAAAATTGTGCCTGAGGCCAGCTGGGCGCAGTGGCTCACGCCTGTAATCCCAGCACTTTGGGAGGCTGAGGCGGGCGGATCACGAGGTCGGGATATAGAGACCATTCTGGCTAACAAAGTGAAACCCCGTCTCTACTCAAAGATACAAAAAAAATTAGCCAGGCATTGTGGCGGGCACCTGTAGTCCCAGCTACTCGGGAGGCTGAGGCAGGAGAATGGCGTGAACCCAGGAGGCGGAGCTTACAGTAAGCCCAGATCACGCCACTGCACTCCAGCCTGGGCGACAGAGCGAGATTCTGTCTCAAAAAAAAAAAAGAAAAAAAAATGTGCCTGAGACCAGCACGGTGGCTCACGCCTGTAATCCCAGCACTTTGGGAGGCCAAGGTGGGTGGATCATGAGGTCAGGAGATCGAGGCCATCCTGGCCAACATGGTGAAACCCCCTACTAAAATACAAAAAATTACCTGGGCATGGTGGCGCATGCCTGTAGTCCCAGCTACTGGGGAGGCTATGGAAGGGGAATTGCTTGAACCCGGGAGGCGGAGATTGCAGTGAGCCAAGATGGCGCCACCGCACTCCAGCCTGGCGACCAGAGCGAGACTCTCCAAAAAAAAAAAAAAGGCCGGTGGCTCACGCCTGTAATCCCAGCACTTAGGGAGGCCGAGGCGGGTGGATCATGAGGTCAGGAGTTCAAGACCAGCCTGGCAAAGATGGTGAAACCCCATCTCTATTAAAAATACAAAAATTAGTCAGGCGTGGTGGCAAGCGCCTGTAATCCCAGCTACTGGGGAGGCTGAGGCAGAGAACTGCTTGAACCCGGGAGGCGGAGGTTGCGGTGAGCTGAGATCGCGCCACTGCACCCCAGCCTGGGCAACAAGAGTGAAACTCCATCTCAAAAAAAAAAAAAAGTGCCTGAGACTTCAGCAAAGGTAGCACATATTCTGCCTGGGAGTGGAGTCGGGGAGAAGGCTGCATAGGAGCAGCTTGGCATGAAGGAGGCATGCGTGTTACCAGGTAGAGATGGAGAAGGGGCAGGGAGCAGCAGGCACTGAGGCGCCCATGCCGGTGCCGAGCACACGGGGAACAGTGAGAACTGGCAGTTTGGCTGAAGATGACCCCTGTCTGTTCCTCCCAGCGGGGGGGCCTCCTCTCTGCCAATCCTTGCCCCCTGTCTTTGTACTCACCACCACAAAGCCTGCCCTAGTGACATGGGTTAAGGCCATTTGAGACTAATAAACTCCATTTGCATTCCTTTTGCAGGCTGGTGTTTGTATGCTGCTGTTTGCGTAGCCATAGCCTGTGAGGCCCCAGAGAGCAGGACTCCCAGTTCCCCTCGCCCAGGCCAAGTGAGGCACGGACTGTGGGTGCACTCAGGGTGCAGCCGCCACTCACCCTCAGCAGCTCCTCTTCTCCCTGCTCCTTCACAAATACCTCCTCCAGCTCTTGGTTGAGCCCTTCCAGGCTCCTGTGCAGGCAGGGGCTGAGTCGCAAGACAGGGGACCCTGAGGGGAAGCTGGGAGGGGACGCCTGAGGAAGAGGCAAATGACAAAATCACACACAGCCCCACCAGGCCTAGACAGTCTTTCATTCTGACCAGGGGTAATGGTCATGTCCACACAGCAGAACTGAGTGAATGAAGGGTGATTTGGGGACAGTTACAGATTGCAATAGGTCCACTCAGGGCAGTTTTCTCCAAAAGTTTGAGCTTTGCAGAGTCTACTGTGTGCTGTAGAGTCATTGCCTCAATTATATGGGGATGGGGGTAGAAGAGAGGGAGATTCAGAACGGCAAGAAGCCCTTCCAATATCACACAGCAAGACCAAGTTTGGACTAAAACTTCACAAAGCATGCAGTGTGGTAGGGGGCTCGGCAGTTCCAAGACCCAGGAAACCTCTGCCCATATAGGGGGGCCTGCATGGAGGAGAACAGAGGGGAGAGGGCTGGGGGAGAAAACATACCCTCAGTGCTCCCCGCACTGCGTGGTCCCCTAGGAGTGGTGAACCTCGCTCCTTCTCTTTCCCACTGCGGCTCAGCTTCGTCCTCTGCAGTTGTTGCTTCAACTTGGAAATCTAGCAGCCCAGAGAGAAGACGACAGAGGCAGATTAAGGAAAGCCAAAGTGCACTGGGTCCCTCTTCCAAAGAGTGGCTCCTGGCAGAGGCCCATGAAGATATATACAAGGAGGATGGAAGTTAATCTTCCATCTCAAAATAGCTCAATGGTGTTAAAACTGTGATGATCTGTTCCTCAGACGAGTTGGATACCTCACTTAACTAGATGGATTGGATTCCAAATAATTAAAAATATACAACATGGAAACCATTTTGTCTTTTACAGATTCCAAAGGCATGGACTACCCCTCTTTTTTTTTTGAGACTGAGTCTCGCTCTCTCACCCAGGCTGGAGTGCAATGGTGCGATCTCGGCTCACTGCAACCTCCACCAGGTTCAAGCAGTTCTCTGCCTCAGCCTCCTGAGTAGCTGGGATTACAGGCACCCACCATCACCCCCAGCTAATTTTTGTATTTTTAATAGAGATGGGGTTTCACCATGTTGGCCAGGCTGGTCTTGAACTCCTTACCTCGTGATCCACCCGCCTCAGCCTCCCAAAGTCCTGGGATTACAGGCATGAGGCATTGCGTCTGGCCCTACCCCTCTATAAATAGCAATGGAAGATGATGTTTCTGAATGCTAAGGACATTCAGAGTACATTCACAACGATCTTAGAGGCCCTGAGACCAGGAAGGATGGGGATATTCTCCCTTGTTTAAAGTAGACTACACTAGGAACAGGGATAGACACTCAAGAAGGGGATATTGGATTTCATCTTGACTTTCATATCCTGAGACTACTACAGATTATCATCAACAGTTTTGAATATTATCCCATCACATGTGCAATTCTGGACCTTCTTGCCCTCAACTGGAAAATGCTCAGGGGATGAAGAGCTATTTAAATATAAGCCTAAATTAAATGGAATTCAGAGAGTAGATCTGCTACCCACAGCCATAAGATTTATGACTAGAGCCAAGAAGAAAGAGCTTTCCAATTTGCTATTGTGGGTCACTCATACCACATCTCCCCATTCTTAGTGTGAATAACTTGCTTACTCTGACCATTGAAAAGTTTAAATATTTTTTATTTCCCCCTTGTCTTAAGCTCTCAACGTATTCACTTCATATTTTCTCATTGTTCTCAGCAATAGAGGGCAGAAGCAACTTCCTCTTGTAAAGGCGTGCAGGGTGAGTCCTATCGAGTTGACCCTCTCAGAAGCTGCCACACAGCATGTCAGGAGGAGCTGATGGGGAGCCCTGGAATATTCCAGCCTACGGCTTTCTCCCCTTAACCTCAATGACTTGAGCACTCCTGAGGGAGAGGGAGGGCCAGGAAAAAGTGTTTGGGAGCATTTCGTTATTTTTCTCTTCTCTTGAAAATAAGGCTAGGGCTGGGCGTGGTGGCTCACGCCTGTAATCCCAGCACTTTGGGATGCTGAGGCTTGCAGATCACCTGAGGTCAGGAGTTCAGGACCACCCTGGCCAACACGGTGAAACCCATCTCTACTAAAAAAAAAAAAAAATTCAAAAATTAGGTGGCTGTGGTGGTGGGTGCCTGTAATCTAAGCTACTTAGGAGGCTGAGGCAGGAGAATCGCTTGAACCCAGGAGGCGGAAGTTGCAGTGAGCCGAGATCGTGCCACTGTACTCCAGCCTGGCCAGTAGAGACTCTGTTTCCAAAAACAAACAAACAAACAAAAAACTAGATGAGTAGTTAAGAAGTAAATGAGGCTGGGAGCTCCTAATTCCCAGGAACTCCCTCCCTGTCTTCCTCCAGTCTCTGAGCTGCTTATCTGGATCCAATCCCAAAGAACAATGGTGGCTCCAGCCCTGTGCTTGCTGCTGAAAGGCACTAGCAGCCTCTGGCCAAGCCCCTGCCTAGCAGGAGGGTCTGGGCTCCTAAGACCTGGCCACTTGGAGAGTGGGAGTCAGCTAGGAAGGAGCCATCTCATCAGGAAAAGGCCAGGTCAAGATAGGAGAGGTGAGCAGTGTGACGCCACCATGGAGCAGATGCATTGCATGGTACTAGGGGATCGAGAAGAAGCCGCTACCCTAGGCAGGGAGTCAAAGTGGGTAGCTACCTCTTTTCGGTGGTCTGTGCTGCCCCAGGATGCTGAGCGCTTGTGTGCACAGGAACTGGCACGCTCACCTTCTAGCTCTTGCCAGGACAGGGGCGTCTGCAGGGAGAGAAACACAGTGAGACACAGCAGCTTCTTTGGCAGGCACTGGGGAACAGGCACACTGTTTTCTGGGTAGAGGTGATGGCCCTTTGAGCCCTTCTCTCTGCTCATCAACCTCTGAACACTCCCAGTCGGTGTTCTTCTTCAGGCTTCTCCACCTGCACTCCCTCCTTCCCAGTTCATGTCCTCCAGCAAACATTCCCTGATGACCCAACAGGGCCAACCTCCTCTTTACTCTTTTCTGAGTGCTATACATATATGATATCCCAGTTATTCCAGCTGATCCTCAGTGGTGAGGACAAGTATTGCCACTCCTATCCCAACCAGCTCCAAGAGAATATAGGCTCAGGCTCCGGGAATCACTGGCACTCTTTATTCTCTCGCCCTCTACATGTGTAGCACAGGCCCAGGCTCCTGGGAGCCTAATAAAAACAAGTTAATATATAGGAGTGCATTAAGGGATTATTAACTGGTAAAACAGGAAAAAATGTCAACATAGGTCCCCTGACCAAAGCAGGGGACTCCTGTATGGTGCAGTGCTTCATTTTTCCCTGCACATGGAATAAGTGTTACTCCCCCAACCCCTGCCCCCGCTGCAAATAAGCAGGAAGGAGACATTTTCAGAAAGGAGAGAGCCACAGTTCTGAATCCAGCCCTGATTCCTGATCCCTCTTGGCCTTATCACTCCTTTTCCTCCCGGGCCTGCCCAGCCCTCATAAAAACAGGGCCCTCAGTGTGCATCTTCTCTCCCTTGCTGCACCGAAGACAGAGTGTCCAAGATGGAGGCAGGGAGAGCTGCAGGACTACTTCCTGAGCCCCGACCCAAGGGAGGAAGCTGTTGGCTCTAAGCATGAAGCCAAAGAGGCCCAGAACCCTCCCCACCACCAGTATCCCTACTTCCATTCCAAGGGAGGGGCCCAAGGGGGAACGCTCCAGTGGAACCAGTTTCTCTCTAACTTCTGTGCACAAGCACAGGCTGCCAAAAACATGAGGGCCTGGGAACTGTCTCCTCCAAGAGATCTGCTGACCTCCCCCGAGAGGTTGTTGCAAACAGAAAAGGGGGAGGACGGGGAAAAAAACCCAACTACTCGCCACCCAACAGCTGCTAAGAGGAGCTCGGCGGGGGAGTCTGAGCAAGCTTGTGAGAGCAGACGGCCGTATGTGACAGCTGCAGTGGAGAGGGGCCACTGGGGATTGGGGCTCCCTGGCTCTTCCTTCTCCCAGCTGCTCATGGATCAGCACCTTTACTGGGCCACGCAACATAGCCAGGGTGAGACAACTACCCTAACTTTCTTGTTCTGATGAGCATCACGAGTAAGTAGGTAACAGAGGAGTCTACAAATGCTAAATAAAGCATCCAGAGATCCATTTCCCCACAATTCCCTTCTTTAGGAAAAGGGCAGACAGCACATCCTTCAGGCCCAAATCTTCAGCACAAACCCTAAAGCCATATACTGGCTCTGTCAGTATATGGAAAGCTACTTCCAAATGCCCATGTCTCTCTAAACCAGGGTTCTACCAGACAAAGCCTCAGAAAAGGCTGGTGCATGCACTGAAAAGTGAGGAGGAAGCCCATCTCTCCCAGCCACCTCGACCCAGCAGACACACAAAGGATCCTCTCCTCAAGGCTCCAGGACCAACTCTAAAGATGACTACCTCTGCTAATCGAAGCTGGGCCCCGCACCCCCCACACAAACCTGTTGTCCCTGGAAGGTGGCAGAGGCTATAGAGGGATGACAAAAGCTAAAGGGACCGTTCTGCCCATTTCCCTTCCTCAGGGAAGATACTGTACTCACAGGTGGGTGGTAACAGAGAGGAAAAAACAGCCACATTCAGGCCGCCACGGGTACTACTAATATCTCTTGCAAACTCTTCAAGTACCTCTTTCTTCTGGGATATGCGAGAGGATGGAAAGAGAAATGCAGGCTAGCACAGGACTTAAAAAGGATGTGAGGCTGGGGGTGGTGGCTCATGCCTGTAATCCCAACACTTTGGGAGACTGAGGCGGGTGGATCACTTGAGGTCAAGAGTTCAAGACCAGCCTGGCAAACATGGTGAAACCCCGTCTCTACTAAAAATAGAAAAATTAACTGGGCGCCTGTAATCCCAGCTATTCAGGTAGCTGAGGCACGAGAATTGCTTGAACTCAAGAGGTAGAGGTTGCAGTGAGCTGAGATTGCACCACTGCACTCCAAGCCTGGGCGACAGAGCAAGACAGTCTCAAGAAAAAAAAAAAAAAAAAGAAAGAAAGAAAAAAGAAAAAAAAGAAAAGAAAAAGAAAGGGATGTGAAAATCATAGCAGCTAGGGTCATCTCCTCTCTCAATCCAAGTGACCCCACCTCTCTCCGCTCAGCAACGTCTTCCACCAACCACTGCCTTCTCTGTGTAAACTATACTACTAAGGCCATTTCTTTGTGTCAACACCCAACCCCTGGCCATAGAATTCACCATCTGACCCTTCATCCCACGGGCTCTCCATCCTTGGCTCTCTGTCCTCCCAAGCAAACCCATCTCCCTCTCCTTTTTCTTACCTTACCCCCAACCTCCAAGCCTGGTCTCCCGATCTAAGACGGCCTGCCCGGCCAACTATTCCCATTCTTCTTGTCAGGGAGCCTTTCCTAACTTGTCTGCCTCAGGCTGACTGCTCTTCTGCTCTGTGTCTCCTCCTTGCAGATGGGCTCTGAGTGTACAGCATTCGTGCAATCAACAAATAGTGGCTGAATGTACACTGTGTGCCCGGTACTGTTTCAGGCACTGGCCATACAACCATGTACAAAACAACACAAATACTTGTCCCGTCTGAGTTTATGTTCTTATTGGGGAGACAGTTTAAACAGTGATAAGTGCCAAGGAGAAAAATACAGCAAAGAAAAGGGATAGGAATGCTGGGTGGGGGATACAATTGGAAATGTCAGGGAGGCCCCCAATGAAAAAGTAACATCTGAATAAAAACACGAAGGAAGTGAGGGAGTGAGTCATGTGCGTATCTGAGGTAAGAGTAATCCAGACAGAGGGAACAGCCAGTGCAAAGGCCCTGTGGCGGCAATGAGCCTGGCATGTTTGAGAATGATAAAGAGGCCAGTGTGGCTGGAGCAGAGTGTGTCAGGAGATGCAGTGACAGGTTAAAAAACAGCTCCTCAAAGATGAGGAACCTATAAATGTTACCTTGTATAGTAACGTTTTTGCAGATGTATTAAGGATCTTGAGATTATCCAAGATTATCTGGGTGGACCCTAAATACCATTACAAACGTCCTTAAATAAGAAAGAGGCAGAGGGAGATTAGATGTATGCACACTGAAGAGGATAAAGCGATATGACCACAGAGGCAGAGACTCGAGTGATGTGGCTGCAAGCCAAGGAGTGCCAGCAGCCACCAGAAGCTAGAAGTGCAGGAACAGACTCTCCCCAGGAGCCTCCTGGGAGAGAATGGCCCTACCAACACCTTGATCTCAGCCCAGTGAAACAGAACTTGGACTTCTGGTCTCCAGAACTGTGAAATAATACATTTCTGTGGTATTAAGCCACTAAGTTTGAGGTAATTTGTTAAAGCAGCCTCAGAAACCTAATGCAGTAGGTTATCCTGTGTTTGAAGTTGTTGACATGCTGACATCGAGTATTCTTTTTTTTTTGAGATGGGAGTTTCACTCTTGTTGCCCAGGCTGGAGTGCAATGGCGCAATCTTGGCTCACTGAAACCTCCGCCTCACGGGTTCAAGCGATTATCCTGCCTCAGCCTCCCAAGTAGCTGGGATTACAGGCATGTGCCACCACACCTGGCTAATTTTGTATTTGTAGTAGAGACGGGGTTTCACCATGTTGGTCAGGCTGGTCTCGAACTCCTGACCTAAGGTGATCTGCCTGCCTCAGCCTCCTAAAGTGCTGGGATTACAGGCATTAGCCACTGCGCCCACCCGACATCGAGTATTCTCAAGGCAGGAGTGTACACAGGTGTGGACTATAGCCCCTCCTAAACTGGGAGTGCCCAGAGTGGGGACTGTGTCCCCAGTTTCCAGTGCCCAAGGTTAGATAGGACTCCTCTTCTGAGTCTCACCATGTAGTCACAGCTAAGAAAAGCTCCCCTTCAAAAAGCTAACCTGGCCAGGTGCGGTGGCTCATGCCTGTAATCCCAGCACCTTGGGAAGCCAAGGCAGTAGGATTGCTTGAGGCCAGGAGTTCAAAACCAGCCTGGTCAACTAGCGAGACCCTATCTCTATAAAAGAAATAATTTTAAATTAGCCAGTTATGGTGGTGCATATCTGTAGTCCCAGCTACTAGGGAGGCTGAGGCAGGAGGACCACTTGCGCCCAGAGTTCGAGGCTGCAGTGAGTCATGATAATACCACTGCACTCCAGCCTGGGCAATAGAGTGAGACCCTGTCTCAAAAAAAAAAGGAAAAAAGAAAAAGAAAAAACTAACCTTCTGGCCACAACAGGGGTCACACCATGCTGCTCAGTCATTCTAGATGACCCTTTGGAAGCAGGGTAGAGCTGGAGCTCAGCAGACCAAAAAGTCATGTTTGTCTCCAGGCACGGTGACTCATGCCTGTAATCCCAGCACTTTGGGAGGCTGAAGTGGGCAGATCAGATCACTTGAGGTCAGGAGTTCAAGACCAGCCTGGTCAACATGGTGAAACTCCGTCTCTACTAAAAATACAAAACAATTGGCCGGGCATGGTTGCACATGCCTGTAATCCCAGCTACTTGGGAGGCTGAGGCAGGAGAATTGCTTGAAGCTGGGAGGCGGAGGTTGCAGCGAGCCAAAATCGAGCCACTGCACTCTAGCTTGGGCGACAGGGCGAGACTCTGTTCTCCAAAAAGAAAAAGAACAAAAAGTTGTTTGTCAGGGGGAGTCATGCACTGGAACAGATTTGACACCCTGGCCCAGGGTGAGCAGCTGAGGGACAAGTAGGGTAGCTTCTGACCATGAGTGGCATGGGCCAGCTGTGCAGATGATACTTAGGTTATGCAAAACTGGACGTGGCCAGACCAAGGAAGCCTTGCCTGGGATTGAGATCCCAGAGCAACATGTGGAAGGACAGCTGGGCATGGGGGTGGAGGACAGTTTCTCAAAGAGCCATCTAATATAATGAGGAGGAGGGGCGGGATGAAGCTGAAAACCCTCCAAACTGGAATCTCTCAGCCTCCAGCCCAAAAGTTTCTACCTAGACTCCATGACCACAGGCAGGAAAGTCCTGGCCCTCACTGTCTCCAGTGACCTTGGCACCTGAGTAAGCTCCATGTGTGGAGCTGGGCTAGGCCCTGGGAACGTAACCCACTATCCCTGCACGGGACTGTCAAGCAGCATGGTGCCTGGCCTGGTGTGGACCGTCAGGACCACGTGTTCAACTGAAATTCTGCAGGGAATCAGTCCCTTAGGTCTCCGGCCAAACAAAAAGGCCGGAAAAGGCTCTGAGGGTGGTCTGCTGGTCAGCACTGAAAACTGGCTGCAAGTGGCCAAGGCCACCATCTCTGGCCCTACAGTGACTATGCAACTCTCAGATTTTCCATCATGGCCCCATTTTCAAATGTTTGGTACTTTTGTCAAACTATGCTGAACAACTGGTCCTGATCGCCAATCTGGAAAACAGGCAGTGTGCCCAGGCCCCCACACCCACAAAGAAAAACATTTTTAAAAGGTCCATGATGGTCAGACTGAATTGTGTGTCATCACTGTTGGGGCACTGGCTTGGGAAAACAGGGAGGATAGTACACAGGTAGGGGAAAGACACAGGAAGAGAAGTCTTCCCAGTGAGCATGCCCACCTTCACCTCTGGCCTTCCTCATACTCCGTGTGGTTTGTCAAGACTTAAGCTTTTTTTTTTTTTTCTAAAGGGTAAGTTGGGGCTAAAGAAAAAAATATCCTATCATAGAAGCTTCCCCATCTTACCTGGGGAATGCAGAGGGAATGGGGCTGGGGATGAGTAGAATGGGGGGCTGGGCTAGGCAGGACAGGTACCCAGAGTCCTGTCCGTCAGCAGGATGAGACCAACAGGGGAACTTTGCTCAAACAGTCATTCCAGCTGTGATGAGACCACTTCCTCCCTCCAGAAAAATACACGAAGACTCAAAGGTTTGCACAGCAAGAAGGGAAAGGGGTAACTGCAGCCACCGGCATGTACTGCCCTCACCCACCCTGGCCTGGGCCCAGCCACTAGAAGTGGGCAACACAAAGCAATCGGTGGCCAGCTCTAGTTTACCAACTGACCTGGTCATCTCTCCCGTTGCTCAAAACATGCAGCATCTCCAAAGCACTTCTTCCCCAATTACCATGTTCACACATCCTCCTCCCAAAAACAACCAATATCACAAATAACATATATCCGCACGCTTCCTCTTTCCTTGCCCCAAATATTTGGGTAACCCAGTTCTCCATGTCTGACTGTAAATGGCCTGAGGACAATCCTTTGTAACCACCTAAGAGTTTAAAACACAACGAGGAAGGAGATACTAGGATGAGATTGTTGGCACTACTGGGCTATATTCAAGAACTGAGAGCTTTTCGCTCCATCTTCTACTCTGTGAAGAAGCCTCAAGATAGCATGCCCGGCTATCTAGACAGCAGGTGTCCCAGGCTTGCTGCCTAGATCTGAAGCTGGCTTGCAATGGGCAGGGCCCTGGTCTCCTCTCAGGGATTCAGAGGAAGGAGCTGCTTAGCCTGAACCATAACTGCAGCTGCTGACCTCATTGCAAGGCATGCCCTGGGAATGCCAGGGCTGCTGGCTCTTGGTGGAGGGAGGTTAGGCAAGTAGGACAGTAGTAGTGAGTGCCCACCAGTGAGGGAGGATGAAGCAGAAAATAACTACTATATTGGTATGACTAGAAGAGAAAGGGCAAAAGGTAAGGGCAGCGGTAGGAACAGCCCCACCCTCAGCTTAGGGCAATTGGGAAAAGGTTCTGGCATCAGTCTTTTTTTTTTTTTTTTTTTTTTGACACAGAGTCTCGCTCTGTTGCCAGGCTGGAGTGCAGTGGCATGATCTCGGTTTACTGCAACCTCTGCCTCCGGGTTCAAGCGATTCTCCTGTCTCAGTCTCCCGAGTAGCTGGGACTACAGATGTGAGTCACCATGCCCAGCTAATTTTTGTATTTTTAGTAGAGATGGGGTTTCACCATGTTGGCCAGGATGGTCTCGACCTCCTGACCTTGTGATCTGCCCACCTCGGCCTCCCAAAGTGCTGGGATTACAGGCGTGAGCCACCATGCCTGGCCATATTAGTCCATTTTTAACAGCTTAAAAGCTTTCAAGGACTTTGGTAGATCCTGCCACCCTCCCTTCCCTCTTCCCCTCTCCAGACACCTTCATGTCTTCCCAGTCAAACCTCTCCTTCCTCTCCAGTCCTTTCTGGGTGATATCCCAGTACTCAATAGGAAAGGAACACCAGTTACTTAGGAATATGTCAGGTGAGCCTCAGACCTCCACAGTGTAATACCAGTGTTGAAGAGGGTAGCTTGGACCAGGCCCGGGGGCTTAAGCAGGAATTTGAATGGAGCCCAAAACCTAGAAGCAGCAAATTCCCAGAAGACCAGGAATGAAAGATGGGTAGAGTGCATATTTTGGTTTGGATGCCTAGGTTGATCAGCATTCTCCACCTCCTGACTGCGGCCACAATATTGACAGGTTGCTAAGAGTTCCTCGAGGGCTGGAGCCCATCCCAGGGAAAGAGGAAAGCTGCATGGCTTGGCCTTGCCAGACCCACGGAGGCTCATCGCTGACCTCTGTCTTGCTGTGGCAAGAAGCCCAGACTTGTTATATAAAAGATCTGGCCTACAGCTGGAGCCTGAGCAAAAACACACAGCCTAGGGCCCATGCCTCTAAACTCAGCCAGGGAACATCTGAGGCCAACCCTGCCTTCAGTTGACAAAGAGAAAGCTATCTGAGGAGTGGGATGGTGACTTCCTAGAAGGCTGAAAGCAGGAAATGACAGAGGCAGAAATAGGTGGGCTACACAGAAGCCTGCCATCTGACAAACAGGGATGCAATAATGAGCTTACACACTCAAAGGAATCTCAAGTCCTGTTCCTCCAGGAAGCCCTCCTTGACTACAAACATATTTGAACTAAGCACTCCTATCAAAAGACAAAGTTATGTGTGCTCCCAGGCCTGTGAGGAGGAAGCATAATTTATCCTACTTGCCTTTTCCAAAGGATAAAGGGAATGGCAGTGCCCAGGGCTCCCAGGAAGGAAGCCTACTCTCTCTCCTTCCTGGAGGGTATTCTCCTTTCACAGTCTATTTGTAGATCCAAAGAGGGCCATGATTTTAACTGCAGCAAATTCTTGTTGATTCAAGGTGGGGTATTCCCATGAGAATTCCCCTTCTTTAAACTTTGCCAGATATTTGGCTCCATCTCATCCCTTGGCTGTCTGTTTACTGGCCCTCATAGAACTGGAATCCAGACTCATGGAGGCCAAATCTTGTCCTCATTTCCTTATTCTTCATTCCAACATGCCAAGAACAGTACTGGGCATTCAAACATTCACTAACAACATTTGAAAATGGATCGCATTAACAAAATAAATAAAGGAAAGAAACTGACATGATGTGGTCAGAAGAGGTACCAAGCACTTTCATGTGTCATTTGGCCATCATGCCACCTACACAGAGGCAGACCACGCACTCTCCACCCAGTTTGCAAAGGAAGAGCTGACTTGCCCAATGTCCCCCAGGGTGAAGGGCTGACTCGGACCCTCATGTCCTAGCCACCCTGTTTCTGCCTATCTCGAAATAACTCATTTGCTCTGAAGATGAACAAGAGTGCGTTTAAACTGCATCAAAAGGGAGATTTGACTCTTAACAACTTAGCTGCTAAGAATGAAGTCCTGAATCAGATTAAGAAATGTCTGTATAATTTCACATATGAGATACGTTCGTGCTAGCTTATCCAAAAATTGGTAAATGAACTGGATGATCTGCAGAGATTCTTTCCGAGCTTGGGATTCTTAATGAAAAGACTGTCTTAATGAAAATACTGAAGGAGAGGAAGCTGGCTCCCCAGTCCTTGAATGGGTACACTGAAATCCCAGTCGGGGCTGCTGGCAAGGAAGAATTCTCCATTATCTGAGAACTTCCCATTCCTATGGCTCCAGTGGGATCTATTCTGGCTCAGCATACTTTTTGGCCACTTCTTTGGGAAATACAAACTCAATAGAATGTTGGCCTTGGTTTAATTTTAGCAAGGTAAATCTCATTTTTTATTTTTTTTATTTTTTTGAGATGGAGTCTTGCTCTGTCACCCAGGATGGAATGCAATGGCGTGATCTCAGCTCACTGCAACCTCTCCCTCCAAGGTTCAAGCGATTCTCCCGCCTCAGCCTCCCAAGTAGCTGGGACTGCAGGCACCCACCACCACGCCCAGCTAATTTTTGTATTTTTAGTAGAGACGGGGTTTCACCATGTTAGCCAGGCTGGTTTCAAACTCTTGACCTCAGGTGATCCGCCTGCCTAGGCCTCCAAAAGTGCTGAGATTATAGGCGTGAGCCACTGCGCCCAGCCTAAATCTCATTTTTTAAAAAGCTAGAATAAACTCTAAAGTCAGCTGTTGATTACCCCGACACAAATACTCAAAGCTAAACTGAAAAACCCAGATTGACTTCTCTCTTCCACCAGGCAGGTGGAATGCAAACTCATTTCCATATAAGTTTACAAAGAAAAACGGTGGTAAATTAGCAGGGCGTGGTAGCAGGCACCTGTAATCCCAGCCACTTGGGAGGATGAGGCACGAGAATCACTTGAACCCGGGAGGCAGAGGTTGCAGTGAGCCAAGATCGCACCACTGCACTCCAGCCTGGGTGACAAAAGGAAACTCTGTCTTAAGAAGATAAAACATTACATGGATAATATGTACGACCAAAACCCAAGACAAATCATCGCAATGACTTGAGGAAGACCAAAGGCCTCCTCAGCCAGCTCTCCCGCCCCATCCTTATCCCTTATCCCATCAGGAGAGAGCTTCATTACCTGGGTGGCCTTGTCATTGGTGCAGCAGGTGAAGGCCCCATCAGCATCTCGTGGCCACTGGCCCAGAAGGTAGGAGCTGAGGATGGTGTCCAGGGAGAATGTACGCCGGACCTGAAGTGGCTGAGGCCTACACACTGACTTTTCTGGGGCCACCGAGCATGGGACGCTGGCTGCAAGAGAACACAGCCCGCACGCCTTGCCATCAGCATGGAGGAAGGAGACGTGGCAATCACCTTCCTCTTCTAAGAGATGTGGCCTGCCTGCCCCGTCTTCACTCATATCCACCACTGTCCTAAAAGAATTTGAAGCAGCCTGAAACAGCACATATGGTCTGACAAGACCTTTCCTGACCTACTCAGCCAGCCTTTATCATGGGAAACAATTTATACCATTTTACTTTGGACTTGGATGTTACTTTATAAATGTCCTCTATCCTTTTCCTGCTCCTAATGGACTATGAACCGTGAACTCCTAGATCTCCACACTGAGTTTCCTGAGAGCAGCACTGTTTCCCATCATTAAAGATAAAACTCTAAGTGGATAAAAAACAAATTTTCTTCCATCTTTTATCTCCTGCCCTTCTTCCTCCCTCCAGCACCTTTGCAGGGCTTAGGCACTGCACAAATTCATCCCCTTAACTGAAGACCTCCTCTTCCTCTTCATACTTCCTTCAGGACTGGTTAGCTCCCCAGGGAACCCCGGTGGCTGACATACTGGAACTACTTTCAATTATCGAGGATTGAGGAATCTAGTTTACGGAAACATCCAAGTTTTTTGGTTCTCTCCTCTGTCTCTGACTTCTGTCTAAATGGGACAAAAATAAAGCAATTATAAATCCATTCATAGGCCGGGTGGTGGTGGCTCATGCTTGTAATCCCAGCACTTTGGGAGGTGGGCAGATCACTTGAGGTCAGGAGTTTGAGACCAGCCTGGCTAACATGGTGAAACCCCATCTCTACTAAAAATACAAAAATTAGCCGGGCGTGGTGGAGGGTGCCTGTAATCCCAGCTACTCAGGAGGCTGAGGCATGAGAATTGGTTGAACCTGGGAGGTGGAGGCTGCAGTGAGCCAAGATCGCACCACTGCACTCCAGCCTGGGTAACAGAGGAAGACTCTGTCTCAAAAAATAAATTAAATAAATAAATCCATTCATTTATTTTTACTTTGGTTAAAGCTTTCTAGAAGGAGGTAAAAGTTGAAACTGTGGATAAAATGTAAGGGTACTGGAATCATTTGGAAGTTGCAATCATCTAAGTTGACCCTGTTTTCCATGGCCACATTCAAAACACTCTACTATCTTAAGATCTATGGCTGGGCGTGGTGGCTCAAGCCTGTAACCCCAGCACTTTGGGAGGTCGAGGCAGGTGGATCATGAGATCAGGAGATTGAGACTATCCTAGCTAACACGGTGAAGCCGCGTCTCTACTAAAAATACAAAAAAATTAGCCAGGCGTGGTGGCAGGCGCCTGTAGTCCCAGCTACTCGGGAGGCTGAGGCAGGAGAATGGTGTGAACCCAGGAGGCAGTGCTTGCAGTGAGTCGAGATCACGCCACTGCTCTCCAGCCTGGACAACAGAGCGAGACTCTGTCTCAAAAAAAAAAAAAAAAAGACCTATAAAGGCTGTTGCATTTAAACAGAACAAAACACTTTCACATCTGTAGTAATCCCTTAATAATTCACATGTATTTAGCACAGCAAAAAGAACTGGGAGCTGTAGGTATAAATAAACCTGAAGAACTTTATATTAAAAAGACACTAGGGCCGGGCGCAGTGGCTCACACCTGTAATCCCAGCACTTTGGGAGGCCGAGGCAGGCGGATCACGAGGTCGGGAGATCGAGACCATCCTGGCTAACACAGTGAAACCCCGTCTCTAAAAACAAAAAAAAAAATTACCCGGGCTTGGTGGCGAGTGCCTGTAGTCCCAGCTACTCGGGAGGCTGAGGCAGGAGAATGGTGTGAACCTGGGAGGCAGACCTTGCAGTGAGCCGAGATAGCGCCACTGCAGTCCAGCCTGGGCGAAAGAGTGAGACTCCATCTCAAAAAATAAATAAATAAAAATAAAAATTAAAAAAAATAAAAAGACACTAAAAGGTTGGCAGTTCCTCAAAAAGTGAAACATAGAATTACCATATGACCCAGCAGTTCCACTCCTAGGTATATACCAACAAAGAACCGAAAGCAGGGACTTGAAGCATTTTTCACAATAGCCAAAAGGTGGGAGCAACCCGAGCATCCACGAATGGAGAAACGGATAAACAAATGCAGCACATCCATACTGTGGAATACTATTCAGTCTTCAAAAGGAAGGCAATTCTGACACACACTCCAATACAGATGATGCTGAGTTAAGTAAGCAAGACAAAAGGACAAATATTCTGTTTTTCTTGAGGTATCTAGAATAGGCAAATTCATAGGGACAAAAAAATAGAATAGACTTTACCAAGGGCTTAGGAGGAGGAGGGGGAGTAGGAGTTATTGTTTAATGGATACACAGTCTCTGTTTGAGATGATGAAATTCAGGTTGTGGAAATGGACCCTGGTTATGGTTGCACAACATTGTAAATGTATGTAATGCCAGTGAACATAAGCTTTTATGGTTAAAATAGTGAGTATATATTTTACTACAATAAAAAAAAGGACACTAACTGACCAATATGGTGAAACCTCATCTACTAAAAATGCAAAAATTAGCCGGGCGTGGTGGTGCACACCTGTAATCCCAGCTACTTGGGAGGCTGAGACAGGAGAATTGCTTGAACCCGGGAAGCGGAGGCTGCAGTGAGGTGAGATCACGCCACTGCACTCCAGCCTGGGCAACACAGCAAGACTCCGTCTCAAAAAAAAAAAGACACTAACAATACTACCTCCACTCTCCAAATTCACTGAAGCATTTACATACATTTTGCCATAGTTGTAATCAGTAGGAAATATGCTATATTATGTTCTGCTTGGTTCCACCTATTTCATATACCTTTTCCCATGTATTAACAATCTACATATTTGTTATTTTAAAAGACTATATAATATTCCTCCAGGTTGATGTACACTAGTTTGCTTAGCCATTCTTGTATTTTTGTCTTTTCTTTTTATTTTTTGAGTCAGGGTCTCACTGTGTTGCCCAGGCTGGTCTTGAACTCCTGGGCTCAAGTGATCTTCCTGCCTTGGCCTCCCAAAGTGCTGGGATTACAGGCATGAGCCACCACACCCGACCCATTCCTATATTTTTGAACATTTGAGGGATTCCTCTCCAATTTGGACATCAAAAATGTTACTATATGGCCAACTTTTACTCTGTGTTTTTATCTAATCCCTGGCATAGTTCTAGATCATTCTCACTCAGCCATCATATATGTGCTTATTTAAAACAAGTGAATAATTTATAACTACAACAGTAGTAAGTGTGAACTGTAGAAAAGTCAGGAAATATATAAATATAAACAAACAGAAAAAAACCCTCAACTCTCAACACCCAGAGATAACCAATGTTATGAGAAATATAAACTTACAGGTCTTACCTCTTCTGTGTGTGTGTATGTGTGTGTGTATATATACGCTTTACAATTTAAAATGGGATTATACTGTACGTATTGTTTTGTTATGTTTTTACCTTATAAACATCTTTCCAAATCAATATATATTGACATAAAACACATCATTTTAAATGATATTAACATTCCTAGGTTAAACCTCTTCAAAGGCTCTCTTTCTTTTTTTTTTTTTTGAGACGGAGTCACGCTTTGTCGCCCAGGCTGGAGTGCAGTGGCACAAGCTCGGCTTACTGCAAGCTCCGCCTCCCAGGTTCACACCATTCTCCTGCCTCAGCCTCCCAAATAACTGGGACTACAGGCACCCACCACCATGCCCGGCTAATTTTTTTGTATTTTTAGTAGAGACAGGGTTTCACCATGGTCTCGATCTCCTGACCTCGTGATCTGCCTGCCTCAGCCTCCCAAAGTGCTGGGATTACATATGTGAGCCACTGCACCCGGCCCAAAGGCCCTCTTTCAAAGACGGAGGTAAAGCCTTCATGTTCTGGTCCCACTTACCTGTCCTTTATACCTCACTCTTCCTTAAGGTCACTAAATCTCAGACAAACTATACTGCATACCATTTCCCACCCATGTCCCAAGCCTTCCCTCCTCTGAGATTTTGCATGGGCCCAGGGTTAAAATCTGTTCATCTGTCAGGGCCAGCTTTACTGCCTCCACTCCACCAAGCCTTCTGCATCCACTGGAATCCCCTGGAAGCAATGTCTTAGAATTTTCTGTTTCCTCAGTACTTTGTACTCTTCTAGTAATGAGCACCTTCTCTTGAGGAATAGGGTATTTGTAACTCCTAGATAATAAACAGCCTGAGGCCAAGGGCAGGCTCTGTGTATCCCCCACAATGTCTAAAGCATAGGGCTGGCAATTGGCAGGCATCTAATATTTGAATAAAATTGAAAAACCTTCACAAGAAGGGTCAACTGGCTCTACTTTTACCAGGGGTTCTGACTTTGCATGTGTGTTCAACACACCCACTTGGAGTAAAGATCCCATAGCTGCTTGTCTTTTTTTCTCTCTCTGAGGCTCAGGAAGGCCCAACCTCTTTCTTACCCTTCCTGCAACCTTGTTGCCTAGTAAGTTGGTGACAGGCACACTGGGTTCAAGGCACAACTTTATCTCTACACCAGCATTTCAAAGACTCATTTTCCTAACCTGGGTTTAAAATCAAAAGATAGCAATCCAGATATTTCTGGGAGCTTCTGACCCACATCAGCAGCCAGCTCAGGCCAAAATGCTGTCCTACGGGCCTCCAAAACTGTCTATTAGAGTCCAGTGACGAGGCAGGGACTCTGGAAAGTGGATTTACAAAATTACATGACAGATAACCAAAGAGGCAGATGGGCCACGGACGAGCAAGTGATTGGCATAAGGGGTAGGATCTCATAATCCTAAAGGCTGCTTCATCACTGTTTCGAAGGAAAAGGAGTAGGACTCCAAGGCTGAGGGATAAGTGACAGGAGAAAGGTTTCCTGGAGCTGCTTCTCCCATGCCCTCATCTGAAGTCCCTGCAAAAATCTCTTTTAGATTCTTTCCTTACTGGGACCCTAAAGCTATCTCGTGTTTACGTTGTGCTTTCAAGTTTTGCCCCATCCCCACAAAGTACTTTGGTGTGCTGTAATCTTTTACTCTCCTGTCAGCTGTAAAAGGGGATAGGGAAAGACTGTTAAGGAAGACTAAGGCACAAAGAAGCTTAGTCTCTGATTAGACTCCTTCACTCTGTAAGTCAGCAGCAGTCCCAGATCTAAATCCAAGCCTCCTTCCTCCTAAATCAGTCTTCCAACTACTCACTGAGGCTCACATCCCTCTTCTATCAGGGACACCCTCTGAGGCTGCTGGGACACCTGCCTAGACACCTGGAGGATGAATTGCTTTTGTATTAATAGCTTCTTTTTAGCACCTAATGGAGGAGATGGCAGGCCCAATCCTATTGTCTCCAATGACCTATTTTTTGTTTTGCTTTTGTTTGTTTCTTGAGGAAGCCTTTGAAACTTGAAGTAAAGGACTCTATTATCTCCTAGGGATAACTTTAACCCATTTTATATTGGTTTCCATCACTCTTCATATCCTACCCTATTCAATGAATCCAATCTCTAGGACAATAATCATAGGTGGTACTTTGCTCCCAGTACTCACAGGGCTGGGGAGCACCCAAATTCCTGGAATGTGATGTGAGAATCCAACCAACGCATTTTGGTAAACTCTACATTCTTTCCGGCTCCCTCTGACCAGTTATCCATTAAGACTCAGGACTCAGTGGGTCCTGACTTGTTCCTCCATATACAAAAAAATGTCACACAAATAGCAGAAAAGAAATAAAAAGGGGAAAAAAGGAGGGAGGGGAAAGGATTGAGGAGAAACCAAGGAACCCCCAATCCAGAATCTGCAGCCCCTGACTCCCTCTCCCCTGGCAGATATGCAAGGATCTTACTACATCTAAATCAAACAGGAGGACTTGCCTCAGTTTCTTTTCCTTAAATGAAGAGACAGCTGGGCCTCAGCCTTATTTCCACAGAGGCCACATCCTGGCACAGGGTGCTGGCACAGCGCCTCACTGGCCATGAGATGACAGAATTACCTTCTGTCTCAGAACCCTTAGCAAGGTCCACTACCCTCCCAACTCTCCAAATTCTTGGCATGTCCCAGCTCTTTTGAGGAGACGAAAATACCATATTTCCTTTAAGCCTAGGAAATAAGGGAGGGGACTTTTTTTAAAAATTAGATTTTAATAGTTTAAAAAAAACTACCACTTATTTCACAAACCTCATCGCAAGTGGTTTGGTAAGCACCTGCTTCTTTGGACATCAAAATTGGTTAAGGGCTAAACCAAGGTGTCAAACTTCCCCCAAATGCAACACAAACCAAAGCCAAAATGAGACAATGACATGTCTCGTGCCACCCTTGAAGGGGCTGCAGGCTGGTGCAGCATGGCCACCCCAGATATCTAGTAGGAGCTAAGAGGTGGGGAGGGTAGGTCTGACTACAGCCAACGCCACCCAGCCTCACTGGGCTGGCTCTCCCTCTGGCCTAAGTTACCTCTGAGGGATGTTATGAAGAGATGCAAATACACTTTAAAGCCTTAGTTAGAAAGATTATGTCAAATCAATTCATGTCCTTTAGGATTGAAGGTGTAGGTGAAGGAGTCCGGAAAGAGGAGACTACCCAAAGACGTGCAGAGTAAGCCCTAGCCCCTCTATCCGTAGGCCTACACTCTCCTGGGCCCCTGGGAAGATGCCCATTTTTAATGTCAAAGCCCTTTCCTTTACTAGTGACAGTCTAACCCAGGAATAAGTGATGCAGGGTAGAATACAAAGCTGCTTGCAGACCGGAGCATCAGCAGCTTCAGGTCAACACTTAAGTTCTGCTGCCCAATGAGATTGACCTCAATAGAGAACGTCCCCTAAGAAATCTTCTAGGTGAGCCTAGTTGAGATAGAGGCTCTTGGGTTTATCCTCCATGGGCATACCGGAAAGATCTGGGCATCGGGTTCTGCCCTGCACTTGTGTGATTATTGTTAAAGGAGAAGCAGCATTGAGAAGTCACAACGGTTGCTTGTGGTTGGAAGATGAACTGGTTTCATTTCTGGAAAGTACCCCTCTCAGATTTAGGAAATAGGGGAGGGAAATACGACAATAGGCTTCCCTATCAGAGAAGAGAAGCCCATATCATGACAGGCCATGACAAAGCAGCAGGCTGTTGGGGCACTGGCTGGGTGGCTGCAGGAGGGTGGAGTGTCCTGTTTACAGCACCGTGGGGTATTATCAGCCCATCACATGCAGCAGCCTCCACAGCCCAACCACCTGGTGAAGCACCCTGGCACCAGGCCAGGCCATTTCACCATGCAGCTGAGCAGTGGCGGATGCTTTGGTTCTTGAGCAACGG
The DNA here is from genome assembly GCF_000001405.40 of Homo sapiens. NCBI lineage: Eukaryota > Metazoa > Chordata > Mammalia > Primates > Hominidae > Homo > Homo sapiens. The sequence continues at coordinate 49,739,978 of NC_000017.11, forward strand.
CAAATGGAAAAAACAAAACAAAACAGCACACACAGGAGATAAGAAGCCTTAGGTGCTATCTTCCAGAGCCACTTGGTCCTGTCTCACAACTGCTACACTAGGATGGCTTTAGAGAGAGGGAGCTATGAGTGGAGAGGGCCAGCGGTCAAGTATCTGCCTGTTGGGGGAAAGTCAACATGGCAGAAGGCACACAAACGGCAGATAAGACAATGAACCAAGAGCAAAAGATGGGCCTGGCACACTGCAGCAGACTGATGCCTTTGGTAAGCAGATTTTTTTTTTTTTTTTGAGAGGGAGTCTCACTCTGTCCCTCAGGCTGGAGTGCAGTGGCGCGATCTCGGCGCTCATTGCAAGCTCCGCCTCCCGGGTTCACGCCATTCTCCTGCCTCAGCCTCCCGAGTAGCTGGGACTACAGGCGCCCACCACCGCGCCCGGCTAATTTTTTGTATTTTTAGTAGAGACGGGGTTTCACCGTGTTAGCCAGGATGGTCTTGATCTTCTGACCTTGTGATCCGCCCACCTTGTCCTCCCAAAGTGCTGGGATTACAGGCGTGAGCCACTGCACCCAGCCTGGTAAGCAGATTTTGAGCACTCACTACGAGCCATCTGTCTGTGATAAACACTGGAGGAGTAAGACAAGAACCTGCTGATGAGATTGAAGTGAGCAAGGCTGATGCAAATTCTCTCTAAGTGCCAGGCTACCAGGCAAGACCCCCAGGGGATACTCCCCCAGGAAATGCTTTTTCAGAAGGACCACCAATTTGTCTCTGCTATTCCCAATATCCCTTGCTGAAAATCAGCTCAGGCCTGGCCACACCAGCATATCTCCCCAACAGGTACCTAAAGGAGAAGGGTGACAGCTCTTAGAAGAAGGGCAGGAATGGCATTAGAGGAAAGACAGTAGATAATGCAGGAACTGAGGCATTGTGGCTGCTCTTCTCAGCGTGACCAGAGATAGACTGTGGGGTAGAGGCTTAGCACTTTACAAGGGGAAACAAGCCCCTGACCAGTGGGTTCTGGGCATCTAGGGGACGTGCTCCACTTATTTCACTATCTTTGGGGTGATATAGGAGAGAAAAGCCTGTGAAATAAAGACAGGGCTACTCTCCACCCATCGTAGTTATCCCAAAATACCCAAGAAGGACTACAGAAGGAAAATGAGAGAGGCAGCCAACGAGATCTTACACATGGCAAAAACTCAACAACTAGCTGGTTCAACAAACAAGTTATGAGTCATTTTCTCATGGCATCAAGACTTGAAGCATTATTAGCACTAGTCTTCTCATTTCCCCTGTTTTTTGTTTTTATTTTTGATTTTTTGATCTCACCTCTCCCCTTAAAGAGAAAATAACTTATAACAGAAACTATGCACATGTTAGAAGAAGAAAATGCAGATAAACAAAAACTGAAAATGACCAACTATGCATGCCCGCACTCAGAGATCACCACTTTGCTCACCAATCCTGATCTCTCTCCATGCACGAGCCTGCATATGTATTTTTAGTAAAATGAGGTCATATTATACATGCTTTTCTACAACCTGTTTTTTTTCAGTCAGTGATCTTCACTTAAGGAGGAGAAGCAGGCAGGGTCAGAGCAGTGTGGTTAGACACAGGAGGAACAGATCCTGTCCTGTCCTGTCCTAGTTGTGATACAGCATTTCTGTTAGAGGGAAATGTTAATCTGGAGTTAGAAGAGCAAAGTAAAACAGGAATTCAGAATTTCTAAACATTTCCCCAATAACAGGTTTGCAGTAAGCACGGGAAGTTCCTCCTAGCAGCCTCACAGGGATTATTTTTCTATTTCAGCACATTTGTTGGGATTAAACAGGGCAGGCCGTCTTCTGAGCTCCCTGTGGTCCAGTGCTGCTTAACTGCTTAACTAGGGATGGGTGGGTTTTGTGGGGAAGTTGTGGCGAAACTGAAATTTCCAATATGACTGTACAAGAGTTAGAAGCCCTCCTTGGAAAGCCCAAGGAGACCCCATCCATCCCAGCTGAAAAAATTAAATCTGGAGCTGCAAACACTTCTTTAAACAACACTTCTTTCAATAGCTATCCTTAACAGGTAGAAGAAACTAAAGAAACTACATTAGAAAGAAAGAAGAAAAATGATAATATCCCATGTTATCCCTACCAATAAGACTACCCCAAATGAAAAAAGGAGCGACGATATTTGTACACACATGAAAAACTTCTCAGCCAGGCTCTCAATTAATTACTGACTCCATATTTAAGTGTACAGCTTAAGTGAGAGCCACTGAAAGCATTTCTGGCTGTGTGTCCGACTTCCCAAGATGCAGACCATATCTGTAGGCAGCTGGAGAGACAGGCCAAGAGAAACCCTTCTGGAGATGTCATTGTGGGAAAAAAAATAAGGAATACATTGGCTCTTTGTAACAGTAAGGAGAAAAAGGGTGAACCCAAAGTCTATGTGTGTATATAAAAAGAGTAGACAGCAGTTACTTAGACATTTGTTCAATTCTTAAGCTGCAGTTAGAAGAAAAGGAAGTGGTGTGAACTTTTCACCTTTTATCTGAATTCTCTGAAGAGGAGTTCTGCAGGATTTCAACATCCTTAAAACAAAACACTAGCAGTTACTGATTGGAACATACTTTCCTTTGGGATCTACATGGCCTTTGCAAGAATAGCATAAATAGCACATAGCCTAGCCCCTATCTCTAAAAAAAAAAATCCTTACTCCATGGTTATTTGGGAGTGATGGGTTTCTGGAGGGCTGTTTTAAACTCAAAGGACAGGCATAAACCCTTTGAATCTTCACTTCTCACAGGAATCTGATTTCCATCAAGTAGGAAAGAAATCATGAAGCCCAGTCAGCTCTTAGGTAGTGTTTTAAGTAAGGTGAAGGAAAAACAAACATTAGGGAAGTTCAAAGACAAAAAATCCTACAAGAGGACAACCATGATTGAAACTGTACTCTGATTTCTGTTATGGGTATGTGCACCCCCACAAGCTCATGAATTCTCTTATGGAAGAGAGGGCTGAGCTTCCAAGGTGATGCAGGGCCTATGACACACCCCCATGTAGACAGGTGAACTGATTTCTCCAAGGTCATAGAAAAAACTGAGACCTTTTATTACCCAAACAGAAGATTTCTGAAAGTACATTTCCTACCCTGTGTTTTGTTATCAGACTCAACTATGTCATGACCTCCTGGCACCCTTGGTTCAGGAACTACTCCGTGGGTTGGAAGGGTCTATTCCTTTCCCTTGCTAGAAACCAGGATGATCACACCTGGGTCTCAGGAACACTAGTATACCCATTGGGCATGTTGGGTGGGCCAAGGTAGGAAGAGAACAATTTAAAAATCAGGGATTGGCCAGGAGTGGTGGTTCCTACCAGTAAGTCCAGAACTTTGGGAGGCCAAGGCAGGAGAATCACTTGAGTCCAGGAGCTTGAGACCGACCTGGGCAACATAGCGAGACTCCACCTCCAAAAAAAAGAAAAAAAAGGCCAGGCACAGTGGCTCACGCCTGTAATCCCAGCACTCTGGGAGGCTGAGGCGGGCGGATCACGAGGTCAGGAGATGAAGACCATCCTGGCTAACACAGTGAAACCCCGTCTCTACTAAAATACCAAAACATTAGCTGGGCATGGTGGCGGGTGCCTGTAGTCCCAGCTACTTGGGAGGCTGAGGCAGGAGAATGGCATGAACCCGGGAGGTGGAGCTTGCAGTGAGCCGAGATCGTGCCACTGCACTCCAGCCTGGGCAACAGAGTGAGACTCTGTCTCAAAAAAATAAAAAAATAAAAAATAAAAACAAAAAAGAAAAAATGTTTTATTAGCTAGCATGGTGGCACGACATGCCTGTTAGTCCCAGCTACTTGGGAGGCTGAGGTTGAGAGGACTGCTTGAGCCCGAGAGGTTGAGGCTGCAGTGAGCTATGATTGTGCCACTACACTCCAGCCTGGGTGACAGTGAGACCCTGTCTTAAAAAAAAAAAGGTTGGGGGGGGCGTCCCTTTTCCAGTGAGGAAGGTAGAAAGCAAGTGAAAGAAGGAAAAGGAAATCAGAACAGGATTAGAGATAACTTTCGGATAATCAAAATAATTTCTGCTTTATGAACAAACCATGACTTATTTTTGGCTCCATTCAGCTTGCCTTCTCCCTAACTTAAAACAAACTGCCAGACAGCAGCATACAGTCATCACTCGGTATCCATGGGGGATTGGTTTCAGGACCTCCTGCAGATACCAAAAGCTATGGATGCTCAAGTCCCTCATATAAAATAGTGTAGTATTTTCATATGACCTATGCACATCCTCCCGAATACTTTATTATTTGTTTATTTATTTTTCTTTTGATTCAGGTTTTTGCTCTGTTGCCCAGGCTGGAGTACAGTGGCATGATCATAGTTCATTGCAACCTCAAACTCCTGGGCTCAAGTGATTCTCCATCCTTGGCCTTGCAAAGTGCTGGGATTACAGGCATGACCCACCTCAGCCTCCCGGGTAGCTGGGACAACAGGTGAGAACTACTTTGCCTAGCTAATTTCTAAATTTTTTGTAAAGACAGGATCTCCCTATGTTGCCTAGGCTGGTCTTGAACTCCTGGGCTCAAGCGATTCTCCTGCCTTGGCCTCCCAAAGTGCTGGGATTATAGGTGTGAGTCACCTTGCCTGGCCTCCCTGCAATCCCACACTTTCTCTCTAGATTACTTATAATACCTAATATAATGTAAATGCTATATAAATAGTTGTCGTACTGTATTATTTAAGAAATAATGACAAGACAAGAAACCAGGCATGGTGGCTCACACCTGTCATCCCAGCACTTTGGGAGACTGGGGCAGGAGGATCACTTGAGCCCAGGAGTTTGAGACCAGCCTGTGCAATATAAAGAGACCAGATCTCTACAAAAAATTTAAACAATTTTAAAATTTGGTGGTATGTGCCTGTAGGCCCAACTACTCTGGAGGCTGAGGTGTGAAGATTGCTTGAGCCAAGGAAGTCAAAGCTGCAGTGAGCTGTGATCGCATCACTGCACTCCAGCCTGGGAGACAGAGCGAGACTCTGTCTCAAAAAAAAAAAAAAAAAAAACACACACACACACAAGAAAAAATAAGTCTGTACAATTTTTTCCAAGTATTTTTAATACTCAGTTGGTAGAACTCACAGATACAGAACCCACAGATACAGAGGGCTGATGGTATATGTTTTAGCAACTGATACTCAAGTTAAAAACCTACAAACGTTGACAGAATTTGATGGCCCCATTTTGTTGCCTTCCCTCCAGTGATTTCAAAGGCCAAAAGACAATTTTTTGGTTATTCTTCTTTTGAACTGCTCATGTCAACACTCACATCTATTAGTGTTAATTCAGAACTGGCTTTATGCAACTCCCAGAGTAATATCTCTATCAGGAAGAGTTGTCAACAGATGCCAACACCACTGGGCCAAAGGTCATAGGGAACAGAAGATTTATATAATCCCAAAGTATTATCCAGAAACCACTTACAAAGAGAATAATGTACTTTTATAGCCTGGGGGCTACCATACCACCTCAAGTGATCCAACTGAGCCTGACTAGCAGTGGACATTCTGGCATTATGTATCTCCTAAAGTGACATTTTATGAAGTACATAGCTTTATCCATGAGATGTTCTTGTCAGAAATGTTTAACCTGAATCTAATCAGGCCCCAGATCTAACTTCCCATTTACAGGAAATACAGGGGATAGAGGAGCAAGTTAGATACCACCATGAGGAAACAGAAAAATCCAGTGTGGGACAACCAGAGACAATTGACATGTTTTCAAAATGTTAGTCTCAAAAAACAAATACAGCAAAACAAAGAAACAGGAATGGGAAGTAGTTCCAGATTGAGAGACTTTTAAAACAGACATAACCAAAAGGGGACTTTGGCTGGGTTCTGATCAAAAACAAAAGAGCCATCAAAGGGGAAATTTGAAAATGGACTAAATGACATCTCTAGTCCATTTTTGCCTTTGGCAAAGCCACAATTACTTTTGTACCAACCTCATAGATGATGTCATTTCATTAGGTATAATGATGGTATTATGATTATGGAGAAGGATGTTTTTATTCTCAGGAGATGCCACTGTTATGAAGTGACAAATGTCATGATATTTGCAACTTACTGTCAAATTGTGCACCCAAAAAAGTGCATATGGATGTATATATGTGCATATGTGGGTATGTCTAGACACACATATACATAAACAGAAGGAGAAAAGAGAGATAAGACCATTGTGGCAAAAGTTATCAATGAGTCTAGGTGAAAGATAAATAGGTAGACATTGTGCTTCTAACTTTTCTGTAGGTTTGAAATTTTCCAAAATAAAGTTGTAAGAAAAAAAAAATACTGGCTTCATTTAGGAAGACAAATTCAAATCACTCCTCAGAAAGGACCTAAACCCTTTAGCATTTCAACATTGGCAGGTTATAGCCAAATTCAACTGGGTCACTAGACTTCTAATTTGGGGGACTGAAGGTAGGCAAGGAATAAAAGCATGGATAAGGCTGAGGCAAGGAACTGAAACTCACAAGATGTAAGTTAATGCAAGGTAGAATCAAGATACTAAGTGAAAGAGACACTAAACTAAATTAAGAAGTGTCATGTCATCCCAGGAGCAAGACCAAGACTATAGGCAGAATTAAGAGCTTCCTATAAGTCCAGAAACATGGCTGGAGTGGGATATAACCTCAGATATACACAGCCAAGTGGCCCCTCGGCATCCATTTGTCATGATTGCTCTTCAAAAGGAATGCAGAAACCAGAGAGATCCCAGAGACAGAGGTAAAAACAGCTAAACGGAGGGTAGCTTGATCCCAAGGGGGAAGGAAAATGAATTAGAATTTATCGGTAGTCTTCCTTGCAGGTGCAAACATGAAGGACAGTAAAAAGGCTTTAGTTAGAATAAGAGGGAGTCTAGCTAGATAGATAAAAGGTTGAATGAGGGTGGCTAGAATCCGCCTCTGAACAGCCCCAGGAAGAGATCATTACACGTCCCCAGCTGTCTCAGTTATTTACCCTTGAAGACAGGAAACTGTACGCAGATGAGTTTGGGCCTCCTCTAGTTCTAGAATTCCCCAACTATTAAAGGGTAAATAAGAGATGGCTACTGATCAATCAGCTAAATTGAAAGCTCAGAACCCATGCTATTACTTGGGGCAAGATAAGTAGAAAAAAAAAAAGGCACAAATTCAAAGGAAGATTTGCCTTACCTAGGCTGATCAAACAGCTGTGTTGTGGGCTCCCAGATGATCTCTCCCACCTCCTCTACCACACAGGAGAATATAAATAGCACTCAGTTTACCTGTGGCTAGCCACAAGCAGAAGTCTGGTCACATGACTGGGCAAGCTGGGAGTAACCATCAAGTAGACATGAACACTCAGAGGGCAGGTTTGCTCTCTCGCTACAGCTCACTAGGTTGGACTCTGTCAGGACCCTCTGCTCCTAACCCTGACTGATTCATTTTGCTCTGGGCTATGGGGAGGAAGTTGGGGGGCACTTATAAGGAACTATTCAAGTTCCTCAGGGCTAGAAAGGTCACAGTAATAGAATTTGCTCTGCCTTCAGGATCAAAGATCCTAGTAGAGTTGTTCTTCTCTACCCCCCGCATCCTTGAAAATCTGTGTGAACCATCTCAACCCACTTGCAGAAAGTCTTCTCTGATCATCTCCAACTCCTTAGTCAAGCTCTATCTACTTCATGCCCCCAGCTTCAAAAAGGGGAGATACCTTAGAGACCACAACATCCCATCTAGTGGTTCCCTGCCCGGGCCCTGATATTTTGGAACAAACCTCAAATCAGTGGCAAATTCCCATGCTGAGCTCTAGCTGTGAAAGAACCCCAAAGTGCACTGGGCAACATTCCAGGGCAGACCTTGTTTTGAAGCCCTGGTCTTGCTGGTTGTTCAGATTTCCTAAGGGAAGCTCAAAGGTTATGTAGTGCCTCCAGGGTAAACCTAGTCTGAAAAGCAAGATTAGATGGCCCTTCCAGAAAGAGTGTTGAAGATATCACATTGGAAAGATTCCTCCTACCCTCAATATATGCTGACAGCTTCATATCAGAAGGATACTTATGAGGTCGCCTCTCCTGTGCTTCCAGATGCAGAGGAGTGGGTGGCAACACCACTGGAAGGTAAGTTATAGCCTCTTCCCCTGTATATGATGGGCTTTAGATCTGTTCTGAAATCAGGGATGCTTAACAGTAATGTCACCTTCTTTTATACTTAAGTAAAAAGGCTTAACCTCATGAAGCAAAAAATTGATCCAGGGAAACATTGGTACATTAATTACCAATAAGTCCTAACCAAACCTCCAAGAACTAGAAGGTCCAGGCTCAGTTATGATGGTCCTCTCTGAGCAGACAGCATTGCCATTTGCACAGCAGCTCCAACACACACCTCTAAGCTTCAGACAACCCAACAGGAATTTGAGGGCAGCCTCTTCGCATCCTCCTGCATCTTGCCCTGATTCTGGTTGGCCACTACCGGAAACTTACGTTAGAGGAGGAAAGAGCCTGAGGAATCAAGAGAATGGTGGGGGCAGTGTGTATAACTTCATCACTGCCTAAGGACAAAAAATCTAAGTATATAAGCTGGGGTAACAATATAGTAAGTGCTCATGGATCTATTTCATACAACTAGCTGGGCCCCTGAAAAAAAATATTTTGATGACAACTTAACCATGGTCAGGATTAATTAAGTCTAAGGTACCTACAGGTAGGCATTTCAGATAAAGGATGCACTCTAAAACTAAAGATTTTCAGGAAAATGTTTTCTCTATGTTAAGAATTTGAGTGGGACACATTCATTCACTTACCCCCAACTCTGACAGCTGGGGGAAAACATCAGTAAGCAAAAATGACAAGAATAATTCAAGGGCCTTCAAGGAGTACAAACAGGTGCATAACATGTGGTTTGGTGTGAGAGGAAAGGGGCCGGCACACAAGCGGCAGTGTCTGAACCTCTAGCTCTGTCTGCTTAGCAATGATTACCAGATCCACCCCTCCTTGGGCCCTGTGGTTAATGAAAGGTTTTCACTGACTAAAAATGAGCCATCTCTTTGTGCATGAAGTTGTAACTCCTGACCTACTTGATACAATGTGCTGCACTGAACCACGCAACCTGCTCACTCACAAGGCGGTGGGTACAAACAATCGACTGGTACGTAGCAGAAGAAAGCTCTCTGGCCTAGGCGTATACCTGGCATCACTTTGTAAACCAAACCCACTCCTTTTTCCCTCAGATCTCGACTATATATATATGAGGTAATAGTCCCTCATGGCTCTGGTGCAGCAGGGCCTTCCATTTTCATGTATTTTAAGAAATGAAGGCCAGGCGCAGTGGCTCACACCTGTAATCCCAGCACTTTGGGAGGCAAGGTGGGCGGATCACAAGGTCAGGAGATCAAGACCATCCTGGCCAACATGGTGAAACCCCATCTCTACTAAAATACACAAAAAATTAGCCGGGCATGGTGGCACGCGCCTGTAGTCCCAGCTACTCGAGAGGCTGAGGCAGGAGAATCGCCTGAATCTGGGAGGCAGAAGTTGCAGTGAGCCGAGATCGCGCCACTGTACTCTAGCCTGGTGACAGAGCAAGACTCCGTCTCAAAAAAAAAAAAAAAAAAAAAAAATGGAGATTGTTGAGGGCAGAACACAGTGAGAGTGTTTCTTAGTCTAAGGAAGCACTTTCTCTAGAAAGTTCCTGGCCATCCTGAATATGCTCAGTGTGCTTCAGCATATATATAGCTGCAACCCTGCTGACTCCACTGCTGGGTCAATGTGAGGCGTGGACTGGGCTGGGACACACGGCAGTGGGCACCCAATCAGCTCTCAGAATCTGATGCCAACCTGGTCCAGCTAGAGTAGTAAGGACCAGCTATGGTCTCCTAAGAGGTGGCCTACTATAACGGTCAATACCTGGGCTCACATCCTGCTTCCACCCCAATGTGCTATGTGAACTCAGACTGATCACTTAACTTCTCTGGGTGTCAGTTGTTCCATCTGTTAAATGGGGAGAGTAAGATATGTTATCAGGATGTAGAAGAAAATTTCCATTCCAGAGAACTCCTAGTGCAGTCAAATTAGTCTCACATATATCCATGTGTTAAGTATCTTCTTTGGAAATAACTTCAAATTTATAGATGCAAGAATAAGAACAGTACATAGAACACTCATATAATCTTTACACAGATTCGCCTATTAACAGCTGCCCCATTTGCTTTACTGTTTGCTTTCTTCACATGCACTTTTTCTTACACATGCTCAAACACGCCCACATGTCCACACGCAAGACAGATACTCACATGCAGACACACACACACACACTTTCCTTCATTGAGTTTCCTTGTGTGGTGTTCTATTTGAAAAGAACAGGGAACTACTGGAGGAGGGGAGGATCAAGATGAAGAGAAAGCGAAGGAGGCATGCTATTTGGTGATGGTTCCACAGCTCTGTTCCTTTTTCTTTGCCAACAATGCAAACAGCAAGCACTCAGGTGTTCCTGCTTTAGAGATGAGCTATTACTGGCCGGGCATGGTGGCTCACGCCTGTAATCCCAGCACTTTGGGAGGCCAAGGCAGGCAGATCACCTGAGGTCAGGAGTTCGAGACCAGCCTGGCCAACATGGTGAAACCCCCCATCTCTACTAAAAATACAAAAATTAGCCCGGCATGGTGGCAGGCACCTGTAATTCAGCTACTTGGGAGGCTGAGACAGGAGCATCGCTTGAACCCAGGAGGCAGAGGTTTCAGTGAGCCAAGATTGTGCCACTGCACTCCAGCCTGGGCAACAAGAGCAAAACTCCATCTCAAAAAAAGATGAGCTATTACACGAACAGGTACCAGAAAAAGTGCTTGGTATATAAGATTATTAGTTACTACTTTTTTAAAAACAACAAACCCCACAAAAAACAACAAAGCATTTATATGAACCATGGAAACAGCTTTATCATACAGAAGCATTTTTGTAATATTTGTTGTAATGGGATTTTACCTTGTGAAGTTGGGAAATAAGTAGGAAAGAAAGGTTTCGGCTGGGTACAATGGCGCACGCCTATAATCCCAGCACTTTGGGGGGCCGAGGCAGGCGGATCACCTGAGGTCAGGAGTTTAAAACCAGCCTGGCCAACATGGCAAAACCCTGTCTCTACTAAAAGCACAAAAATTAGCCTGGTGTGGTGGTGTGTGCCTGTAATCCCAGCTACTTGGGAGGCTGAGGCAGAAGAATCGCTTGAACCCAGGAGGCGGAAGTTGCAGTGAGGTGAGACCACGCCATTGCACTCAGTCTGGGCAACAAGAGCAAAATCTGTCTCCAAAAAAAAAAAAAAAAAAAAGCCGGGCGCGCTGGCTCACACCTGTAATCCCAACACTTTGGGAGGCCCAGGCAGGTGGATCACGAGGTCAAGAGATCGAGACCATCCTGGTCAACATGGTGAAACCCCATTTCTACTAAGAAATACAAAAATTAGCTGGGCATGGTGGCATGCGCCTGTGGTCCCAGCTACTCGGGAGGCTGAGGCAGGAGAATCGCTTGAACCAGGGAGGCAGAGGTTGCAGTGAGACGAGATTGCACCACTATACTCCAGCCTGGCAACAGAGTGAGACTCGGTCTCAAAAATAAATAAATAAATAAATAAACAAACAAGAAAGAAAGGTTTCACACAGCATATGGTTATTAGAATATTAAAGACTTCTGGGCCACGCACAGTGGCTCACGTCTGTAATCCCAGCACTTGGGGAGGCTGAGGTGGGCAGATCACAAGGTCAGGAGTTTGAGACCAGCCTGGCCAATAATGGTGAAACCCTGTCTCTACTAAAAATACAAAAAAATTAGCCGGCATGGTGGCGGGTGTCTGTAATCCCAGCTACTCAGGAGGCTGAGGCAGGAGAATTGCTTGAACCCGGGAGATGGAGGTTGCAGTGAGCCAAGATTGCACCACTGCACTCCAGTCTGGGCAACAGAGTGAGACTCCATCTCAAAAAAAAAAAAAAAAAAAAAAGACTTCTAGGCCAGATGCAATGGCTCACGCCTGCAATCCCAGCACTTTGGGAGGCTGAGGCAGGAGGATCACTTGAGCCCAGGAGTTTGAGACCAGCCTGAGCAACATAGTGAGATCCCATCTCTATTAAAAAAAAAAATTCTATACAGAGTATGCTTTGGAGGTAAGAGTGGCTTGTAATCTACTTGGGAGGGTTAGATAACCTCCAAGAAGTCAATTATCCGTGATACATAGTCCCTAGATGGAGCTTTCTCCCAGAGTTTAAGGCCTTGCTATTTCCCTTACTGGGCACATGCCTGTCTCGGAAGAGCACTATCATACATTACAATGACTCCACTTTCAGTTAACCTAAAGCTAGGAGAGGGAGACATGCTCAGACAGATCCTGCGCCCCCCAGGCTTCTTTCCCACTAGAAGTAGGGGGATGGTTACACCAGGGGTCCCTTACAGAGAGGACTAAGCTATTATGGCACAATGCCACTTGCATCTACCCCCACCCCTGCCATAGGAACGCATCACCCACATGTATTCCCAGGTGCTTTTCTGGGTTTCACATCATCACACATAAGAATCCTTTTCCTGTAAGATCCATCTTCGCATGTCTCCCTAACATGGCCTTGCCCCAAGCTCAGTAACCATGACCACCCCACAGAGGCAGAAAAATCTGGTCTGCCTCCTATGTCCTATCTGTCCCTGGTTAGCCACTCATTCTACATGGAAATGGCATATCTCAAACCAGCTGGAAACACTCAAAAGCCGCCACCATATCACACACATAATAATGTATTAATAGTAACCATCATCTTCCAACTACTCACACCAAGTGAGTATTTATGGTGTGGATAGTCACCTTGGGGTGCTAAAGGAAGAAACGGACTTCTTTGCAGCCCAGTTTCCAATTCTTTTTTTTTTTTTTTGAGACAGAGTCTCACTATGTCACCCAGGCTGGAGGGCAGTGGTGCAGTCTTAGCTCACTGCAACCTTCGCCTCTGGACTCAAGTGATTCCCCTACCTTAGCCTTCCGAGTAGCTGGGACTAAAGGAAGGTGTCACCACACCCTGCTAATTTTTGTAGTTTTAGTAGAGATGGGGTTTCACCATGTTGGCCAGGCTAGTCTCAAACTCCTGACCTCAAGTGATCTGCCCGCCTCGGCCTCCCAAAGTGCTGGGATTACAGGTGTGAGCCACCACACCCGGCCCCAATTCTCTTTTGCTTAGCTTAACAAATGAATCTTTGCTCCTGGAATACAGGTATATAAACATAGAAGAAACAAATGCTGGAGGTGTGCTGGGCAGGTGGCAGTGGATGCCAGCCTGAGACAAAATTCACAACGGACTTTTTCTGCATATGTGGGAAATGCCCTTTGCCTAATTAAGCAAAAGGGGTTTATTAGTCATTTGGTGTTGGACAAGAACTTCCTTTCTGGGCCTCAGTTTCCTTATCTGCAAAAACAATGAAATGCCACCTGCACCTGCAGGACTGTTGTGAAGATGCACGAAAACATTTGAGAGTTCCCATCAGAAGCACCACAGAGCTAAACAAATGGAACATATTGTCAAAACTAATGAAGGCCAGGCACGGTGGCTCACGCCTGTAATCCCAGCACTTTGGGAGGCTGGGGCGGTTGGACCACCTGAGGTCAGGAGTTCGAGACCAGCCTGGCCAACATGGTGAAACCCCGTTTCTATCACAAATAAAAAAATTAGCTACTTGGGAGGCTGAGGCAGGAGAATCACTTGAACCTGGGAGGTGGAGGTTGCAGTCAGCAGAGATTGTGCCACTGCACTCCAGCCTGGGTAACAGAGTGAGACTCTGTCTCAAAAACAAACAAACAAACAAACAAAAAACCTAATGCTATCTATATTCTCCATTTCCCTGAAAAATACAGGTGAATTTTTGGGCCTCTTAGAGTTGAGATTCAGAGACTCTTTCTTTCTACAGAAGCAACTGTTTTTGTCTTCCTCTGTGAACACGGAACTACTCCAGATTCCAATAAGAAAGAGTCCAGATGCTGCTCTCAGCATTAAGATGTGCACACCCCCCATGGATGTGGTTCACATAGCCCTTCTCTCCCCAGTTGCTAAATCCAGACTATGTCATATTGTGAAAGCCCTCTGGCTGCATCCCCTCTATCATGCCAAATGCTATCCACTCCCACCCCAACCCCACCCCTGGCTTATGTCATATCTGATGGGCAGGAGTTAAGAAGACAATCCCCAAACAGGGGCTGTGTGGCAAGTTTTCCACCAGCCTGCAGCTGTGGGGCAGGGAGTGCACGTGTTATCAGGAGTGGTTTTCCCAAAGCCACGTGGGCGACCAGACATGCACAGAGCACAGCAAACTCTTTTTTTTTTTTTCGAGATGGAGTCTCGCTCTGTCACCCAGGCTGGAGTGTAGTGGCGCCATCTCGGCGCACTGCAAGCTCTGTCTCCCGGGTTCACACCATTCTCCTGCCTCAGCCTCCCAAGTAGCTGGGACTACAGGAGCCCACCACCACGCCCGGCTAATTTTTTGTATTTTTAGTAGAGACAGGGTTTCACTGTGTTAGCCATGATGGTCTCGATCTCCTGACGTCATGATCCACCCGCCTCAGCCTCCCAAAGTGCTAGGATTACAGGCGTGAGCCACCGTGCCCGGCCAAGCACAGCAAACTCTTAAAGGGAAGGGAGTGTGGGGTAGAGAGGAGAAGAAGGGGAGGGAAGAGGGGATAAGAGAAGCTGCCTATGCTCCCAATCACATTTTCACTCTGTTCAAACTTACACCCAGCTGGGCAGGTTAAAACAGCCGTTTTCGGCCAGGTGCAGTGGCTCACACCTGTAATCCCAGCCCTTTGGGAGGCCAAGGCGGGTGGATTACCTGAGGTCGGGAGTTCGAGACCAGCCTGACCAACATGCAGAAACCCCATCTCTACTAAAAATACAAAAATAGCTGGGCATGGTGGTACATGCCTGTAATCCCAGCTACTCGAGAGGCTGAGGCAGGAGAATCGCTTGAACCCGGGAGGTGGAGGTTGTGGTGAGCCGAGATCGCACCATTGCACTCCAGCCTGGGCAACAAAAGTGAAACTCCGTCTCAAAAAAAAAAAAAAAAAAAAAAGCCATTTTCACTAAGCCACCAGACACATGGTTGGCAGCCTTCAAGGCAAGGAACACAGACTCTGTGGACAACAGTGTAAGTGTCCAGGGCCTGCGAAGTGGTAACAAGCATCTCTTTCTTGCACTTCCCTATCTGGTGGTTGGTGGGAGAAGAAATAGCAGTGCCTGCTATCACAGGATGGTGGCTGGCTTGGGAGAGGGGCGCTTTCAGCCTGATCACACCTCTGAAGCCATCCTAGGGCCAACAGATAATTCTCCTCCTTGGCCTAGAAAAGCCACTGATCCAGATTTTGTTTTCCTCCATCTTCTTGCTACACAGAACACTACTAGGAAGTTGGCAAAAATCTACCTGGAGTGAAAAGACAGTTAGCATTCATCTTGGTCTCCTTGGCCTCTCACCATATCCACTTCAAAGCCTAAAGCCAGGCAGTCTGGCTTTTTAACAAAATCATAACAAAATCCTACACATTGGCTGTTTCCATGGATCGACCTGGTAACTGCCCAAGCTCACCCTCTAGCTATAAGTGTGTTGGGAAAAGAACCTACAGGCCTAGCAATGACATCTATGGAAATGCCACGTCTTTGCCACCAACTGGGCTTCAAGCCCAATGACCAGGATGAATAGGAGACCAGTGATTTAAAGAAAGAGAGAATACTAACACTTCGGGGGGTTTTGCCTTGTAAGTAGCTGAAGAGAGGTATTATAGAGGGGGAACAGTATGTGGGGACCAGAAGTGGGAAAGACCATTCTGAGTGAGCCTGGGGGAGGTGTGGCTTACTCTCCCCACTCTGCTGCCTTCCCAGCAACTCAATCCAACAAGTATTTATTGAGCATGACACTCCCCATCTGCCCTGGTCCTCCCTCTGCAAAAACACTCAAATCTGTTCAAGCTGCAGGGTGAGTTCCATTGCACTTGAACTTGAAACGTGAGGTGCCTACTCTTAAAAAGGCAGGCACACAATTTCCAGTATACGGCAGAAGGGACTCAAGAGGTTTGAGAAAAATAAGGAATATAGCTGACTAGACAAGGCGAAACAATGTCACTTTTGAAAGGGAAAGGAAAGGAGAGAGTAAAAACTTAATTTAACCTTAGGGAGAATAATATATTGACACTTTTTTTTTAAAGCCTATTCAAAACATCCCAGTAGTTTTCTCTAATTAACCTCACCAAACACTGAGTATTTCTTCATTCTTTGCCTACTCCAGCTTGAATTTATATTTTATTCACTTATGGATGTGTTAGCAATCTACTTTTAGAGTTGCACATTAATCCTTCCTTTGACCTTTGAGGAGGTAATACCTTGGTGCTCTCCTGCATGTCTTCATTTAGGATCAGATAATAAGAGACTCAAGTGGCAGAGCTCGGGGTGAACTAGGCTGCCCCCTAACAAACATGGCTTCCCTGGAAAAGTGATCCTTCATTTACAAGATAGAGAGTTCAGAGTCAGAAAGGAGGCACCCCGTGGATGGCTTGAGCCCAGGATGCTATAGTGAGCTATGATGGCATTACTGGATTCCAACCTGGGTGATGAAGCAAGACCCCATCTCTCAAAAAAAAAAAAAAAGAGACAAAGGCCAGGCGTGGTGGTTCACACCTGTAATCGCAGCACTTTGGGAGGCCAAGGCAGGGGGATCACTTGAGGTCAGGAGTTCGAGACCAGACTGGCCAACATGGTAAAACCCTATCTCTACTAAAAATACAGCAATTATCTGGGCGTGGTGGCACACTTGTGTAGTCCCAGCTATTTGCGAGGCTGAGGCAGGAGAATTGCTTGAACCCAGAGAGGTGGAGGTTTCAGTGAGCTGAGATCACGCCACTGCACTCCAGCTTGAGCTATAGAATGAGACTCTGCCTCAAAAAAAAAAAAAAAAAAGAGAGAGAGAAAGAGGAGGCACCCCAAACCTACAGCTTTGTTCTGTCAAATACCATCCATCCTCTAAGAAGCCACATTCAGACAGTCTCTGAGAGAAAACTCCTCAACCCTTGATCACAGGCCAGCTGCTTCAGAGCAACCAAAACCCTCCGAGTCTTCCCAGGCCTCCCCCAGCCTCCACCCCTTTTATTGGGGAGCTGGGAGCTCAAACTGCTAATGTGTAGGCAGAGCTGAGCTAAAGGCACTCCATCTGTCCTCCACCCCCCCAGCAACTCTCGGGGGCTCCTGAGCAAATCCACAAACCTGTATGCCTGAGCAGGGCAGGGTAAATGTCTGTACATGGCCTGGACTTCAGTTCCAGGTCCCCCAGGGCCTGGACTTGAAGTTTTTCTATTATGAAATACTTGGATAGCATTCTTTTAAGTTCATTAAAGCCACCCTTGATTAGCTGCAGTGCTCCCACACAGTAAGGGTCGATCAAGGCATATGTGGGCCTGAGGGGAAGCATTTAAATGACTGCAAGGCTTGGCATTCAGCTTTGTAGTGACCCTGAGGGGAAAGCACAGTGCCAGGCAGAGTTTTCCAAACCAGGAGGTTTGGTGGGGACCACAAGCTGAGCCCGAACACTAGCAGCCAGCTGTTACGAGAACCTCCCACCATCCAGCTGTTGCCAACAACAACGGCCCCTTCATGAGCTCCACACGACTGGAGAAAATGGGGGCACAGATAACTTAGAAATTTCAAATATCATCCACAACTCTTCCCTGAGATCAGGATTTGTTTTTGACCTAATAATGTGAGTAGATTTGGCTAATGTTTGGTTAATTCATACCCTGCAAACCAAATAATGGAGCCCTCTGTGAAGATTGAACCTAGACGAAGGGGGGAAACTGACCAGATTTCCCACCCATCCTTTCTTTGCTTCCACTCTTCCCTGTTCCCACTTCTGTGACAAAGAAGGGTAACATGCATCTCAAAGGATGGCAGAGCTTACTAACCCAAGAAGAGACTGTCCACTCTCACTAACTCACTCTCTAGTGAGCATCTACCTTTGCTCTGAACTGGGAGCGACACCCAAAGTTTTCCTTTCCACTGCTTTAAAAGGGCTCCAGGGCCAGGTGTGGTGGCTCACGCCTGTAATCCCAGCACTTTGGGTGGCCAAGGCAGGTGGATCACCTGAGGTCAGATGTTGGAGACCAGCCTGGCCAACATGGTGAAACCCCCGTCTCTAATAAAAATACAAAAAAATTAGCTGGGCATGGTGGTGCGTGCCTGTAATCCCAGCTACTTGGGAAGCTGAGGCAGGAGAAGCGCTTGAATCTGAAGGTGGAGGTTGCCATGAGCCGAGATCATGCCATTGCACTCCAGCCTGGGTGACAGAGTGAGAGTCCGTCTCCAAAAAATAAATAGGCCGGGTGCGGTGGCTCACGCCTGTAATCCCAGCACTTTGGGAGGCTGAGGCGGGTGGATCACAAGGTCAGGAGTTTGAGACCAGCCTGGCCAATATGGTGAAACCCCGTCTCTACTAAAAATACAAAAATTAGCCGGGTATGGTGGTGGGCACCTGTGGTCCCAGCTACTTGGGAGGCTGAGGCAGGAGAACTGCTTGAACCTGGGAGGCGGAGGTTGCAGTGAGCCGAGATCGTGCCATTGCGCTCCATCCTGGGTGACAAAGCGAGACTGTCTCAAAAAAAAAAAAAAATAAAATAAATAAATAAATAAATAAATAAATAAATAAATAAATAAAATAAAAGGGCTCCAAACTGTCTGTGGAGTAACGGTAAGCCCAGGCAGGTCTAGTCAGAACACTTGAGCTAGAGTCAAACGTGATAGTGTCAGTAAGAACTCCATAACCAGACCTGCCCCTCAGAAGATGCCACACCCAAAAGCCTGAATCCTTTAGCAGGAAGGCTCTATGTGAGTCATCTAAGAATCTGGAGGAAGATGCTCTAACAGTTCTTCTAAGATCAAGGAATAGTGTGGCCCTGATGCCCATCACACCATTCAAAATAAACTGAATTCAGCAGAAAATAAAGGCATAGTGTTCTCTTGGCTATTAAAGCCCACCAACCACTGTGGTAACACCCAAATTAGCACCATCACTATGAAAGTTTTGCATTACTGCTTGCAACTTTCTAAAGATCTATCTATGTCTAGAATGTGAGAGAACAAAGTCCTCTTGCCATCACAGCCCACTGTTGTTCTCACCCCTCTGACACTGACCTCAAATGGTTTAAGATCTCTTAGCTCTATGTTATATAAGTGAGACCTTCTCGTACTATATAATCCTTTGCTATCCAAAATACCGAAGAACACATGGACTCACACTCCTTTGGGTACCAAAGAGATAAAGCAGTTAAGCAGCTAGTCCCCAAATTCAAGGATGTCATCACTGGTGATAACATTTAAGAGCCAGATGCTTCAGCAGTGCATTTTGCTGACCATGTATGTGCCTGGTGCTGGCAAAGCTGTCAAAAGCAACAGTTAGCAGTGTTGGGCTAGGAAGTGTCTGGTGTTTTAATGCTTCCCAAACAGAAGCTGCCTCAATCACAGGTTTTAGAAGGGGAATTGTAGCTCTTAAAGGGTTTTAACTGCACCCCCAGGCCTCATTATAGCAAGATGATGCCTTGGCATAGAACGGTTGGAAATCTCTTCTAATCTCCAGGCTGTTTCTGGCACCAGTAGCCACACGGACCAGTTTGCTGAGGGCTTTCTCTTAGGGTCTCTAATATGCAACCTCCTTTTTATGGTTCCAGACCTATCTAAACACCTATCCCCCAAGAAATAAGTTTTCAAAGCATTGCAAAGAAAGGAGTTTAACAATTTAATAATATAAGCACTGCAGCCTCGTATTCACGAAACAGCCATCCTGGGGAACCTAATCGACATTTGATATAAATTACCCTTCTTATATCCCCATGGGGAAGCCAATATTTTAGGGCAACCATGACTACTGCCAGCTCTTCATAATCTGTTCACAAAAATAAAAGGTAATGAGAAAAATTCAAAACAGGAGATAAGCCTAAAGTAATTTCCATCTGATTTTGAAATGTGTTCACCGCAGTTTTGGGTTGTCAGGTTGGGGGAAATGGGTTAAGAGAGGAGAGGGGGCAAATTTGCCTAACAGTTAAGCTTTTATATAAATTCAAATTAGCTTATGTCTACTGAACACATCACCTGACAATGGTGGGGGTGGAGAGGCTGGATTCACACATGATGATGTTCTACAAAGATTGAGAACTGACTGGAAGCAGGTGACCTTCTTTTCTTTTGCCTTAAAATAGAGTGGGACTACAGGCTTGTTCGTTTTCTTTACCCCCTTAGAATTTTCTGAGGTTTATATTACACACATTTGAAACTGATCTTTATATAGGAAAAACAGGTACACTGTTTGAGACAAGAGTTGGCAAACTTTTCTGTAAAGTGACATATAGTAAATATTTTAGGCTTTGTGAGCCCTACAGTCTTTATCACAACTCTTCACTCCACCACCGACAGCACAAAAGCAGCCCTAGACAATATTTAAATGAAGCAGTGTGGCTGGTTCCAATAAAACTTTATTTACAAAAATAGGCCCAGGGCCAGATATGGCCTGTAGACCATAACTGCCAATCCCTGGTTAAAGAAGGTTCTGGTGGTCAGAGGAGGTTCCAAGGCAGTATTTAGCTTCCCTAGCACCCAGCTGGTCCCAGTGGGGCTGGTCCACTGGAGAAATAATTTGCAAACCTAGATGAAACATTATCTTCATTTTAGGGACATACAGACAGACACGCTAAACAAGATAGGTAAGACTGGAACCCAGAACAATTCACCTCCTAGTCCTATTTTGTCCTTCATCATGGTCCTGGAAGAGTATAAAAGTCAGCGGCCTCTAACTGACATTAAGACACAAAAGAGAATTTAATTTAAGGGAGAATTGCAGTGAGAAGTTTATCTTAGGTTTCTACTACCCAATAATGGCTCTTAGCTTTTTTAGAGTTATCTTTCATTTTTCTCTCCACTCTCTTCAGCCTTCCTCACTCCTAGCCCAGGTTCATAAAAATGAAGCCATTCCTCATTTTACGAAGACATACCTTATGATGAATGGTTGCAGAAGGCAAATCCTGCTCTTTACACCATAACCCTTTTCACGAGGTCTAATATATCTTGTCAAGAACACAGCAGGATGTGTGGTGGGGAGATAACTGCAGAGCCCTGAGCGTTACATCACTTTGAGATGGGCAAGAGAAACAGTGGCGACCCTTAATTGTTCCTGAAGCCCAGTCACAGCTCACATGCCTTTTTAAACAGCTGGGTTTCAGAGCTCTGTTTAGAAAGTTCATTTTAAAAGATGAGGGAATAAAAATGCAAGAGGAGGCCCTGAAATTCTGAAACCTGCAGTACTGGTTTCAGATCAATCTGGGTTTGCTCTTTGAAGCCTGAAAAGGCAATGGGCTCTGGCCAACAGTGCTCTCACCTTGGCGAGCAGAGGGAATAATAATATAAGCAGCAGCAAACACTTTTATAGCACTTCTCATGTGCCAGGCACGTTTTAAGCACTTTCTATCTATTAACTCATTTAATTCTTATGATATAGATATTATTATCCACAGATGAGGAAACTAAGACACAGAAAGAACTTCCTCAAAGCCACACAACTAGTAAATGGCAGAACCTGGATTTAAAACCCAGGCATTCCAGCTCCCAGTGCCAATCTCTTAAAGGTTTATGACTACAAGGGGTTTCCTTTTATCCCATATACTCTACTGTCCTAGAAAAAACCACCTCTGGTGCTTTCCAAGGCCAAGGAATGGAAATAATGTGAACACGTATGTGGGCTGAAGTTAACATATAAAAGCCCTGATGTGCCTCCAAAACAGAGGCCAGGTACATTCCCCTAATGCCTGGCCACTTTCTTCTCCTATTTTTTCCCCTCTCCTGCCATACTGAAAATCTACAGATAATCCCCCCAACTACCAACTAGGCGAATGCCTTATTAACACTTCTAAGATATTAATAGGTGGACAAATTATTGATCAGACCAATCTATAAGCAAGAGTCCACCCAACTTGCCTTAAATCACCTGACAAATTATGCAGAGCTCTAGCTTCCTACATTTCTACCAGTATCCCAGGGCCTCTGGCTCTATAAAAGGAGCAGGCCATGTAATGAACCCAGACATCCAAACCTACGTTCTTCCCCCTTCCACAGCATCCACCAGCAATTGTCCTTTTAATATTAGTTCTATAATAGACACAAAATAACTGATCTTAAAATGATTGCTAATCAGTTTCCAGCTACTATACAGGTAGGCTTTCTGTTGTTTTCCACTAAAAGTGACTAAGGTTCCGGTTCTTGTTCTACCAACTTCCCGGGGTTTCAAGGAAGCCCAAACAAAACCAACAGGTTTGTAGTCTTGTGGTTTGCTTTATAACTCATGATAGGCATGAGTTAGTCTGGGCATTGCCTTACTCTACACCACCGGATTCTAAACATACTTTTACTACTTGGTCACCATCTTGCTACCAGATTTGACCAAGTTTCTGCATCCCAAGATGTGATGCTAACATATACAGTGAAAAGTCCAGAAAGACTTGGGGGCTTTCTATCTCAGAGATCCTCTTAAGCCCATTCCTACCTAGCAAGGAGTAGCCCTGTAGTAGCTACTACTTCTGTAATAGCCCTGCAGAAGCAGGAAGGAGATGTGCAGTAACTAGGCTTGGTAATCATCAGAAGCTCAAGAGACTCTGGTTTAGAGAATGTCATTAACCGTTAAGACGGCAGGAATCATGATTTTTGTACATTTGGTAGAGGCTCCGGCTTTGGAAGTGTGCAATGATCTTTTCACATCTGGTGTGAATCAAATGCAAGCCTCACTTTCAACTTATTGCCAACCTCCTCATGCAAGTAGGTTCCTTTTCCCCTTCCTAAGTACTTGCATTTGTGGGATCCTCACAGATTTGAGTATCAAAGCAAGGTTAAGTTTGCTTCTCCCTAGTTTCCCCACAGCCACCACATCAAGCTGTTATTAAGAACCCATTTCAGTGCTGTTCAGAAAGTGGGGTACTTGCCACCATGCACTTGACTGTAGCCCTCACCCCACTGCCACGTTGGCTGCAATGCCCCGGACAAAACAGCCTTGGTGGGTAGAGGGGTGGAGGGAGTAGAAAGAAAGGTAGGGGGCAAAACTGCCCAGGTCTCCCCCCCGCTACACACACACACACACACACACACACACACACACACACACGCTCGTACACAAACGATGGTTGGAATGAGACAGCCATATTAAGCAGGTCAAGAATCTGGGAACGTACAACTTCTGGGACACAGGGAGAAGAATGCAGGGAGCTGGGCATTTGCACCACGGTAAAAGCCGTTAAACTTAGTCCAGCGGGCTGAGATGAAATCAGTTCCAGGAGGTGGCATAAAGGGAAGCGCACGTGAAGTGGTGGAGAATGGAACTCCAGCGCAGTTGAGAGGGATGCTGGGGCCAAACTCAAGCTGGAGAAGTAACACACGGCTGCACGGGGCTCTACTCCATGCCCCTCCCCCTCCCCGTGCAATAGTCCAGCGCCCACCGACTCCTGCTCCCAGCGCCAGCCATCCGCACGGGGCGCCCCCACCACGCGCCACTCCTCCTCACGCCTCGCTCCCACCCCCTGCATCTTCCACTCACCCCACACGACACCTCTGCCCACTTTTCGGTTACGCCCCCAAAGCCAGCCTCCATCTGCCAGGTCCCTCCCCTCACCTCCGGGACCCGACTCCCCGCACACTCCGTCCCAGCGGTGCTCCCCACGTTTCACGGCTCCTCGCTCTTGCTCCCTCCGCCCTCATAGACTCTGAACGCCCCCTTTCTCTTCCCTCGCCCCCATCCACTTTCCCCTCACACTTCTCCCCGTCCCCCTCCCGCGGTCACGCGCCCCCCCTCCCCCAATGGCTCCTTCCACGGCACCCGCTCCAGGCCCGGCTCACCTGCACGGCCACCCCCGTCCCGGCGCTGGTGCGGCTGCTGCAGCTGGAAGGGGATCGTGGCCCTGAGCGGCTGCAGCCCAGCCCGGGGGGAGCCGGCGGGGGCTGGGGGAGAGCAGCCCCGCCGGAGCCCCCCGGCCCCTCCGCGCCCCGGCCCCCAGGCACCTCCGCCTCTGCCGCCCGCTGCGGCCCCCGCCATGGCTCTCCCGGCTGCCTGCCTCAGCCCCACTGCGAGACTCACACAGCCCCCCAACCCCCGAGGCCGCTGCTTATCTGCTGTACGGGGCGGGGACCGGCCCCCTCATCCTAGAGCTGTCATTGGACTGCGGAAACCCAGACCTTCCACCCCAGCCAATCCACAGCTTAGCCTTCCCTTTCCTGAGGATGATTGGTCGATGAGCCTAGCGATCCAAGCCAAGACCCCACCCTCACACCGCCCCCTTCGGTTTTCCAACATCCCAGGGGCTGCTGATTGGCCTGTACAGAAGAGGGCTGGTTCTCCAGCGCCACCAATGAGAAGACGCAGAATAGGGGAGCGTCACACCCAGTCCCAGGTAGTATGCAAATATAATGTCACGTGACGTCAGGCTGAGCTGGAGAGTGGGCGCGGCGCTGGGTGTAGGTTGGAGTCAAACACTAGTGAAATAATTTTTGGGGGCGGGAGTAGGGAGCAGTGTCAAACTTTACACAGTTGAGTCCCTGAATCACAGAGAAAGCGATACCTTCAAAAAGTATTACATTTAATTTAACCTAAAAAACATTAGTTTTAAATCCTTATAGGATCTCAGTGCTACTTACAAGCTCCAAACTAAGATCCTACAAATTAATGCAAGGTTTGCATATCATTTGCATGTGATTTGCATTATATTTGTGTATTTAATGGCGACCTTGCCTCGTGTGACACTTACATCTGTCTTTCTCCACGTTTCCAAGTCCCTACTTGGTGTTGATCCAACCTTAAAAAAACAATTGCTAGCCTGTAAATTAAATTGGGACTCTGAAAAGAAGCAGGGAATTTCCCTTCAGAGTCGTCCACTCCAAGTCTAGCTCAGCAGAGTGAAAGGAACAAAGCAACTGAAAAACTTGCCCAAGTTTGCACCGCGACTCCGTTAACAAATCCTGGTCTTCCAAGATCAATGCTCTCTGACTTACAAGTCAGAATGAGACTGGAAGGTCCCCAAAGAGAATGCATGCAGTTGTGAAAAGCACATGATATAATAATATAAAGGGATTTGGGAAAGAAAATAACATTTAAGATACTATTAAAAAGTATTATGCTTCAAAAGAAAAAAAATATTACTCTTGGTATTTGTTAACCATTTTGTTCTACATATGGAAAAAGCAAAAGTCAATCAACCCTGGATTGTCTGTGATTGGGGACCATTCAAATAATTGAATAATTCCCTCCAGATTTATATTTAGCTGTGAATTCTATTTTTGATCTTGCTACAGATTTTTCTTTCTATTTCTGTTTTTGCCCAGTTTAATGTTAAAAAGAAGATATTCCCTGAAGCCATACTAACTAATCAGAGAAAAAGAGGTAATCTGGGAGCCTGCTGTGAGGCAAAGAGAAGTCATTCTGGGATTAAATATTGAAAGTAGATAATACCCAAAGTGGAAATTCAAGAGTGGGTTGAATATTAAAATTAGCCTACATACACTGAATGAATTGAGGCAATGGAACATACCGAAGAAAGGTTTTCTTTGCAAAGAGTGTACTCTTGCAGTTTTGAAGGATTTACTTCAAGATCTGACATTTGAACTGTTTTTTTAATTGATTGAAGAAATGCTGTACTACTTTTCCATGAAGAGGACAATCTAATCAAAGACAGAGAAGAATAAACAAAAATTGATGAACTGATTAAAAACTCAGTCTTTATAAGATTAATTAACTCAGTTGAAAAAAGATATCTTGCATTTATATTGTTCCTCAATTTCAAGTAGTTCAAAGTCTTCATGTACTTTTAAGAAATCCTCATGACAATCTGGAAAAGGAAAAACATGGATTCTTACCATGTTACAAGTAGTGAAACTGAAGTCCAAAGAAGTGAGTCCTTTTGATTCCTAGCTCAGATCTCTAACACATCATATTGAACCACCCTGCCTCACATCTTCATTAATAAAATCAGTAATGGTAGCAACGAATATTCATTGAATTCCTTTCTCCATGCTAGGTACATGTTAAGTACCATGCATACTTTATCTTATTTATTGCTCAAGACCACACTTGTGAAATGGGTATTATTTCCTCTTCATTGAGACTTCAGGGAGAAATACAGTAACATGCCCAAGATTACCCAGGTAGCCTGACTCCAGAGCTGAGCTCCTGATCTCTATGAGTGTAAAATTTTCTTAAGAACACAGGATTACTGTTCACATCTTACATAAAGGGTCTCCAAAGATGCAAATCTGATTAAGATGTTAAAATTAACATCTGTCTAGTGTTTTATAGCTTTCACATACATTATCTCATTTAATTATCACAATAGGCATGTAAGGCAGAAAATGTAGATATTATTGTCCTCATTCTTCAGGAGGTTAAGTCCTACAGAGGCTAGGTGACTTGCCCAAGATCATCTTAGTAAATGGCAGACCTAGGACTTACATCCTTGGTCTTTTGACTCCAGATTCAATGCTTTCCCAACCAACACTCAACTTCTAGATCATTGGTCCTGCCTGAGAGGCAAAAGGTAGACTAGTTGGTCTTTTGAAAGCTTTTCTTGTCTGACAACTTATACTGTGTTAGGACCCCTCAACATGTAAATTCTCAATCTTAGGAGATGATGAGTGGTTTTTATTGGCTGAGCCAGACAATGTGTGTTTAGAAGTAAAGCCCTAGGATGAGAATCTTGAAACACTTTGGGTAAGTGGCTTCCTCTCTCTGTGCCAGAATCATCCCTGCTCCATCAACCTCACAGACTTGTTCTAAAAATAAGGCGACACATTATCGTACAGATGCTTCCTTCCCTCAGAGAGAGGAGTAATGTGCATGGTTCCATGGATACTGTGTTTAAACTTTATTCCAAAGCCAAGGTACCAGAAATTAAGAACCTGGACGGTAGAAAAAGAGGCAGTGGAGGTGGTATAGCTAAAGAAATGGATCTTCTGAGTCCAGAAAGTCATGGTCTTTCCTGATAAGTTGCTGGCAAGACACTAAAGTTGATCCTAGCTGGAGGAGTGAGAAGGGAGGCATGCATAGGACAATTTGGTCCTCTCCTTACTAGGTATCATGTCCAACCAGCTGTCTCTTATTCTCTTCTCTATCACTGATAGCTTCTCCTGGCATGGGCATGATGGGAGGATAAGGACTACATCTGAAGATTAATCCGTCTGCTTCCTCCAATGAAGGAAGCCTTGGCTTTGGGGAGGCTGTGCACTGCTAAGGGGAGATGACTTGCATTCATTACAAAGCATCTAACTTGCAACAAAACCTTTGCCACTGCCCTTACTGTCATGCTTATCAACATCATCGCCATTAATTAATTAGCTCATCACAAATTTATTGAAATGAACACTATGTGCCAGACACTGAGCTAGGCACTGAGCTCTGAATGACAATAATGTTCAGAGACATTGTCCCTATGCTGAAGTTCACAAGCCAGCAGGCCTTGAAGCCTGTATGCAGAAGTGGCCCTGGGCTAGATGCTATTTCATTTGGGATACATGACCTGGTTCCTGCTTTCAGAGACTTTGGGTCAGAGGATGACATTCAAAAACATCAAAAGTAGAGGATTGGCTGGGTGTGGTGGCTCACGCCTGTAATCCCAGCACTTTAGGAGGCCGAGGTGGGTGGATCACCAGGTTAGGAGTTCAAGACCAGCCTGGCCAAGATGGTGAAATCCTGTCTCTGCTAAAAATACAAAAAATTAGCCGGGAATGGTGGCAGGTGCCTGTAATCCCAGCTACTCGGGAGGCTGAGGCAGAGAATTGCTTGAACCCAGGAGGCGGAGGCTGCAGTGAACCAAGATTGCACCACTGCGCTCCAGACTGGGCGACAGAGCAAGACTGTCTAAAAATAATAATAAAAAAAAAAAGTAGAAGATTATAGATACTAAGTGTATCAATAATTTTTTTTAATCTATAAGAGACTTATTTGCTTTATGGGTTTCCAACAGCAAATGCTGTTGACTGCAGCATGCTCTTGGGATGTCCACAGCTAAATGTCAGAAATAAATGAGAATTGGCATTATTTTTCCTACAGGTGTAAGTCAGAGATATAGCCATTCCCCAAGCAGTCCCTATGAGGTTTCAAGTCTTAAAAGCTGCAAGGGTCTAAGAGATTACCAAGGGCAAAAGGCTGTGGGGACTTCTGGCAGATCAGAGGATCAGCAGGGAAGCCTTACCCTGCTGGCTACTGAATCAAGAGGAACTTTCCACTCCTGAAGGACCTCGCTGGGCCTACATCCAGGGCACCTTGAATTCCACCCTGTGCCTCCATTTATGCCACAGGAACCAACAAGAATGGGAGTTTCAAATCACCATTTTTACCCTTCAAAATATGACACCCAGTAGCAATTATTCAGCGGGCTAGAGAAGTCTTGGTATTCCTTGGTACCTGGAAGACGGTCTCTGAACTTCCTAGTAAATTCTAAGTGCTTACGTCTTTGCTCCCCACTCCAAGTTCCAAAATAATAAAACAGAAAATAAGATGACGCAGATACACTGTGTCTCTTTCCGACCTACCTCCTTTACTCAGCCTCTGTCTGAAATGTCAGGACTGGCTCCTCAGGGAACAAGATCCTGAGGAAATGGGGTCAGAACTGAAGGAGCAAAGCAGCCTGAGAGGGATTGGGAAGGAGGGTTGAGGGAATGAATGAGGTTATGGGAACAGAGTAGGGAGGGGGGTCCTAGCCCTCAGCATCTCTTCCCACTCTGGTGCCTCCCTCTCCCTGCGTCCCTTCCCTCTTACTCTCAGGGTAGCCAGATGGCCTGGATTTTGACCTTCAGTACTTTCTCTGACTCATTTTGTCCCTTGCTGTGGCCCACGACATGCTGTCTTCTTAGCTCTCTCACTTGTTCCTTCTTCATTCAGACTGGCTGACATTCACCCCTTCAGTCTCCTTTTGCTCTCAGTGGCCATCTACTTTCCTTGCTAAATGGCAGCCCTTTTAAAATGAAGATTCTTGGCTGGGTGTGGTGGCTCATGCCTGTAATCCCAGCACTTTGGGAGGCTGAGGCGGGCAGATCACTTGAGATCAGGAGTTCAAGACCGGCCTGGCCAACATGGTGAAACCCCGTCTCTACTAAAATACAAAAATTAGCTGGCCATGGTGGCACGCGCCTGTAGTCCCAGCTGCTTGGGAGGCTGAGATAGAAGAATCCCTTGAACCCGGGAGGCGGAGGCTGCAGTAAGCCGAGATCGTGCCACTGCACTCCAGCCTGGGTGACAGAATAAGACTCCATCTCAAAAATAAATAAATAAATAAAATAAAATGAAGATTCTCATCCTTGACAATATATGATATGGTGGAAGTTTTCAAACAGGTAAAGGGTAAATGTAGGATCAGAGACATTAAAACTTTAGAATAGGCCGGGCGCGGTGGCTCACGCCTGTAATCCTAACGCTTTGGGAGGCCGAAGCAGGTGGATCACGAGGTCAGGAGATCGAGACCATCTTGGCTAACATGGTGAAACCCCATCTCTACTAAAAATACAAAAAAAATTAGCCGGGCATGGTGGCGGGCGCCTGTAGTCCCAGCTACTCTACTCGGGAGGCTGAGGCAGGAGAATGGCGTGAACCCAGGAGGCAGAGCTTGCAGTGAGCTGAGATCGCGCCACTGCACTCCAGCCTGGGCGACAGAGCGAAACTCCGTCTCAAAAAATAAATAAATAAATAAATAAATAATAAATAAAACTCTAGAATATTGGACTTAATGGTACTCTAAGAAAAATACAAGGTAGATTTTAAACAAACAATTGGAAGAAACAGTAGAAACTATATGTGATTCAGCCTCTCACATTACAGACCTAGAAACAGATGCCCAGACAAGGGGAGGACTTGTCAGAGGCCATTCAGCAAATCAGAGACAAGCAAAGGACCAGGACTTCTGGATCCCGTTCAGTGCTGCCTCAAAACATAAATAACTTCTAAAAGAATTTAGGACCAGGCATGGTGGCTCACACCTGTAATCCCACTACTTTGGGAGGCCAAGGTGGGCAGATCACGAGGTCAGGAGTTCGAGACCAGCCTGGCCAACATGGTAAAACCCTGTCTCTACTAAAAATACAAAAATTAGCCAGGTGTGGTGGTACGTGCCTATAATCCCAATTACTCAGAAGGCTGAGGCAGGAGAATTGCTTCAACCCAGGAGGCAGAGGTTGCCGTGAGCTGAGATCGCGCCACTGCACTCCAGCCTGGTTGACAGAGCAAGACTCTGTATCAAAAAAAAAAAAAAAAAAAAAAGGATTTAGATGGAGTACTTTTCAGCAACAAAAAGGAACAAGCTACTGATATTTGCTATAGCATGAATCGACCTTGAAAAAATTATGCTAAATGAAAGAAGCCAGGCGCAAAGAACTACATATTATATGATTCCATGTATATGAAATGTCCAGAAACGCAAATTTATAGAGAGAGCAAGCAGATTTGTGATTGCCTAGGACTGGAGGTGGGAGCAGGGATTACCTGCCAATGGACACTTTTTCGAACTCTTTGGGGTGATGGGAATGTTTCTATGCTAGAATGTTGTGATGGTTGCACAATTCTATAAATACACTTAAAAATAATAGAATCGGCCAGGCGTGGTGGCTCACGCCTGTAATCACACCACTTTGGGAGGCCAAGGTGGGAGGATCACTTGAATCCAGGAGTTCAAGACCAGCCTGGCTAACATGGTGAAACCCTGTCTCTACAAAAAATACAACAATTAGCCGAGTGTGGTGGTGCACGCCTGTAGTCCCAACTCCTCGGAAGGCTGCGGCTGGCAGATCTGTTGAGCCTGGGAGGTGGAGGTTGCAGTGAGCCATGATCATACCACTGCACTCCACCCTGGGTGACAGAGTGAGACCCTGTCTCAAAAAAATAAAAATAAAAATAGGCTGGGCATGGTGGCTCATGACTGTAATCCCAGCACTTTGGGTGGCCAAGGTGGGTGAATCACTTGAGGTCAGGAGTTCGAGACCAGCCTGGCCAACATGGAGACACCCCCATCTCTACTAAAAATACAAAAATTAGCTGGGTGTGGTGGCAGGTGCCTGTAATCCCAGCTACTAGGGGGCTGAGGCAGAAGAATCGTTTGAACCTGGGAGGTGGAGGTTGCAGTGAGCCAAGATTGTGCCACTGCACTCCGGCCCAGGCAACAGAGCGAGATCTCTGTCTCAATAAATAAATAAATAAAGAATAGAATTATACATGAGTAATGGGTGAATTTTATGGTTTATAAATTATACCTCAATCAAGCTGTTTTGAAAAACAAAAAGGATTTAGATACATTTATCTCTGAGAGATTGATGATGTGTGGGAGACCCTGCTAATCTTTTCAGGGGAATGTCTTAGGAAACAAATATACCTGCCCTTATGATATCCCTAAAGAGTTACTGTGACAGACAGAAGATGCCGCTCTTTGGACTATGGAATATCCAGGCTGGTATTTCTCATTAAAAAAAAAAAATGTCCTCCTGCACTAAAATATATAAGCTTCCTAAGGAGAGCAGGTATGTCTTGGTCATCTCTCCATAACACCTAGCACTGTAACCGGCATGCAGATGGTGCTTCATGAAAAATGAATTAAAGTTTACTCTAGTTCCACTGTGTCAAGTGGGTACCTTGAGAAACCAGCTGGTTTCTAGAGCAGTGCCTTAGCAGGAACAGTCTGCATCCTCCACACCTGACTTTCCTAGGCACCCCCTCCCAGAGGAAAGTCTCTGGAGAGGGGATGCTGGTTGAGTACATTCCCAGGAGACTGTGTATAAACCAAAAGATCTGTTTCATGCCCCACTTTAGATTTCTTTCTTCTCCACTGTTCCCACTTATCTTCTTCAAGTCTGCCTCAAAACTACAATTGTCCCTGGGGGCAAATAAGCTACAATATATCTTTGACACTCTCCACCTGATTCTACATCCACTCCCACTCCCTTCCCTTCACACCATGCACCAAATCAGGCAACAAGTATCATCAAAAGGGCCAGGTACGGTGGCTCACACCTGTAATCCCAGCAATTTGGGAAGCTGAGGTGGGAGGAGTACTTGAGCTCAGGAGTTTGAGACCAGCCTGGATGATACAGTGAGACCTGGTCTCTAGTAAAAATTTAAAAAATTAGCCAGGTATGGTGGGGCATACCTGTAGTCCCAGTTATTTGGGAGGCTGAGGTGGGAGGATTGCTTAACCCAGGAGATCAAGGCTGCAGCAAGCTAATTTTGTGTCACTACATTCTAGCCTGGGCAACTGAGGGAAACTCCACCTCAAAAAAAAAAAAAGTATCATCAAAATCCAGTTCAAGCTGGGTGCGGTGGCTCATGCCTGTAATCCTAGCACTTTGAGAGGTCTAGGTGGGTGGATCACAAGGTCAGGAGTTCAAGACCAGCCTGGCCAACATAGTGAAACCCTGTCTCTACTAAAAATTCAAAAATTAGCCAGGTGTTGGCCGGGCGCAGTGACTCACGCCTGTAATCTCAGCACTTTGGGAGGCTGAGGCGGGTGGATTACGAGGTCAGAAGATCGAGACCATCCTGGCTAACACGGTGAAACCCCATCTCTACTAAAAATAGAAAAAAATTAGCCGGGTGTGGTGGTGGGCACCTGTAGTCCCAGCTAGTTGGGAGGCTGAGGCAGGAGAATCGCCTGAACCTGGGAGGGAGAGGCTGCAGTGAGCCGAGATCATGCCACTGCACTCCAGCCTGGACAATACAGTGAGACTCTGTCAAAAAAAAAAATCCAGTTCAAAGATATGAAAATATAACAGAAGAGATGAGTAATTTGAAAAGTGGTCTATGGTCTGATTTCCTTTAGACCCAGGGCATAGGCCCCAGAGCTTATTTTCAGAGTTGAAAAATATCATTTATGGCCAGGCGCGGTGGCTCATGCCTGTCATCCCAGCACTTTGGGAAGCCAAGGCAGGAGGATCACGAGGTCAAGAGTTCAAGACCAGCCTGACCAACATGGTGAAACCCCGTCTCTACTAAAAAATACAAAAATTGGCCGGGCGTGGTGGCTCACAACTGTAATCCCAGCACTTTGGGAGGCTGAGGCGAGTGGATCACAAGGTCAGGAATTCAAGACCAGCCTGGCCAACATGGTGAAACCCCGTCTCTACTAAAAATACAAAAAATTAGCCAGGCGTGGTGGTGGGCGCCTATAATCCCAGCTACCTGGGAGGCTGAGGCAGAGAATTGCTTGAACCTGGGAGGCGGAGGTTGTAGTGAGCCGAGATCACACCACTGCACTCCAGCCTGGGCGACAGAGTGAGACTGTCTCAAAACAAAACAAAAAATTAGCCAGGCGTAGTGGCACACACCTGTAATCCCAGCTACTCAGGAGGCTGAGGCAGGAGAATCTCTTGAACCCGGGAGACGGAAGTTGTAGTGAGCCGAGATCACACCACTGCACTCCAGCCTGGGCAGCAGAGCAAGACTCCAACCAAAAAAAAAAAAAAAAAGAAAGAAAAATATCATTTATATTGTAGATATAAATTGTTGTACATAACTACAAAATATCACCACAGATTCTTATTAAATTTTATTTTCTGTGCCTTGGTCAATGAGATATCACCCTGCCCTGCAACTCCATCTTCACCATCATTTACTTTAGCTTCAAATTAGACCTCGCTTTCTCCAAGTGTTCCTCATCTACCCTTATCAGCTACTAATTCTTTCAGGACTTAGGTGTTCAGTTTGTAGCCCATAATAATTTTGTAGTAGCTTAAGGTAGCTTTTTTTTTTTTCTGGCGACTGAGTTTCATTCTTGTTGCCCAGGCTGGAGTGTAATGGCACGATCTCGGCTCACTGTAACCTCCACCACCCTGGTTCAAGCGATTCTCCTGCCTCAGCCTCCCGAATAGCTGGGATTACAGGCATGCGCCACCACGCCCAGCTAATTTTTGTATTTTTAGTAGAGATGGGATTTTTCCATGTTGGTCAGGTTGGTGTCAAATTCCCGACCTCAGGCAATCTGCCCGCCTTGGCCTCCCAAAGTGCTGGGATTACAGGCGTGAGCCACTGCGCCTAGCCTTAAGGTAGCTTTATAATTTCTCCAAGTCATTTTAAATATGGTTGTCTTTTCTCCACAGCTGAAAGCAAAGGAACTCATTAACTCTGGTATTTCTTTTTCTTTTTTGAGATAGTCTCACTCTCTCTCTGTTACCCAGGCTTAAGTGCAGAGGTGCAATCATAGCTCACTGCAGCCTCGACTTCCCAGGCTCAAGCAATCCTCCTCCCACCTCAGCCTCCGGAGTAGCTGGGACTACAGGCAGTCGCCACACCTGGCTAATTTTTGTATTTTTTGTAGAGGCATGGTTTTGTCATACTGCCCAGGCTGGTCTTTTTTTTTTTTTTGAGACGGAGTCTCGCTCTGTCATGCAGGCTGGAGCGCAATGGCGTGATCTCAGCTCACTGCAACCTCTGCCTCCTGGGTTCAAGCGATTCTCCTGTCTCAGCCTCCCGAGTAGCTGGGACTACAGGCTCGCACCATCATGCCCAGCTAATTTTTGTATTTTTAGTAGAGACGGGGTTTCACCATGTTGGCCAGGATGGGCTCAAACTCCTGACCTCGTGATCTGCCCGCCTCAGCCTCCCAAAGTGCTGGGATTACAGGCGTGAGCCACCGTGCTCTGTCAACTCTGGTATTCCTTGTCAGCAACTAGCACAAGCTAGTGCATCCAGCAATGTTGAGTCAGTGTTTGTTATTTAAGTATTTGACTGTTTCTCCAACTAATATTCCTGATCCACTCCTGAAAGTTGATGCTAACGGTCCTGCAGGCTGATAGTGGGAAAGGCTCCAGATTTTGTGAGGTCTGATGTTTCTTCTTAAAAAAAAATTACTTTGGGGGTTCCTCATTAAGTAAAAGAGTTTAAAAAATTATACACATAGAATTAGGTACAGTGCCTTGGAAGGGGTCTGTGCGAGTAATGGGCTCTGACTCCCTAAGTTTCACTAGCATTACTGTAAATCTACTTCTCACCCCACCCTCTGGCCCCCCTCTGTTGCCTAGGCTGGAGTGCAGTGGCGCGATCTCAGCTCACTGCAACCTCTGCCTCCCAGTTTCAAGAAATTCTCCTGCCTCAGCTCCTGAGTAGATGGGATTACAGACATGTGCCACCATGCCCGGCTAATTTTTGTATTTTTAGTAGAGACGGGGTTTTGCCATGTTGGCCAGACTGATCTCAAACCCCTGGCCTCAAGTGATCTGCCTGCCTAGGCCTCCCAAAGTGCTGGGATTACAGGCATGAGCCACTGCGCCCGGCACTGTAAATCTACTTCTGACGGAAGGAATGAAGCCCAGTTACATCCCACCCAACACTTCAACCCTGACTGAATTTGGTGTCTATTCCTGGTTTTTACTGTGGATTTCCTGTACCCAACACATCTATTCCACAAGACGGCCCTGGCTCAACAAAATGGCCTTGGCAGTCTCTCTAGCTGATGAAAAAGTCCCAAAGGGCTGACTGACACTCCTCCCACTTAGTAACTTAGTGGCTCTTAGAACAGTGCTCCTTTCGGCAGGCGGTTTCTCCTGCTGTGCATGGTTGAAGGTGAGGAACTTGTACCCAATTCTGGAAGCCCCTGATGGTTCAATGCCTCGAGGAGTTGTGTTGTGCAGCGGAAGGGCCTGGAATGTTCCAGTACATTCCACCAGTGGCCTCTGTGACCCCTGCTTCCATTCAACTTTGGCAAAGGCCTGGTAGTCTACAAAGTAGCCTGTATTCTGCTGGGGTAGGAAGCAGCTTGGCCTTGCTTCTTCCTTGCCACTCTGATAATATCACACAAGTTGGCACCTTCCCTGGAAGTCCCACCCAAAAGCTCTGTCCAACTCTCTGGCCTCCTGGGTATTTGCCCAGAATGTTGAGTTAGGGTTTAGATACCAATCCTGTCAATTTCTTGGCCCTGTACACCCAATTCTGAATTCTTCTCCTGATGAGAAACCATGGGGATTCCTGAACCAATGGTGGGTTTGCATTCCTCGGAATGCCAAAAAAGCACCACCCCCCTCCCTTCATACGCCTGTGGAGATAGTAACATCAAGGCTCCAGGAAGGAAGTAACACAGCCAACAGCCATGATGTAACCGGCCATGTGCCCCTGCTTCACAGCACAGAAGAATGGCGCTTCTACTTGCTGGGCGCTGACTACAGGCTAAGCAATTTACACACATGGTCTCATTTGATCCTCATGACTACCCTATACAGTTGGTATAATCATCCCCATTTCACAGGTGAGGAAGTTGAAGCACAGAGAGGTTAAAAAATGTATTGATGGTTATATAGCTAGAAGGGAAAGGTCCAACTGCTTTCAAAGATTGTGCACAACCACTACTGAGGGGCTCAGTGGACTAGGTCAGAGAGACCCAGACCTAGACAAGTGAGAAATACAGGCCAGACCAGTCATTCCCCTGCCTCTCTGTCACCTTCCACAGCCCTAAAGACTCTAGAGCTCTGATTTTGTTTATAATGCTAAGAAATTATGGAGGTGCGTCTAGAGGTTTCTAGCTGCTCCTGGTATAGGAGTTGAACTATTCTGCGAAAGGATTATTATTTACTATTATGTCTCTGCCTCCAGTGGACTAGCCTAGGACCAAATCCACTCCCTCTCTCCAAGCTTCCTACTTTGGGGGAGGAGAGCAAGATGGGGAAAGCTGGGGGGTTTCCATGAAGGAGAAACCAGAAGATTAAAGGAGGAGGAGGCTGGCGCTGCCCTTTCAGAAAGCCTGCCAAAGCTAGGGAACCGGGATTCCTAAGACACTTCAAGAGTGTGCCAGGGAAAGTAGGAAAGCTCTTTGTGGGGTCAAAAGGGAAGCTGCAAGAGGAGGCCCTAGGGGAGACTTGACGGAAGAGGGTGGAAGAGGAGGTAAGAATCCATGCAGGACCAGAAGCGTGTGTGGATTCTGAAACCACCAAAAATTCAAAAGAGAAAAAGACTCACTCCTTGACTCTGTCTCCCCACCTCTTGGGTGGGGCAGCCAAATAAGGGGAATTCTTGTGGGACTGTGCTCTCCATTGCCAGAAAACACTGGCTGCATCGCCTGCCCAGCCTGCCAGAATGCTGCTGGAAAGAGTGGCTGGCCGCTGTGTTTGGTTGATAAATGATGGGCACCCCTGCCTGCCGCCCATTCTCTCTTTTCTCCCTGCTTAGCTTGCAGCCTTCTGCCTGGCAGGGAGCCTCAGGGTAGGGGTGGGGGAATAGGGTCCTCCAGACAGTATTTTATACTCAGTGATTAATAGGCTGCTGGAAGGGGAGGGGTGGGAAGCAAAGAGGGAAGCCCCAAGCCTAGTTTCCATGAGGCACCAGTGCACCACTGACAAGAGTCAAGGTATCTCTTTTCTTGATGCCTATTCCTTCAGACCCAGCTTTGGGACAGGATGCAGCCTTCATCCCTCCT
The DNA here is from genome assembly GCF_000001405.40 of Homo sapiens. Lineage (NCBI taxonomy): Eukaryota > Metazoa > Chordata > Mammalia > Primates > Hominidae > Homo > Homo sapiens. Next base: position 49,777,418 of record NC_000017.11, read on the forward strand.
GGGGCCTGAGACTCTGGTAGTATCTTGTATGAGACCTATGGAACTGGCTGGAATGAGGTTAATGGACACACATCCAAATCCTCAACCTTTTCTTTAAGCTCCACACTGCTGGGAGAGGGAAGAAATAAGTGAGGCCAAGCAGCTTAATAGCTGTTTTTGGAGGATTTTTTTTTTTAATGTTCAAGAATTCTTTTGAACCCTCCATGGCTCCAAGAAAAACTATTTGAAATGTCCCTTCTTATGGGGCCAGGGGGTTAAGTGCCAGGGATGGAAGGCTAAATGCCAGGGATGCTGGTTGCAGGGATTCTTGGGACCGGGGCTAATGGCCTCCCTGCTGTGGGCTCAGGAATACCAGGCCCAGGCACTGGTTGCCCTGAGAGATGCAGCCATTTTTACTTCTGATTGAAGGGCACCACCTTCCGGGATTTTCCCTTCTCTGGTGGGAAACAGAGTAGAATATGCCAAGGGACCAACAGGGTCTGTGCCCAAGAGTGGAGGGCACTGAAGGTGATAACATGGAGGCACTGGGATAGGGTGAGACCAATGACTTATACAGCTTAGAATTTGGTCCTTCCTGGCGGGAAGAAGATGCACTTTGTGGGAGCACATGGTAATTGCCCTTCGTAAGGGTGATCTCAAAAGGTCAACGGATGGGCCTTGAATAGCCCTAATGTCCCTGAAACAGTCCATTGTGTAGCTATTGTCTATACATGTAAAGGAACCCTTCTTGACCCTATTCATACTTTTCTTTTTTTGCCTCTGGGGTTTCCCAAGTGAATAATTGCATACTACCTTATTTATCCTTCCACCCAAGTCTACCTCTTTTAAGCTAACAACAAAAATAGTTCAGAACACATTTCTTGAGTCCCTATTAAGTGCCAGGCATCATGCTAGGTGCTGGAGATATGCAGATAAATAACACATGGTCCCTCCTCTGGAGAATCCACAGTCTGTTTTTTAAAAAATGACCCTTAGTGTTGACTTTTGGGATTTTGAAAACAAATCTGCATGTATCTCCTTTATATTTTCATATACATGGATCATGATTTCAGCCTCTATCTTTTCACAATCTTTTAACATTTTGCCTGGTATAGTAGTCTCCATTTAGATCAATTCAGATTACTTTCCCCGACTCTGATATATCTTCCTTTGCAGGTAGAGTGACCAGAATTAGGCGCTATATTTCACATGCAAATACTATATAAATGTGTGTACAAGAGTAACACTATGTTTTCTAACTTCCTTCATTTACCCACTTGCCATTCATGCATACATCCAATAGTTATTGAATGCCTACTAAGTGCCATGCACTCTGCCAGGTCCTGAGAATGCAATGGTAAGTAAAATGGACACTGCCCTCATGGAACTTACAGTCTGGGGTGTGTGTTGGGGAGACAGAAAGTAAAGAATCCAAATAACACACACATAAATGTATAATTACAAACTGAGACAAGTGCTATGAAGAAAAGCACAGTGTGCAATAAGAGCATGGCAGTGGGGGCCTTGATCTAGCCTGGAGGGTTCAGGAAAAGGTTTCCTGAGAAAATGGTATTTGAGCTGAGATCTGAAGGATTAGTGAAAATAGGCAAAGAAGAATATGGGGGAAGAACATTCCAGGCAGAGTAAAGAGCATGTGCAAAGGTCCTGAGAAGGAAGAAACCTGCACACTCCTAAGGAATTGCAGGAAGGCCAGTGAAGCTGCGGCACTGAGAAGGAAGCAGGTTTGTGTGAGATGGGCCTGAAGAGTTAGCCAGAAGACAGACCAGGCAGGACACTGAAGGCCAGGGAAGGATTTCTGTCTTTACCCCTCCATGGATAGGCACATGGAATGAAGGTCTTTAAAGAAGAGCTGCCAATGGTTCTTTCTCCCAGATTACTAATGCTACTTACAGTTGTCTGGAAGGAGAACAGTCATGACGGTCTAAGCTGCTAGGAACTTCCCAGCATCCTGACATGGTGTGGCTATGCCTGGCTGTCACTGGGGAGCCCCCAGAACCCATGGATCAGCCCTAGCCTACAGCCCTCAGGCAAGGGATAGCCCCCACCCATGTGGACAAAGGGGCAGGGTGGAGGGTGGGTGGAGTGCTTTGCCTGAGATCTCAGCTCTGCATGACATTTGGAACAGCCCCAAGACTATGGCTCTTTTTCCTAGATAACTCTATCATGTGTACCCCCCATTTAAATGGCCTGCCGCCCTTCCTACAGCAGCTGTGCTCCCCACCCAATCTGGAGAAGGTCCCTGGATAAGAACTCTGACTCTGCCCAGAGACTTGGGTCTTGACCTGCTAAGTTTAGGCCTCAGGACTGTTGGGAACCATGGATATATACATATCCTTGATAGTTTTCCAGGGGTATTAATGGAAGCCATTGGAGAAGAGGGTCACAATTGTTGGACTCAGCCTTTCTAAAGCCAGTCCTTTCCTTCCAGTCATATCTTTGGAAAATGTGGTTTGGTGTAGTGACATCTGCTGGCAAGGCTAGGCACATAATACAATGACTGGATGTCCACTCATCCTCATGTAATTTCCAGACTAGCAAGAAAATCGTTCTTAACTTCTGAGATTGGATTGGGCTCAGTAACCTCAGTTGGCAAGAGCAAGACTAAGATGTCCAAGGATGTGGGTCTGAACTATGTATGGGCTAGTTTGCCTTAAATAGAGAAAATGTGTTTCCTAGTTGTGGCTTATACCCCTCCCATTGGTCAGTTGATTCATATTTGGGTACAGTTAATCACAAGGGAGATTGGGCAAACATGTATAAATGACTCAGAGGAACCCGTTCCTAGCCCCTATGCCTGGGAAAGCATCTCCCAACAAATAAAAAGACCCACATTTTACAAATGGCAAAATGCAGTGTCATTTTTTTATCCTCCTGAGGTTGACTAGTTTGGGAAACTTTTTAGTTTCTCCCAGGTCACCAGGAAAGTAGTGTCTACAGAATCATCTTCATGGTTCTTATAGTGGGCAAGACTGACTAGGGCTTTTATAATGGCCCCTCCACACATGCTGGGGTAAGGGCAGTGGCGTGATCTTGGCTAACTGAAACCGCCGCCTCCTGGGCTCAAGCAATCCTCCCACCTTAGCCTCCCAAGTAACTGGGACTACAGGTCCACCAGTAATTTTTTGTATTTTTAGTACAGATGGGGTTTTCCCATGTTGGGCAGGCTGGTCTTGAACTCCTGGCCTCAAGTGATCTGCCTGTCTCAGCCTCCGAAAAGTGCTGGGACTACAGGCGTGAGCTACCGCGCCCAGCCTCTCCTCACCACTTTCATCCATGCCATGTACACATTCTGTTTACAATCTCACCCTTTTTCAGTAGTATGTGATCTTGACAGCATTCACCACTAGATGTAATTGGGATGCCAGGGGGAAAGGGTGAGGAGAAAATACTAAAGACATGATTCTGAAGCAAACGTTCTGCCTTTTCTTTTTGAGATGGAGTTTCGCTCTGTCACCCAGGCTGGAGTGGAATGGCACAATCTCGGCTCGCTGCAACCTCCGCCTCCCGGGTTCAAGCGATTCTCCTGTCTCAGACTCCCAGGTAGCTGAGATTATAGGTGCCCACCACCATGCCCGGCTAATTTTTGTGCTTTTAGTAGAGACGGGTCTTCACCATATTGGCCATGCTGGTCTCGAACTCTACCCAACCTTGGCCTCCCAAAGTGCTGGGATAACAGGCGTGAGCCACCATGCCTGGCCATGTTTTGCCTTCTTAGTAACAGTAACACTGACCCATAACTGAATGTAGCTCAGACAAAGCATCTCTTTCTCTCACTCAAACTTAAGAAAATCATCAAGATAAATTAGTAATGAATAGGGTTTCCCAGAAGAGGAAACAGACCTAGTAAATAAACACATGAAAGACTGAAGTATATCCTCAGTAGAAATAAAATCGAAAGCACATTTGGGGTGCCATTTTCATTTTTATTAAAATGACAAGATTTTTAAAAAGTGGTAACACTTAGTTCTGGAAACAATGACTTAAATTGGCACCCTTGCACTGATGATGACACTGTAAATTGTGAAAGTCTTTAAGGAAAGGAAAGAAGCAATATATAAGTGGCAGAAATAAAAACAGGAGAGAGCTATGGATGCATGCAGACACTCACTGCAGCATTATCTGACATAAAAGAGCTTTAATAACTCCACAACAGGAGAATGAGAGCACATTACATCATAGCACCACAGTGCAATGTCACACAGTGAGTATAGTTACAATTATGAGGACTCTAGGGAAACACAGAAGATGCTGAGAAGATGTACAAAATATAAAATTTCAGCCAGGCACAGTGGCTCAGGCTTGTAATCCTAGCATTTTGGGAGGCTGGGGCAGGAGGATCCCTTGAGCTCAAGAGTTTGAGACCAGCCTAGGTAACATAGTGAGACCCCGATCTCTACAGAAAATAAAAAATTAGCGGGGTATGGTGGCATGTGCCTGTAGTCACAGCTACTTGGAAGGCTGAGCAGGAGGATCGCTTGAAACCAGGAGGTTAAGTTTGCAGTGAGAGGTGATTGTGCCACTGCACTCCAGCCTGGGTAACAGAGCAAGATCCTGTCTCAAAAAAATAAAATAAAATTTCATGTAAATAATGAGTGTATCTATGTTAAAATATGCACATAAAATGTATGCATGAGGAGAAAAAATGGAAGGCAATATACAAAAAATAAAAATAGTTGGGTCAGGCGTGGTGGCTCACGCCTGTAATCCCAGCACTTTGGGAGGCCGAGGTGGGCGGATCACGAGGTCAGGAGATCGAGACCATCCTGGCTAACACAATGAAACCCCGTCTCTACTAAAAATACAAAAAAAAATTAGCCAGTGTGGTGGTGGGCGCCTGTAGTCCCAGCTACTCGGGAGGCTGAGGCAGGAAAATGGCATGAACCTGGGAGGCGGAGCTTGCAGTGAGCCAAGACTGCGCCACTGCACTCCAGCCTGGGTGACAGAGAGAGACTCCGTCTCAAAAAAAAAAAAAAAAAAAAAAAAAGCTTTGTGCCAGGCATGGTGGCTTATGCCTGTAATCCGAGCATTTTGGGAGGCCAAAGCGGGTAGATCACTTGAGACCACGAGTTTGAGACCAGCCCGGGCAACATGGTGAAATGCTGTCTCTACTAAAGATAGAAAAATAAGCCGGGCATGGTGGCACGCACCTGTAGTCCCAGCTACTTGGGAGGCTGAGGCAGGAGAATCGCTTGAACCCGGGAGGCACAGGTTGCAGTGAGCTGAGATCATGCCACTGCACTCCAGTCTGGGTGACAGAGCTAGACTTTGTCTCAAAAAAAAAAAAAAAAAAAAAACCCTTTGTGGCGGCAATGAGATTAAGGATGTCTTTTATTTTCCTCAAATTTTCATTTAGTGTTATTACACTGTGTTAATCATTTTGAAATGGTGGAAGGGGGTTGAGGGCAGGTGAAAGTGCTCCTCTAGCCCCTTCCTGTACATACTTGTCCTAAATTGACAGAGAGGAAAGACCATGTCTGCTTATTCAGCTTCTGGCCAATGCCTAGCACCTATCAGGTGTTAAATAAACATTTGTTGAATGTATAAATGAAAATGCCTGCAGTCTAAATGTCTCAGCCCATGGTGACCGGGTACTTTCCACCCCGGCAAATAGAGCAATTTGGTTTTGCTGGAATAAAAAAATGAAGGTTTATCCATAATGGCAATTCCCTGGTCTTCTTGGTAAGTGAATGTGGGCATGGAGAACCCAGGAGAGACAGTCTGTTAAAGAAAACCCAATTACCATTGTGGAACATATGTTGCCCTGAGGCCTCTGCTGCCATAACAACATCTTGTAACTATAACTACAGCCCTGGAGGGCTTTGGCCCCATAGAATATGGAAAAGGATGTCTTCATCATAAGACAGCTTTGTGCTCAGATTGACTTCCCTAGGGAGCTTGGATCAGGGAAGGGAGGTAGATAAGTGGAGGAAGGGGGGGAGATGAAGGGCAGAGGTGGGAGAAGAACTGCTATTGAATCAAGATCAGAGTGATTTTTTTTTTTAGCGATTTTCAAAATGTGGTTATTTGACTGTTTAGCTTTGGTGGTTATTTATATCCCCAGCTGCAGAGGCAGGGAGCTGTGCCTGAGCCTGCTGGGATCTGTCCAATAACTTCTCCCAGGGTGGGGCTGCGGGTGGGGGCTAAGGGTGCTACAAGATCCAAATTAGGTGGCCAGAATGTAAGAGAAGCTCCAGGCCATCTCCAGCAAGAGTAAAGAAGAAGGGCCTATTAGTGACTGTGCTGACCATTTTTAAGGCAGCTGCAAATGAAAATATTTTAATAGGAATTACGGTCACATCAGCAACCTCTGAGATTCTCCCAAAAGGATAGAGACTAAGCCAATACTTTGCCTCAGAAGTTATGAGATTGACCTGGCTACACTAGCATTGTCTTTAAAAGGCCAAGGCATGCTTCCCCCACCTTACAAGACTGCACACAGAGGAAATGGCTATCCCTAACCCCTACTAGCCACCTCACTGGTCAGAAAGAGGCTTAGAGGAGAGAGCATGGCTGGTTCTGTGCAAGCCTTTCCTAGCTGAGTCAACAACTGGCAGTGGGGTGAGAAACATTCAATTTGGTGCCACCCCAATTACTAAGCCCTTTTGGGTGCCAGTCAGCAAGGGAGAAGCTGGAGATGCTGTGGCCATCCAGGCAAGGCTCCTAACCTCTGGAAGAAGCAAACAATGAACAACTACATTTTGTATTTGAAATATGGTACCTATAATTTTACTGTCAAGGAAACACTTTAAAGGACATCAAGGGATCTTTTAGGCAGCTTACAAAACTGAGGAGGCAAGAGACTGATACAAGTAAGGAAATAACACAAGCACATACACACAAAAGATTGCCCCCACTCCCAGTGCCTATTTCAGTCTCTCCTTGTCTCTGGCTAAGGCTATTTCAGCAGCCTTCTAACTGGTCTCCTGCCTTGGGTCTCCCTCCTACTCTGATCAGTGCCCTTCACAGCTGCCAGAAAGAGATTGCTAAAATGCATGTCTGACTGGCGGCCTCCTCTGCTTAAGGACTTTCAGAAATTGCCTACCACTTCCAGTTCAGTCTCCACAGAAGGGTGCTGAACACTCTGCATGAACTGGTTCCCAAAACCATGCCTCTTATGTACCCTCCCCGGCACCCATAGATAATGCTCCTCCACACCTCTCTACTATTGCACATTCTGTTTTCTTTGCATGGAAAACCCTTATATTGTCCTTGTTTACTGGCAAACATTCATCCTGTGAAATTCCACTCTTGCTTCACGTCTTTTATGAATCCTTTCCTAAACTTTCCAGATGAAACACTCTACCTCCTCCTCTGTAGCACTTCTGAACCTTGCTTATCTCCCTATTTTCCCATGTAATACTCTACAGTGTTTTGTAAGTGTGTGCTCACTGGCTTGTCTTCCCTACTGGATTCTAAGCTCCTTTAGGGGAAAGTTGGTGTTTTGTCCATGGGGTATAACTCAGTGCCTGGTACCTGGGTGATTAATGCCTGGGTAATCACTCTGTATGTCTTCAGTTAAAGTGGTTGAACAGAGGTTGAACAGAGTTAAAGAGGTTGAACAGATAAAAGCAAACAATCACTGAGACCATGTAAATATATAGTCACTAACATTAGAATGTTATAGCCATGATTAGAGTGACTGGAAATATAAATAACAATAGCCATTTATTGAGCAATTACTCCATGTCAGGAACTGTGCAAAGAGCTTTACAACACTCATCTTCTTTATTCCTTACAACCTTGTGAGGTGGCTATTAATGTCCCCACATCACAGGTGAGAAAACTGAGACACAAACAAATTTAAAACTTGTCCAAGGCCGGGCATGGCTCATGCCTGTAATCCCAGTGCTTTGGGAGGCTCAGATGGGAGGATGGCTTGAGGCCAGGAGTTCGAGACTAGTCTGGGCAATGTAGCAAGACCTCATCTCTACAAATAATTTAAAAATTAGCCAGGCATGGTGGTGTGTACCTGTAGTCCTAGCTACTCGGGAGGCTGACGTGGGAGGATCGCTTGGCCCAGGAGATCAAGGTTGCAGTGAGCTATGATTGTGCCACTGCACTCCAGACTGGGTGACAAGAGTGAGACACTGTCTCTTAAAAAACAAAAAACAAAAACAAAAACTTGTCCAAGAGTAATGCAGGTAGGAAGCAGCAGAGCGGAGATTAAAATTCAGATCTGACATCAAAGCCCTGTACTGGACACTAGTACAGCTGATGATACAATAAACATGATTTATCTATGTTTCTATTATCTGTTTGGGAAGGGAAATGAACAGAATTATCTACCAAATTGTACAAGGAAAATAACAAATCCAGCAGTTAAGTGCAAAATAACATATCATTACGCCCTACTACCTTACAAAGAATGAATTGGAAAAGATTTTCTGAAAAAATAAAATTTTATTGAGGGTTAGGAGATGCATCCAGGCAGGAAGAAAAGCCTGAGAAAATAGAAAGGCAAGGAGAACTGTCGAGAGTGTCAACGTGAAGTCTGGTGATTGAGGATAGCCAGGGGGCAACCAGTCAGAGGCATTGAAATCAACATCAGTTCCTGCTTGGAAAGCTAATTGTGTTGTGATGAACATGACTCTCAAAGTAAATATTATATTTGGTTTTTTAAAAAAAGAAGAAGAAATAAGCTTTTAAGATCCTCCCCTTCCCCATTCTAAATATACCTGGCTGGTCTACTTTCAAGTACTATACACATTTTTTTCCTTATGATCATGTTTCTATCCTACTGGTGTTAGTTTTTTCATCTTTCTGCCAGAGTGTACACTTTCCAAGGACAAGAACCATATCTAAATGAAACTGTAAACTCTTTAGTGTCAGCTGCAGTCTTAGGGAATCTAGCATAAGAAATTAACTAACGTCGAACATCTGTAATGCTGGTATTTGTGTGACGGATGCAAGTCAGGATAAGATCTTATTCTAAAACACTAATTTCCAGGGAGGATAACTTCACCATCTCTGAGCGCTATACATTCAGAGACTGTAAAACAGTAATGATATTCTTACTGAGTAGCAAGCATTTACTGTGGGAAGAACGAGGTTTGAGCACCATTGGAAAGGATGGTATGAGCCAGGCGCAGTGGCTCACACCTGTAATCCCAGCACTTTGGGAGGCTGAGGCGGGTGGATCACCTGAGGTCAGGAGTTCAAGACCAACCTGACCAACATGGAGAAACACTGTCTCTACTAAAAATACAAAAAGTAGCCACATGTGGTGGCGGGCGCCTGTAATCTCAGCTACTCGGGAGGTTGAGGCAGGAGAATCGCCTGAACCCGGGAGGCGGAGGCTGCGGTGAGCCGAGCTCGTGCCATTGCCCTCCAGCCTGGCAACAAGAGCAAAACCCTGTCTCAGAAAAAAAAAAAAAAAAAGAAAGGCTGGTATGGCTGGGAGTGGTGGCTCACACCTTAATCCCAGCACTCTGGAAGGCCGAGACAGTAGTTCAGCTCAGTAGGTCGAGACCAGCCTGGGCAGCATGGTGAAACTCTGTCTCTACAAAAAATACAAAAATTAGCCAGGTGTGGTGGCACACGCCTGCAGTCCCAGCTACTCGGGAGGCTGAGGCAAGAGAATCCCTTGAGCCCACGAGGTGGAGCTTGCAGTGAACTGACATCCAGCCATTGCACTCCAGCCTGGGCAACACAGCAAGACTCTGTCTTGAAAGAAAAAAAAAGAAGAGAGAGAAAAAAAGTAGGATGGTATGAAATAACTGAGATATGCTCTTAATGTAAGAGATCCTTACCACCAGTTGGGGAGCCAGAACATTCAAATGTAACCTCAGGAACATATCCGTGAGTGCAAAATAACAGAGTAATGTATGAAATTAAATGCTTAAGTGGTGAGGGGCTACATGAAATTAAATGCTTAAGTGGTGAGAAGTAATGTGAACCATTTTCAAATAAGTTCTTACGTGCAGTTCAACCTAAGTAGGTTATCAAAGGTATTTATACTAAGCACTAAAAGCTAAGTATTAAATACTAAAAGCTGCCTGTGTCAACACTGGCCCAGGACATCCCCAAGGAGAGTGCTGGCTAAAGGTCTGGAACTTTAAATCTTTAGAGTTCTTTACTTAGCACATCAATCAGATATTTACCTTCTGCTTCTTTGTTCTTTAGCCCTGCTCCTGGGGGAAATCTCCATCTTAACGGGGCCTCAGTTTGAAATTGGGGTTCGGGATCCTAACTTAATGACTGAGCGTGCCTGGGTTCCACCCAGTCGCAATTGGTCAAGACTTGGTCCTCTCAAGGCCTTTCCTCCGGAGAGGTTAAATCCTCAACGCCTGCTCTCCACTTTCCAGCCTTTTCTTAAGGCTCTTCTTTCAGCCTAGTATCTGTGACCAACTTCTCCTTCCTAGGCCCTCTCATTATTATTTAAATGTCCATTCTTTTGGGGGCTTCAACTTCACTAAAAACATTCCTTCCTCTTCCTCCGCCTCGTAACTCTCTGCTCAAGCATCTGGATGCCAGAGGTCATTTGAGCTAAATGGGGTTCAAAGCTTTTCTGACTCTGGTACTGCATTCCCCACTTTCAAATCACATTTTTCACCCCAGGGCCCCCAGTGGTCTCAAACCCAAACACAGTGCGGTTAGGAAGTGGGCACTCGCCACAGAGCTAAATTGGGAATTATTTGACCTGCAGCTTCTGGAGAATGGTTTTGCCTCCTCCCCGCGACATCAACTAACTCACTTGCTGTTAGCTAAGGGCAAGGACAATGTCTCCTCTACCAGACAGGAAACTTGATGGCGGACGCTATCCGTTAGTTCCTTTTTCAATTCCCCATTCCCACCCCTTCGAGACCACGATGTTTCTTAAAATACAAAGTTTCTTTTACAAAACATCCCTCCGCAACTTTGAGTTTATATAATAAACGGAAACGTCCTTTAAACAATCAGGCTACGAAGGGGTTAAATCTAATCTCAGCAACCTGATGGATTCTGGGGGGTTTCCTTCCTCGACTCTAGAAATTAAAACGAAATTTTGCCCAAGGTAAAGATGAGAACCGTTTACATCAACTGTCAGGCTTCTGCCCCAAACAAGAATGGCTACCCACGCCCACAAACAGAGCCACTCACGTAACTAAAAATGGTTGGCTCCGGGTTCCACCACTGGAGTCACTTTCTGCCCAACTTCAAAATGGCGCCCACTAGCTTCACCAAAAGGATCGAACTTCCCAGCACCCTCTCTGGCCCGTAACGTCAGGTGACGCGAGACCCAGCCGGAAGTGAAGGAAAAAGCGCTTCAGCCCGCGGCGCCTGCGCAGAACGCTCCAGACGCTGAGAGGCAGGAGGCACTAGGGATCGTCCGCAGGATTGGGACTGATACAGAGGCCGCCACGGAGCCCGCCGGAGCCACCGTTCCTGCTGCTGCCGCCGCTGCCCGAATCGGAACCGTCGGGCCGCAGCCGCCGGCAATGCCGCGAAGGAAGGTGAGAAACGGGAGAGGAGGGATGGCGGGTTTCTAAGGACAGTCGATTGAGCACCGTGACGCAGTTGGCCACGCCTCACAGTGCTTGGGTCCCAACTTTCCGCTCCCCCGAACCTTGTTCAGCTACCCTCTCTTCTGTCCATACCCAACAGAAAAATGTGGGCCCGACCCTGGCCTCGGCCTATGCTTGCAACTATTCCCGCCCTCTGCTTGCCTGGATCGGAGGCGTTCTTATTAATTGGTCGCTGAAACGTCTGGAAGCATATTGATTGGCTGGTGACGCCGCCTGTTTGGGCTCAACGGTCACCTCCCCGCGTGCGGGGGCGGTGTCTGGCCCCGGCCCCAGCGCTCTCCCACTGGCTGGAGAGAACGATCCCTCCTCTCCTGATTGGTCGAGGTTGGCAGTCTGTCCTGTGGGGGCGCGGCTTAGGCGGACCTCGATTGGGTGGCCCGAATCCCCGCCTTTCCGAGCGGGGACGCTGATAGGTGCAGAGGCGGGGTTTTGGAGGCCTCGTTACCTTCCAGGTGAGGGGCACAACAAAGCAGAAGACTGGGTGGTGGGAAGCCAGCGCCCACTCGCAGGGGATCCCTCTCAGGCCAGTTGCCTCTTTCCTTATTTGCTAGTTCGACAGCGCCTAGAAAATGCAGTTGGTAAAAACTAAAAACTTCTAGAATTAGAAGGCACTTAGAAGATCACCCAGGAATGGCCCCGTCGTTTCTTCTTACAGCTGAACTAACGGAGGCCCATGGAGTGCCGCAAGCCACTCAGGCAGTGGCAGATCCAGAATATAGAACAAATCTAACTCAATTCAACAAATGTCTATTGACTACTTTCTGCGCGGTGGTTGCTGTGGATTCAGAAATTAATTAGATGTGATCCCTGGCTTAAGGGTGTCACAGCCCGATAGGAGAAAACAGACATGAATAATCTTAGAAGGATCTAGTAAGTTCTCAGCTTGGAGGTGTATACAAGGTGTTGCTGGAAGGAAGTGAAGGAGCAGTTAAGTCTGCCCTGGAGTACAATGGGAGATATATTGGTAAAAGCCACAGAGAAGAGCTGAGTTCCAGGATCAAGCCAGGAAGGAATAAGTCTCACGTCAAGGCTTTAAATATCTCGGTAATTAGACTATAATGGTGACTTTTAAGATTCCCCCTTCATTTCAGCCGTTTTCTGTGATTCTTGCTCATTTCCTGGCAGGTTACCCTTAAGATACTTGGAAAACTGGGTGGTATTCTTGCTCATATCAATAGAAATCTTTCTCTTCACAGCGGCTTTTCAGGTTGAAAATGTACACTTTTTAATGTCTCCTAAAATGACCTCAGCTGGTGGGTGGTATGTATGTGTTTTTTTGTTTGTTTGTTTTTGAGACGAGGTTTTGCTCTTGTTGCCCAGGTCGGAGTGCGATGGCGTGATGTTGGCTCACTGCAACCTCCGCCTCCCGGGTTCAAGCGATTCTCCTGCCTCAGTCTCTCTAGTAGCTGGGATTACAGGCGGATTCCATGACGCCCAGCTAATTTTTGTATGTTTAATAGAGACGGGATTTCACCATGTTGGTCAGGGTGGTTTCGAACTCCTGACCTCAGGTGATCCACCCGCCTCGGCCTCCCAAAGTACTGGGATTACAGGCATGAGCCACCACGCCCGGCCGGTGGTATGTATGTAAAGGCTCACCAAATGCAGGAATAATATTGGTGCCTTGAAATAGGGCCACAGTCCTCTTTCTTAATTTCCCAAATACCGGGAGTTACTTGAAAATGTACATTTTTTTAGTAACCTGTTTGGCGGCAAACCTGTCTTAATCTGTCCTGAGGCTACTTATGGTTTTTGTGTGTCTCATTTAGTGTGACTGTTTATATTTTTTGCTGCAGAAATACTATTATGTTTTGTTATTGGGTGGTATTTGCAGGATACATGCAAAGTACTCCCCTTCTAAAAATCCAAAACAATTACAAATTCTAAACACAACTGGCCCTCAGGGTTTTGAATAAATAATTGGGACTTACAGTGTGAATCTTTGTATTGTTTTCAGTAAATATTTTTTCCTTTCTGGTTTTGTAAAGGGTATAGTGTTAGTGCTTAATTGATAAAAGTTATCTTTATGGCTAAGAAAGAACTCCTCAGGAGGATAATAATTGACAAATCCTTGCTCATTGAAAAGATGGTTTTGAAAACAACTGTTTTTGAATACCCATGAGTCTTCATGTGCAAGCTGCCTTTTTGGAAGATAGATGGCTTTCATGTGGAGAAACGTCAAGGATAGATGGCATACGCACTAACAATTTTCATCTTTTTCTGCTTAAATTCTTTTGGGATTAGAGTTGTGGTCCATGATATTTTGAGATAGTGTATGGTTTTTAAAAAATGTGATAGCTTTTCATGGAGACATTGAACAAAAGCTACTCTAAGTTAAATGAGGTCCAGCACCAACGATTTTCTCACTACAGTGGACCTTTTTTTGTGATATTGATCTCCAAATGGTCTTGGTTAATACTTAGTACTAATACAGTAAGAATTAATTCTCTTCATGGCCGGGTGTGGTGGCTCACGTCTGTAATCCCAGCACTTTGGGAGGCCAAGGCGGGTGGATCACCTGAGGTCAGGTGTTCAAGACCAGCCTGGCCAACATAGTGAAACCCCGTCTCTACTAAAAATACAAAAATTAGCTGGGCATGGTGGCGGGCGCCTGTAGTCCCAGCTACTCGGGAGGCTGAGGCAGGAGAATCACTTGAACCCGGGAGGCGGAGGTTGCAGTGAGCCACGATTGCGCCCTTGCACTCCAGCCTGGGCAATGAGAGCGAATGAAACGGAAGCTCTTCATTTATTTAACAAAATTCCCTATTTGTAGGTTGTTCCATTTAAGTGTTCTAAATAAAGTGAAGTTGCCTGAGGGGGTGGGAGGATGAGAAATGCTTGTGGAATCCTTATTTAGGTTTGAACTTGGGGTTTTCAGTGTCACAGCTTGTTTTATTTTCAATGTTAATGCAAACTCTCAGACCAAATGCTTCTGTGCTAATATCTGGATCTATGGTATTACAGAGGAATGCAGGCAGTAGTTCAGATGGAACCGAAGATTCCGATTTTTCTACAGATCTCGAGCACACAGACAGTTCAGAAAGTGATGGCACATCCCGACGATCTGCTCGAGTCACCCGCTCCTCAGCCAGGCTAAGCCAGAGTTCTCAAGGTAAAAAAACCTTCATTTTTCCTTACCACTCCTCACATCTGGCTGACTGGCCCATCACATTATTTTCCTAGTTAATGTGGAAACTGGCCCCTTGGCTTGGTGTAGATGACAGTGCACCAGATGATTGGTAAAATGTAGAGTGAATGCAGAGTTGTCAGGTCTTTAACAATGCCTCTGTGGGGGGCTACTATCCAATCTGTAGACCCAAAGGAACTGCGGATGGTATAATGGATAGAGACACACGTATGTCTTGAGTCATTTGTTTGTTTGTTTGTTTGTTTTTTTAGATCGCAGTGTCTCCATCAGTAAAATTGGAATGTTATCCCTTCACTTTCTGTTTGAATGTTTGAGGCTTAGGGACTTGAAGTCCAGATGGTATCTGATTTATGGTGGCTTGATTTAATTTTTTTTTTTAACTTTACAGTGGTGCTAAAACAATATGCATTCAGTGGAAACTTTTAGAATTTTGAATTTCGGTCTTTTCCTGGGCCAGTGATATGTGGGCCAAATATTTTCTCATGTTGCTGAGTGGTGGCAATGAGCCATAATAACTCCAGTCAGTGAGCCGTAACTCCCAGTCAGCCATTTGATCATGAGGGTAAACCAGTACTCTTCAGTGTACTGTCTTTAATAAATTATATGCAATATTCAACACTTTATTAAAAATAGGCTTTGTGTTAGATGATTGTGCACAATTGTAGGCTAATGTAAGTGGTTTGAGCCTATTTAAAGTAGGCTAGGCTAAGCTATGATGCTCGGTAGGTTAGGTGTATAGCGGTTTTTTTTATTTTCTGGAGACAGGGTCTTGTGCTCTGTTGCACAGGTTGGAGTGCAGTGGTGTGATCTTGGCTCACTGCAGCCTTGACCTCCTTGGCTCAAGTGATCCTCCCACCTCAGCCTCCTGAGTAGCTGGGACTACAGGTGCACGCCACCATGCCTAGCTAGTTTTCTTTGTTTTTTGTAGAGATGAGGTCTTATTATGTTGTCTAGGCTGGTCTCAAACTCCTGGACTCAAGCAGTCCTTCCACCTTGGCCTCCCAAAGTACTGGGGTTATAGATGTGAGCCACCATGTTCAGCCTGTAAATGCATTTT
Source organism: Homo sapiens (assembly GCF_000001405.40). Taxonomy (NCBI): domain Eukaryota; kingdom Metazoa; phylum Chordata; class Mammalia; order Primates; family Hominidae; genus Homo; species Homo sapiens. The sequence goes on from NC_000017.11 coordinate 49,793,127, forward strand.
TAACTTATAATACTTTCAACTTATGATAGTTTTATTGAGACTTAACCCCATTACAAGTCAAGGAGCATCTGTAGTCTCTTGGACTTACTCTTGGCAGAGGCCCACTTCTAAAACCATGTTTAACTCTGGAATGTAATCCAATAAACACTTGATAGATATTAATAGTTGTACCAAAATATCAGTGTGGAAATAATGGAATTTTGCTTTGGTAATAAGGAATTGAGAATCTTGGGGTTGGAAGGTAGTTTGAACTATCTCTAGTGCATTTAGGCATCTGGGGTTAGATTTGGAGGGTACCCTTGACCCTCCTGGCTCTGCTCTGGTATTCCCTGAGGAGGAAAGAAGGTTGCAGCTAATACAGAAAGCCGATGATCAACAGGTGATAATAGATGAAGGGAAAAAAACTTTAACATGTTTTGAGCACTTCAACAGTGTTGCTTTGGTTAATTTTTTTTTTTTTTTTTTTTGAGATGGAGTCTAGCTCTGTTGCCAGGCGGAGTGCAGTGGCATGATCTTGGTTCACTGCAACTTCCGCCTCCTGGGTTCAAGCAATTCTCCTGCCTCAGCCTGCAAGTAGCTGGGACTACAGGTGCACGCCACCGTGCCCAGCTAATTTTTGTATTTTTAGTAGAGATGGGGTTTCACCATGTTGGCCAGGATAGTCTCAATCTCTTGACCTCATGGTCTGCCTGCCTTGGCCTCCCAAAGTGCTTGGATTATAGGCATGAGCCACCGCGCCCTGCTGCTTTGGTCACTTTTATATGAGTATGTTGCACAATGAGAGAAAAACCATCAGTTTTTCAAGCAAGAAAGTGGGAATATCCTCTTTAACAACTGTTCCTAACTTTATTTTTGAATTTAGGATTTCAGCTAAAGTATTGCTATTGTCTCTTGATTTCTTAAGCTTTAAATTTTTACCACAATGAGACTATGGATAAATAGCTACTATAACTCAAGCAGTATGTTATGTACTAGGAACCATGATAGAAAAATCATAGTTCCTGTCCTCAAAGATCTTACAGTTCAGTGCAAGATACAGATATGAAAATTGATCATGGGAATACATTATGGCAAGGGCTGTGAGAGGGGTTTGCATAGAGTACTACATAAGCCCAGAGGTGGGACAGCCAACTTAGGGCAGCACTCCCACAATGATGAAGTCTTTTTTGTTGTTGTTGAGACAGAATCTCGCTCTGTCGCCCAGGCTGGAGTGCAGTGGCATGATCTTGGTTCACTGCAGCTTCCGCCTCCTGGGTTCAAGGAATTCTCCTGCCCCAGCCTCCCAAGTAGCTGGGATTACAGGCGAGCACCACCATACCTGGCTATTTTTTGTATTTTTAGTAGAGACAGGGTTTCACCGTGTTGTCCAGGCTTGTCTTAAACTCCTGATCTCAAGTGATCTGCCCGCCTCGGCCTCCCAAAGTGCTGGGATTACAGGCGTGAGCCGCCGTGCCCAGCTGCACACTGAGATGTCTTAAAGGCTCTGATAGGAATTTACAAGTTGAAAGATGGGAATATGTTATTCTCGGCAGATGGAACAGCATATGCTAAGGAAAAGACATAATGTTTGTAGGAAGTATAATTGACCATGCCCTAGACACCTGAAAACTAAATATTCAAAACAGCTAGGAAATGCGTAAGCACTGAGTCTCTTTCTGGTTATCATACCTCATGACCACAGAGTTGCACAACTCCAGGGGTACCATTTACAATGTCAGCAATGTAAGGTGGTCCTCCCTAGAGCACAAGGTAGATCATATTGTGAAAGGAGGCCCCTTGGAGATGTACAAATGGATAACCTTGCTCTGTGCTAACTTTTCTCACCCGAAAGTTTGGAAATTTTCAGTTTTCTTCTTTAGAGAATCTATAAGATTTCTTCAGATTTTTTTTTTTTTTAAATATACGTTGGGGGGTGCAGCCGTGAGAGAGTGAGGCTGACACCGCGCCCTGGCCTGTGCATCCCGCCCTCTGAAAAAAAAATTAATTAATTAAAATAAAATATACTTTAGAGAGGATTTTGACTGTTCTCACCACAAAGAAATGACAAGTGTTTGAGATATGGATATGCTAATTATTTTGATTTCATCATTACACAATGTATACGTCTATCAGAACATCACAGTATACTCTATAAATATGTACACTTACATGTCAATTAAAACAAAACTAAGACTGCTAGGGGCTTACACGGAGGGAATTGAGCCAGCATCACCACGATGGTGTTGTTGGAGAGTGAGCAGTTCCTGACGGAGCTGACCAGACTTTTCCAGAAGTGCTGGACATCGGGCAGCATCTATATCACCTTGAAGAAGTATGGTGGTGGAACCAAACCCGTTCCAAAGAAAGGTTCTGTGGAGGGCTTTGAGCCCTCAGACAAGTGTCTGTTAAGAGCTATCGATGGGAAAAAGAAGGTCAGCACTGTGGTGAGCTCCAACCAAGTGAATAAGTTTCAGATGGCTTATTCAAACCTACCGAGTGCTAACATGGATGGGCTGAAGAAAAGGGACAAAAAGAACAAAAGTAAGAAGACCAAAGCAGCAGCACAGTAAAGGGCACAAATTTCCTGCTTTCACCAATTAACCACTGAATTGTTATTTTTTCCTTTGGTTTTTACTTTTGGCCACATAGCTAGGTTTCTGGTTCCCCTACACTAGGTGTTTTCACATAAGATGTAGGGTCCTTTTGCAAAGAATAGTTGCAATGTTTATAGGGCAGTTGTGGTAAGAATCTAGTTTATTTTACATTTGGCTAATTGGTCTGTACTGCATGGTTATATACTCCTGGATTATAGATTAAAAGTCTCTGTAGTCATCTCTGTGAAGAGCAAGCTATGATTAAACATGTCTCTTTATAAAAAAAAAAGCACAAAAAAACTAAAACATATCTACATATATTTTTTAAAAATGCTTTAATTTCAGCTTTGAATTTTCCTTCATTTCCTTTGTCCTCAGGTTGGAGATATAAAAGGGCTGCTGAGTGCCTCAGAATAGGTTTTTCTATCCAAAAAACTTAAAATGCTGCATTCCTGCTTTACCTTTATGAATCTATTATGACAGTGCCAGAGAGGGTAATAAGAAAGAAAAAAAAATCGGCCCCTTAAGAAAGGAAATCGTTTTGTTTGTTGTTATATCTTTGGTAATAGAATATCTGTTTTATGGTGGGTTAGAAAAAGGGAAGAATGAGAGGATGCAGTTAATATTTATAAAGCACTCTGTACCACGGATCATGTTAAGTGCTTCACATGCATTATCTCACCTATTCCTCACCACAGTGTTATGAGGAATGTGCTACTAGTATTTTCCTTTTCAATAGGTCAGGAAACAGGCTTGGAGAAAATAACTTGCCCAAGATGCCACAGCTAGTTGGTATGGTGGAGTGGAGTTGAATCAAGTTCAGTCCTAATTCCAGAACCTAAACTTATTAATGCTGTACTACATTACATCTGTATACCTGAGCTAGGCTCTTTTGCTTATATTTTATTTAATTAAATAGATATTTTAAGGATTTGTTGGATTTTGTGAAATATGAAGAGGAGGAGGAGCGATATTCTGATAAATTATATGGATAGGAAGTAAAACAGATTTCCATCTTTTTTCTTTATTTTCTTTTAAAATTGGGATCAGATTCCAGTCCTGTTCGAAATCTGCAGTCTTTTGGCACTGAGGAGCCTGCTTACTCTACCAGAAGAGTGACCCGTAGTCAGCAGCAGCCTACCCCAGTGACACCGAAAAAATACCCTCTTCGGCAGACTCGTTCATCTGGTTCAGAAACTGAGCAAGTGGTTGATTTTTCAGATAGAGGTGAGTGGGTATGGTATGACTTAGACCTATTACAGAGCATCTGGGTGAAATTCTTTTTAAGGAGGGCTTGGGGCCACTGCAGGTAGATGCCTAATACTTCAGCTAGATGAATGCTGTTTGCTTGCTTCCTTTCTTATGTCTTTTTTTTTTTTTTTGAGACGGAGTCTCGCTCTATTGCCCAGGCTGGAGTGCAGTGGTGCAATCTTGGCTCACTGCAAGCTCTGCCTCCCGGGTTCACGCCATTCTCCTGCCTCAGCCTCCTGAGTAGCTGGGACTACAGGCGCCTGCCACCACGCCAGGCTAATTTTTTGTATTTTTAGTAGAGACGGGGTTTCACTGTGTTAGTCAGGATGGTCTCGATCTCCTGACCTCGTGATCCACCCGCCTCAGCCTCCCAAAGTGCTGGGATTACAGGTATAAGCCACCATGCCCAGCCTCCTTTCTTATACATTGCTGAGGACAGTTTGATATCAGAATATTCTCAAGGTCCAGAGTAGCTGGAGTATATTAAATCGTACCTGTAATAGGAAAAAGAGACTGGGCCCTTCTTAACCACATTTGAAAAGGGCTTGAAGCAGACTTTTCTTATAGCCATACTTCTCAGTCCATTTATCTCCAAATTTCTTAATGCAGAGGTCACAGACTGGTGAACTACTTCTAGCTGTCCGCATGGTTGGTTGGTTTGCTTGCACAGTGTTTAAAATTTTTTAAATTTGTTGCTAGTATTTGAAAACACAATGATTTCATATAAAAACCTGGATTAATAGTTTATTTTAAACAATGAAAAGATCTGGGAACACTGGGCGGCCAATCACCCATAGTAATAATTGGCTGGAGTTGAATAGTAGTTGTCCCCTTTAGATGGACAATGAGCTGTCTCTTTGGCCTTGCTGAGCCCCTGTAGGCATTTGGTTTGCAATTCCTGATTTAGAGTCTGGAATTTCAAGATTGAATTGTTAGACTACAAACAGGCTCACTCAAGACTCTAAGTCCATTCACATCTTACACCAAGCCTGTTCAGTGTCATCCAGAAAGATAATCACTGTCACTTATCTTCTGTCCTGTGTATCTCCTGGAAGGGAAGTGGGATAGTAATGTTTTAAAAACGTATTTCCATCTAGTTTTGATTATCCATGATTAGCAACTCAGGAGAAATACAGATAGGTGTAATAGATGAAGTACAAATTTAATTTTAATCAGAATTTAAAGTTGCACAAAATGGATGGTGTAGAAGTGCCTCTTCATTTTCCATTTAGCCATCTAGCAGATGAATAGCTGAAAGTTACTGGTTAAATCATAGAAAAAGAACCTGGGAAGCCCATAAACTCTGAATAGTAAACTTCTAAATAAATGAACTCCACTCATAACTTCTACCAATTGCTTTTGCTTTAGAAACTAAAAATACAGCTGATCATGATGAGTCACCGCCTCGAACTCCAACTGGAAATGCGCCTTCTTCTGAGTCTGACATAGACATCTCCAGCCCCAATGTATCTCACGATGAGAGCATTGCCAAGGACATGTCCCTGAAGGACTCAGGCAGTGATCTCTCTCATCGCCCCAAGCGCCGTCGCTTCCATGAAAGCTACAACTTCAATATGAAGTGTCCTACACCAGGCTGTAACTCTCTAGGTCAGTGTGCCCTAGCTTCATGACATCCTTTGTTCTGTGGTTCTCTCTCCCAGGATCATCCAGAAATGTTTTGTGTTCTGTTGGGATTTAGCTTCTTAGGCTCTTCAGTGGTCATGTGCTGAGTGATAATGAGTTGCTCACTTGAATAAAAGCATTTATCTTCTTGGCCGATGGTCCATAATAATAGATCTGGTTGTAAGGAAATTAACTATGATGAGCCATTCAGTTTATCCTAGAGCTTTTCCCAGTGAAAAATTCCCTCATTTTCCTAGCAAAAGCAAAAAAGACTATCTGCAGATATCTTACTGCATGGCACATAGCTCGTACTCAGTGAGGACTAGTTAAGGATAAGGTAGTGCAGAATAGTGGTTGCACGGCCATAGCTGTTAAGGAAATGAGAAAAACATTTCCTGTCAAGAGGCTGTGAAATTAGGAGTACACATGAGACCCTGGCCTTCTGTAACTTTAGTAGCTTAGGTTCCTTGCTTTGTGTACTTAGTAAGTATGAACAAGATAAAATATTTCTTCTGTGATAAATAAGTATCTTATTATATTCTTATGAGTTTTACCCCTTAGTGAATTACTTTAGAGATTCTTGTGGTTTGAACCTTATTTGTGCACCTTCAGTGAGCTGAGGTGCAAATATTGGGCTTAAGGTTTTGTCTAGAGTTGGAAGATGCTGATTGGGAGGTAAGGGGCCTTTCACTACTGGGTCTACTTCTCAAATTCACCCTTTGCATGTGGCTATCAAGTTTGAAAAACCGTAGAACAGAGTAAATTGCTGCTTGGCAGGCCAACAGTACACTTCCTGTAGTGTGTTTTGTTTGTTTGTTTGTTTTTGAGATGGAGTCTTGCTCTATTGCCCAGGCTGGAGTGCAGTGGTGTGATCTCGGCTCACTGCAACCTCCGCCTCCCAGGTTCAAGCGATTCTCCTGCTTCAACCTCCTGAGTAGTTGGGATTACAGATGCCCACAACCACACCTAACTTTTGTATTTTTAGTAGAGATGGGGTTTCGCCATGTTGGTCAGGCTGGTCTCGAACTCCTGACCTCATGATCTGCACGCCTTGGCCTCCCAGAGTGCTGGGATTACAGGCATGAGCCTTTTGTTTGTTTTTATAGAGAGACAGGGGTCTCACTTTATTGCCCAGGCAGAGGTGCAGTGGCATGATCATAGCTCACTGCAGCCTTAACTCCTAGGCTTAAGTGATCCTCCCATCTCAGCCTCCCAAGTAGCTGGGACTACAGGCACGTGGCTTTCAAGCTTGGCTTTTTTTTTTTTTTCTTGTTTTTTAGTAATGAGGTTTTTGCTGTGTTGTTCAGGTTGGTCTTCAACTCCTGGGCTCAAGCAATCCTCCCCACTCAGCCTGCTGAGTAGCTGGGACTACAAGCGTGAGCCACCATGCCCAGTGGTTTTCTGTAGTGTTTAATTAATTTGGATTGTTTCCTGGCCTTTTTTTTTTTTTTTTTTTGAGACTGAGTCTCGCTCTGTCCCCCAGGCTGGAGTGCAGTGGCGCGATCTCGGCTCACTGCAAGCTCCGCCTCCCGGGTTCACACCATTCTCCTGCCTCAGCCTCTCGAGTAGCTGGGACTACAGGCGCCTGCCACCATGCCCGGCTAATTTTTTATATTTTTAGTAGAGATGGGGATTCACCGTGTTAGCCAGGATGGTCTCGATCTCCTGACCTCGTGATCCGCCCGCCTTGGCCTCCCAAAGTGCTGGGATTACAGGCATGAGCCACCACGCCTGGCCATTTCCTGGTCTTACAGCAGTTTCTCAGATAATTTCAAACCATCGGAATAAATACAGCAAAGTTGTCTTGAACTCCATACCAGTTGTCACTCGAAGATAATTGTTTCAGGCCTGCATTGATTTCCTTGGAATAAATAATGAGAAAAACTAAGAAAGACAATATATTACACTAGTAGATGATATGATGGCTAATGTGCTTTAAGAGTTTAAGGGGATCTGCTTGCCATGCATCAAGAAAAGGAATTTTCCTCTGCTTCTGCTTGTTACTAACCATGCATTGCTAAATTGTTAATTTTATGTACTATATTTGGTCATTCATGCAGCAAATATTTACTGAATATTGGTCATGTGCCAGATACTGTTTTAAGTTATGAGGATGTAGCTATGAACAAGTCAAAGTCTCTGCCCTCATGGAGCTTATAGTCTAGCTGAGAAAGGCAAATAGATAGACGTGTAATATATCAACTGGAGATAAATGCTGTGAAGGAAAATGAAACTGGGAGTACTGAGGGTAGGATATTGTGTGTGTATATACATACATATGTGTATGTATATGTGACATATATATGTAGTTGGCTAGGAAAAGCTGCTGTGATATGGTCACATTTGAGCGGAGACTTGCTGTTGGAATATTTGAGAATAAGCATTATGGGTAAGGAGAACAGCAAGTGCTCTGGGCAAGAGAATAGTTAACCAGTTTGAGGAACACTTAGAGGCCAATATACCTGGGGCAGAATGACCAGAACGGAGAGGAGGAGATAGGTCAGAATGGGGCCTGATTGTGTTATTTATGCCCAGGAGTTAACCTCTTAATGGGGTAGACCATAGGGTAAATAAAAAATATGTTGTATTAGAGGAAAGTTTACTTGTATTTGTTTATTTATTTATTTTGGAGACAGAGTCTCACTCTATAATTACCAGGCTGGAGTACAGTGGCGTGGTCACTCACTGCAACTTCCGCCTCCCGGGCTCAAGTGATTCTCATGCGTCAGCTGCCTGAGTAGCTGGGGATTACAGGCATGTGCCACCACGCCTGGCTAATTTTTGTATTTTTTAGTAGAGACAGGGCTTTGTCATGTTGGCTAGGCTGGTCTCAAACTCTTGGGCTCAAGTGAAAAAGTTTACTTTGACTTTGGTTTTAATGTATTGGAACTTTGAAAAATATGAACCCGAGCTTCCAAAGTATCCTTTTTTTTTGAGGCAGAGTCTCACTCTGTCACCTAGGCTGGAGTGCAGTGGTGCAATCTCAGCTCACTGCAACCTCCACCTCCCAGGCTTAATTGATCCTCCAACCTCAGCCTCCCAAGTAGCTGGGACTACAGGCACATGCCACCATGCTCAGCTAATATTTGTATTTATTGTAGAGACAGGGTTTCACCATGTTGCCCAGGCTGGTCTTGAACTCCTGGGCTCAAGTGACCCTCCCACCTCAGCCTCCCAAAGTGTTGGGATTACAGGCGTGAGCCACTGCACCGGGCCCCAAAATATTCTTGACCCTAGTCTATTCCTTAAGAGTTTTATGTACTTGTGAAAAATTAAAACTCTATAGGAAAGTTTGAAGTGCATTAAGTAAAAATTGCCCTTAACTCATACCCGCAGAACTGTGCCACAGATACAAAACTTCTGTTTGCAGTTTTCTATGAATGCTTCCAAGAAGTTTTTCTACATATATAAGCACACGTATATGTACACATATTTCCTTTTTGTGATTATTCATAAAACGGAAAATAGGATACATTTGTTCGTTGTACATCTTGGATATTTGTATTTAGAGGCTTGTCTTTTTAAAAGATACAGAGAATTTCATTATATTGATAGTTTATAAATTATTTAAATTGTCTCATTGACATTTAGATTGTTTCTCATTTTTAGCTTTTTTGAACAATATTGTAATGGGTAGCCTTGTATGTACATATTTTGGTGTCTTTCTAGCAAATCTGTAGGATAAATTCAGAGCAGTGGAATTTTTAGGTCAATAGATCAGCTGTTCCTTTTTTACTGTAGATAATAGATTGGTTTTATTTAACATATAAAAGAAAACATGCCCTGAATAAATTACTAAGAAGTATGGATATGCCTGGGTGCGGTGGCTCATGCATGTAATCCCAGTACTTTGGGAGGCCGAGGTGGGCAGATCACCTGAGGTCAGGAATTCGAGACCAACCTGGCCAAGATGGTGAAACCCCATCTCTATTAAAAATACAAAATTAGCCAGGCGTGGTGGCGGCGCTTGTAATCCCAGCTACTGGGGAGGCTGAGGCAGGAGAATTGCTTGAACCTTGGGAGGTGGTGGTTGCAGTGAGCTGAGATTGGCCATTGCACTCCAGCCTGGGCAACAAAAGGAGTGAAACTCCATCTCAAAAAAAAAAAAAAGACGTATGGATACATAGTATCTGAAAAGCAAGTCTTGCAGTATTAATGACATTACTTTTTTTGAGACAGGGTCTCTCTGTCACCTAGGCTGGAGTATGGTGGTGTGACCATGACTCACTGCAGCCTTGACTTCCTGGGCTTAAGTGATCCTGGCACCTCAGCCTTCTGAGTAGCCAGGACTACGGGCATGGACTACCGTGCCTGGCTAATTATTTTTCTTTTTGTAGAAATGGAGTCTCACTATGTATGTCACCCAGGCTGGCCTCAAGCTCTTGGAATCACATAGTCCTCCTGTGTTGGCCTCCCAAAGTGCTGGGATTACAGGTGTGAGCCACTGAGCCCAGCTGATGCTACATTGTATGTATGGTATTTGATCAGTGAGGATGGTTTTTCGTGTTCAAGATAATTTTGCGGACCTCTAAAATTGCATTTTTTTTTTTTCTGAGACGGAATCTTGCTCTGTTGCCCAGGCTGGAGTGCAATGATGTGATCTTGGCTCACTATAGCCTCTGCCTCCCAGGTTCAAGCGATTTGCCTGCCTCAGCCTCCTGAGTAGCTGGGATTACAGGCATGCATCACCATGCTGGTCTAATTTTTATATTTTTTTAAGTAGAGATGGAGTCTCACCATGTTGGCCAGGCTGACCTCAGGTGATCTACCTGCCTCGGCCTCCCAAAGTGCTAGGATTACAGGTGTGAGCCACCGTGCCTGGCCCTAAAATTGCATTTTTAAAATTTATTTATTTTATTTTATTTTTTTGAGATGGAGTCTCGCTTTGTCACCCAGGCAGGAGTGCAGTGGTGCAATCTCGGCTCACCGCAAGCTCCGCCTCCCGGGTTCACACCATTCTCCTGCCTCAGCCTCCCGAGTAGCTGGGACTACAGGCACCCGCCACCACACCCGGCTAATTTTTTGTATTTTTAGTAGAGACGGGGTTTCACCGTGTTAGCCAGAATGGTCTCGATCTCCTGACCTCGTGATCCGCCTGCCTCGCCCTCCCAAAGTGCTGTGATTACAAGTGTGAGCCACTGCGCCCGGCCTAAAATTGCATTTTTAATAATACAGTCCCGGAGAAATGATGGCCTGAATGTCCTAAAATCACCCATTCACCAGTACTTGGACTGTTTTTTCCTTTTAAAGTTTATTCTATAAATTATGTTGTGTAAGCTTTAAACTCCACTTTCTTCTTTACCCCAAATTAAATGTCTTTTTTTTTTTTTTTTATGAAAGATGAAGATTTTTGTAGACTTGCTATTCAGGTTAGCTAACTTTTTATCTCATTAGCATTGTCCTATGACCCCTTTCAATCTTAGGTGTTTTATAAACCTTTTGGTTGAAGAGAAATATATAAAAAGGAAATAATGTTCAATTCCCTGTGTGTTTTCAAAAAAACCAAATGAAAAATAGATGAATGGGCCGGGCGCGGTGGCTCACGCCTGTAATCCCAGCACTTTGGGAGGCTGAGGCGGGCAGATCACGAGGTCAGGAGATCGAGACCATCCTGGCTAACATGGTGAAACCCCATCTCTACTAAAAATACAAAAAATTAGCCGGGCGTGGCGGCAGGCGCCTGTAGTCCCAGCTACTCAGGAGGCTGAGGCGGGAGAATGGCGTGAACCCAGGAGGCGGAACTTGCAGTGAGCCGAGATCGCATCACTGCACTCCAGTCTGGGCAACAGAGCGAGACTCCGTCTCAAAAAAAAAAAAAAGAAAAATACATGAATGAAGAGATACCCATTTAAATAAAACAAGCTTTCGTGTTTTGTTATTCCTAACATTTTTACGTCTTCAGAAGGCCTTGTGTTACTGCCTGTTTCAGGCGTGGCTCATGCCTGTAATCCTAGCACTTTGGGAGGCGGAGGCAGGAAGATTGCTTGAGTCCAGGAGTTCAAGACCAGCCTGGGCAACACTGAGACCCGTTTCTACAAAAAATTTTAAAATGGGCCCAGCGTGATGTTGTGAGCCTGTAGTCCCAGCTACTTGGGAGGCTGAAGTGGGAGGATCACTTGAGCCCAGGAGTTCAAGGCTGCTTTGAGCCATGGTTGCACCACTGCATTCCAGCCTAGGTGACATAAAAAAATTTTTTAAAGTAAAAAAATCTGATTATAGAAGAATCCTAAATCTTTAAGCAAAACTCAGTTCTCCCTCCAAAAAATAAGTATTTAATCTGGTTTAAAGTTATGTAAGTATGTTTACTTATATGATAGAAAAGGCCGCTTCTCCATTTTTCATAAATTTGAGTATTGAAAGGGGTTAAATTCAGGTTGGATAACATTGCACAGTAGAAAGAAAAGTACACTTATTCTACATATAACCTGATTAATTTAGTATAGGAGAGTTACATTCCACCAAAAGAAAGTGTTCCTGTTCATAGTCTTGGGCTTTAATTACAAATGTTGACTTCGTGACATTTTGAGATTTGAGAAGTCTAAGAGCAGAAAGAATTATAGTTTATATTGATCATACATAAGCATGTTCAAAGACTGCCAGATCCATCCTGTGGAAGAAAAGAATGAGTGTAAGTTATAGCCCTACCAGCCTTATGTTTGGTGGATTCAGTCTGATCAGACATATATTTGATAAAAATGATGTAGCAAAAAAACAGGTTTGTCTTAGAGAAACATACTACTTTCTAAGCTTGTCTTCTTTCTTGAGATTAAGTTTTCCCTCCTTTAACAGGACACCTTACAGGAAAACATGAGAGACATTTCTCCATCTCAGGATGCCCACTGTATCATAACCTCTCAGCTGACGAATGCAAGGTAATTGTGCTCTCATTTATTCAACACATGCTTATTGAGTGCTTACCGTTTGCCAGGCACTTTGCTGAACACTGGGGATACAGTGGCCAACAAGATGGGTAGGGTCCTTGTTCTTACATTGTAGTGGAGGAAACATAAAAAACAATGTGCTTTTTTAGAAAAAACTAGTTAAACAGACAAAAGAATTGTAATATGTAATGAGTGCTTTGAGAGAAGTTAACAAGGAGATTATGAAACGTTTGGAACATCAGCCACTAGTGCATTGATATTTTCTGTTGAAAATTGGCTTCGAAGACTGCTAGGGACTTATTGCACTAAGGAATAACTTGCATAAATATGTGATCTTAATATTTATGCATTCGGTTCTCTTCTCATAAATCTATGAAGTCATTTTGCTTTTAAAAACCTTTCATAATTCTTGTTCCTTTTTCTGTCCATTTCTGTGAAATACTTTTTGTTACTCTCAGTCACACCTACTTTTGGCTAATTCATCTTTTAAATTCTTGAAACCTAGCTCCTAAATAACCTTTGGGATTTTGAGATAATGTATTTAAGTAGAAGCTCAGATCCCATTTGTGCGTTCTTGTGTGGGTTGCTGTTCCCAAGGATGGAACCGAAGATCTAATTATGGGGAAGCAAGAGTGGAAAATGTTATTAATTAAATGGATTGCTTGAGTAGTATTGGACAGGTTATCTAAGCTGGTTAGACCAAAGTATTATTGTTGTTTTTGTTGTTACTTTGCTAGTGACACCAGGGTCACAGGTTTATTCCTGTCTGAGCCAATTTCATTGTGAGGAAAATTAGATTCCCTAGCTAACATTAATTTTCCTTGATTCAGAATTTGTTCTCTTATTTACAGGTAGACCGCAGGGGTGAAAGTTTCTTTTGTGTGGTTAGTCTTTCAGCAAAGTAGTGTACTTTCCGTGCTTATATGGATTTTAAGGTCAATGACCCTACTCTTATTTTTCTTCATTCCAAATCATTTTATAAGTGGCAATTCCTTCTGCTCTGTGTAAAAGTGAGTTGTAGATCTTCCCATTGTCCTCCCATTATTCTGGGACTAAATCAAAACAGAAAAAGCTGTGCCCACATCTATGTCAGAAGCAGGAAAGGCTTCAGGTACTTCTTTCTCAGAAAATAACTGCGATCCCTGCTTTTTGAGAGTTGTCCTCTACCACTTGTCTCTAAATACAATGATCTGATACTATGGATGGTTTTACATAAAAATCTTCCTGAGATGTCTTTTGCTTTTGAAATTGTTAGTTTGTAGCAATATGACCATGTAACGTTAAGCAGTTTATTTTAGAAAAAGAAAAATTTCAGTTTGGTGAAGAAAATTCTGACCAAAGGAAAACATTTCTATCTTGAATTTATCCTCTTTGTTCTCTCTTCTTTGCAAGGGGCATTAGGCGCAGAATAATCCATCTTTACTACTGGAACATGTGCATGGAGGATCAGGAGAATTTCTGAGATGATATATTTTTATTACATTTAGAACCCTAAGTGGAAAGATTAGACAAATTCCCCACATTTATTAACAGCTCTAGTGTTTTTGAAGAACCTGCATATACATGATTGCTCTTGAGTTTCCCAGGACACCCTTGCGATCAGTGATGTTACATTTGTATTCAGTCATATATTTCTGTAGCTGCATGTGCCAAATACAGGTATCTGAGGATTCAGTGAATAAAAGACTGCATTTAAGGAGCTCATGTTCTCACAGGGGGAGGCAACATAAACCTTCAAATTAATAAGTAAATAATTTTGTGTAGTGATAAATATTGTGAGGAAAAAAAGACGAATGATATAGAGAGAGTCTGTTTCGGGGGTGAGGGTAGGGATAGCACTGCTTTTCCCAGGATGGTCCTGGAAGACATTCCTGAGGAGATGGCATTTGATCTGGGACGTGAATGATGGCAAAGAAGCAGTTGTGTAAAGATCTAGAAGAAAAGATATCTTAAGTAGAAGCAACAGCAAGTGCAGAGGCCATGAGGCGCGGCTAAACTGATGGGTTTGAGAGGCTGAATGAAAGTAGGCCGTGTATGGCTGGATCCAGATCATAAAGGACCTTGTGGACCTTGGCACAGGAGTATATTTTTGTTCTGATAGAATGAGAAGCATTTGGGGGGCTTTAACAAAGGCATGACAGGATTTCAGGCACGCTTTTGAAAACTGAAGACTTGTTAACGTGGAGAATGGAGTGTGGGGGCAAGAGTTGATGCAGGGTATAGGGTGCTTGGGAAACTGCATGGAAGTTCAGGCAGTAGTTGGTGGACTGGACTAGCTTTGTATCGGCAGCAATTCTAAGACTAGGTTGGATTCAGGATACGTTTTAGAGGGGAGCAACCCGTTAGGCTTGCTGATTGATTTGATGTGAGGTGTGAGAAAAGAGAAGAATCTAGGATAACATTCAAGTTGTTGACTGGATCAGCTATTTAGACAGTATTGCCATTTATTAATACTGGGAAGATTTGGGGTAGAGCAGATTTGTGGAGAAATGCCAGTCGTTCTGTTTTGACCATTCTGAGTTTTAGTGGTGAAGTGGAATAAGCAGTTGGATATCAGTTCCCAATTCCCAGATTATGAAACAGAAACTGTTGAGAGCTGATGTGATTTGTCTGAGGTCATGTAACTACAGAATTAAGTTTCCCTGGAGACTTGAACCCAGGTTTTCTTTTTTTTTTTTTTTTTTTTTGAGACAGTCTCGCTCTGTCACCCAGGCTGGAGTGCATTGGTGCAATCTCAGCTCACTGCAGTCTCAGCCTCCTAGATTCAAGCAATTCTCATGCCTCAGCCTCAAGTAGCTGGGATTACAGGTGTGCGCCACCACGCCTGGCTAGTTTTTGTATTTTTAGTAAAGACGGGGTTTCACCATGTTGCCCAGGCTGGTCTTGAACTCCTGGCCTCAAGTGATCTGCCCACCTTGGCTTCCCAAAGTGCTGGGATTACAGATATAAGGCACTGCATGTGGCCAAGCCCAGGTTTTCTTTCTTTCTTTCTTTCTTTCTTTTTTTTTTTTTTTAAGACAGAGTCTCACTCTGTTGTCCAGGCTGGAGTGCAGTGGTGCGATCTCGGCTCACTGCAACTTCTACCTCCCGGGTTCAAGCAGTTCTCCTGCCTCAGCCTCCCGAGTAGCGGGGATCACAGGCGCCTGCCACCATGCCTGGCTAATTTTTTGTATTTTTAATAGAGACGGGGTTTCACCATGTTGGCCAGGCTGGTCTCAAACTCCTGACCTTAGCTAATCTGCCCGCCTCAGCCTCCCAAAGTGCTGGGATTACAGGCGTGAGGCACCACACCCAGCCCAAACCCAGGTTTTCTAATGTTTTCTTTGTACTTCCATACTCTATTCTTGCACTTCCTCATGCTTTTTTAATTTATTTATTGTACTTTGAGAAGAGTCCAGGCTCAGAGTCATCAGACATGATTAAAACCTTAGTGATCCCATCATTTAGCTGGATCATTTCAACTTCTCTGATCCTGTTATTGGCTGAGAAGGCAGAATGTGAATCTTGCATTATCTCTTTCTTGTAGAGATTGTGACAATAAGTGTGAAGACCCTTTGAAAGTAAAGTACAACATAAATCCAAGGCATTATCATTGTATTCTTATGCTTTAAGTAAACGTAGTCTTAGAAGCAGGTGGATTTATTGACGTTGTTGATGGTTGCAGGTGAGAGCACAGAGCCGGGATAAGCAGATAGAAGAAAGGATGCTGTCTCACAGGCAAGATGACAACAACAGGCATGCAACCAGGCACCAGGTATGGGCCTTGTTAAAGCACTGGCCATTCATAGTTTGAGGTCCGTTTCTTGGATCTCCTCTATAATTGTCTTCAGGCATGTCTGTGCCTCATTTCCTGTGGTATATCTTCCAGATGTAAACTTAGAATCATGTTTGTTTTTCAAACAGTAAATTTTCATAAAACAAACACTTCTACCTCATGAATGAAGGAATCATGCTATCTACAGTAGTAGTAATAGTAGTAGCAGTAGTAGTAGTAGATAATTCTGATTATTTGAAAGATTACACTTGCTGCTTCATTTCCTCACTTCGCATCCTTTAAGACTATTGTAGCTTTCAAACCTCTCCACTCTGCTAGCACCTTTCCAAGGCCACCAGTGACTTTTCCCCAGCATTTGACACTTGCTGACTGTGTTATTTGTCTTCTACTTATCTCTTCCCTTGGTTTGTAGGGAGCATCCTGGCTTGGTCCTAAACCTCCTCCTGCCTCTCTGAACATTCCTGCCACATTGGTTCACTTACTTCCTTGTTCTTCCCTAAATGCCTTTGGTCTTCACTCTTCCTGTTTTCCTGCCTGGAACGCTATACCTGTACCAAGAACAGATGGTATTTTCTTTCAAGGCCCGTGCAGTTCTCAGCTGTTGGAGGAATTTTTCCCAAATTCTCTCCCACCGTTAAGGAATTTCTTCCTTATGTATTCCCATTGTAGTGCTCTCAAAATGTTAGCCTTTGTGACATATTATATTTTGTTCATCATTTAGGTGTCTGTTTTTGCAGTTAGATTATAGTTGGATAGCAGAGATATATGGTGATGAGGAAGAAGTTTGACTTTGGAGCCAAACAGATGTGAATTTGAATACTGATTATTTAACTCTAGCTATGTTGTCCCGGGCAGGTCAACTAACCTATTTCTTTGTTAATAAGAAGAGGTGAATAATGCCTACCTGGCAGGGGAGTCAGCTAAATTATGTATGTAAAGTACCTATACCCAGTGCTTGGCAGGTAAAAAGCACTCCATAAGTGGTAACTACACTTTTCTTCGTTGTCTATCTTAGGTTTAATTTAATTTAATTTATTTATTTTTTAGACAGAGTTTCACTCTTTTTGCCCCGGCTGGAGTGCAGTGGTGTGATCTCAGCTCACTGCAACCTCCATCTCCCAGGTTCAAGTGATTCTCTTGCCTCAGTCTCCCAAGTAGCTGGGATTACAGGGGCACGCCACCACGCCCAGCTAATTTTTGTATTTTTAGTAGAGACAGGGTTTCACCATGTTGGCCAGGCTGGTCTTAAACTCCTGACCTCCAGTAATCCACCTGCCTTGGCCTCCCAAAGTGCTGGGATTATAAGCATGAGCCACGGTGCCCAACCTTGGGTTTTATTCTTATTCAGTTTTTCTATTTAAATTAATACATATAAATGAATTTTTGTACCACTGTTGATCAGATCAATAAGCATTAATTGGAAAACAGTAAGCATTCTATAAATGATTAGTTGAAATGATCTTAATTTTATTCTTGTTGCTTTGGTGGAGACGTCTATCCTTAGTTTATGTTAGTAGTAAAATAAGTTTGTATTCCTGAACCTATATTTAACTGGCAGTAAAGGTGGTGGGTGATGAGAACCTGATTTGGAATTTTTAAATTGCCATATTCATGAAAAATTTAGCTGGGCGTGGTGGTGTACACCTGTAGTCCCAGTTACATGGAAGACTGAGGCAGGAGGATGGCTTGAGCACAGGAGGTAGAGGTTGCAGTGAGCCGCGATCGTGCCGCTGCATTTCAGCCTAGGTGACAGAGCGAGACCCTGCCTCAAAAATAATACAAATGAATAAAATAAAATTGCCATATGATTTGCATTGTGGCTAGAAAATTTCTGGCATTTTTTTCTCTTTAAAATTTTTTTACATGTTTTGGTACCTTCTTTTTTTTTTTTGTTTTTGTGCCAGAGTCTCGCTCTGTCTCCCAGGCTGGAGTGCAGTGGCATGACTGGCTCACTGCAACCTCTGCCTCCCAGGTTCAGGTGATTCTCCCACCTCAGCCTCCCGAGTAGCTGGGATTACAGGCGTGCACCACCATGCCTGGCTAATTTTTGTATTTTTAATAGAGATGAGGATTCACCATGTTGTCCAGGCTGGTCTTGAACTCCTGATCTCAGGTGGTCTGCCTGCCTTGGCCTCCCAAAGTGCTGAGATTACAGGCGTGAGCTACTGTGCCGGGCCTTGGCACTTTCATTTTGAAGCTTAGCTTTATAAGGAGTTTTCTCTCAGTTTTCTCCTTTTTCCTTTTAGGCACCAACGGAGAGACAGCTTCGATATAAGGAAAAAGTGGCTGAACTCAGGAAGAAAAGAAATTCTGGACTGAGCAAAGAACAGAAAGAGAAATATATGGTGAGGGAAAGTTAAATATTTAATGAGCATGAACTCCTGCTATCACATTTGATTCCTTTTGCTTTCTGAGCTTCTGCCTTTCAGATTTGCCATTTAGTATTCTCCACATGTGAATACCAATTGACTCTTCTATGGCACTTAGAGTTTATTTCATCCCCCAAAACTGAATTGTTGAGAGTGGAAACAGGAGGTCTTGGGAAAATGAAATACAATTAGAATTTAAATTTTAAAAAATTTGATCCTCTAGTTGTTCATAAATTTTACTTTCATCTTAAAGGGTTAAATTTACCCGCTAGAACACATGCCATGGCACTGGAAATGTCTGTATGAAGAAAAATATTCAAGCTTAATAGTAGTCTGCTTATTTTAATGGAAAAATAGATTTCCTCCATGATTAAAAGGTATTAATTGGGTGAATATTCTGTAATAGACCTTCTTGTAGTATTTTAACATTTTTTTCTAACTTTAGAAGTAATGTACATTTGTAAGAGAATTTAGAGTGATTAAGCAAAGTATATGGAAGAAAACAAATCCTACTACCTAAAAATAGCCACAGTTAGTGTTTTTGGATATATCCTAGCTTTTTCACAATCTCTTATTTACATAATTACCTTCTTACTGTATGTAGCACTTTGAATTCTGTGTTTTCGCTTAAAAATCTTTTTTTTTTTTTTTTTTTTGAGACAGTCGGCCAGGCTGGAGTGCAGTGGCACAATCTCGGCTCACTACAACCTCTGCCTCCTGGGCTCAAGTAATTCTCCCGCCTCAGCCTCCCGAGTAGCTAGGATTACAGACATGTGCCACCACGCCCAGCTAATTTGTGTATTTTTAGTAGAGACGGGGTTTTACCATGTTGGCCAGGCTGGTCTCGAACTCCTGACCTCAGGTAATCTGCCCACCTCGGCCTCCCAAAGTGTTGGGATTACAGGCGTGAGCCACCATGCCCGGCCTTAAACATCTTTTTTTAGGAAAAGATTTTATTATAAATGTATTAATACATGCTTACTACTGAAAATACCAAAAATATAGAGAAGAAACATTCCAATAAAAAAAAATTGTCCTTCAAGATACAAACCACTGCTTAACATTTTGATGTGTGTTCTTTCACAGTCTTTTTCTTTTTCTTTCTTTTTGAGACAGAGTCTTGCTCTGTCACCAAGGCTGAAGGCTGGAGGCTGGAGTGCAGTGGTGCGATCTTGGCTCACTGTAACCTCTGCCTCCTGGGTTCAAGCAGTTCTCTGCCTCAGCCTCCCAAGTAGCTGGGATTACAGGCGCCCACCACCACACCCGGCTAATTTTTGTATTTTTAGTAGAGATGGGGTTTCACCATGTTGGCCAGGCTGGTCTTGAACTCCTGACCTCGTGATCCACCCGCCTCGGCCTCCCGAAGTGCTGGGATTATAGGCATGAGCCACTGCACCCAGCCTTTTTTTTTTTTTTTTTTTTTTTTAAATTTATTTATTTTAAATTTTAGATAAGGGTGTACATGTGCAGGTTTGTTACATAGATCTATTGTGTGATGCTCAGATTTAGGCTTCTAATGATCTTATCCTGTCACCCAAGTAGTGAACATAGTGATAGGTAGTTTTTCAACCCTTGTCCGCCTCCCCACTCTTGGAATCCTCAGTGTTTATTGTTCCCTTCTTTGTGTCCCTCTGTACCCAGTGGTTAGCTCCCACTTATAAGTGAGAACATGCTGTGTTTGGTTTTCTGTTTTTGTGTTAATTTGCTTAAGATAATGGCCTCCAGTTGCATCCATGTCGCTGCAAAGGACATGATTTCATTCTTTTTTATGGCTGCTCTTTTAGATTTTTTTCTGACATTTTAGTTTTTTTCATAGAATTGGAATGTTTTCTTATTCAGCCATTGGGATAGATTCTTAAACATAGGGCATGTGAATACTTAGTCAGAGCATGGCTTCACTAAGACAAAAATATGCCAGACTATGCATAGTTGACCCTTCGTATCCATGGATTTTGTTCCTGTGGATTCAACCAACCACGGATCGGAAATATTCCGGGAAAAAAATGTGGTTTGTACTGAATGTGTACAGACTTTTTCTTGTCATTATTTCTGAAATAGTAGTGTTAACAGCTATTTACATGGCATTGACATCACATTATAAGTAATCTAGAGATGACTTAAAGTATACTGCTGGATGTGCCCAGGTTATATGCAAATATGACATCATTTACATACGAGACTTGAGCATCCATGGATTTTGTTATATGCAGGGAGGTTGTGGGGGCGTTCCTGGAACTGGTCCCCCAGGGATATCAAGAGATGACTGTATTTCCTTTTTTTTTTTTTTGAGGCGGAGTTTTTGAGACAGAGTCTCACTCTGTCACCCAGGCTGGAGTGCAGCAGTGGTGCAATCACAGCTCACTGCAACCTCTGCCTCCTGGGTTCTGGGTTCAAGCAATTCTCCTGCCTCAGCCTCCTGAGTAGCTGGAATAATAGGTGTGGGCCACCACACCCAGCTGATTTTTGTAATTTTAGTAGAGACAGGGTTTTACCATGTTGCCCAGGCTGGTCTCAAACTCCTGACCTCAAGTGATTTGCCCACTTCGGCCTCCCAAGGTGCTAGGATTACAGGTGTGAGCCAGCACACCTGGCCTGTATTTACTTTTTTGACAGTCATCACTGTCTTAAATGCTAATTTTATGAATACATGGACATAGGCCAATGTAAGATGGGTTGTGGGGTGAATTTGTAGTTAGACCTTTACACCAGACTGTGTTGGTTTGTACAGTGAGGGCTTTAGTAGTGGGCTATAGGGTACCAGATTGTTTGCTTGCCCCAGTCTTGTTCACTGTTTCCATCTGCAAACTTGTTAGAAGGGTAATAAGACAATGATACCGTATATTGAGTGATTAGTGCTAGGCACTGTGATTGTGACGTTCCTTTGATCTTTTAACAGTCCAGTATGATTGGTGATATTTCCCATATTTTATATACAGGAAAACTAAGACTGAGAGAGGTAACTTACCTAAAATCATACAGGCAGAAAGAGTGTCTGAAGTAAAAGTTCTTGAAATTTTTAACCTTAACAAACATCTGCTCTGCTTTTTAGTAATTTGGGATAGGTTATTAGGACCCAACCTCCTTGATTAAAATGCTGGCTAGGACTTTTTTCAAGCTTTTTTTTTTCCAGTGTTCCTCAAAATAGAAGAAATAACTAATGCGTAGAACCCAAATCTTAGATGATAGAGTCCAAATTTAAAAAGATTCACAGCAGATGGAATCAGATTAACCGGAAGAAATTTTAATAGGGATAAAGATACTGATGAATGGTCTCTTCATATGGTAATATGTGTGTGAAATCTATAATGTTTTCCTGAGATAAGCCATCCACTCCACTTAACTACCATTATCTCCTATTCTCTGGATGGGAGGTGGAGCCTACAACAGAGTGGGAAGGGCTGAAATCAAAGGCTTAAAAGGGAAGTTTCCTTTGTAGAATCTCTTTCCTGGAAAGGATTCTTGTAGTGACTGCCATGGTAAGATTAGGGAATTATTTAAGACTGGATTATTCTCATGCTTTTAATTTTCTATGGCTTTCACCTGTCTTATTCTTGCTTAATATTTAGTAAGTCATTTTTAGAGAGTCCAGCCTATTTTTCTGTGTATGTGGACTGGAGTTTGAGGGTAGCACGCCTTTTGCAGACAGCATAATGGTGGCTGGAGCAATTCAAGTGAAAGAAGTTACAAAGGACTGCTTCATCCAGCTGCCCCTGCCCCTCCCTTCCTGCAGATTTTCTTTTGAGTCTAAAATCTTAGACACTAAGGCTTAGAAAATCTGGTTTTTGTTTGTTTTGTTTTTAAATCGGGGAGTATCTACCAAAGCTCCTTCCAAATCTCAGGATTCTGGGAATTTGTAGTGTCTCTGGGTTTGTTGTACTTTATTTATTTGTACTGTCATGTAAATTTTTACATGAAGGAACAGCGTTCTGATCCACAAAGTGTATCTTTTCAGAGATAGAAGAATGAAGCTCCCTTCTGGAGCTGTGGGAGCATTTCCTCTCCAGAATCACTGGGGTGGGTAGTGGGAGTCTTGTGGCATTAACCTGATAAGTAGTATGTCTTGTGCTCAATCCCTAGCACCTAGTATGTAGGCACTAAATAAATAGCTTATGGTTGTGTGGTTTGCATGGATTGAAATGAAATAGATTAAAAAGTTCTTAGAAGCAGAGAGTATCAGAGTATCACGCTCTGGTTATTTTCCTAGGAACACAGACAGACCTATGGGAACACACGGGAACCTCTTTTAGAAAACCTGACAAGCGAGTATGACTTGGATCTTTTCCGAAGAGCACAAGCCCGGGCTTCAGAGGATTTGGTGAGTATTAAAACCTCCAAACTGAAGGCCGCTTGTGAAAGGTGCTTAGAGTTGCCAGGAAAAATGATTGCAAATCAGTTTGATGGGAATTAAATGTACCTTGCTTCTGGAATCTCTTTCCCTGTCTCCCAGCTGTCCCTTTTTGGAGACTAGCCTTCCCTTTCAGATTTAAAATGAATCACCCCTCCTCCCTTCCTTTTTTTATTCCCTGCTTTCCACCTCGGCTCCCGGAAGTACCAGTTTGGCTAGAGCTGATGAGGCTGGATAAAACCATAGGCGCCCCTTTGTCTCAGCTGGGCAATTTGCAATTCTGAGAACCTGTAGCCTAGGAGAGACTCATCTCTGTTGTTTTCTTAATCCCAACAGGAACTCCCCTTTTGCTAGGTTTCCTCTGCACTAAGAATGAAAATAACAGTGAAGAGGAATAATGGAAAAGGCTGTTGTCAGATGTTTTAGAATTAATCTTTGACACAGCCAAGTTTGATACATTGGTTTTCCATTCTGATATTTATTTAGAGCTAGTTTATACTGAGTTGCTGTCCTAGGCAGAATTTTTAACAACTTTGCTTGAAGAAAATTCTGGTGATTGAGTTTACCTCTGATATAACAGATTAAATGTGTTCAGGGAAGCTCAGTTTTAAAGTGAATCTCGTCTTCACCCCCTTCCCCCTTGTATTAAAAAAAAATTGTATCAAATACTAGACTTGTTGAAAACTTGGCAGAGGCAGGGTTTGCTGGCTACCCTTGGCTGGGATGGGCTGTTACTGCTGCTGGTTTTCTCTATCCTATTCTGGCATGGAGCATTTCCTGGGCTAGCCTTTTACAACTTTACACCTGGTTATGCTTACAAATTATACTTTTGTAGCCAACTCAGAGCCACTGAATG
Organism: Homo sapiens; assembly: GCF_000001405.40. NCBI lineage: Eukaryota > Metazoa > Chordata > Mammalia > Primates > Hominidae > Homo > Homo sapiens. The sequence continues at coordinate 49,816,800 of NC_000017.11, forward strand.
GAGATGGATATCCGAATTTTTTTTTTTTCTGAGACAGGGTTTTGCCCTGTTGCCCAAACTGGAGTGCAGTGGTGCCATCATGGCTCACTGCAGCCTCGACCTTCAGTGCTCAAGCGATTCTCCCACGTCAGCCTCCTGAGTAGCTGGGACTACAGGCATGCCACTACACCCATCCCAGAAATATTTTCTGCCTTCTAGAGTTTAGATTCTAGAATTATCATGCACATTTCAAAAATATTTTTTAAAGGGCCTGTTTTTTTTTCTAAGTGACCATTGTGGATATATTTCACGGAGATTCATATAGCTTTATAAAAGCTTCTGCAGATAAGTAAGGCAGATTCTAAATCAAGTTTTTTGTTTAGTTTTAGAATACTTTATAAGGGTGGGGAGTTTGTATCTGTGATGATTTTCTTTATAATTCAGTTTGGTCTAGGCTGATAAAAATGAAGTTTCCAAGGTATCATTCTGGTGAGGCCCAGAATGTGGGAGGTAGCAGAGAAACCTCTCTTTTGAGACCTGTGCTCTGGGCAGTATGGGTAGTAAGTTTTCTGTACACCTGTGTGATTTTTCATGTAGCTCTCTTTAGTGTAAATTCTCATGGATAGAAGCCAAATCTGTCTGATTTTTTTCATAGCCTAGCGTGGTGGCATGCACACACACTTTTAAAAACAAAGATAATATTTATTTTTTTAAAAAGGAGTTTCGCTCTGTCTCCCAGGCTGGAGTGCAGTAGTGCGATCTCGGTTCACCGCAGCCTCTGCCTCTTGGGCGATTCTTCTGCCTTAGCCTCCCAAGTAGCTGGGATTACAATTGTTTGCCACCACACCTTGCTAATTGTTGTATTTTTAGTAGAGATGGGGTTTTGCCATTTCGGCCAGGCTGGTCTCGAACTCCTGGCCTTAAGTGACCTGCCTGCCTCAGCCTCCCAAAGTGTTGGGATTACAGGAGCCACTGTGCCCTGTCTAAAAGCAAAGATAATAAATTCTGATCCTCCTTTGACTTTTGATTTCTTGGCAATAGGAGAAGTTAAGGCTGCAAGGCCAAATCACAGAGGGAAGCAACATGATTAAAACAATTGCTTTTGGCCGCTATGAGCTTGATACCTGGTATCATTCTCCATATCCTGAAGAATATGCACGGCTGGGACGTCTCTATATGTGTGAATTCTGTTTAAAATATATGAAGAGCCAAACGATACTCCGCCGGCACATGGTGAGTTGTCTTGGGTTCCTCTGCCTTGACCATGATGGCAATAAGCTGTAGGATCTCTAGATTTTGCCATAGCGATGGCATCTGTTCAGGCACCTTCTCAGTGGTCCTCAGCAGTGGGATGAAGGCATAGGAAATGACAGGCCACAGCTTAAGGCGGGGTATAGAGCCTGAGGTATGGCTTGTGCTGGGTGCCACCCAAAGCAGCTGAGGGCCCTTACCCACATCCTGTCATGTACATCTTCTTGTCTTTTGTTCTTGCTGCCTACTGCTCTTCATTTCCTCCTTGGAATATGAATTACCTCTGCCCACAGGTTTTGTGTGTCCCAAACTAGATGAAAATACAGACTTCATTAGGCACAGCAGAGACAGCATGGCTCACCTTCATATCCCTAGCAACTAGTGTGGACAACTGATGCCCAAGAAGTATATGTTGAATGGGTACTTATTAATATTTAATAGTGATCAGCCTGTGACAGATTATGAAAGTAGCAGAGTGGGTCCTTTGGTGCCTTCCCCTCTTTTTCCTAATAAAACAGGTATAAGGAGTTGAATCTGTTATTGTTGACAAATAGGTTTACTAGATTTTTTGCAGCTTCAAAAAAAAAGCCATTTTTCCCCCGCTCTGTTACAGAATAAGCTTTGTCTTAAGGGGAATTTCTGCCATGGAGCAAGGGTGCGGAACAGGGGAAGGAGTAGAGATTAGCCTTTCAGGCAGAGAAGACTTTTTCTTGTTTTTTTTTTTTTTGAGAGGGAGTCTTGCTCTGTTGACCAGGCTGGAGTGCAGTGGCGCGATCTTGGCTCACTGCAACCTCCGCCTCCCAGATTCAAACGATTCTCCTGCCTCAGCCTCCTGAGTACCTGGGACTACAGTCGCACACCACCACACCTGGCTGATTTTTGTATTTTTAGTAGAGACAGGGTTTCACCATATTGACCAGGATGGTCTTGATCTCCTGACCTCATGATCCACCCACCTCAGCTTCCCAAAGTGCTGGGATTACAGGCATGAGCCACTGTGCCCAGCCCTTGTTCTCATAATCACAATATAATTTGGCTCTAAGGCCTCTGGGGTGTCTCTTTTTCCTTCCCCTTCCTTTTTTATTTCCCAGGATTTCCATATGTTGAGCATCTATGACCCAGGTTTCCTGTGATTTCTGTCATTATACTCTTCTCCCCAGTTTGGTTGGTGATAACTGCTTTTTTATGTTCCCAGTTCAGGAGCATGTGGTCTGTAAGTTCAGGGCCCAGAACTGTTGCTTTGACTCAGGTTCTCCAGACCCTGGCACACTTGACTGCATAGGGCTAGAGTCATGGAGGGGAGGTGATTGGCGGCGATTGGTAGAAATATCAGTGCACAGGAAATAATGGGGTCAGAAGGTGGGGCACTGATACAGATGGCAGGCCGTGGAGATAAAGTAAAATGGTTTTACTGTGTGAAAGCGGGTATTTTTATTGATGTGAACTGCTTACCATTTATGCCTTTTTTCCTTTTCGTTTCTGGTTGTTGAGTGACACAAACCAATGAAATAGCCAAAAGGGCAAGAAATAGTAATAGAAGGAGAAAACAAAGAGTCTGAATAAATCTGAGAATCAAATAAACATTCTGAATATTTGAAAATCTTCCATATTATATGATATAAAAATCAGATTTCAGGAAATACCTAATTTATTCCATGCCTGTTCTTATTCCCGTTGCTTCAGGTGTGATCACTGAAATGAAATGATCTTCCTTTGGCTTGGCTTCTGTTTCTGAACAAATAATAATTGTTACATGAGTTTGGTTATTGTTGGGAAGAGCCAGCATGAGTAAAGGGGTAGAGATAGGAACAAACTACAGATGGAATTTTCTTGGATGGATTCCAGTTAATAAATATTTGGATTTACATATGACAAATTGGAACATGCTTCTTGAGTTGACAAAAAGAGTTGCAGTAAATTTGCTTAATAGAAAGTGTTTCATGGGCCAGGTGCGGTGGCTCATACCTGTAATCCCAGCACTTTGGGAGGCTGAAGTGGGAGGATTGCTTGAGGCCAGGAATTTGAGACCAGCCTGGGCAAAATAGTGAGACTCTGTTGCTTCAAAACCCTTTTGAAAAATTAACTAACCAGGCATGGCGCCATGCGCCTATAATCTTAGCTACATGGGAGGATCTTTTGAGCCCAGGAGTTCGAGGCTGCAGTGAGCTATGATCGTGCTATTTCAGCCTGGGTGACAGAGTGACACCCTATCTCAAAAAAAAAAACTTTTTTTTATACGTCTATACTTTTTAAACACTTTTTTCTTTTTTTTTTTTGAGACAGAGTCTCGCTCTGTCACTTAGGCTGGAGTGCAGTGGTGCAATGTCGGCTCACTGCAGCCTCCACCTCCCGGATTCTTCTGCCTCAGCCTCCAGAGTAGCTGGGATTACAGGCCCCCGCTGCCACACCTGGCTAATATTTGTATTTTTAGTAGAGACGGGGTTTCACCATGTTGGCCAGGCTGCTGTCAAACTCCTGACCTCAGGTGATCTGCCCACCTCAGCCTCCCAAAGTGCTGGGATTACAGGCGTGAGCCACCGCATCAGGCCTTAAACATTTTAAAATGTAAACCTTTTGAAGAATTCACCTAACAGCAGATGGCTGGCTGGCTGGCTGCATTAAAACAGTAAGCACTTGAGGGTGAGGAAAAGGGGGTACTTTGTGCTCCCTTGTGGCCAAGTGACCCTAGCTTCCTGCTGCTCAGCTAGGCTGCTTGCCTTTTTTTTTTTTTTTTTTTTTTCTTTTTTTGCCACAGGACTTTCTCTTAATTTCCTTATATAACAAAGGGAATGCACTTGCAGGGGAGAAGGGCAGACAGGTAGTGGTACATGGTTTTTATCATTGTGAGTGGGTTTTCTAATCTGAACAAAGAAGGCCATCATGGTTAGGTGGTAATGAGAAGTTATGGGTAAAGGTGAGAGTAAAGTACTTAGCCACCCTAAGCTGCTGGAAATAAGCTGCTTAAGAATTTCCTGTTGGCTTGAGGCATTTGGTAATAAGCAAGCGTATTGTTATTTATTTGGCCTTTATGTAGTGGGTGATTTTAATCTCCTGGGCTAAAGTAGTGCCAGAATGTAATCCAGAATACTTGTTCCAGATTGCTATAAAAGTGTCATAAATATATTCAAATGACTTTGGAAGCCTTTGTTTTATGGAAATAAAATCTCTGTTTTGCTGTATGTTCTCAGCTTGTCCAACTGTCCGGTAGCTCAGTTAACCACATTTGACCTGTCATTCCTTTTCCCTTTTGAGGAGCAGTCTTGTTGGGAGGCTTTGGTTCCCTGATGTGAATTTCATTGTCTTGCAGGCCAAATGTGTGTGGAAACACCCACCTGGTGATGAGATATATCGCAAAGGTTCAATCTCTGTGTTTGAAGTGGATGGCAAGAAAAACAAGGTAAAAAGTGGTGACTTTAGAAAGGAGTTGAAATGTTGTATATTCACAGGTTTCAGAAGGCATATGTTTTTTCTCCATCACACCTTGTGAAGGACATAGAACTCTTCTCTTGCCAAAATACACAATGTGTTTCATTAATAATTATGGTATGTTTGTGAATTTTAGGCCTTTATCTGTTTAGGAATCAGTGGCCCACACATGAACTCTGTTTCTCTGCTTCCAGATCTACTGCCAAAACCTGTGCCTGTTGGCCAAACTTTTTCTGGACCACAAGACATTATATTATGATGTGGAGCCCTTCCTGTTCTATGTTATGACAGAGGCGGACAACACTGGCTGTCACCTGATTGGATATTTTTCTAAGGTAAGCAGGATCTGGAGATTAAGAAGCCAATGGCCAGAGCAGGGTGATCCATGTTCGCAGTTGGGGGCTCAAATCACTGACAGGAAGAAGCTGTACTCTGGGCAATGATGACACCCCTTCCTTAAATTAAAAAAAAAAAAAAGGCAAACCCATGTATCAAAGATTGTTTAATGAAAATGCAGTTTTTATTAAAAGCTTCTGGTTCATTCATTTCTAGAATTGTGGACTGGAGCTGCCTATTAATAACTGGCCAGAGCCCTCCCTAGTAACTCACAAGCCCACATCTTGTAGTCAAACCAGTTCTGCTGGCTTTGCCTGCCTCTATGTTATTAGCTTAAAACCAGGAATATACTCTTTTTGCCTGATTGTTTAGCTGGGCTCCTTCTAGCACAGTGCCTTCAGTGATAACACTACTGCGCCTTTTAAAGACCCAAGGCCAGATTTTTTTTTTTTTTCTGACAGAGTCTCACTCTGTTGCCCAGGCTGGAGTACAGAGGTATGACCTTGACTCACTGCACCCTCTGCCTCCCAGGTTCAAGTGACCCTCCTGCCTCAGCCTCCTGAGTAGCTGGGATAACAGGCGCCTGCCACCACGCCCAGCTAATTTTTTGTGTGATTTTAGTAGAGATGGTGTTTTACCATGTTGGCCAGGCTGGTCTCGAACTCCTGACCTCAAGTAATCCACTCGCCTTAGCCTCCTAAAGTGCTAGGATTACAGGTGTGAGCCATTGCGCCCGGCCTAAGTCATAAAAGTTTATGACTTTTAGTATAACAACTTTATTGAAATATAATTCATATACCATAAATTCACGCACTGAAAGGGTACAATTTAGTGGTTTATAGTGTATTCACAGAGTTGTGCAATCAACCCAGTTTGCATTATCCTGAAAAGAAATTGATAGCAATCACTCCTATTTCTACTCAATCCCTCTCAGTTCTTCTTTCTCTATAAATTTCCCTATTTTGGACGTTTCCTACAAGTGGAATCACACATTTTGATTTGATTCAATGTGATTTTTTTTTTAATCCCTTTGCAGAATGGGGACTTACAGTGGTGTTTCCTTCCCTTCTCTTCCAGTAGGCAGCTCCTTTTCAAAAATTGCGTTTAAAGTGGGCTTCTATATACTGAGTCAGCAGTCTTAAACTTCTTGCCCTACTCTGTGGCTGTCAGGAGCCCAGAGTCAGCCTCCTTAAAATGACACTGGAGGTCTCAACTAGGGAAATCCTGGGATGATTAATGGCTTTGGCCATGATAAAGGGTGTGGTTATAACAGCTGTGAGCCTGGCAGCCACTCCTTGGGACTGGTTAGCCAGATGTTTTGCAAGCAGCCTTATTTTGCATCTGTGGAAGTGCTGAAACCTTTGGTTTCAAATCCTCATGACGTGTTCATCTGTTTGCTCTTGATTTTAGGAAAAGAATTCATTCCTCAACTACAACGTCTCCTGTATCCTTACTATGCCTCAGTACATGAGACAGGGCTATGGCAAGATGCTTATTGATTTCAGTAAGTGAAACTGCTAAGTCATTAGTTCCACAAGGCAGGGACCATGTGAATATTGTTTGTCTTTTTGTCCTGTGGTCTCTGCAATTCCTGGAATATAGTGAAGGTACATGGATATTTAGTAAATGAATGAACAAGTAGGAAAAACCTGAACATTGTCATTCTGCCTAATACACATTGAACATTGAAGGAGTACAGGACTCCTCCTTAATGAGTAGGAGGTACAGAGGATGATAAAGTAAGCTCTTTAGGATTATCCCAGTTTGAGACTTTTAAACAGCACATACATGCATGAGGCTTAAAATCTGGTCCTTGATGCTAGGGATTTCACTTTTGTAGGGACTTGTCTAGAGGTAATCCATGTACCCAATGGACCCTGTGCATAATATACTCTGCCCTCATTAATTGTGGATTCTGTCTTTGTGAATTTGCTTACTCACTAAATTTTATTTGTAACCCCAAAATCAATCTTAACATTTTTGTGGTCATTCGTGAACATGCACAGAGCAGCAAAAAGTAAGAGTCATGGATGCACACATTCCCAGCTGACTTCAGAGTTTTCAGCTCTTACACTGTAAACAAGTTCATTTTCAGTCTGGGAATGCCACATGGTTTTCGCCTTCTGTTGATTTTAAATGGCCCCTATGAGTAGTACTGATGTGTCTGGTGTTCCTAATCTCAGGAATACCTGGGGTACCTTACAGGGGTTAGGTAGCTTTCTTCAGGTGAATTAGAGAGTTGCTGGCAGTGAGTTCAATGTTAATGATATCAACAGTGTATATTAAATAAGGCATTTTTAAACAGAAACATAAAATAAGTTTATGTATTGATGGTTGACCAATATGTGACCAGAGGCTTGCAGGAACCTAACCCTCCCTGTATTTCCCGTAGGAGTAGTGGTTCAATATTCACTAATTCAGGTTCTCAGTGACTTTATAAAACATAACTGCTGTGAATAACAAGACTCTACTGTGTGTTATTCTATATTTGATGTCCACTGTCATAGGACAGGGTATATTGTAATCAAAATTGGAATTCCTAGAATTAGCCTTCCAAGCCTTCTTTCTTTCTTTCTTTCTTTTTTGAGACGGAATTTTGCTCTTGTTGCCCAGGCTGGAGCACAATGGCCCAATGTTGGCTCACTGCAACCTCCGTCTCCCGGGTTCAGGCAATTCTACTGCCTCAGCCTCACGAGTAGCTGGGATTACAGGCATGTGCCACCACGCCCAGCTAATTTTGTATTTTTTTAGTGGAGACGGAGTTTCTCCATGTTGGTCAGGCTGGTCTCGAACTCCCGAGCTCAGGTGATCCGCCCACCTCAGCCTCCCAGAGTGCTGGAATTACAGGCGTGAGCCACCTTGCCCGGCCACCTTCTTTCATTTTTAAGTCACCTGAGAAGAGATGAACTGGGAAGTGACATAAGAGGGGAACTATATATCTTTGAATAGGTAACACTGTTCTTATAAACTTGATTTTATAGAAATTTTTAAGCATTAACAAAAGTATAATAAATGCTTCTATACCCATCACCCAGCTTCAGTAATTACCGTTTTTTGGGGGGCTAATCTTGTTTTACCTACATTTTCACTTGCCATTATTTTGGTATCTCTAAAAGATAAGGTCTATTACACCTTAAAAAAAAAAGTCCTTCATGTCATAAATTGTGATATTCAAATTTCCCTGGTGTGATTTTGTTCTTTTTTTTATTTTTATTTTTTTAATACTCAGATCCAGGTAGAATTGATAGTGGGATTGAGAAATGTGGCTCATAATTCACTTTTAGTCTAAAACTTTCCACTCCCATCATTTTTTTCTTGCTGTGTTTTTGTTGAAGAAAGCAGGTTAGTTGTCTAAAAGGGTTCCCCAGATTATGAACTTTGCACACTGCATCTCCATAGTGTTGTTTTATATATTTTGTATAAATTGAATGTTAGGTGTTTAGACTTTACAACTAGAGGCTTCATCATTTGGGTTTTTTACACCCCGCACTATCTCATAGGTGGTACTGAGCTAATCTGTTCTTACCATTCAAAGATTTAAAAAATACTTAAAAACTAGGTAGTGAAGTGGCTTCACATTTTTGTTTCTCATCTCCCTTGTTTCCAACACACACCTACAGAGATTCATTATCAAAATAATGGTGAAGGCTTCCAGAGTTCTTTTAGTGCCTATTACAGTAGTGCCCTCCTTATCTGCCATTTCACTTTCTGCAGTTTCAATTACCTGTAGTCAACTGCGGTCCAAAAATAGGTGAGTACAGTACAATAAGATATTTTGAGAGACAGACAACCTTCACATAACTTTTATTACAGTATATTGTTATAATTGTTCTGTTTTACTATTACTCTCTTCCTGTTCTTAATTTATAAGTTAAACTGTAGCATAGATATGTGTTGATAGGAAAATACATAGTATATATAGGATTTGGTACTACCCACAGTTTTGGGCCTCCACTGGGAGTTTTGGAACACATTCCCTGTGAATAAGAGGGGACTCCTGTGTCATGTAAATGCAAATACACATTCTTCCCCTTTTGTTTATACAAAGGCAGTATACTATAGTTAACCACACAGTATTCCATTGAATGACTAAATCCTAATGGAGTGGACTGTGCTTCTTAAACCTTCTTCCATGTTGGCACACAGTTTTTTGCTATTAGGATAAGATCGAGTGTTGCTAGAAAAAGTCTGTATTTGTTCCCTGGCAGGTTATTTGCTTTCCAAAGTCGAAGAAAAAGTTGGCTCCCCAGAACGTCCACTCTCAGATCTGGGGCTTATAAGCTATCGCAGTTACTGGAAAGAAGTACTTCTCCGCTACCTGCATAATTTTCAAGGCAAAGAGATTTCTATCAAAGGTTGGTTTTTGACTCCTTGGAATGGTTGATTGTTACCCAAGAAGTTAACTCTACTGGGTATTGTGTTTCCCCTGAATGTGAGAACGGAAGGCCCACTGAATATGGACCACTGCGGAGACCCTCACTAAAGCTGCCTAGGAATCCAAAGCATTTGGCCCCTGGGAATGGTTATTAATTGGCTTCTCAAATCCAGAGTTGCCAACACTTTAATTCTTATAAAAGTCAAGAAGCAAAACTTCAGATCGTTTGGTTCATCTTTCTGAGAAAGACATCCCTGTGTATTTATGCAAGGGTGGAACAATTTAGTTTGATCTATATTTGATCCTGATTTCTAAGGGGCCAAGAGTAGCTTCTTGCTGTAATATCCTTTTGTGGTTATTTGGACTGGTCAAATGAATACTTTGTAAACTCCTTCTAAACAGATTGGGTTGAGTACAGAAGATTCTGTCCATTTGGATTTCCTTTAAGGGAAAGTAGACCTTGGTTGGGGGCAAAGGGGTGGGAACCTGCACTTTGGCCAGGTTGTCAGTACTTCTTCTGTTTCAGAAATCAGTCAGGAGACGGCTGTGAATCCTGTGGACATTGTCAGCACTCTGCAAGCCCTTCAGATGCTCAAATACTGGAAGGGAAAACACCTAGTTTTAAAGAGACAGGTAAGGTTCTCATCAGGGGCTTGCTCATTGCTGGATGTCCTTCAAGACTTAGCAGAGCAAAGTATGGGCCTTAAGACTGGAGAACCTTCCCTTAAAGGAGTTGGGCTACACGCCCCTTTTACTGGGTCTCATTTCTGTAGCTGGCAGTGATGCCTGTGTTGCCTTATCCTTATCAGAAGGTTTTGATAAGCTCCTGTCTCAAATTTGGATGACACAAGTTAAGCAGCTCCAGTTAAGCAGCTTTATGTTGTACAGCATTTCTGTCATTTGATGTTTTTCTTAGGTGGGAGGAAATTGCCCATCTGTAGAGGAATCTTCACAAATGCTGTCTCAACTCAAACTCACATCTAATTTTTTAAATTATTTCATATATACAATAAAGGTCGGTGAGCGATGATTTTCATTTCTCACTGAGGGTAAAGTAGGAAGAATGGATTAGATAGGAAAGCAGTTTATAAGTCAAAATATAGTATTTTTTTTGATACCCTAATATGTTGTTAAACCTTTGGCAATTCCTTCTTGGCGGTTAGTTATTTTGGAATCTATGTAAAGGCACTTGAGTTGAAAGTATGTAATCCTTTTTCCCATTGTTCTCCCTCAGGACCTGATTGATGAGTGGATAGCCAAAGAGGCCAAAAGGTCCAACTCCAATAAAACCATGGATCCCAGCTGCTTAAAATGGACCCCTCCCAAGGGCACTTAAAGTGACCTGTCATTCCGAGCCAGCGAACCCCAGCAGTAGGAATCCGTACCCTAGGGATCTGTCTGTCATTTCTCTGTTGCTCTTGTGATTGGCAAGTACAGTATCCTTTGGGAAGGCCATCCCCCTCAGGACTGTCCTGGCTCCGACCTTTGTGTACACTGCAGACGCTGGTTCTGAGGAACTGTTGTTTCGGCCTCAGTGAGGTTGCCTGGATGGGATCTGTATTAGACTTGAGTGCAGGTCTCTCAGCACTGACCCAAGGAGTTCTGTTATGGTACTGTACCTGTCCAGTCACTGGTTCTCTCCTCATGTCCTCTCGCCCCATGAGGTTGTGTTGTGTCTTCTAAGCGTGGTACTAGTGCTTGCCACCTGGTCACCAGACCTCCAAATATGGCTGCCACCACCAGGACCTTTCCAGTTACTCCTTATATGTGTGTTCTATGGAGGGGCAGGGAAAAGGTGGCACTTGTGAGTGTGTGTGGATTGGCAGGGGGTCCATTCACTTTGGGTTCCATCTTGCTTTAAATTTCTTCATTTTGATTAAGAGACCTCTTTTTGATCTGTATTGGGCTAACCAGAGCCAAATACTTTTGAAGAGTTTCCCAGGGACTAGTCATGGTAATAGCATATAATTGATCTGAATGAGATGGAGAGAAGAATGAAGGGGTGGTGGTTCTGGGTTTGATTTGAGTTCACCTGTGGGCAGTGGGCAGTGGGCAGTGTCTTGGTGAAAGGGAACGGATACTACTTTTTGCCTCACCGTAAAGTACTCACTAGTAAATATTTCCTTCTCTCTTTACTCCCACTTTTTACGTTTGCAGGTGCCAAAGTAATGTCCACTTTTCCCTTTCATGCTGCATATTAACTGGTTAATTATACTGCAGAAACCTTTTCACCTCCACTAGTCTGATACAGTACATCTGTACTTCCATATACCTTGCACTGATTTTGTCTGAGTGCCCTGGGAGAAGTAGAAAATGATTGAAAGTGACTTCCGTATCTCAGCCCATGACTCAGCAAGGCAGAATGGCCACCCCTGCCAAAGTTTGCTTCTCTTTTCAACAGTGCCTCACCCTCCCTCTAGGATTAAAGTGCTTCTGCCCTTCCACGAACTCCTCCTCCATTTCCTTTTTGGGATTTGTCACCATCCTTCTATTCTCTGGTCTTCTATTTTTGGTGTTGTTCAAGTGAAGGAAGAGATGTTCCCTCTAATTTCTCTCTAGCCCATTATAACCTGCTATCTTGGGGCAACTTTTGATGTATGACATGTCACCCTTCCCAACTTGGTCTCCTCCAACATGCTGTCTTCATGTGGAGCCCTCACCACAATCCCTGACTCCGGTCATTTGTGCCTTTCTCTTGTCATCTCTGTACACTACTTATATTCACTGTGGGTTGGGGGAGCTAATTTTAAGCATGTTCAGTGGCAGCTCCCCTCCAGTTTCAGTGTCACTGTTAAAATTTATCAAAAAGCAACTTCACTAGGGGTTTTCTTAAGGGATAAAGGCCTTTTACAGAAGCTAAACCCTTCCCCACATGTGGTAGAATGTGCTCTTCTATATCTACTCCTCAATAAAGCATGTTCTCTGCTCAAGTCTGTTTCATCTGGGGGCTCTCATTTATATATGAAAATGATGCACACGATCTGCTACTAATAGTAAATGCACTTGGGATTTGCTTTCCCTAGCAGTAAACTGTTGAGGGATGTGGTTTGTGGCTATGGAATGTTTTTCCCTGTGATACAGGCTGTCTGTAAAGATCAAGGGAGTGCTCACTCTGAACTTCTCTAGATGGTGGCACAAATTTGATCTGCCTCACTTTGGTTCCAGCTAATCAGTATACGTAGCAATGATTAGTCAGTATTACCCATTCTTTCACTAAGTGCCATTTTCCACTGATTTTAGGGGCAAAGGAACCAATAGGAAATTAGGATATATGGGGGTACAGTTGATGCCTGTAGGAGATGGGAACAGACATTCCTTCTCATCTCCAAGCTCATTCACCAGTATTGAGCAGTGTCACCTCTAATTATTGACTCTCTCGCAGGTTGAAATTATTCTTTTTGAAAATAGCTGCATTTTCATGTAAGATATACCCAGCACAGGAAAAGGGTGGCTGAGCACTAACCTCCGTATGGTGGAAAGGAGGAGGCTGGGAATTGTATGTGCTGGAATGGTTTCACTCACTGTGACCAGTAGTGGTGAGAACCCATACAGTTGAAGTTTTTTGCACAGTCCTGATCCCAGGTCTCCACTCGCTTTGCCATCCCACTTTACTCCCTAAAAATAAAAGGATTTATTATCTCATTTAAACCCCCACAGGTGTGGAAACAGAGTTTCACTTGCCTTGGCAACTTTGCATGAGACTATCCCATTTCATTCCGTTTTTTTTTTTTTGAGTCAGAGTCTGGCTCTGTTGCCCAGGTTGGAGTGCAGTGGCGCAGTTTTGGCTCACAACCTCTGCCTCCCGGGTTCAAGTGATTCTTCTGTCTCAGCCTTCCGAATAGCTGGGATTACAGGTGCCTGTCACCATGCCCAGCTAATTTTTGTATTTTTAGTAGAGACAGGGTTTCGTCATGTTGGTCAGGCTGATCTCGAACTCCTGACCTCAGGTGATCCGCCCACCTTGGCCTCCCAAAGTGCTGGGATTACAGGCGTGAGCCACTGCACCCGACCTATTTTTTTTTTTTTTTTTTTTTTTTTTTTTAAAAAAAGACAGTCTCACTCTATCATCCAGTCCGGAATGCAGTGGCATGATCTCAGCTCACTGCAATGTCTGCCTCCTGGATTCCAGTGATTCTCCTGCCTCAGCCTCTCAAGTAGCTGGGATTACAGGTGCAGGCCACCTGGCTAATTTTTGTATGTTTAGTAGAGACAGGGTTTTGCCATGTTGGCCAGGCCAGTCTCAAACTCTTGACCTCAAGTGATCACCCGCCTCATCCTCCCAAAGTGCTGGGATTACAGCCGTGAGCCTCTGCACCCAGCTTTTAACTCCCTCTTATCTGCATAACAGAAGCTTAGCTGCTTAAGCTCCTTTATTAGAAGAGCAAAAGTCTGAAATTATTCCTGAAACCTGCTCAATGGAAGTACCTACTCTATTGGTTGCTTCCCATATGGTTGTCACTGTACCTTCATACTGCCTCATTTGACCCTCATATTAGCCCTGTACAGTAGATGGGTACACTGGTTTGCCAAAGGAGACCTGGAATCCAAGGTGGAAGTAAGCAGCAAAGCCAGAAACTTCAATTCTGGTCTGTCTACCTTGATAGCCTGCACCCTCCCCTCTACCGTTTTCTTCCACTATTTTTGATTCCTTAATGATGAATCATCCTCTCCCTTCTAGTTGGATTTGTTTCTAATGGCTTCCATTACAAGGATAATAATGAAACTGGTGAAAACTTTCAGGCAAAAGGATTTTCTTTTTATATTTTTTCTTATTATTTTTTAATTATTAACCAAATTAACTCATTACAGTAAAAAGGACTGATTTTTAAGCCAGCTGTGATAGCTCTGTAATAGTCTGTAATCTCAGCACTTTGGGAGGCCAAGGCGGGCAGATCGCTTGAGTCCAGGAATTCGAGACTAGCCTGGGCAGCATGGTGAAACCCCAGCTCTACAAAAAATAGAAAAATCAGACGTGGGCACATGCCTGTAGTCTCAGCTACTTGGGAGGCTGAGGCACGAGAATCGCCTGAACCTGGGAGGCAGAAGTTGCAATGAGCTGAGATGATGCCACTGCACTCCAGCCTGGGTGACAGAGTGAGACCCTGTCTCAAAAACAAAAAACAGAATTGATTGATGTTAGTTGGCTTTAGAAGCAGCAAGTTTAGGGGGCTACAGAGCTAAACCAGGAAGCAAAAGATGTGCCTCATTCTGGCATTGTTTCTGATTTAGGAATAAACTGTTCAGTAAGCACTGTCCCTTTACTTCCATGGTTTTCTTCATTCCTCACCACAGCACAGTAAGGTGGATATTATAGTCTTCTTCTAGATGAAAAATTGAGGCTCATAGTGGTCTTGCTGCTGTGTCATAGCAATAGAATGAGAGAGCCTTGCTTCCCTGAGTCCAAATCCCATACTTTTGGCATTGTTATGAGGTCTGGTCACCTGATGCTTCCATGCTATTTTCCCATTTCTTATCTGGGGATAATGAGTCATATTAAGTAATTTTTTTTTTTGAGACGGAGTTTCGTTCTGTCACCCAGGCTGGAGTGCAGTGGTGCGATCTTGGCTCACTGCAAGCTCTGCCTCCCGGGTTCATGCCATTCTTCTGCTTCAGTCTCCCGAGTAGCTGGGACTACAGGTGCCCACCACCACGCCCAGCTAATTTTTTGTATTTTTAGTAGAATGAGGTTTCACCGTGTTAGCCAGGATGATCTCGATCTCCTGACCTCGTGATCCACTCGCCTCAGCCTCCCAAAGTGCTGGGATTACAGGCGTGAGCCATTGCACCCAGCCATTTTTTTTTTTTTTAAGACGACGTCTCACTCTGTCACCTATGCTGGAGTGCAGTGGCGTGATCTAGGCTCATTGCAACCTCTGCCTCCCAGGTTCAAGCGATTTTCCTGCCTCAGCCTCCCAAGTAGCTGGGATTACAGGTGCCCACCACCTCGCCTGGCTAATTTTTGTATTTTTAGTAGAGATGAGGTTTTGCCCTGTTGGCTAGGTTGGTCTTGAACTCCTGACCTCAGGTGATCCACTCACCTCAGCCTCCCAAAGTGCTGGGATTACAGGCAGGAGCCACTGCGCCCAGCCAAGTAACTTTTAACAGTGTGGTATAACCTTTAAATGACAAGGTGATGCTTTTGACTTGTCCTCAACTTTGATTTGTACTGATTTGTCCCTATAGTTCTGGGTGGGGTGGGTCAAAACAAAGTCTCGAGCTGTACCAGGATCAAGCAGCACAGCTCAGCCATGATCCTTTTACCACTTTTTTCTTCTGTCCTTGAGACTCTAATTAAAGCACTGGATTTTTAAAAATCACCCTTGTAAATATGCACACATTTGTCTATAGTTGAGGAAATTGTGCCGTTGAAGTCCATTCTTGGACATGGAGTTAAGAAACCCTGGTTTGAGAAAAAGCCCCAGTGAGACAGCAGGAATCCTTTTACCATACAACCCTCAACTAGTTTAGTGTGCTCAAGCTCAAATAACCAATCCCATCAAGTGAAAAGAATGGCAGCAGGGAGAAGGCCTGGCTCACTGAGGCTCTCAGCATTAGTTTCCTCTACCTCTTGTGTCTCACAGGTGCACATATGTACAGCATATCAAAGTGTTGAATGTCATGAGAATAAAATATGAAAACTACTTTGCTGAATGATAGTATGTGATGTGTGCTAGGACTTCTAGAAGCCACCCTTTGCTTTGCTGTTCATTGGGATCATGGAATCGGACCTCAGCTGGTTTTGCCTCAGCACTTTCTTTCACAAAATTATGTGTGACTGCCTCCTCCAGACTGTTTCCTGCTGATAGGGGCAGTTTAATAGCCTTCTTCCTGTGTGGTATCTGCAACAAAATCCCAATGAATGTCACCAAGAAGGAAACAAAGGATTGCCCAGCGATGAGAAATGTCCCTGGTGCCAAAACATCAGTTTGCCCCTAACCTCTTGTGCAATACCTTTAAGTCCAGGTCATGTTGTTACCATTTGGGGGTTTGCGGATTTGTTTACTTGTGCCCAAGAATGGAGAAAATAACCTGTACTATTGTACAACTCTGGCTCCATGGCTCCTCACAAATGTTCCATGTGAGATATAAACATCTTTATCCTCGACAAGTCATGTTCATTCCAAGAAACCAGTCTTTGTTCTTAATTGGACATTTGTTTCTGCAAACAGCTTACCATACATTCAATTCCAAAGTTATCAGAAACCTACACTCTTATCTCACAAATTTAGAGGTGTGGTAGATCATCTCCAAAGATGGCCACCAACAGTTGCTCTCATCCTCTGTGCACGTGCTATTTCCAATAAGGTCTATTTTTTTCTACAGTGAGGGCTGAACTTGTGACTTGTTTTGACTAATAGGATATGGAAGTGATATTTTGGCAGCTTCCACTTTTGCTCTTGAAAATAAGCTGACACGTTTCCAAACGAGAAGCTTGGGCTAAATTACTGAATGGTGAGAGACGATGCATAGGAGAACCAAGGTGCTCTAGTCACAGCACTAAAAGCCCAGACTTGTGTCTCTTGAAGGTTTCAACCCCGCCAGACTCCCAGCTGAACGCACCCTCATGAGTGGCCCTTGCTGGTACCACATGACACTAAAGACATCTAGCTGAGTCCTGTTAACCCAGAGAATTATGAGAATACTGTTTTAACCACACGTTTTGGAATGGTTTGATACATGGCAATGGAGAAGTGAAACAAGGGGACTTCGGAAACTAAAGGGCTGGAATTCAGTTTGCCTTGTAGGTTGATTGGAAGCCAGATGTGCCTAGAGGAAGGCTACCACCTTGTGCAATTCCAGGGGACACTGTTTATGTTCCGTGTAAATGGCAGCCTCAGTTCACCTCATTTGGTTATTTATCGTGTCTTCGCTGTCAGTCAAATTGCTTCTGAGATAACTGGCTGGCCTTGGAATTCTTAGCCACCTCCTTAAGCGGATCAGGAAAACTGAAGAATATCCTTCTGTATGTATGTATGTATTTATTGATTGATCGATTTATGAGACAGGGTCTCCTTCTGTCACCCAGGCTGGAGTGCAGTGGTACGATCACGGCTCACTGCTGCGTCGCCTTCCCAGGCTCCAGCTATCCTCCCACCTCAACCTCCAGAGTAGTTGAGACCACAGGCGTGCACTACCACGCCCGGCTACCTTTTTGTATTTTCAGTAGAGACGAGGTTTCGCCGTGTTGCCCAGGCTGGTTCAAGCGGAGCTCAAGCAATCAGCCTGCCTCGGCCTCCCAAAGTGTTGGGATTACAGGCATGAGCCGCTGCGCCCAACCTTCTTCTGCTGTCGAGATACTGCTCATCACCTGCCTGCTCCAGAATTCATGTGGCTTCTCATTGCTCAATGGATTAAGTTCATGTTTATCCTGGCTTTCAAGTCTTTCCGTAAGCTGACTCAACCTACATAGCTTTCATCATTCCCTTACACATAACCTCAACGTGCAACAGGATTAGTCTATTATTCCCTTTCTTGTGTTTACTGAGAAAGCCTCCACTTCAACGTTCCATGAAGTGTGTTCCATTAAATACCAAAGTATAGGCAAAAAGTTCTGTGGTCAAATAAATTTGGAAAACACAGAGTGTTTCCAAAGTTAGTATCAGGCCAGGCATGGTGGGAGGATCACTTGAGCCCAGGAGTTCGAGACCAGCCTGGGCAACATAGGGAGACCCAATCCCTACAAAAAAATTAGTTGGGCATGGTGGTGTGCACCCGTAGTGCCAGCTACTCAGGAGGCTGAGGTAGGAGGATCACCTGAGCCCAGGAAGTCAAGGCTGTGGTCAGCTGAGATCCCACCAGTGTGCTCCAGCCTGGGTGACAGAGCAAGACCCTGTCTCAAAAAATAAAAAAATAAAGATAATACCAGTATGTTTCTTGACTTGAAGATTTCCCAAAACCTTCAGTAGGCTAATGGGTGTTGGAGTTTTCCAAGAAGACACAGGATGTAACATTTCCTAAAATGATTTGATCTGGAAGGAGCCTCTTGGACTGGTGTCCTGGGTAGGGCTTTTGGAAATGTTTCTTTCCCACCCGAATAGGCCCCTAATTCTGCTTGAGACTTGTCTGAACTATCATGGCATAGACCAAGTGTGGGGCTTGATGTATGTGAAGTCAAGCCACCGTAGCCTAAATCCTGGCTGTCATTTCCTTTGTAACTTCAAGCAAATGGCTTATCCACATTGGCAGAATGGGGATAAAATTGTGGAAAATTCTCTTGCAGTGCTTGCCATGTATTCATTCATGTAGTCAGTAAACAAGTTCTGCTGTGTCCACCATCTAAGGTGGGAATTAGTTGAGTCTGGGGAACCAGTGGTAAGCCCTGTCTAAAAAAGGGCCTTTATCATGGGAGCTGAAAGATGAGTTAGCAGGATGGGGGCAATATGGAGTAGAGGGACTGGGGCAGTGTCCAGATCCCAGAGCAGGCCAGCATTTGGTGTGTGTGTCTGAGAGAGCCTGGTGGCGAGTGTGACAACACAGAGGAGAGGGATTAGAGAGCACGGGGCCCTGGAGGTTTCTGCAAGAATGTCAAGTGTATGCTAGGACACCGTTGGACTGTGGCCGACAAGGAATGGACGCGATCCTATTTCCCATTTTAAAATGTCACTCTCTGGTGGACAAACGCTGGGGGTGGCTGGCTGGCAGGAGGGTGGAAAGCAAGGAGGTCTGCCAGGAGGCTACTGCCCTCCAAGACAAGGGAGGAGGGTGGCTGCTACCAACAGTGACAAGATGGCAAGTAGTAGGTGGACTCAAGATGGATTGTGGAAGGTTCATCAGCTAGGGGATAATGAGTTAGGTGTGAGGAATTGAGGGGAACTCCCAGGTTTGTAGCTGGGTGTGTGGAGGTGCCGTTTGTAGAGATGCGGAAGATGGTGAGGAGTAGTTTTGGGGCAGTGGATCAACAGTTCAGTGTATGGACAGGTTGAGTGAGAACTTTGGGACGTGTTCAGTAAGTAGCAGCTGCTACTATTTATTTCAGTTACTTGTATTAAGTTTGGCTCTCTAACGAGACTCCTTGAGGACAGGAAATGTGAGTCCGTCACAATGCTCTCCAGGGACCTCTCATGTGCCAAGCACTATTGTTGGCGCTGAGGGCACAAATATAATAAGATGTGGTCTGTGTTATTCCGAAACCCTGTTTTGCAGGGGAGGTAAATCATTAATTATAACATCAACATTGTAACATACAGGAAGTGCTGAATGAAAGAACTTGTAAGGCATTTCGGGAATGCCAAGGAGGGAATGGACGAGTGTTTCCTGGGCTGGAAAACCTTTACAGAGAAATGGATCTTGGCAAAGAATTCACTCACCAGGATGGAAAGAATGGCATGTGCAGAAGCCAGAAGCAGGAGTGAACGTGGTGAGCTTGAGAAAGATAGGACTGGGGAGCAGAAGGCGGAATTTGCGTCCGTTAGTACATCTTGGCTCTCCTATAATACTGTGAGGTCTTCAAGGGCAAATTCCAATCTCACACTTCATTCATATCCCCAGTCCCATCGGAGTTCCTAGTGAAATGCTGGCACATAGATGAAACTGTTTGGTGAGTTCACTTTTTTCCTAAATGTCCCCGACTTCAAACACAAGAATGAGGTCTTCAGCCCTCTTTGCTGGTGCTTTGAGTTGGGTTATTGCAGTGAACCACCTCTTGGCACCTCGCCGGTGGCTGGGTGGGGTGGGGCAGGCACCGGGGATGCCTGGTGGGTTAGGAGGTTAGGAGTGGGTGAGATGGGAAGTACATTAACTGGAAAATTCTGCAGCAGTGTCAGAGTTCCAAGGAGGAGGCTTGCACTGGCCCCCACTCCCATATTCATTGCTGGACATGATGGTAAGGTGTGAAGATGGAGAAAACGGGGCCCTGGGGTTTATTAGGGTCTCACAGTGAATAGTCAGTCTTGGGAGAGAGACTACCTCACTACAGGTTAAGTGCAAGGACTCTTCCTGCCTATGCTGGTGCCATTTGGCCTCCTCCTTGCAGCCACCTTTGTTGTCTCTAAAGCCTTTTCTGGCACCCACAGGAGGGTCCTGCCCTCTGTACCAGCACGCCTGCTTCCCCCTCCAGGCTGGAGTGCAGTGGTGCGATCTTGGCTTACAACACCCACCTCCCGGGTTCAAGCGATTCTTCTGCCTCAGCCTCCCAAGTAGCTGGGACTACAGGTGCACGCCACCATGCCCAGCTAATTTTTATATACTTAGTAGTGATGGGGTTTCACTATGTTGGCCAGACAGGTCTCGAACTCCTGACCTCGTGATCTGCCTGCCTCAGCCTCCCAAAGTGCTGGGATTACAGGCATGAGCCACCGTGCCCCGCCCCCTTCCTTTTAAACATAGCCCAGCTCCCAGCTCCCTCCACCTGCCTGCAAAGAATCAAACACCCAGAAAAACTCCTAACCTGTTTTCTTTTTTTTTTAGAGAGAGGGACACAGAAGCTAAATGCTTTGTAGCCTAGTGGATTAATGAGCCTCCTTTACTGCTGGACCCACACACAATTCCCAGTGCATTCCTTGGTTCAGCACCTCCACATTTAGGACCTAGGTTTGCCTCCAGGATTTCATGCTGGCTCATGTGCTGCTTTCTAAGGGGTCCTCTGTGTCCCACCTGCCTATAAACTGCTAGTGCAGGGACAGTTGCCTCCTCAGTCTGGGGCTCCCTGAGGTTGGGAGCTGTTTTGCTCTTCTAAGGTGCTCAAGAATGGGGCTGTGTCTTAATCACAAGGCAGTTAGTTGAAGGGTCACCTTATACAAGACAACTGAATAACCTGGGACCCTGTTCTCTGAGTCAGGAGACACATGGATTTGAGCCCTTGAGATCATGTCTGTGAGTAGGGAGAGGGTGTCTTCTTTCAGGCTGGGGCTTCAGAGGACCCTAAAGGGAAGAAAGACCCCTTGTTTTCAAATCCCTTCCCTTCCAAAATGCCTGCAATACCTTCCCATCCCGTCGTGGGCTCTTTCCTGTTTCTGTCATTCTTACCTGTGTCCCAAGCCTGTTTTCCCACCTGGGGGTAGGACCAGGGCTGTTCAGTATTTCTCTGCGATTCTGCAAAAGGGCTCTTGGCCTGTTGACATACCAGTGAGGCCACTGAACAGACTACAGAGCCCAGGCCATTCCTGCCCTCTGCTGTGCACCAGAGAAGGAGCCATTCACTGGTCACTCATTTATTGAGTGCCTACTGTGTGCTAGGCACAGGATACAGAGTGTGCGAGTCTCCTCACTGCTGTGCAGTGAGATGCCAACTCTGAGTGTGAGGGAGGGCAGAGTCAGTGCAGCTTGCTACGGCGAAGCTGTGCATTTATGCAGGACTGCTGCTTGACACTGAGAGTCCAGGAAGAAGCCCAGTGGGTTCAGTGTGGGCCTTGTGTGAAGTGCCAGCGATGAGGACAGGAGACACAGAGAAGAGAGTTGGCCTGCCGGCTTGTCAGCTGTGACATCCAGGTAGGAAGAAGCGGCACCGTGTCCTCTGGGAAGTCTGTGGTGGGGGCTTTTACTCTGAACCTTGGGCCTCATCCTCTCTGCCTGGGGAGAGTTTGGTATATGAACCATGGTTAGTCGGGGGTCTTGTCTGGCTCCTCCACCCTTAGAAGTCTTCCCTAGTTGCATTGAAGGCCTTCATCTTCCTAACCCCTCTCTCCTTTCTGGAGATATCTAGGGCAATGGGATTACAGGCTCATCTGTCATATCTTCCATTATTCAATTGCTAATGTCTCCAGAGCATGGATGGAGCCCACCCTCAGTTACCCTCTTTAAAGGTGGGGAAGGCTATCCAAGAGTCCTGGGAACATGGCGGGTGACATGGACTAGGAAGCAGGAGACACAGTTTAGTCCTGGCTCTGTTATCGGCTCACTGTGTGACTTTGGGCCAGTAGCTTTCCATCTCTGAAAAATGATGACTGACTCCTAGTATTCCTGCCCACACCATGCATGGAGGAACATTCATCTCTATTTGTTATTGAGGTGACTTCCATGGCTATTGAATGGAATGAGTCGAGCAGGTGTTCTTTCAGGGGTGCTAGGGAGGCGAGGGGTCCAGAAGTCTGCAGCTCCGGTGGAAGAGGTTAGGCACTAGGGAAGGCAGACTGGAGCTCAGTGTCTGTGACCTGCCGGGGCGCCCACTGCCCGCTCACTTGAGCTGTGACCTTTCCCCAACCTGATTGATTTATCTACTTTCATGCCTGGTCCCCTGAAACCATTTGGGGACGTGGCCTCTGCTAGAAAGTGTGAACTGATAACTGCTTATGGTGTTATTCCTCCCAGAGTGATCTGCACTTATTTACAGTGGTTGAAGGCAGAAAATCTCTGAAGACTAAAGGCATGACCCTCTAATGATCAATGATTAGTGTAACGATCAACGATTAGAGCTTTGCAAACAGTGAGGGAATGGGGGATGTTCCAAGGTCTGGAAAACTAGGCATCAGTCCCTGTGGTTTCAGCTGGCCCTGAGGGGCAGGGGTGGGGGCAGGGCAGAGTGTGCCTGGGTGTGTCATGGGTGGGGAGGGTGCAGCTTCTGGGCCATAGCGATTTCAATCTTGGGACCACCTCCTTGCACTCGACTGCCTCCCCTGGGGGCCTCCCCATGATGGCTTGTGGGGAGCCTGTCTGTCTAGCTGCCCAGCCCCCATCTTGCAGACTGGCAGCAAAGTGTCTGGCCATTTTCCCATGATGCCCTTGCAACCACCAGCGGCTCTTGCCTACCTTCTGTGAACAGGCTTCTCTTGCCCAGGAGGCCCTGGAACGTGTGTTCCAGCTGATATGCTGGTGGTGGGAGAGAGAAGTGGTAGAGGAGAGAGGCAGCAGAGGTAGGCTGTTTTGGGAACCAGGGAAGGACAAAGGACAGGGCCAGGGCGAGGGCCGGGGCCAGGGCTGGGGCCTTGCAAATGGGATCATTTCTCTGTCATCCCGAGAGGCGAGGAAACACCGTGGACTGATTAATTTATTCACTAGTTCATTCGTTGATTCCCTCCTCCCCCTCCTCCATTCTCCCTCTGCTCTCCCTTCACAAACGCCTGGTGGTGCTTCTAACAGGCAGAAACTGCTGGGAACTGGAGATACAGAGGCGACAGCAGACCTGATGCCTGCCTGTTGGGGGGCTTCCAGTCTGGGGACACCAGCCAGCTATGTGACCCAGCAAGACAGTGTAGTGCAGTGTGCCAGGAACAGGGTCGCACTAGGCCATGGAGACAAGCTCTGTCTGTGTACGGCAGGCAGTCAGGGAAGGAGAGCTGGTTAGGATGGGGCTAGGAGTCAGGTCAGTGAGGCAGGCCTGAAGGATGCGGTGAGTCGCATTAGGGGACTAGACTTGGTCCTGAGAGCGCTGAGGGAGTGGAGGGTACAGGTTGGTTACTTTTCTTTCTTTCTTTTTTTTTGAATGGAGTCTCGCTCTTGTCGCCCAGCCTGGAATGCAGTGGCGTGATCTCGGCTCACTGCAACCTCTGCCTCCCGGGTTCAAGCGATTCTCCTGCCTCAGCCTCCTGAGTAGCTGGGATGACAGGCACCCGCCACCACACCGGACTAATTTTTATATTTTTAGTAGAGACAGGGTTTCACCACGTTGGCCAGGCTGGTCTCGAACTCCTGACCTCAGGTGATCCACCTGCCTCGGCTTCCCAAAATGCTGGGATTATAGGCGTGAGCCACCACACCCACCTGGCCAGTTGGTATATTTTCTTTTGATTTTGTTTTTCGCTTTTCACTGAAAGATTTAAGCAGAGTAGTGGCTTCTTAGATTTGTACTTTTTTTTTTTTTTTTTTTTTTTTTGAGACAGAGTCTCCCTCTGTCACCCAGGCTGGACTCGGCTCACTGCAACCCCTGCCTCCTGGGTTCAAGTGATTTTCCAGCCTCAGCTTCTGAAGTAGCTGGGACCACAGGCACCTGCCACTACACCGGGCTAATGTTTGCATTTTTAGTTGTATTTTGTATTTTTAGTCGCCATGTTGGCCAGGCTGGTCTCGAACTCCTGACCTCAAGTGATCTGGCTGCCTTGGCCTCCCAAAGTGCTGAGATTACAGGCATGAGCCACTGCCTGGTCCAGATTTGCACTTTTAAGATCATCTGGTGATCTTTAAGCACTCTTATCTCTAGTGGTTGACTTTTTTTTTTTTTTTTTTTTTTCTAATTCCAGGCTTTAGACGTAAGGTAATTTTGAAACGCTGGTCGAACTAGATCCATCACTGTCTATTCCTATCCCTGCAGCCGCTCCTTAGGACCACCCCTCTTAAGGAAACAACCAGAAAGCCTAGCATGGCCAAACCACACTGGCCCCACCTCTGCACAGCAATGCCAGCCTGGCTTGCCCCTGGCCAGAGCATCTCCCCTCACCCACCTGGTTTGTTTGTGCTGAGGACAACTCAGCCCTCCCTAGGGGGCATGTTGAAGGCAGGTTTGGGCAATACTTACCTTTTTTTCTCCTTGGCTGGATCAGAGGTCTTCCTGGGGGAAGGAGAAGGAATGAGGACTACGGACTGCACTGCTTCCCTGGGGGCTTGGTGAGGTGGAAAAGGCTCCAGTTCTTTGAGGGTTGGTGCATTGGTGGGTCTTCAGTAGAATTCTAGTCATCCCCAGTTATCCTCTGTGGCAGTAGGAATGTGCTGGTAGGGGGCAGTGTGGAGTGGCTGGAAGTGCACAGACTTTGGGGTCACTGGCACCTGGTGCCAGCTGGGTGGGCATCCTTGGGAAAAGTGCTTAACCTATCTGAGCCTTAGTTTCCCCGCTTGTGATAAGGGGGATATTATTGTGGAGATTTAATCTTTTTTTTTTTTTTTTTTTTTTTTGAGAGTCTCACTCTGTCGCCCAGGCTGGAGTGCAGTGGTGCGATCTCGGCTCACTGCAAGCTCCGCCTCCCAGGTTCACGCCATTCTCCTGCCTCAGCCTCCCGAGTAGCCAGGACTACAGGCGCCCGCCACCACGCCCGGCTAATTTTTTTGTATTTTTAGTAGAGATGGGGTTTCACCACATTAGCCAGGATGGTCTCGATCTCCTGACCTCATGATCTTCCCACCTCAGCCTCATAGTAGGTGCTCAAGAAGTATTTTCTCTGACATTCCCATCCCCCATCCTTCATGAGTTGTTGGATTTGGAAAAGAAGTTTGAAATGGGCCGGGCGCGTTGGCTCACACCTGTAATCCCAGCACTTTGGGAGTCTGAGGTGGGCGAATCACGAGGTCAGGAATTCGAGACCAGCCCGGCCAACATAGTGAAACCCCATCTCTACTAAAAATACAAAAAATTAGCCAGGCATGGTGGCTGATGCCTGTAATCTCAACTACTTGGGAGGCTGAGGCAGGAGAATTGCTTGAACCCGGGAGGCAGAGGTTGTAGTGAGCTGAGATTGCGCCATTGCACTCCAGCCCGGGTGACAGTGTAAGACTCCATCTCAAAAAAAAAAAGAAGTTTGAAATGGCTCAGTTCAGAACTCATTTTGTAGAAGAGGAAACTAAGGCCAAAAGTGCTTGGTCACAAGTTGGTTTTCTCTATTTTTATATGTGTATTTTTTTTTTATTACAAAAGCAGTCCTTGAATACATCCACTATTTTGAAAAGGTTTGTACAAGTAAAATTTAAAGTCTCTCTTCCCTTTCTCCCCCCTCATCTCCACTTCTGTCCTTGAAGTAACCACTGTTTACAGTTTGATATTTATCCTTCTAGAACTTTCCCCATGCATTTGCATATCTGTGTGTATGTCGTTTTTTAAAAACAAGTAGGCTCCTCTTGAATATTGATCTGTAACATGCTTTTTCCCACTTAACCATGTATCTTGGAGATCTTTCCACATCTTTCTATGGGTCTGCCTCATTCTCTTTAATGGCCACAAGGGTTAAGGATACGTGTAATAGATTTTGACCATTCCCTGATTGATGGTGTTTATGTTATTTCCGAATTCTTGCTATTACAAGCATGTTGGCAGTGAATACCCTCAGGGCTCATGTAGTAACAGCATGTCTGCCTGAAAAGCGAGACTCTGGGTCAGAAAGGTAAGCACATTTCCAACTTGCCTGGATATTGCGAACGTGTCCTCCAAATAGACAGTGTAAAAGTGCCAGTTTTTTCACACCAAGCCAACACGGAGCATTACCACTTAAAAAATGTAATATTGACAATAAGAGAAAACTGCTCTGTGTGCAGAGTATTTTCTCCTGGTCCCCCAAGGACAGGACTCCTGAGTTGAAAGTGCCTTCAGGGAACACAGGTTTAAGTTAGTAATTTTGTTTCAGCCAAAGAAAATTGACTAGAAAGCTTGGCTTGTGGCTTTGCCCACATCCAGACTGGTCTCTAGCTTCACTGCCACTCCCCAGAGTCATCCAGAGCATGGAAGGCACCACTCAGGGTGCAGAGCCTGTGCCCCCACCCTTCAGGTGCCCGTGCTCCCCATTGTTGGGAACAGCCTTGTTTACACTTGTTGCCTGGCGTAATTACTAACACTCCCCAAAGTGTCCTGGTTGCATGCTAATTTCTTTTTTTGAGATGGAGTCTCGCTTTGTCGCCCAGGCTGGAGTGTAGTGGCATGATCTTGGCTCACTGCAACCTCTGCCTCCCAGGTTCAAGCAATTCTACTGCCTCAGCCTCCTGAGTAGCTGGGATTACAGGCACGTGCCACCATGTCTGTCTAATTTTTGTATTTTTAATAGAGATGGGGTTTCACCATGTTGGTCAGGCTGGTCTCAAACTCCTGACCTTAAGTGATGTACCCACCTCGGCCTGCCAAAGTGCTGGGATTACAGACATGAGCCACTGCCCCCCAGCCTGGATGATAATTCCTATGGACAGTCTGTGCCACCCCATCTCATGAGCGACCCCTACTGGACTGGAGTACCTGACCCCAGTTACTGGGCTTTGACTTAGGGCCTCTGCTTTATGTTGCAGAACCCACTCAGAACCCCTGCTTGCTGGGCTCCATTGTCATTGTCACTCACCTCCCACTCGCTTCCCCATCAGCCCAAAGAACTGGCTTGCCTTGCCCGTCTTCACCTCCTGCAGCTGGAGCTGAATGCTGGGGCCAGCGCCTTCCTGAAGAAGCAGAGAGTTAGTGTTAGAGTTGGGAGGTTGTCCAGCAGACGGGAGGCCAGCCTGGGCAATGGCAATCTCAGGAGTGACAGCTGGTGGTCAGCAGAGACTTGCTGTGCACTGGCACTGGGCACCTCAGCATATTTTACACAGTACTGCACATCTTTGTAATAATAGCTAACATTTCACCTACTATGTTCTGAGCACGTTGATCTAGTAACTAATTTAAACCTCACCAAAACACCAGGAAAACAGTACCCTAAGTACTGTTACTGTCATTTTACACATGAAAACACCGAGACACAGGTTAAAGAATTGTTCAGCTGGGCGCAGTGGCTCACACCTGTAATCCCGGCACTCTGGGAGGCCGAGATGGGTGGGTCGCTTGAGGTCAGGAGTTCGAGACCAGCCTGGCCAACATGGTGAAACCCCGTCTCTAATAAAAATACAAAAATTAGCTGGGCATGGTGGTAGACACCTGTAATCCCAGCTACTCAGGAGGCTGAGGCAGGAGAATTGCTTGAACCTGGGAGGCAGAGGCTGCAGTGAGCCAAGATCCTGCCCCTGCACTCCAGCCTAGGTGACAGAGCAAGACTCCATTTCAAAAAGAAAGAATTGTCCAAGGTCACCCAGCTGGGAAGTGAGAGGTGGAACCAGAAGTTGAACTCAGGCTCAAAGGCTGGTCTGAAACACTGCAGTCATAATCTCATTTAATCTTCACAACCACCATAACTAGTAGAAACTATGATTTCCCCCGGCCCCTGCATTTTACAGATGGAGAAACTGAGATGTAAGGAGGTTAAGTGACTTGTCCAAGGTCACACGGGAAGAGGCTGAGCCAAGATTCAAAGTCTGACTTCACAGTACTGGTTCTGCTCTATCATGGGAAGTGTCTCCAACATAGATGAGGAGAGGGCAGCCAGTGAACTCACGGTGGGTCCCCAGGAGGCAAGGCAGGACTGCTTCCCCTCCTTATCCCCACTCACCTCTCTTCCCCAGGCACTTCCCCCATTGTCCCAGATTTTCCTTGCCTTAGAGCCTGGGCCTCCCGGAAGGAAGTGGCATGTGGTCTGGGGGTGGAGGCTATTACCCTGGGCAAAGACATTTTAATCGTTGTGCTGATGGCATCCTCAACCAAGGACTGTGGATTGACATTCTCATTCTTCCATTAGCCTCTGTGACCTTGGCCAAAGCCTTCTCCCTCTCTGACCTTAACCTGAACTTCTGAACTGGGGCTTGCTCAGTTCTGCTGAAAGGGAGTCGCTCCCTAGTTGAGAGAGTGACAGTGGGTAACATTCATTAGACTGTCTTCACATGTCTGTATCCCCAGCTCCTGGCACTGAGCCTTGCACACATAGGAGCCCAGCACACATGGGACACAGAATGCCAAATGAGGAGTCCTTTCTCTGAGAGTCTGGGAATAGGGAGGGGGCTGGGGAGTCCCCTTTTCCAGGAAAGCTAAAGATAGACAAACAGAGCCCTAGAGTAATGCGAGCCGCCTGCCAGGAGCTGGGAGCTGGGCTTGGATCAGAGGCTCTTTCTTCCATCCCCAGTTTCCCTAGGGGTAGCGCTGGAGCTCCTGGGACCAGCAGGAACCTGGCTAGGGACGACATAAACCCTCTTGTCTCTCACAACTTGTGTTGTGGCACCTTTCAGGATCAGGAATGGATTGTTTTCTAAGCCTTGGACTAATTCACTCACTTCCCATCTGCTTCCCTCCCACCCCACCAGGACGTCAGTGGCTGGGGCATCTATCTTGAGCTGGAGTCACCCAGCCTGGCCAAGAACTGGAAAAGTCTCTTTGGGGATTTGGACCCATTTCTGAAAAGCTCATGAAAACCACTTTGCCTTGGTAAGAGGCAGCCTTCAGGTGCAAGCTGGAGAGAATGGCCACTTATGAATTCAATAGGACTGACCTTTCTCCCCCACTGGGTTTCTGTGCCTGGTGGGGGGGCATTCGGAGACATTGGTTTCCCATTCACTCCGACAGGACTCCTGCCCCCAGCCGGAGCCCTCCATATCCATTTAACCCAAATCCCCAACTCCAGGGATGACTACAGGTTGGGGGAGCCCCGAGAGCAAGGGAGGTAAGTGATGCGATCATGCCCCATTCCTGTTACCTCATTTTTTTTTTTTTTTTGAGACAGGGTCTCGCTCTGTTGCCCAGGTTGGAGTGCAGCAGCACAAGCACGACTCACTGCAGCCTCAACTTCCTGGGTCCCAGTGATCCTCCCGCCTCAGCCTTTTGAGTAGCTGGGGCCACAGATGTGCATCATCATGCCTGGCAAATTTTGTTTATGTTTTGTAGAGATGGGTCTTTCTATGTTGCCCAGGCTGATCTTGAACTCCTGGCCTCCAGCAGTCCTTCTGCCTCTGCCTCCCAAAGTGCTGGGATTACAGGCATGAGACTCCACAGCCGGCCGTCACTTATGTTATGCTTAGCATCCCACAGCATTTGTAAGTTCTTCCTGACTTCTAACCCAGTCTCCTCCCATATTCCAAGCCCTGTATTTTGGGAAGCAGAGGGATGTGATATTAAAGGAGAGTGAAAGGAGAGTAAGGATTAGACCCAGCTGCAGGATGAGGTGCTTTTGGGAAACAGTCCAGCAGCACTAGTTGAAGTTTTTAACGTTTCCCATGGGGCTGCGTAGTGAGGCCCATCACCCAGCAAGGCTTCTGTCTCTAGACCAGGTACCCTGATGTTTGGCACTGACTATAAAAGCATATCAAAGCTGGAGAAAAGCCTTGGGGGGTCACTTCCCTCCTCCGTTTTGCAGGTGAGGAAACTGATGTCCAGAAAGAAGCAGGCATCAGTGGAGACACTCCTAGCCCTGCTGCCCTCTCCTCACTGCACACACTTCCAGGTTCAGACAAACCGGAAAGGAAACCCACCATGCAGGACTGTCCATGTGATGGCTCTTCCCGTGGCTCCATTTCTAAGCGCCTCCGAGGACCTCATCGTGGCCCAGGACCGCAAGCCAAGGCCACCCCAGTGTCCTTACCATCCTGGGAATGGGAGGAGTCAGGCCCAGCCTTGTCCTGTCTGCCCCCCTGGAAGCCTTCCCTGAGCACTGGCCTCTTATTTACCCGTCTTTGTCTCTGGCTTGTTGGTATCTGTCCCTTGTCTGATTAGGGAACGCCTGAGGTCAGGATCTTTGCCTCCCCAATCAGATTGTCAGGCAGGAGTGGGGGTAGTGCAGATGCTGGGTCATTTCTACATGTGAGACCAAATAGTGGTCCTGTTTAAGTTGATCCCCTTGAAAGAAAATTCTGGAAAAGCTCCTCAGATGCACAGATACACAGAATCAGACCTTGGGCAAAGTGTGTAGTTGTGCTTTTGAAGCTGTGCAACCTTGGACAAACTACTTGACTTCTCTGTGCCTCAGTTTCCTTATTTGTGAAATGAGGGGTAGTCATGATACCTTCCCCATGAGGTTGATGGGAGGATTGAGTTAATATTTATAAAGCATTTCAGACAGTGCCAGAGATATACCGTGTGTTAAATAAGTATTTCTTACACACACACACACACACACAGACACACACACACACACACACACACACACACACACTTCGGAGGTCTGCCAGGCCAGGGCTCATAGCCTTGAATCTACCCATGGTAGAGAGTCAGACAACTTGCCTTGCAGACTGCCTGCTCTCCCAGCAGCCATGCAGGGGATCTTCTGCCTCTGCACTGCCGATTATCCCCTGCCCTCGTCAGAGCCTCTCCCCAAAAGTACCTCCAAGGCCACAATTACCCAGGTCTCTGCTTCAGTGCTGAGTGTCTGTTCCTCTCCACCATCACCTGCCACAGTGCACACGGACAGCTCCATCAGGAGAAGCAGGGCGAGGCAAGGCAGCATGGTGAGCCTGCACTGTCCTGGAATCTCTGGGAGCCCCTCTCAGCTTGAAGATGCCTCCTGCAGGCTTTGGTTTGCTCTTTGGCTCCTTGAGTGTAGATAGGGGAAACTCCCCCTGTTTTCTGGTCCTTCCAGCTGTTCCTGATTCCTTCCTTCAGCTTAACTGATCCCCAGGCCAGTTTCTGTGACTCCCCTCCCTCCCTGGCTGGACAGGCCAATGATATTAGGAGCTGCTCAGGAGGAGGGATCAGACCTCTTCCACTGCTGCCCCCTAACATTTGATCCCAGGGCTTAACACTCTGATGCAACACCTGCCTCACCTTTGGCTGTTTCCCTGGTGGCAGGTGCACAGTGGGGCAGTGTGTGGGACCTGGAGCTTGCAGCTTCCAGGCTGGAAAACCTGAAGGGACCTTCTCATCTTAGAAATAAGGGAGGGGGCCATATGCCTTCTCCCTACCTGGTGCTCTGCTCCCCTGTACAGAGAGGCCTCTCCCTGGAAATTAGCAGTATCCCCTTTCTGTCTCCTCTTCCTGTCTTTGAGCCCCCTCCTCTCCAGCATTCTCCTCCATCAATAGTCCCTGTGTGTGCAAAAGAACACGTCTTCCTTTAAGAGAAATAACACATTGCTTAAAGAAATGAGGCTCCTCACGAGTGGGAATTGGGATTTGCCAGAAAAATGGCTGCAGGTTTCAAGCGTCATTGGCTCTAAGTGATCTTTCCCCTGTTGTCAAAGTGATGTTTCTAAGTCCCTAAACTGACTTGTCTCTCCTGCTTACAACCTTTCAGTGTCTTCCCACTGCCCTTGAGTGAATTCAAGCTCCCTAGTGTGGCGTTCATGGTGTTTCATTTAGTTCTTCCCTCTCGCCTATCCACCCAGATCCATTCATCCATCTATCCACTCATCGGTCTAGAACAAGGGCTCTGTGGTCACAGAGGCCTGGATTCCAAATAGTTGTGTGACTTTAGGCACATTACTTAACTCTTCTCGAGAATCCTTGTCTGTAAAACAGGATTAATAATAGCACTTGTTACCAAAGTTTGAGGATGAAATGAGAGAATGCCCTGGAGCACTTAGCATAAAGCGTGATGGTCAATATTTACCACCTGCTGACTTTTTTTTTTTTTTTTTTTTTTTTTGAGACGGAGTCTGGCTCTGTTGCCCAGGCTGGAGTGCAGTGGCGTGATCTCAGCTCACTGCAGCCTCTGCCTCCTGGGTTCAAGCAATCCTCCTGCCTCAGCCCCTGAGTAGTTGGGATTACAGGCGCCCACCACCACACCTGGTTAATTTCTGTATTTTAGTAGAGACAGGGTTTCATCATGTTGGTCAGGCTGGTCTTCAACTGCCAACCTCAGGTGATCTACCTGCCTCGGCCTCCCAAAGTGCTGGGATTACAGGCATGAGCCACCGCACCTGGCTTGACCATTATTACTGTTACTGTTATCGGCATTGGGTGAGGCAGTGGGTGGTAGAAGATGAGTAAGACATTCATCCTGTAGCATATCACAGTTCAGGCACAGAGACCTCTGGTTGGCAGATAAGCTACGTTTGGTTTGACATGTGCCAGCGTAGCGGTGGGAGCAAGGGAAAGGCACGTGCGCCTTCCCAGTCCACCCCTACCCCTGTTCCAGGACAGGCTGTTGCCTCTGCTGGACCTCCCTTTCCGCCTGGTGAATTCCCATTCATTCTTAAAGATCCAGCTTAATACTCGCCTCTTCCATAGAATTCTTCTGTCTCTATTCCTGTCTCTAGCAAGAAGTAATTGGCTCCTTTTGCCAACATCTGCCACTTGGATCTCTATGGCTTCCCACGGGCCTCTATGTGAAGTTGTGCAGGTTGTGTCCTGCACAAGGCTGGCTGCAGAGGGGGCCAGTGGAGGTGAAACGCATCCCCAGCTCTGCTCACTGATCTGCGCAGCCTAGCTCGGGGTGTTCACCCCTGGAAGAAGAAGCTTGGCTCCAGTTCTCCCAAAAGGGACAGCTGGGCTGAGGGCATCTCTGCTAGTCAGCCATGTGGTTGTTGACTTTGCCATGAGCTCTCTGAGAGTAGGGCTGTGACAGATGTGTGCTTGGCATACAGTAGGTCCTTAAGAAACCTGCACTCACCCTGAATCCAGGCCAGCCAAGTCAGAGATGATTAAGGGTAAGTATGGAGTGTTTGAGGGAGGACTACCCCCTCCCCCCACCCAATTTCGGGAATCTTTTTGGTGCGTTCTAAACTGGAAGGCTTCAGAATCCCCAAATTTGCTAAAATGCAGCTTCCCCAGCTTAACCTAATTCCCAGGCAGCCAGTCCTGGCTTGTGGGTTGCTCCCAACTCTGCAGGGAGGCAGTCCCCCAGCCTCCCACTGAGCTCCCCCAAGCGCAGGACACCTAAAGCCTCACACTCCATTTGGGGTTTTCCATTGTCATTAACAGGTTCTTCCTTAGAGGAAACAAAATGTTGCGTTCATCCTCTTGGTTTCACAGGTGTGGAAACTGAGGCAGGCCGGGCTTGCTGTAGGATACACTGAGAATTCATTGGCCGACTGGCTTGGACCCCCCAGCCAGCTCTTTCCCACCTTCCAGTGGGGTCTTACCCACAGGGTTTCAGGCAGAATCACAGCCTGGGCCTCTAGACAGGGGAGATGGCCTTCCATTCTCCTGATGCAGATGGGGTGACCTTAGTCTCTACTGAGTGTCTGAGCCTTAGTTTTCTCCATCTGCAAATTGACGCTGACCCTCCTAGTATGTAGTAAAGATTTCATGAATTCCTGCCGGTAAAGCGTTCAGCAGAGTCCCTGACACACAGCACGCGCTCAGTTAACCCTAACTTAATTGTTGTGATGATGAGGAGGATGATGATTTTATTCCTTCGAAGGAGCGCTGGTCTCCTGGCCCCCTCTCAGTCTCCCGACCTCGCCAGCGCCAGAGCCATCCTGCATGGTCCCGACCTCGTCAGCGCCAGAGCCGTCCTGCATGAGGCAGGATGTGGTGGGCGCACAGCAGGGACGAGGCGGGGGGCACGGGGCAGAAAGGAGAGGGCGACGGGAAGAAGGCAGAGAAAACCCAAAAGGTCCGGAAGGCTGGGAGGGAGGCAGGGCACAGGCTGGAAACCGCGGCTATTTGCAGCGTCGCCCTCGGGCTGCGGTCAGGCTGGCGCTGGCAGTCCTGGCGGCCGAGCCCGCCGCCCCTCCCGGTGCCCTCGGCCACCCGGGCACGGCCCTGGCCGGTGCGTCCAGCTCCGCCCGGTCCCCGCGGCCCCGGCGGCGGGTGGGCTGCGGCGCTGCCGCCAGAGGAGGGACCCGGCCGATCCGGGGTGGGCTGGGGCAGGGCCGTGCGCAAGTCGGGGTGCGACCCCCGGCGGGGTATGTCGCGGCGGTGGCGCCCCCGCGGGAGCCGGGCCGGGGGCGGGTCGCGGCCGCGGCGAGGCTCCCAGGGCGCCGGGTGGGCGCAGGATTGCTAAACGCTGCGGTTTGGCTAAGATTGCGGAGCCGAGAAGAGAAAGGGCGCAGGAGGGAGGGATTTAAAACAAAACTAAAAGGAGGGGGGAAGCAGAGGGAAACGTGAGATGAGGGCGGATGAGGGCAGGAAGCTGACATTTCCTGAACGCCTCCTCCAGCCAAAGTCGGTGCGTGATGGGCCCATTTTACAGGCCGGCGCTGGGAGAAGGCCTCCAGCCATTAAGGGGCAGAGGTGGGATTCGAACCTAGACCTATCTGCTGCTCGCGGGCTCTTTCATCTTGACTGAGGAGCGCGAACCCGAGGGAGTGGGGCGTGGGGCTGGGAGGCGAGGCGAAAGGGAGAGGGCTCGGTGGGGGGTCATGACTGCCTGGTGGGGACCCTGGGGACAGGGGCAGCCGCAGGTTGACGATCTGGGTTCCTTCACCGACCACGCACGAAGGGTGGGGGGAGGTCTGCTTCAGTCTTTCCCGCGCCCCTCCAGCGCCCCCACGTGGAAACTTCTGACCACCTCGTTTCCCCTCCCAGAGCGCCGGCGTGGCGAGATCCAGGCTGGGCTGGAGCTGGGTCCTGGACTTGGAAAGGCCTGTCCCTGGATAGAGGAACAGGAGATAAAGCAGGGGCAGGGCTGCCACGGGCAGGGGGCCTGGGTGTCCTCGGGCACGTAGTGCGGCCCTTCTAGTGGCGGGGAGGGTGGTGGGTAAAGGTAGCCAGGAGTGCTTGACTGGGACTTTGCACCCTGCGCTTGGCCCTCTCCCGCTGTGATGGTTTAAGACTTCGGAAAAAACAACTCTTGCCCCAAGTCTTTGAGGTTCCTTTCATGCATTCATTCACTGATTCTGGATTTACTGAACACCTTTAAATGAGAGTTGCATGCGAACCCAGTTGAAAGAAACAGAGGGCTGGGCACAGTGGCTCACTGTCTGTAATCCCAGCTGTGGTGGGAGGATCACTTGAACCTGGGAGGTGGAGGTTGCAGTGAACAGAAATTGTGCCACTGCACTCTAGCCTGGGTGACAGAGTGAGACCCCATTTCGAAAGAAAGAGAGAGAAAGAGAGAGAGAGGAAGGAAGGGAGGGAGGGAGGGAGAAAGAAAAAAGAAACAGGCATCACAATTTTAACACGGGGATGAGGTGGGGCACACGGGGAAGAAAGGAGAGGGTGACGGGAAGAAGGCAGAGAAAACTCCAAAGGTCTGGAAGGCTGGGAGGGAGGCAGGGCACGGGCTGGAAACCGCAGCTATTTCCGCAGTGTGGAAAGTGCCATGGCAGGGCACTTGGGGGAAAAGGAGGAACCCAGGACTCCCTTTACCTCATTGATAATGCGGGTGTGCTCAGACACTTGTCCTAGAGAGAACACTTAGGGTTTGGAAAAGCGGATCTCTAGGTCCACAGTGTAGATGGAACAAACAGAGCCCTTGCCCTCTGTGCCCAGAGGTTGTGTGGGCAGATGCCTTTGCCCATATTCGTGGCAGGCGGTTTGGCCCAAGCCTGCTTTGGTCTTGGCATTTCTAGCCCCTCAGTTATGCCCCGTGTGTCTCTGAAAGGGCCTGAAGGTATTGCCCAGTTTCAGAAAGAAATTCTCACCACTAGCGGATCAGAGTTCTGTTTTGTTGTTGTTGTTTTGAGTCTTGCTCTGTTGCCCAAACTGGAGTGCAGTGGTGCGATCTTGGCTCACTGCAACCTCTGCCTCCCAGGTTCAAGCAATTCTCCTGCCTTGGCTTCCTGAGTAGCTGGGAAAACAGGCGTGAGCCACCAAGCCCGCCAATTTTTTTGTGTTTTTAATAGAGACAGGTTTCACCATGTCGGCCAGGCTGGTCTGGAACTCCTGACCCCAAGTGATCTGCCCGCCTTGGCCTCCCAAAGTGCTGGGATTACAGGCGTGAACCACCGTGCCCGGCCTATTTCTTAGACAAGGTTGAGCATACAAGGACCTTAAAGGTAGATTTCAGAAGCAGAGGGAGCCAGGCTGAGGGAGGCTGGTGAAGCCCCTCTGTTGGGGCATGTGGGGTCTTCTCCTGACCCTGGCCTCAAATGTGGCCCTGAAGAAGTCTCCCTCCAGAGTGCGTATTCCTCCCGGAAGCCTGTGTGCTATCAAGTCACCAGCGTCTGACCCCATTAGTGAGAGAAGAGAAGCTTATGATTAACATCAACCTTTTCTTCCTGGATCTTGGTTAGCAAGTGCGAGAGAAAAGTGAACAGCTAATTGCAAATGTAATTATAATGCACTGTCCTCTGTCTACCACGTGGAGCCTCCAGACCCCAGTGTCTGCAGAACGGTTTGTTTCTCTTATCAGGGAGGACTCTGGAGCCAGCCACATGGAGACAGCACCCACGGGTTGGGGACTTGGCTGGCGGGGACTTGGTATGAGGGGCGCACGGAGCTGCCCTTTTGGGATTGACCCTCCATCCTGCTCTCTCTGGCTGGACCAGAACCCCTGAGCTGATGGAGCTGGGGGCAGCAGCTGTGGGGGATGAGAGGCTGCCCAGTGTGTCTGTGGTCTGGGAGAGCAGGGGTTAGTCTTGGGGTGGGGAGGGAAGAACCCCAGTCCCTTTCTGGCCTCATGTGTGAGCACTCAATCAGGGAGCAGAGATGGCTAGAGAAGGCAAGTAAATGATTCTCTAAGTCCTTAGGGTTGACTTCCCAGGAAGCGTCCAGGTCTGGAGTTGGGACCCTAGGCTCTGCGGTCTTGGCTGGGCTGGCTCCCCATTCCTGCAGTTCTGCCCCTGCAGATGGAAACAGCTGGAAAGTTTTAGGGCACAGTTGCCCTGTGCCTCGCACTAGATGTGGGGCCTTTAAAGAACTTCCCTTTAGGGGCTGTACGATCTTCATGTCTTGGTACTTTCCCTCCACTTGTCTGCAGACTCCTCTTCTCCCTCCACTATTTCCTTGTTTTGCCTTCAGCTCTGAGTGACACTAGGCATGACCTTTCTTCTCTTTGAGACTCATCTGTAAAATGGAAAGTTTGTTGAATAGGAAGATCTGAGATTCTAAGTGAGGTGGATTGGAGATATCATTTGGAGTAAGTATGTATCTCGGACGGGCAGAGAGGGAGAGAGGGAGGGGGCAGAGGAGAGGAATAGTCTGAGTGCCACCTTTATGGTTAAGTAAACCATCATAGACAGGGATGCCCTATACAGTTGTGCAGGTTGAGCACTGCCCAAAGGTGCCTGGCTGAGGCAGATCATGGAGGCTGAAATTCAGCCCTGCTCATTTCACCAAACCAACCGCTTGGGCCTCACCTGCACCATTCAAGGAAGGGCTGCCTTTTCCCGTTTCACACAGATGTGCCTTATGGGCTAGCACAGGCCCTGATAAAGCCAGACTGGGGGGACAGATGATGAAATATTAGAGCAGAAATCCAAAGGGGATGATGGAACTTATCTTGTCCCCAAATAGGCATCCTTTGACCCCTAATTAAAATGCCTGTGCCAAGCATGGGGAAATAAGAACAAGACATGTCACAGCCCCAGAAAGCTTACACAGGGCAGGGGGAGAGAGGCATGTGACTGGAGACAAAGCACAATAGTACCATTGCTTTAAGCATGGCAACCATATTTATTTGAGTGTCAAATCAGGACATAGTGTACATTGTATGAGCACACATACAGGGCTCACAAAAAGGGGTTTTTGACTTTAGGAGTTTTCTGGTCAACCTGAGCATGAGTCTGGAGGAGTTATAGCAGAGTTTTGTACAGAGCATGGATGCATCGAGGGGAAATTTTGCTGGGAGAGTCAGGAAAAGTTCTCAGAGGAGATATTGAATGGTGGATGCCAGTTTGCCGAGTGATGATAGCGAAGGGTGTCTAGGCAGCGGGAACAGCACAAAAAGGTACTGAGGCTTGAAAGAAGACAGTTCTCACTGGGTTTAAGTTCAATGAGAGCCTGTACAGGCTGTCTGGGAAATGGGGAGCCTCGAATGCAATGCTGGGGAGCTTGGATTTTATCCAGGCGGATAAAATCCCTAGGGATTTTTATTTCTCTTAAGGGCTCTTAAACTCTCCTCTCCTCAAAGAGGTGATGAGGAGGAGGGAATGGAGATGGGGAGGGGCTGGAGGCAGGGAAGCCTTTTAGGAGGAAGTCATTGTAATAGTCCAGGGAAGAAATGGGTCGGCCTCGAAGGCAGACCTGGGGCTTGGGAGAAGAGGGCTGGGGCCAGTGACATTGCAGAAGGCATCAGGCACCAGTAGATCTGAGACCTGGAGGGAAGGAGGATTGGGAGGAGGAAGAGGAAGGAGAGCAGGCTCGGGGTGGGGGCGGGTGGGCTGTGAGTGTCCATTTGGACAATTTCATGGGAGATGCTGGAGATGCTGGAGCTCCAGGGGCAAAGCCATGGAGCTTTAAGGAACTCAGTGTTTGGGGCTGGTGAAGCTAGAGGAGACCAGGAAAACCCTGCAAAATCAACAATAACAGGCTGACATGGAGACCTAGGTAGGCTATGGCAAGGGGGTGGGATGGGAGAGACCGAGAAGGAGAATTAGAAGGGCAGGTGCATCAGGAGAGAGAAGAGGTGTGGACACCAGGGAGAGTGACACTTACAAAGGTACAGACGCATATGTACAGACATGTACATGTTCACACCTGATAAGGGCAGGAAGCATACACTTCTGAGATGAGCTGAAGTAACATCATCCATTTGATATGCTGTATTATTTGAATATTTTACAGTGAAAATATGTGCATGTATTACTTGCAGCATTAAAAAGCAATTGAAGGCCCAGTGTGGTGGCTCATACCTGTAATCCCAGCACTTTGGGAGGCCAAGGCAGAAGGATTGCCTGAGTCCAGGAGTTTAAGACCAGCCTGGGCACAAATCAAGACCCTATCTCTACGAAAAATGAAAAATAAAAAATAAAAAATAAAAAATTAGCTAGGTGTGGTGATGTGTGCCTGTAATTCCAGCCACTCAGAGGCTAAGGTGGGAGGATTGTTTGAGCCCAGGAGGTCAAGGCTGCAGTGAGCAGTGGTTGTGCCACTGTACTTCAGTCTGGGTGACAAAGCAAGACCTTGTCTCCAAACAAACAAACGAAAACAACAAACCACAATTGAAAACAGAT
The DNA here is from genome assembly GCF_000001405.40 of Homo sapiens. Taxonomy (NCBI): domain Eukaryota; kingdom Metazoa; phylum Chordata; class Mammalia; order Primates; family Hominidae; genus Homo; species Homo sapiens. Next base: position 49,856,509 of record NC_000017.11, read on the forward strand.
AAAAAGTAATCAAAATGTCCATTAACCTGAGAATGGATTAAGCACTTATGGTAGTGGACTATTACACAGCAGTGAAAATAGATGAGTTAGAGTGCATGTATCAACATATAAACTCATAAAATGTTGACCGGGTGCAGTGGCTCATGCCTGTAATCCCAGCACTGTGGGAGGCTGAGGCGGGCGGATCACGAGATCAGGAGATCGAGACCATCCTGGCTAACACGGCGAAACCCCGTCTCTACTAAAAATACAAAAAATCAGCTGGGCGTGGTGGCACTCGCCTGTAGTCTCAGCTACTCGGGAGGCTGAGGTAGGAGAATCACTTGAACCTGGGAGGCGGAGGTTGCAGTGAGCCGAGATGGCGCCACTGCACTCCAGCCTGGGTGACAGAGCAAGACTCCATCTCAAAACAAACAAACAAACAAACAAAAAAACAACTCATAAAATGTTGAGCAAAAGCAGCAAAGTGCAGCAGAATACCTATAAGGCCAGCCCATCTAGGTAGAATTTACAAACATGAAAGACACATCTCCATGTTATGAAGGGATCCATGCACATGTAGTGAAAGTGTGAAATATTCATGGGAATAACTGATGGGTTTAGGAGGGAGCTCACCCATGGGGAGGGAAGGAGGGAGGGGGATGGGGTCAGGAGAGGACACAGGTGGTTTTAATTCTTCTTGGAAATGAGTTATTCCTTAAGCTGGGTAGTGAGCATTCGGTTTTGCCATACTGTTATATGTGCTTTATGTAATTCACCCATTTTGAAAAAAAAAAGACTAGAAGAGAAATATGAAAAGCCCATGGGGAGAGGAGTTTTAAGAACCAGGGCCTGGCCAACATGGCAAAACCCCGTCTCTAATAAAATACAAAACTTAGTCAGTCTTGGTGGCGCACACCTGTAGTCCCAGCTACTCGGGAGGCTGAGACAGGAGAATCACTTGAACCCGGGAGGCAGAGGTTGCAGTGAGCCGAGATCGCACCTTTGCACTCCAGCTGGGGCAACAGAAAGAGACTGTCTCGAAAAAGAACAAAACAAAACCATGGAAGGTGGCTGGGCATGGTGGCGGTGGCTGGGCATGGTGGCAGTGGCTCGCACCTGTAATCCCAGCACTTGGTAGGCTGAGGTGGGTGGATTGCTTGAGCCTAAGAGTTTGAGACCAGCCTGGGCAACATGGTGAAACCTTGTCTCTATAAAAAATTTAAAAATTAGGCCAGGCACAGTGGCTCACACCTGTAATCCCAGCACTTCGGGAGGCCGAGGCAGGCGGATCACCTGAGGTCAGGAGTTCGAGACCAGCCTGGCCAACATGGAGAAACCCCGTCTGTACTAAAAATACCAAAAATTAGCTGGGCATAGTGGCGGGCGCCTGTAATCCCAGCTACTCAGGAGGCTAAGACAAGAGAATCGCTTGAACCTGGGAGGCGGAGGTTTCAGTGAACCGAGATTGCTCTATTGCACTCTAGCCTGGGCAACAAAAGCGAAACTCTGTGTCAAAAAAAAAAAAAAAAAAAAAATTTAAAAATAGCTGGACATGGTGGCATGTGTTAGGAGGCTGATGTGGGAGGATCACTTGAGCCTGGGAGGTGGAGGTTGCAATGAGCAGAGATTGTGCCATTGCACTGCAGCCTGGGCGACTGAGTGAGACCCTGTCTAAAACAAACAAACAAACAAACAAACAAAAACAGGGAAGAGTCACCAGTGTCAAATGCAGCAGAAGGTCCCACAGGGAAGCAGGGGCTGGAGGCAGAGACATTGGGGTATCCCGGGGCAGGAGCATGCCCACCAGTGTATTGGGCCTGCTTTCAGTTTTCCTGTGAAGAATCCTCCTGGCCAGAGGGCCCTAAAATCCCATTATCAGCCAGTGGTCCCCTGGGGGGTTTCCCCTGTGGCTTAGAGCCCCTGCAGCCTCTGGGACTTGCCTCTGGGACTCAGAGGCAGCGCCTTGGTTCTTTGATGTTGTTAATGATGGTAGAGTGAAGCTGTCCTCCTCTCTCACCAAAGAGTAAATGGAGTCATCACCTTGAGACTCATTGGAAGACCTGAGGGGGTGATAGTAGTGCCACCAGCCAGTGCTCCCGGAGGTGTAGGTTGGCCCTGAGACAGGGGGATGACCAAGCTGACTTCAGGAAGAGTTGGAGAGTCTCCAGTGGAGATTCTCCGGCGCCCAGGGGCAGGTGGGCGAGGACGATGTTGAGGCTTGAAGATTTGGGGAGGCCAAAGCCAAACCCTGGTGCCCAGGCATGGAGAGTGAGTGCTGCCCAGGCTTGGCAGACAGCAGGCTGAAAGATGCAGTGCCAAACTGGGGAGAGGGGCTGCCAGGGTTGAAGATCAGAGGAGCGGATGGGGGAGCCGGGGCACTGTCAGGGCTTGAAGCAGGAGGCCGCCGGGGGTGGCATGTTGGGGAATCAGTGAAGCCAGGGGAGGCTGGGAGGAAGCAGGCATTGCCAAAGCAGCAGTGGGAAGGAGTCAGTGCCAGCTGAAGGCCGGGGGTGGGGAGCTGGGGCAGCAGGAGGGAGCCCTAGCACTAATTCCCTCCCCAGACTTCCTTCGGTTTTGCAACAAAAACAGATGCCCCTGTTGGTGAGTTGTAAACAGAGTTTTAGGGTTCAGAGGGTTCTTTGTGGGGTCTTTTCCAATCCTGTTTTTGCACAGATGGAGACAGCAAATGCCCAGAGTTGGGGAGGTTGGCCTATGCAAGGCCACCCGGTGAGTCTAGTGACAGGACCTGGATTGAACCTGCCTGCATGTCCAGGTCTCTGCCAATGTCTGTGGACTGTAGGGTGGGGACCTGGGGGGAAGGGGGTTCCCAGAGTGAAGGGCTCCAGTCCTGACCACAGGGAGCAGCAGTCCTACTGGGGAGGGAGACGAGACGAGGCTCAAACACATCTAAACCCAGCCATGGATGGAAGTTCTGTGTGCGCTGTCGGGGAAATATTCTGGAGCAACAGTGGACTGGCCCTCCGGGAGCCAGTGTCTTTGAGGGAGGTGTGCCACAGAAGCTGTAGCTTGGGCAGTGCTCCAAATAAAGGGGAGGCTTTTAAATCCATTAAGAGTTTATTTTCAGTGGAACCCAAATATCCCAGCATACTAGAAAAGATGTGAAAGACAAAAATCCATCATGAAGGTGGAATTATTATTATTATTGTTATTATTTTTGAGACAGAGTGTTGCTCAGTTGCCCAGGCTGGAGTGCAGTGGCAGTATCTTGGCTCACTGCAACCTCCGCCTCCCGGGTTCAAGCCATTCTCCTGCCCCAGCCTCCCAAGTAGCTGGGATTACAGGCATGCACCACCACACCTGGCTAATTTTTGTATTTTTAGTAGAGATGGGGTTTCACCATGCTGGCCAGGCTGGTCTTGAACTCCTGACCTCAGGTGATCTGCCCCCCTCAGCCTTCCACAAAGTGCTGAGATTATAGGCGTGAGCCACCACGCCTGGCCAAGGTGGAATTATTGTTGGGTGTCTAAAGCTAACCTTGGTTCCTCATGCTGTCTGAAGGGAGCCAGGGTGTGGGCCTCCAATCAGCAGATAATCCTGACCCCATAGGTCTGCTGGGGGACAGAGTTGAGGGCCTTCTCTTAGCTTTCGTCAACTGCAGCCCCAGGAATGTGCACCGCAGGCCAAGGGCAGAGGTCACTGGGGAAGTGTCCCGGAGAGCATCAGTTCGCCACCTCGTTAGACAGTGCCGCAGCCTGAGGTCCCGGGAGAAGTAACAGCCTCAATGTTTGATTTATTTCTAGGATGTTTGCGGCCTCGCATGTGACTAGAGGAGTGTTTGCCATTCTGGGAGGGCGTTAGCTTGAACTAGGGTGGTGCCGCCAGAGGGCAGTGAATGGCCCTGGGATAGGTGCTCAGGAGAGTGGGCCTGGCTGGGCAGAGATGGAACTGTGGGGAGGGGCCGATGGTGGCCTGAACCCTGAACTGTCTCCACCCTGTGTTTGGCCTGGGGATGCTGAATGATTTGGAAGGGTGGCCCACCATCAGGGGAAGGGCGGGGTGTCCAAAAGTTCCTGGGGGCTGCAGGATGGGACCCATTTAGCCTCCGCAGTCATCTGACCCCCATGACTCAGGCCTGGCCCTGCCCTTGAAGGGCACTGGGCCAGTCTGAGCTCATCACCACTGCCCAGAGCAGAAGTGGTAAACAAGTTCACCCTCGGCCTCCCACCCCTGAGAGGAAGCAGAGGGTGAGGTGGGGGCCCTCAGGCAGCTCAGCCCAAGCCTTCTACATAATGCAGGTGCATGTCACGGGTGTCCCAGGGGCTGGTGGGGTGTGTGCTGGGCTCCTGCATGCGGGCGACACGCACAGGTACATGCTTCCCTTCACTCACACTCATGGGGGTGCCCATGGCCAACCTTTCCAGGGGCCAACTTGGCCAGGTTCATGGGGACCATTTTACCCCCTCCGTGATGTCCAGGGCCAACAGCCCAATGCTCATGAGGCTGGGCCTGAGGACTGGGGGTCCCCATGGAGTAACCCCTGGTTTGATTCCCTGGTCGTCAGGCCTCACGGCTCAGACCCATGTGCTATGGGGTCCCTTATGGCTTCTGGGACCCTAGAGATGCCACAGAAAAATATTCTTGGCCTACCTAGGTCCGTGGTAACATCTGAGAAGGTCCGATCTTCTTAAGCATCTTGCTTCTCCTGTTATCTTCTGCCCTCCCTTCCTCCCTCTTGCCTTTCTCTGTCTTCCTCCTTTTCTTTTTCATCCCCTGTCCTGATCTTTCTCCATCGCTTTTCTCCTCTCAGCCCAGGTAACTGTTATTGCTACTTGTAGCCACCAGATGGCACCAGCGCATCATGTGTCCCCGGTCCTTGCTGGGGGTCCCCCCCCCACCCGCCAAGATGATTAACCTTTCACAACACCCACACCCTGTCCAACGCCTTCCCAGGACTTTACACCCAGAGGAAAACATGCAGCAAAATACCAGCAGGGCCAGGGTAGGGGCAGGAGCATCCAGCTCCCTGGGGAGAGCCTCTACCTGCCATTCCCTTCAGGGTGTCCGCCCACGCCCACCGAGGGTGTGATAGCCTTTACTCCCGGCAAGCCAGTGAGGTCCTAGTGATCATCTCCAGAGAACAGAATTCAGAGAAGTGAAGCCACTTGCTGAAGGCAGGACAGCACGTGTGTAGCGGAAGGGAACTCAAACCCAAGCTTCGCAGGTTCCAAAACCCTGGGCTTCCTGGGCAAGTGAGGCAGGAAGGGGCTGGGGCAAGGATCTCCAGAGCCAGAGCGCTCTCTCCCACACCAAGTCCCTGTTCCTACTTCCGTCCCTCTCATGTCTCCTTGGTCCGCTTCTTTCAGACCTGACTCAGAACCCTCTGCCCAGGGAGGTGCTCGTGATGACCTCAGCCCTTGGGTCCTCTTAGAATTTAGGCATCTGGGCCGGGCGCGGTGGCTCATGCCTGTAATCCCAGCACTTTGGGAGGCCGAGGTGGGTGGATCACCTGAGGTTGGGAGTTCGAGACCAGCCTGACCAACATGGAGAAACCCCATCTCTACTAAAAATACAAAATCAGCCAGGCATGGTGGCGCACGCCTGTAATCCCAGCTACTCGGGAGGCTAAGGCAGGAGAGTCGCTTGAACCCAGGAGGCGGAGGTTGCAGTGAGCCGAGATCGCGCCATTGCACTCCAGCCTGGGCAACAGAATGAAACTCCGTCTCAAAAAAAAAAAAAAAAAAAAAAAAAAAGAATTTAGGCATCTGTACATGAACCAGTTTCTTTTTTTCCCTTTTTTTGCCCCTTTGTTCTGTGTATCCTGGCACTCTTTCTCTTCTAATGAGGTTGAAATGTAGAAGAGGTGGTCCCTGCCCTCTGGGAGCCCCCAGGCTGATTTGAAAACATAACTCTGCCCCAGGGGCCAATCGAATGGGGGAGACAGAGGTGCGGCCATCTGGGAGCCCCTGCTAGTGTTGAGCCTGAGCTAGGTGAGGATATTCAAGGCAGGCTTCCTGGAGGAGCCAGGGAAGGGGTGGGCCAGGACTAGGGGAGGTAGGCTGAGTGAGGGTAGTGCCCTCTGTGACAGCCATGGGGCTAAGAGTTGTCCAATGATCTTCATGTGTGGGGAGCAGAGGTGGGGCTGTCACAGCCCTGTATTCAGGGGAGGGGACCGCGTTGGCCCTAACTTGGGCTAAGCTCCCCTCTGGCCCATCCCGCCGCCCCACCCCTCACTCCCTGTCCCGCTGGGAGGCTGGCTGTGGGCTGGGGCCAGGAGGGCCAGGGTGGGGTCCCTTCCTCAAGGCTGGAGCAGGATCCTCAGCAGGCTGTGGCAGTGCCCAGGAGCCAGAGAGGAGCCGCCGCCCCCCACCCCCTTGGGCCCCTCTGTAATTAGGGCTATTTTTAGGCCCCTCTTCCTTCCTATTTCAGGCCTCTGGACTGGGCCGGAGAGTGGGCTGTCCTGGGGCCGCGGGCTGGAGCCGCTAAACTGGGCCGCGGCGTGGGAGCTGCAGCCACAGCAGAGACCACAGCCCGGGCGGAGTCCTGGTGGGGGAGGGGATCCCAGGACGTGGCCAGGCCTGGGGCAGGGCTGGGAGTGGGGGCGTGTCTTGGCTCATCAGACCCCTCCCTGGGCCCCTTATGGATCGATTCCACCCTCTGCCCATCCCTCTGCCAGTGCCCCCAGCCCTACTGATGTGAAGCAGTTAGTCCTTGGCCTGCAACTCTGTGTGTATCCAAAGATTGTGCAATGCCAGCACTTTCAGGCAGTGTTGGCCCTAGGAGCGATGCCCAGAATGTTCATAATAATGACCAGCATTTATTGAGTGCTTACTTTGTGCCAGTTACAGTTCCGGCGCTTTACCTGTATTAACTCACTGCTTACAACAGCACGTTGAGATCAGTGCTATTTTATCTCTATAAATGTCTCAGATAGAAAGATTGAGACTCAAAAATAGTTCATTTGACAGCTGGGCACAGTGGCTCATGCCTGTAATCCCGGCACTTTGGGAGGCTGAAGCAGGAGGATTGCTTAAGCCCAAGAGTTCGAGGCTGCAGTAAACTATGATTGCAGGACTGCACTCTGGCCTGCGCAACAGAATGAGACCCCATCTCTTTTTTTTTGACTTGGAATCTTGCTCTGTCACCTGTCGCCCAGGCTGGAGTGCAGTGGTGCGATCTCGGCTCACTGCAATCTCTGCCTCCTGGGTTCAAGCGATTCTCCTGCCTCAGCCTCCCAAGTAGCTGGGATTACAGGTACGTGCCACCACGCCTGACTAATTTTTGTATTTTTAGTAGAGACGGGGTTTCACCATGTTAGCCAGGCTGGTCTCAAACTCCCGACCTCGTGATCCACCTGCTTCGGCCTCCCAAAGTGCTAGGAGTACAGGCGTGAGCCATCACACCCAGCTGAGACCCCATGTCTTTAAAAAAGAAAATAAAAGAAATAGTTGATGTATCCTGTGTCAGGCTTATTCTTGTCTTTGTTAGGTATTGGAGGAAGGAGATGCTGAGAGACATGCGTTTCTTCCCGGATATTTTCAGGCTCCAATCTGAGGGTCCAGTACTATCAGGCATGGCTCCCAGGCAGCTGCCTGCTGACGCTCTGTCTGTCCATACTGCGATGGTCCGTGACCTGTCCTGCAGGCGGAAGGGTGGGTCTTTCCCAGCTGGTTCCAGTTAGGCACAAGAAAGCGGGCGAGGGGTATATTTAGCCCTGGTTTCTGGAGGAGCCAGAGGTCTTTCATCCTTGGAGGCGCCGGCCGCAGTGGGACTCAGCTTGCCAACGCTGGGCTCCTGGGCTGCAGGCTTCAGGGCAGAGAGTGGGGTCAGGGAGAAGAAGGGGCAAATGTGATCCTACCCATTTCAGGGGCCAGAGTTGAGGGCCAAGTGGTGATGCCAGGCAGGGCAAGCAAGGCTTGACTGCCATGCTCAGAATATGTCCCTGTAAGCTGGAGGGCTCCTGTAGGTAGTGGAGGGCAGGCCTGGTGGTGGGGGAGAGGGATAACCCGCTGCCTACCCCTCCAGCCCAGACCCAGCCTAGGCCTAGTATGTCCACAGCGTCAGGTTTATTCTCTGGTGCTTAGCTCTGGCCTGGGAATCTGGGGGCCTGTCCTTAGGAGAAGTGAGCAGGGGCAGAGTTCAAGGAGTAGGGAGGGGGTACCCTAGACTGCCTGCCATGTTTGGGTGTTCATATTTGGAGAAGGTGGGAGGGTTGGGGGGGCAGATATACACGTGCAGGAGAGAAAGAGGCAGGCATAGAGCAGCAACAACATGCCACGTGGTGTGTTGGGGTCTACAGGAGGGGCGCACATGTTTGATTCAGCACTATGTGCTGGGGCTATGTAGTCTGAACATGGTGTGATGGGGCTGGTGGGCTGGGACCCCATGAGGTATGGAGGATTGTGTTGCTGGGATCTGGTGGTGTGTGGGTGTGAGATGACCCATGGGTGACCGTGGCATGCTCCACTGTGGGTGACTAGGACATTGTGTGGCTCCATCATGCTGTCCATGGGGGCAGCCTGTGAGTATGATCGGAGATGAGGGACTAGAGTTTAAACTGTACGACTGTGATCTTGTGGGGTGTGTAATTATCCCCATGGATGTTGGTCTCTGTGTGTGAGACTGTGAGTAAACACATGTGTGGATGGAGAGTTTGGGGCTCTGACTCTGTGTGTGCGTGTGTGTGTGCGCACATACCCACGTGTGATTGTGATTCTGAGTGTAGCTGGGTGTGTGAAACGTGCACAGACCTATCAGCCACTGCAAACGAGGCCTGCTCCCTGCTGAGGTTCATGGCCTCTTGCCCTTCCGGGGACCCCCACCCCAAAGCCACAGGCCCTCTGGGCCTGAGGGAGGGAACCCTACAAGTTGTAAGCGCCTGTCTCTCTCCTAATCCTTTCACCCCCACTCCCTCCGACCCGTCCCCACAGACTGCAGGCTTCTACCTGCCCCAGGCGGGAGGCAGGGGAGAGAAAGAGGAGCCTGCCCGCCTGCCCGCCGCCCCTCTGTCGTCTCCACGCTCAGACAAAGAGCTCACCCTGGTCTCTGTGGGCGTCTGGGAGACGCTGGGGGGATTAGCTGCCCGCACCGCCCTCTCCCCACCTTGTGCCAGCCCACCCGGCTGGCACCAACACCTCAAGCCCAGGGGCGGTGCCCTCACCGCAGCCTCTCTAGCCTGGGAGAGTGTGTGTGTGTGTGTGTGTGTGTGTGTGTGTGTGTGTGTGTGTGTCTTGCTCAGCAGGGGTATGTGTGGAAGCAGAGGTACAGGCCCCTGAGAAGCGGGTCTTGGGACACCACCTTCCATTGCTGGCCTGGGCAGGCTCTCACCTTGGTTTCTGCTTCTCTGTCACTCCAGCCTGTGCTTGGAAGGCCTACATCTTTGTTGTCACCCCTGTGTCTTTGAATCCCTCATTCCCTGCCCTCTCACCCCTCCCCCACTGTTGACTGCAGCTCAGACCTTCCATTCTTTCCCCTGCATTCCTGGGGGAGGGCATGACCAGGCCAGTGAGCTCTGAGAGCAGGAGGGAGAGAAGGCGGCAGGCTTCCTCCAGTGAGAGCTAGGCATACCCCCTCAAGGCTAAGCTGTCCATTTCACCACGGGCTCAGGAGGGATAAGGCTGGATGGAGGAGACTTGGGGATGACACTGGGAGTGGCTATTACTTGTGTTTCAGGAGAGTCCCCTGTGGCTTCCCCTGCATCAGCAGAGCAACTAGTATATGGTTAGAGTAACTGTCTCATGACTTCAAGGCCCAAAGTTTGGCCCTTTTCTTCACATTGTGCAAAACCAGAAATGGTTTTCAAAATTCTTTCATGTTTATTTTCATTGGATTTTCACAACAGAAAGGGTGAGTATTGCTACTTTTCTCATTTCAGAGGTATTTAAACCAAGGCTCAGAGAAGTTAAGGGATTTATCCAAACTCACACAACTGGTGAGCAAGAAAGCGGAGAGAGAACCCAGGGTCTTGCTCTGTAAGTGTCAAGAGAGACCCTTTGGATCCTTCATAATTCCTGTGACCAGACCTCTGCCTCCCCAGTACCTGTCCCCTCCACCCCTGAAGAATCTGCTGTCTCGGGAAACTCCAGAATGGAGCTGGGCCAGTGGGAGCTGGATGAGATGACCTGGCTCCTCCCTGAGTCACACCCAATCCTTGAGCAATCAGGTCCCAATTCCACAGACAGTTCTTATGGTCCATCCCATGCTTTTGAGAGAGTTATGGAAATCCTCCTCTTTCTGCTATGTGGGTTGGGGTCTACTTTGTTCTTAAAGAGCCCTCCATATTCTTTTTTATCCAAAAGTTATTACATAGTTTAGGCCCCTCCTGCTGCAGAAAAGGACTGTCTCCTTTGGTTTGGTCTTCAGTGGAGGTGGTGAGGCACTGGCCCCATCCCTTCTATGGGAGTGTGCTTCCAAGAAGGATGCTGGGATTTCCCAATGACTGGGGGAGGCCATGAAGGTTAGGGAGCTGGCTCAGTGTCTTGAAATAAGAGATGACCTATAAATGTAGAGGAACACACAGTGGTGAGTGGGTGGATAAATATATAGAAGTGGGTGATGTCCAGGTGAGTGGATGGAGGATGCATGTGTGAGTTAGTGGGTAAGTGGATGGATGGATGAGTGGGCAGGTGGGGTTTGTGGATGGAGGAGCGGCTGATGTTTGGATGGATTTGTGGGTGTTTAGGTAAATGGATATAAGGGTGAATGGTTGAATGGATAGATTATTAGGTGGGTGCATGATGGATGGCTGGATGGATGGATGGATGGTTGAATGGATAGATGGGTAGAAGAAAGAAAGGAAGAATAGGATGGATGAATGGATAGATGGATGGAAGGAAGGAAGGATGAATAGGTGATGGAAGGATGCATAGGCGAATGGGATAGTGGGTGGATAGGCATGAGAGTAGATTCGTGGCAGAGATTTGGGAGCCTGGAGGAGTCTTTAAAAGACAGACTATACATAGTGAATGAGTTTTTCACATCTACCTTAGTTTTGGTCAGCTCTCAATCATCTAGACTGATGGAGAGAAACCATGCTATGGAAAAGTCTAGAAGGTGTTGGCCTATTTCTTGGTCTCTTCTGCCCTTCGGAAAAATCTTCTCTCGTGGGACTCTATGGCCTGGTTTCCCATGATTATAGGAGCCCTCATGCATTGAGAACATGCTGGATGCCAGGTGCCTTACATACATCGTCACATTTAATTCTCACAACATCCCTTCAAGGTAGGGAGTACTTCTCCCATTTTACAAATGAGGAAACTGAGGCTCAGAAAGGTGAAAGGATATGCTCAGTATTACCCAGGCAGGATGTTGGAAAATCAGGATTCCTATTCAAGTTGGCCTGACTTCTCTGCCTCATGCCACCCCTAATTTCTGAACACCCCCCCCTCCCTGCAGTCCCAGGCCCAGCTGGAGAGAATGGGTCCAAGGAGCATCAACTGGAGGGACACATCAGAGAGGTGAAGGAGAGGGCTTCAGAGGATGCAAAGGCTAGAGGACCAGAGATGGGCCCACATGGGGATCCTCAAGGCTTCCAGGGCTGGTGCAGGGGCCAGTCAGCCTCTGTCTGAAATAAGAGGCAGCATGAAGGATTTGGGTGAGACCACCAGAAGGACTTTCTGGCCTAGAGGGGTATAGAACTCTGGAATGGGTGGAAGAGGGAAGGCATAGAGAAACATCCTTTGGAGAAAGCATCTTCTGGGAGCTGCAGTGAGGCTGACTTCCTGACCAGAGCAGGAGGTGGCTAGAGGTCATTTCAGGACCTGCCCTTTCAGCCAAGAGGCTGGCATCCCTGCCTGGCTGGAAGTTCCGAACCTCAAGAGCTGGAGTTTTTCCGGCCCAAGGAAAGGCAAATCATGGGGACTGGTCCTAAGATGCTGAAGCTGGAGCAGTTTGGAGCCCACTTCAGAACACTGAACCTGGGGCAGAGAGAGGCCAGGATGCTTTTTCTGGGAGACAGAGAGGTGGTGGCTGCAGGAACCATGAGAGATGCTCGCCTTGCTCAGAAGTCCCTGAGGTCAGCAGCCTGCCCTTCGCCTGGGGATGCTGCCCGTGAGCAGGTGGCTCTGACCTCTGGCCAGCTGTGGGCAGGGGTGGAGGAGGACTGGGGGGCTGAGACTGTGTGGTCCAGGTGGCCCGAGCAGAGGGTGGCCCCTCCTGTGTCTCTCCTCTCCCTCTGGCCTCGCCTCCTGGCCCTTTGATGCTCCTCTCACCACAGACTTCAAACAGGCTGCCCTCTGCTCTGCCCGCCGCCCGCCCTGCCTGCCTGCGATAATTAGAGCCTCACTCCCTGCCTCTTGCCCTCACTCTCTTCCCAGCTCTCCAGGGAAGCTCTGCCAGCTCTCTAGGCGCCGATCCTCCATTCTTTTTTCATTTTCTCACCCCTTCTCTTTTTCTCCATCTCTTCCCTCTGTTCTTGGTTCTCTGTCTCTGATCCTCTGTCTAGATCAGGGATCTCTCTCTCTCTCTCTCTCTCTCTCTCTCTCTCTCCTCTCTCTCTCTCTCTCTCTCCTCTCTCTCTCTCTTCCCCCTCCCTTCTTCCCCATTTCTCTATCTACCTCTGTGTATTTTCTCACTCTGTCATCTTTTCTCTGTCTTCTCTCCTCTATCCATCTCTGTCTTTCCTTTTATTTTTCTTCTCTCTCCCTTTTCAGGAGATCTTCACCCCCACACATGGTTGGCTGCCCTCTTCTGTGCCTTTACCCTCCCAGAAACTGGGCCTCGGGACTCCCCTCTGCTCCCTGATTGAGCTGGGTCCTGGTGCAGGCAGGAAGTAAGCCAGCACAGGGCCCCTCTGCCTCCTTTCTGGTCAGGGCCCTCTGGGCTCCTGGGCCTGGAGGAGGGGGCAGCCTCAGGGCCCTCTCACCCCTCCTTTGGCATCTTTTAGGCCCTTTGCAGGTCTGGATTTTCTGACTCACCTGGCCTCCCACCCAGAGTGCCCCCTTCGTGGCCCTGTGGGAGGCGGTACCATGGCCATTCTCTTTCCCAGGAGAAGAGGGGTCTTGCCTAGGAGCCTCTCCGTGGCCTGATGGAAATAGGGGAGCCAAGAACCCCACAAACCTCCCTCCACAGAGCACTGGAGCTTGGGCTGGACCTTGAGCCCCTGCCAGGGCCCAGGCACCTCTGGCAGTATCTGTCAGTCAGGAGCAGGGGTCCCATGGCCACTGAGGAGAGGCTTATACCGCCCCCCACCCCCGGGCCCAGGACTTCTGGTGCTGCAGATCCAGGCCTCTTGGAGAGACTAGTTTAAAGGGGCAAGGGCCTTGGAGGGTGGTGAGAGCCCAGGCTGTGCACAGACTCCCAGGGCTGAGAGCCAGATGGGTGGGAGCCCCCACTGGCACTGCAGCCCCGGACTGGACCCTTGGCATCCCTGGGCTGCAGTTTCCCAAGGGCACTGTGATGGTAAGAAAGGCATGACACAGCCCTCAGCTGCGCATGCTGCTTTCCAGTTCATAGCCCTTTCCTGGTCACGAGCCTCCTGACACCCAACACAAGCAGGAAGTCTATATCCTTTGTACAGATGAGGACACTGAGGCATCAGGCGTGCCTCAGGTGCTCTTCTCTAAGGTCCCTCCTGGAGGGGGAGGGCAAGCTGGCTGGGCCGCAGGCTCAGGGCCCCATGGGATTCCAGGCCCCAGACAGTGGGTGGCAGGCAGGACACAGGCCTCTGTCCAGAACTTCACTGCCCTTCAGGCGCGGGTAGTTCTGGCCAGTTCTAGGTGGCAAAAATGGGTGCTCACCAGGTAGGTGGGAGCTGAGGAGTGGAGGGGCTGCAGCAGGAAATCCAATATTTACTGAGCATTTCTGGATAGGCCCCAGGAGAAGCCATGTCTGGGGGCTGCCGAGGGGATCAGGAGCTGGACAGGCTGGGGGAGGGGCCCTCTGAGTTGGCCAGACCTGGGGCAGAGGGATCTCCCAGCCACCCAAGGGTGTGTGTGTACATGTGTGTGCACGATTGTGAGGCGGTGTGGGATTGTGTGTACAGATGTGAACGTGTATACACCAGCACGAGTGACTGCAGGTGTGCTGTGTGTGTGCACACGTGTGCATGTGAGCGAGGGTTTGGGACTATGTACATACGTGTGTGTGAAGGTGTGGTTATGTGAGTGAACGGGAATGAGGGGGAATGACCATGTCAGTGGCTGCGCCCTGAGTGTGCATATGAATGGGCTGGGGTCTGCTGGTGAGAGGATCCACGAAAAGGTGAGAGAAGGGGCGGGAGTGAGCAGGCATGAGAGTGTGTGCTCATGAGCATGAGTGTGTGTGCTGATGCATGAGCGTGTGTGCACACCTGGGGTTTCCTCCTCATCTTTAGGTCTTGTAGCATTGGCCACCTTCTTCCTCCATCCCAGCCTCCCTTACTCCTTCCCTTTTTCCTTCCCTCTCCCCTTCCTGCTCAGCCACCCTGTGAAGACCGAGTTCCAGGAAGCACAATGGGGATGCCCTTTTCTCCCTTTGCTGGCAAGAAGGGGGTCCTCAGAGCCCGGGGTGGATGGTTGGTTCAGGAAGGATGGTCCTGGGGCTTGTAGGGATTGAAGGCTCCAGGGCACAATGGCACCTATCTCTGGGAGCTGGGTACAGAGGAGGAGTTGGGGAAAGTGGCCTCCTCCCTGCTCCTCTCCCCGCACCATCCCAGGTGAAAATGTGCATGAGAGAGAGTGGTTGTTAAGTGTCAGCATCTGAGACCTGAGTGTGGGACTGTGTTGCTGAGGGAGGCAGCTCCAGGCAGTGCCCTGGGTGCCAGCTCCTGCCTTCCCTGCCCTGTGGCCTGGCAAGTCCCTGCCTCTCTGGGCCACCATGCCTCACCTTCGAAGTCTTCTCCTTCTGGTCCTCACACCTGGCTCCCTGGCCCTCACCCCCTCTCCTACCTCAAGAACTTTGGCCCGTTTTCTCCTGGCTGTGCCAACTTGGCGGGGCCTGCGGTCTGAGGTTCTTGGCTGGGGAGAAGGCCTAGAGGAGTGAGGGAGTTTATTTTGCCTTTAGAAATCAGGGCTTTGGGCTGAGGTTGGCTTGCTCACCCCAGACAGACTTGTCTGAGCACACCTCTGCTGCAGGGAGGGCTGGGCTTGGGCACTCAGCGCTGCTTTCTCCTGCCACTGCCTGGGTGGGAGGGAGCTGTCCGAAGGGGACACTTGCTCTGGGGAGCCCCCATCCAAGGGGCGAAGCACAGCCCTGACCTGGGGGACCCTTCTGTTTGATGAGAGAGACAAGACACGCTGGATACCCAGAGAGCCGGATACACACAGTGGAATAAGGACGCAAGTCTTGGCCAGACAGAACCCCCAGAGTGTTTAACCAAGGGCCGGGCAGAAAGTGGCCACTCAATTCCTTTTTTTTTTTTTTTTTTTATCATTTGTTTGAGACAAGGTCTTGCTCTGTCGCCCAGGCTGGAGTGCAGTGGCAAGATCTCGGCTCACGGCAACCTTGGCTTCCCTGGCTCAAGCAATCCTCTCACTTCAGCCTCCTAAGTAGCTGGGACTACAGGTACACACCACCATGCCCAGCTAATTTTTGTATTTTTTGTAGAGATGAGGTTTCACTATGTTACCTAGGCTGGTCTCCAACTCTTGGGCTCAAGTGATCCTCCCACCTTGGCCTCCCAAAGTGCTGGAATTACAGGCGTGAGCCACCTTGCCTGGCCTAATTCTTTGAATGAATGAATGAATGAATGAAAAGAAAGGAAAGAAGGAAGGAAGGGAAGAATGACATCAGGGCCAGAGGGGAGGGAGGAGATAGGTGGTGCTGAGTGAGTGAGGAGCCTGGGCAGCTTCCTGAGGGCTCCAGGATGTAGGGACAATGAAGCCTTTTCCCTGAAGCTCAGGACATTTGAGGCCTCTAACATCTATTTTGACTAGTGTTTTTTTTCCCCAAGATGGAGTTTTGCTTTTATTGCCCAGGCTGGAGTGCAATGATGCAATCTCGGCTCACTGCAACCTCCATCTCCCGAGTTCAAGCCATTCTCCTGCCTCAGCCTCCCAAGTAGCTGGGATTACAGGCATGTGCCACCACGCCCGGCTAATTTTGTATTTTTGGTAGAGACAGGGTTTCACCATGTTGGTCAGGCTGGTCTCGAACTCTTGACCTCAGGTGATCCACCCGCCTCGGCCTCCCAAAGTGCTGGGATTACAGGTGTGAGCCACCATGCCCAGCTTTGACCAGTATTTGAGGCCTCTCCAGGACTCTGGAACCAAGGCCTCGTGAGATTCCCTGCTTAGTTCACTCTCTCTTTCTGCCTCCATCTTCCACTCCCATTCTGGGGAGACTGCCCCATCAGCAGCCCAGAGAGCATGTCCAGGGATTTCCCTCCTCTGTGCCCCTCCTTAGGGAGATCACTCAGCTTGGAGGAGGAAGCAGGGTCCTCGTCGTTCAGGGGCAGGGAGAGATGGACCAGCTGGGCCCCTACTCTCTTCAATGTCTGGATCACTTCCCCTGTGGCCCCACTTCCTCCCTGCCAAATTCTGGAAATCACAGCCTGGCCTGCCACACTTGTCTCCTCTCTGACACCATCCCAGCCTCTTCAGTGGCAGGGAGGAGTGCAAAGTGGGGGTGGGGAGGACTACAGTGGGAAGAACCACTACGTCATCCCTGCGTTCAGCCCCAGACGCTGGGCTAAAAGGCTGTAGTGGGCAAGATCAGGAGGATGGGGCCTCCAGGGGTGTCAGGGACCCACCAATTCCCAGGTAGCCTGCAGGGCGGCAGCCTCAAAAATGAGGCTCAAAGAAACCCAGAGGTGAGTGGGTGGGTGGAGAGCAGGTTCCAGCCCACTTCCTGCTCTCATCAGCCCTCACCCCACAACATAGGGCTGCTGTGTCTCCCTGTGCCTGGGGTCTGTCTCCAGAACTGAGAGGGTGGGATGCTGAGGGGGGAGGGTCCTGAGACCTGAGGCTGGTTGTCCCCCATCAGCTGAGGGGCTCTTGGGGGCAGGGGATATGTATATGTATCCCCCCATCTGACTGGTTCAAGAAGAGGGAAGTGGTAGGCATGACCAAATTAGATGGACTTCGAATTACATCCTGATGGCAGAACCTCCCCTGCCCCAGCCCATTCCCTTCTTGGTAGGAGATCAAGGTTCTGGAGGGCTGTGAGTGGGCTGGCCCTCTGCCCCATGTTGAAAGCTCCATCCGACACACACCGTCTTGTGTAGCGATTGCTCTAACAGCTGCACTTAAAATGGATGGATGCAGGCACGTCTCAGATAAGAGCTGCTTGAGATTTCGAGTACTTTACAGTTGCACCTTCACACACCTGTTCCCATTTGGAGTCCCCTGGCAGCAATCATGAGACAAGGCGGGGGATGGGTTGTGTTTTTCCTGTTTTGCAGGTGAGGAAATTGAGGAGGAGCTGTACCTGTGGTTCAGGAAGTGTACAAAGGGTCTGGACCCCAGCCTAGGCTCTGGGACCCCAGCTCTGTCTATACTTCTCTGTCTTCTTATTTTTCACATTCACAAACTAATTTGATTCCTGGCTGGGCAGTGGCTCACACCTGTAATCCCAGGACTTTGGGAGGCTGAGGTGGGAGAATTGCTTGAGTCTGGCAGTTGGAGACCAGCCTGGGCAACATAGTGAGACGCCCCCCACCTCCATCTCCATAAAAAGTTAAAAAATTAGCTAGGCATGGGGGTGCATGCTTGTAGTCCCAGCCACTCAGGAGGCTGAGGTGGATGGATTGCTTGAGCCCTGGAGGCCAAGGCTGCAGTGAGCTGTGGTTGCGCCACTGCATTCCAGCCTTGGTGACACTGAGACCCTGTCTAAAAAAAAAATACAAAAAAATAAAAAATACCCAATTTAATTTGGTTCCTTTGGATTCCTCGTGGGTAGGCTGTGTCTGGTCAGCCCAGGGGGGCAGGGCCAGCAAAGATGGATGGGCCCATTTCAGGCTGCGTCCAGATCCCCTTCCCAGCCTAGGGGCTCGGGCTTCCTTTGGGGGAAGTTCTACAAGGTAGCAGCCCTCTCTCCTGGTAGCCCCAACCACTGACCTGTGGGCTGCACCCGGGCTCAGGGGGCTGATAGGAGGCACAGGGTCTGGGTCAGGCCCCAGCCAGGGCTGCCCCTCTGTGGATGGGTGGGAGGTGGGCATGGGAGCCTTTGATCTGTTGCCATCTAACCCTGGGTACTTGAGTGTCATTGTGGCCCCCATGCTAGTTATTGGCCAGGCTACTCCAGAGCACACTCCTCTCTGGGTGACAGCCCCCTTCCCACCATGGCCCCTGGCAAGAGACCCCCTCCCCTCCACGCCCACCTAACAACCCAGACACCCCAACTCACCACCTCAGGGCTCCCCTCTGTCTTCCTCCTGAGGTGCCAGGGCCCTATAGGCACTTTACCTGGGTGAACTCAATCAGCCTGAGAGTAGATATCATTATCCCCCATTTTAGGGATGAGAAGCTGAGGCCCAGGAAGGTAGAGTGATTTACTCAAGGTAACACTGCTAGGAAGCTGGCGGAGGTGGGATTCAGGCTGTCAGGCTCTGAGAAGGGCATAGTCAAAGGGGATGCTGCAGAGAGAGCTTGGAACTTGGGAAGGGCTTTGAATGCCTTTCAGAGGAGTGAGCCTCAGTTTATTTTGTAAGTGAGGAGCTTTCAAGCAGGACAGTTACACAGTGATAGTTGAGAGCAAAACTGTCTGGGTCCAAGTCTTGCCCTGAACACCTAGCTGTGTGACCTTGGGCAAGTTACCAAACCTCTCTGTGCCTCATGTTCTCATCTGTAAAAATGGAATGGAAAGAGTGTCTAACTAATAGGCTTGTTATAAGGATTAGGTGAGTTCAGGAGCCTAAGGCACTTTGGACAGAGAGCAGTACATGGCACAAACGAAGTGCCACATGTTTGCATTAGCATTGGTGGCTCCTAACCGGACCCCCTCCCTTCTTCCTTTCTTACTAACTTCCAACCCCATCCACCATCCTCTCCTTGAGGAATGGGTGATAATGCTTGGAGGAAGGAAATGGGCCTATGGCCGGCCAGGGGCAGAGACACAGTGTGCCTTGCAAGCTGCCCAAGCCCTTGCCCATCTCTTGTTATGACTGGCACATGCTTGGTGGGCAGGAGGTATGTGCATTTGAGTCAGATAGGGGAGGGGAGGCAAAAATGGAAAAGTCTGAAAAAGTGATCTGAAAGAGTGGATTGCCTGTACTTTCTCCTGTGCCCTCCTGATGACTGGCTGTGGCTCAGGGTATGGCCAGAGGGACCCATGTTAGGCATGAAGGGGATGGCTGTCACGGTAAGAGGGTCTTCCGGTGCTGGGTGAGGAGGAGGTGGGACCAGCTTCCAGCAAGAGGGCCAGAAGGAGCTGGGCTGAGAGGAGGGGAGGGGCTGGCTATGAAGAGCAGGGGCGGGGTGCCAAGGAGGCAATGGAATGGTAGGGGTGGATGGGTGGGAGAGGATTGAAATCCACGGGGTGGGGGTGGGGCAGGTGGAAGGCAGGCCTGCAGGCAGGAGAGGCAAGGCCGACTGATGGTGGGAGACACCCCGCCGGGTGGTGGAGATGAAAGCAGCTGCAGCGGCTCCTGCGCCATGTCCCTAATCCCTGCTTGCTCCCCTAGAGGCTGGGGCATTCTCCCCAGAGCGGCATGCTCCTCCGGCCTGCCCTGGCCCAGCTCTCAGGAGTGTGCACTTCCACCCCTGATACAGCCAGGGATGAGCTGTGGGCTGGGGCAGACAGAGCCCACAGATCAAAGCACTGGCCTCCTAGGTGAGACGGGACCTCAGCTGTAGGCAAAGCGGGATGTTTCCCAGTTAGAATTCACAGATGAGCAATCTGATCCCTCACCTTTTCCCTCCCTTTTCCCTTTATTCCAGCACTGAGTACAGAGCCTGACTCACAGTAGGCACCCAATAATTTTTTGACTTTATAAGCAGAGCTAAGGATGCATTTTCTATGGTTCCTGCTAATGACCTGATGATGCCTTTGAAAACTTTGATTTTTTAATTTTGTATTTGTATATATATTTTTGAGCTAGGGTCTCGCTCTGTCACCCAGGCTGGAGTACAGTGGTGTGATCACAGCTCACTGTAGCCTCAACCTCCTGGGCTCAGGGGATCCTCCCACCTCAGCCTCCTGAGTAGCTGGGACTACAGGTGAGTGCCACTATGCCCAGCTAATTTCAAATTTTTTTTGTAGAGACAGGGTCCCATTATGTTGCCCAGGCTGGTCTCATGCCATCCTCCTGCCTTGGCCTCCCAAAGTGCTGGGATTACAGGCATGAGCCACCACACCTGGCCTGAAACTTTTAAAACTTAGTTCCAGCTGGGTGTGGTGGCACGTGCCTGTGCTCTCAGCTACTCAGGCGGCTGAGGCAGGGGGATCACTTGAACCAGGAGTTGGAGGCTGCAGTGAGCTGTGATGGCGCCACTGCACTCCAGCTTAGGCAACAGAGCAAGACCCTCTTTTTTTTTTTTTTTTTTTTTTTAATTTAAGATGGAGTCTTGCTCTGTCGCCCAAGCTGCAGTGCAGTGGTGCGTTCTCCGCTCACTGCAACCTCTGCCTCCCAGGTTCAAGCAATTCTCATGGTTCAGCCTCTCGAGCAGCTGGAATTATAGGCACGCACCACCACGCCTGGCTAATTTTTGTATTTTTAGTAGAGATGGGGTTTCATCATGTTGCCCAGGTTGGTCGGAAACTCCTGGTCTCAAGTGATCCGCCCACCTTGGCTTCCCAAAGTGCTGGGATTATAGGCGTGAGCCACCGTGCCTAGCCAAGACCCTAACTCTTAAACAAACAAACAAACAAACTTAGCTCCATCTGTTAATAGCTGTGTGACTTGGGCAAGTCCCTTGGGCTCTCTGTGCCTCTGTTTTCTCATCTGTGAAACGGTGATAAGAGTAGTACTTAACTCAGGGGGTTATTGAGAGAATTACCGGAGTTAGTATTTGTAAAGTGCCCAGAGGGTGCTGGGTGCATAGAAACCGCTCTGTTTGTTAAATGGAATAAGTAAACAAATACTGCTGAACAGTAACATCTGTGAAATTATGGTTTGGTGCACCAGTTATATTTTCTCACATTAAAATAGAACACTATTAACCATTATCAAGCCTAAAATCATCTTCCATACTGCCCATGGGACCATCCACTGCTGTCTCTGTACACAGGTAGGTCCTTATGTGGTTGAATCCCCTCACCCTCTTCCTGTGGGTATAACTGCAGTGTGCTCATCAGCCTCACTGTCACCATGGCTGTGCCAGAGCTCCTCTGCTGAGAGATGTCAGGGCCGTCTGCACCGCATGTTTTCTGTTGAAAATGACACTGCTCCTAATGACACATTGACACAGATGGGACATTAGAAGTATTTACCGGGGCCGGGTGAGGTGGCTCATGCCTGTAATCCCAACACTTTGGGAGGCTGAGGCGGGCGGATCACCTGAGGTCAGGAGTTCAAGACCAGCCTGGCCAACATGGTGAAACCCCGTCTCTACTAAAAATACAAAACTTAGCCAGGCACAGTGGCAAGTGCCTGTAATCCCAGCTACTAGGGAGGCTAAGGCAGGAGAATGGCTTGAACCCAGGAGGTGGAGGCTGTAGTGCGCTGAGATCCCGCCACTGCACTCCAGCTTGGGCGACAGAGTAAGACCTTTTCTAAAAAAAAAAAAAAGAAGGAAGGATTTGGGTCAGACCTCAGGAGGAACTTTCCAGGTCATAGGGGGGTGCATGACATTAAATGTGCTGGATCCTGGCCTAGAGTGGGGCAGAATTAGGGAATTCCTCTGCTCCAGGCCTTGGAAGGCCACCCTGCTGCTGTGGCACTGGGCAAGGTATGGGGGCAGGTGCAGTTGACAGGAGAGGGAAGAGGGAGGCTCAAGAGTTAGCACTAGAGGCTGGACGTAGCGGCTCATGCTTATAATCCCAGCACTTTGGGAGGTCGAGGTGAGTGGATCGCTTGAGCCCAGGAGTTTGAGACCAGCCTGTGCAACATTAACGAGACCCTGATTCTACAAAAAATTAGCTGGGCATGGTGACACGTGCCTGAAATCCTAGCTACTGAGGCTGAGGTTGGAGGATCACTTGAACCCAGGAGGCAGAGGTCGCAGTGAGCCATGACGGCACCACTGCACTCCAGCCTGAGCAACAGAGTGAGACCCTGTCTCAAAAAAAAAAAATAAAATAAAAAAATAAGGAGTTGGTTGGGCGCGGTGGCTCACACCTGTAATCCCAGTACTTTGGGAGGCTGAGGCGGGTGGATCACCTGAGGAGTTTGAGACCATCCTGGCCAACATGGCAAAACCCCATCTCTGCTAAAAAAAAAAAAAAAAAAAAAAATTAGCCAGGCGTAGTGGCGCATGCCTGTAATCCCAGCCACTGGGGAGGCTGAGGCAGTAGAATTGCTTGAACCCGAGAGACAGAGGTTGCAGTGAGCCGAGATAGTGCCACCACACTCTAGCCTGGGTGACAGAGCGAGACCATGTCTCAAAAAAAAAAAAAAAAAAAGTTAGCTCTAGAAAAAATCTGAGGGTAACATATACACAAGAGAAATGAAAATGATTGAAACTCTTCTCGTTTATTTTCCTCTTCCAGCATAATTCTTAGGTCACATATACATTTGGGAAAAAAGGCTTACAATGGGATCTGCTAAGGCCTGGAACCTTCATCGATGACTGGGAGAGGGGCACAGTCCAGCCCTGGGTGAGCTGTACCTGTCGTCTTAATGGAAACCTACAGGTCACTCTGTTAACCCTGCAGGAGGGCCCAGAGGAGGTCATCCCAGGCAGGCCCCCATCTCCAGATTGCTCCATTGCTTCACCAGGAGACTGTCTCTGGAGTCAGGCTCCCTAGACTTGAATCCTGGCGTCTCCACTGGCTTATCCAGTGGTCTTGAACAAGCGGCTGCCTCAGTTTGCTCATCTGTAAAACAAGAATAATAATTACAGTGTCTATCTCATTGGGGGAAGGAATGAGGTAATTCCGGGAAAGCCCTTAACGCAGTACTTGGCACATAACTGGTGTTCGGGGGCGCTGGTGATTCCCCTGAAACTCCTTTCAAATGGTCATTTTCACAGTTCTCTGGGAAATTCTCTCTGCAGTTTGCCCTCCAGTCCTCCTGTGATCATGACAATGTCATCTTTCTAGCTTATGTGGGGAATCAGGGCAGTGGGCATGTTGGTCCTTTCTGGCCTCAGTTTCTCCTTTCTTAAATGCCGCCTCCTCACTTCTGCCTCCCCCTCCCTTCCTCTCTCCCACCCACCCACCAAGCCTGCATGGTGAGATAATGTCTAAGAGATAGTTGGAGTTACTTGGAGGAAGAGGCCAGACAGTGAGTGACCAGAGGTGATTATCTGGCGTGACTAAAGCAGTGGTTTCCCTCCCCCAAGGCTGGGCAGGGGGAGGGGTATATCTGAGGTCGCTGGCCCTCCACGAGTGACTTCCCAAGAAGTTCTGGACCTGGGGAATCCTAACCTGGGGCGAGGGTGAGGGGAGTGGATGAGACTAGAAACTCTTTGTTCCAGGTGGATTTTCACAGAACAAAAAAACAAAACAATGCATCCCATTTGGGAGGGGCTTGGAGGGAGGGGACTGGCCAAAATGGCTCCCCAGCATCTCGGTTCTTTTCTCCCTTTGTTTTTCTTTTTGTTGTTGTTGTTGTTGTTTGAGATGGAGCGTAGCTCTGTTGCCCAGGCTGGAGTGCAGTGGCACCATCTCGGCGCACTGCAACCTCCACCTCCCGGGTTCAAGCGACTCTCCTGCCTCAGCCTCCTGAGTAGCTGGGATTACAGACGTGCGCCACCACGCCCAGCTAATTTTTGTATTTTTAGTACAGACAGGGTTTCACCATGTTGGCCAGGCTGGTCTCGAACTCCTGACCTCAAGCGATCCGCTCGCCTCGGCCTCCCAAAGTGTTGGAATTACAGGCGTGAGCCATCGCGCCCGGCTCTTTTCTCCCTTTGAACCGCCGTCCTGTCTCCAGCCCTCAGCCTGTCTCCTCTACGGAGACCGCTGCCCTTGCCCCTTAACCTTCTCCCTGCCACCCCTCAGCCGGGACCTAGCCCTCTCCTGGCACCTCCCCCCATCCTGCCCCCGTCCTGGGGTCCCCGGCTATGGCAGCCCAGGCCTAGACACCACTTTGAGACGGGAGCTCCCTGCCGATGGAAGACCCAGTCTCCGCCTCTCTTGGCCTCTCCTTTGCCCACCCCGCCCCCGGAATGCTGCCGAGGACCCAGCCCGGTAGGACAGGGCAGCGGGACTTGTCTCCGATTCTACGGCCTCCTCTCCGCGGAGGGACCCGGACGGGGCAGCTGCAGTTCCCGCGCAGGCCTCTGGGTGCTGCTCGGCAGCTGCGGTCGCTCACCGCCCCAGGCGGCCCTATACCTGACAGGTCCTCACCCGGGCCTTACGGCTCCCTCCCGCTCCCCGCAAAGGGGCCACCTTCATTTACTAAAAGGGAAACAGCCACTCAAAGGGCCGAAGTGATCCTACTTGGCGTTAGTATTGCTGAATCCCATTTACACACGGGGACACTGGAGCTCCGAGGCCAAGCGGATTGTCTAGGTCTCACAGAAACGGGGGGTGGTGGGGATCCTGGCAAAAACCTTAGAAAGACCCCTCTAAGCCCCTCCCTTCTATATCAGTTAGATTTCCAGAAGAACTTCCCATTCATAGGTGTGCCAGGAAAATCTTCAGCAGGTGAGAAAAGAAAAAGCAATTCAGGGACATTTGGGGCAGTTCAGGGCAAGGTGGGTGAGCGCCCCTCATTCCCCTTCCATGCCCAGTGTCATGGACTCTGCCCCTCCCTGTCCTGGGCCTCTTCGAGGAAGAAAGGGGAGGAGGAGCCTCTGTCTTGGCAGCCCTTGGGAGGGAATGGAGGAGGGGAGCCCGACAGAGGGGCTCCTCTGCAGGGGGCCACATCATGAAGGAGGGCTTCTTCCTCCCCCTCCCTTCTCCCCTCCCTCATCATCTGCCCCGCCTTGCCCCATGCCCAGCATTCTCCCAGCAGGGTCTGGGGGGACAGCAGCAATTTTGACGGTGGGCCTAAGAGTATACAATATGGTATCAGCATCAGCATGTGAGAGAGGCTGTGTGTGTGTGTGTGTGTGTGTGTGTGTGTGTGTGTGTGTGTGTCCTGTCCTAGCTGGAGTCCTTTCCAGGCTTCTTTACTGTAGATTCCCAAAACTCTGTGAAGCCCCCTACCCACAACACACACTCCCCAGAGACAGACAGCTGGTCTCCAGTCACCCCTCCTCAGCCCCTGTATGTGCGCGTGCGCATGTGTGTGTGAACGTGTGCACATATATGTGTGGGGGGATGTGCTTGAGGTTGGACAGGAACCACAGAGACATGGTCTCCCCCACTGACTGGGAGCCTCTGAGGTAAAGACCAAGCCCCTTCTCTAAATCCTGTGCCTAGGCTGGAGCGGGTGCTCTGTAAACATTCAGTTGGGACTGATGGGAGTGTGGGTGGAAGGGGGTTGACCTCTCCTTGGGGCGAGAAGGGTGTCCCCAGAGTCATCACTTCCATTCATTGCCTAGAGGATAGGGCAAAAGCCTCCTTACCTGCCCTGTCCCCTCCCTTCTATTCCTTAAGTTTTATTCATTTTAAAAAAGTTTCATTTAAGAAGTTATAAAAGTGCTACATACTTGCTGTAAAATTCAAATATAGACAGGCGCAGTGGCTCACGCCTGTAATCCCAGCACTCTGGGAGACTGAGGTGGGAGGGAGGGATCACCTGAGGTCAGGAGTTCCAGACTAGCCTGGGCAACATGGTGAAACCCCGTCTCTATGTCTCTACTAAAAATACAATGAAAATTAGCATGGTGGCGGGTGCCTGTAATTCCAGCCACTCGGGAGGACGAGGCAGGAGAATCGCTTGAACCCAAGAAGCAGAGTGAGCCGAGATCATGCCATTGCACTCCAGCCTGGGTGACAAAAGTGAAACACCATCTCAAAAATAAATACATTAAATAAATTCAAATATAGAAGACTATAGAATACAAAGTGTTCCATAAGTGCATCCCCCCATCAGAGGTAATTGATTGGTGTGCTTCCTTCCAGACCTTTTAAGCATTAAAAAAAAACCTTTTTATTAATAAAATACAAATGGGAGTTTACAAATAGTTTTTCAACTTGTTTTTCCATCATGCCCATCTGTACACACAGAGTGATCTCATTTTCAGGGGCTGCAGAGCATCTGTCTTCTGTGTGGCTGAACTCTAACTTGCTTAACTTTTCTTATCAAGGGGCATCTGGGCAGTCTCTGATTTTTCATCGTCATAGATAACTCTGGGACAAGGATGCTGGTACGAGCACCTTTGTGCTCCTGTGAGTGTGCTTCTGTAGGACTGCTCCTACAGAACAGCTGCGCCAGCGTGTGTGTGCATTAAACCTCCCGAGAGCTGCTGCTCAGTGGGTTGTGCATTTGCCACCACCTTTAGAGGAGGGCGTCCT
This sequence comes from Homo sapiens, assembly GCF_000001405.40. Taxonomy (NCBI): domain Eukaryota; kingdom Metazoa; phylum Chordata; class Mammalia; order Primates; family Hominidae; genus Homo; species Homo sapiens. Next base: position 49,882,813 of record NC_000017.11, read on the forward strand.
CCCTTCTGTCCCGGTGATATGATCCTGGGGGCAGCGTCCACCTGTTCAGGAAGCCCTTTCTCAAGTCTGATCCAAGTTGCCTCAAATGGAATCTGAGCTGTTCCCTTCCCAAATCCCCTGGGCAGGGTCCTCTTCTTTGGGGTGGCACTCAGCTGGCTGGGTGGTCTGGGAAAAGCTGCTCTCTTAAAATCGTGTGTGTGTGTGTGTGTGTGTGTGTGTGTGTGTATGTGTGTGTGTGTGTGTGTGTTGGAGGGAAGGGAGCATTCTTCTCCTCTCCTTGTGGGAAGCTTCCTGCAGAAAAGAGAAAATTCTGGAAAGGACCAAGGAAGCTCTGGAAAATTAGCACCAGTGTTTCCTGAGAGTTGGGGGTGGTGGTCTCAGGACACTTCCTGCCTCCCAGGTCTTCATGTCTGGAAAGTACATGAAGCCTTCTCAGCTAGAAATTTCTAGACATTTCAAAGCACTTCTCACATACATACAAAGGCTTCCTTTGGGAAGGGAGGAGGGGACTGTGGCTTCTGCAATGCCTGGGGGAGGGTGGGTGGGAGTGGAAGGTAGAGCTTGGGGGCCAGAGAGGACCCAGGTGGCCCTCCTTAGTTGACTCTGGTGTTGCTTGTCGGTTCCACTCACGGCCCCTGTGGTCAGGTTTGAAGACTGTGTGGTGGTCACTCTGTGTGTGTGTGTATGTATGGCTCCACACTCATCTCCTCTATGGAATACTTTTATTGAGACTAAAAGGGTCAGAGGAGTCAGCTTTAACCCTTTGTGGGTTCACCTGATCCACAGAGCTCTGCATTCTGAACCAAAAGCCAGCCAGTAGATCTAGTCAAAGCCAGAGCCTTCAGGGCAGCACCCAATTCCTTCCCAAGGCTGTTGCTTATCTCTGCACTCTGAGCGCCCATTTACACAGCAAACCCTTGCTGAACACCCAGGCCCAAGACCCACATCTCATGAATGTGTTGTGTATGCATCTAGGGACGGACAAGAGACTGAGCCCACACAATGAGATAAGTGCTTTGATTGAGGAAGCAGCAGCAGGAGAAATTGCTGATTAGAAACTCACTCACTACGGTCTGATGCCTATTACCTCAATTACCCATAATTGACACCGCTCCTGGCTCTGTGACAAGCCAGGGGAAGTCCCAGGTCCATGAGGCAAAGCCCTCCTGGTTTTCACCAGGAGCCAGAAGGCAAGATTTGAACCCAGGACTGTCTGACTGCAAAGCCCTTGGCCTCTGCATCATCCGCCTCAGATAACACCACTAGTGGACTGGAGAGGGTCAGACGCTTGATATACCTTTGGTGAATGAATGGGCGAATGATTGAATGCCTGAATTGCAAGTGTCTATTTCATGTGCGGCTTTTCCTTGAGGCTGTGAGCATCTGTTGGTGGCACGGAGTATACCTTCTCCGTGTTTGAAGTCCCAGTCTGGAACAGAGGAGGGACCTGGTGAATAAATGAATGTGTAAATGAATGACGAAGCCATCAGTTAGTTCTGCTCTGGTAAAGCTTCCTGACGTTCCACTGATATGTTTTAGAAGGAAGTCAGACTGCAGGGTTAGAAGCCATCCCCTCCATGAGGCTCGGCACTGTCAGGATATTCCAGTCTCACCTGGACTGGGCCATGCAGTGGAGTGGAGGCAGGGCAAAGCCTGGCCCAGGCTAGTTTGCCTTGCAACAACCCCTGTCCTGAGAGCTGGGATGGGGAGGCCTAGGCAGGGATGCCTCTGGGCCCTCAGGGGAACTTAGGAGGCCATTGTGCCTATTCCCCTGCCTCCATGCCAGCTCTCACTCATCCTTTACCGCTCCCCGCCCCCCGGGCAAGCGTGCAGGACCCCATGGGAAATGATCAGCTTCTAGCACAGTGCCTGGCAGTCAGCGGGCTTGCAAGAAATGTTATTCAGGGAAAGTCAAATGAAAGGAATAGCGATATCAGGGAAGGATGTTCTGTAATCAGGCTACTCGCCATGGGGAAATTTTCCCTCCAGTCATACTGCAGAGGCTGCAGAAGGCTTCTGCCCATCAGGTCTGAATGACTGGCCTTGGGGAACACAGTGTCTGAGAGACCCCCAAAGAGCACCCCCCCCACCCTGAGGAACTGCTCATTGGGTGGGTCCCTTGCAGAGATTGTTTTCTTTTTCTTTTTTTTTTTTTTTTTTTGAGACGGAGTCTCACTCTGTCACCAGGCTGGAGTGCAGCGGTACGATCTTGGCTCACTGCAACCTCTGCCTCCTGGGTTCAAGTGATTTTCCTGCCTCAGCCTCCCAAGTAGCTGGGACTACAGGCATGCACCACCACACCCAGATAATTTTTGTATTTTTAGTAGTAGAGACATGGTTTCACCATGTTGGCCAGGATGGTCTTGATCTCTTGACCTCATAATCTGCCTGCCTTAGCCTCCCAAAGTGCTAGGATTACAGGCGTGGGCCACCGTGCCTGGTCTCTTTTTTTTCCTTTTCTTTTTTGAGATGGAGTCTCACTCTGTTACCCAGGCTGGAGTGCAGTGGTGTGATCGAAGCTCACTGCAGCCTCGACCTCCTGGGCTCAGGTGATCCTCCCACTTCAGCCTCCCAAGTAGCTGGAACTACAGGCATGCGCCACCACTGAGCTCAAACCATCTGCTGGCCTCGGCCTCCGAAAGTGATGGGATTACAAGCATGAGCCACCATGTCTGCCTTTTTTTTTTTTTTTTTCTTAAAGACAGGGTCTCGCTCTGTCACCCAGGCTGGAGTGCAGTGGTACCATCATGACTCGCTGCAGCCTCAAACTCCCAGGCTCAAGCAATCCTCTCACCTTAGCCTCCCAAGTAGCTGGGACTATAGGCGTGTGGCCACCATGCCCGGCTTATTTTATTCTATTTTGTTTTATTTCTTATAGAGACGGGGTCTCCCTGTGTTGCCCAGGCTGGTCTTGAACACCTGGGCTCAAGTGATCCTCCCGCACTGGCCTCATGAAGTGCATGGGATTACAGGCATAAGCCACTGCACCCAGTCAAGATTCTTAAACTTCTTAGAATCTTGACAAGCTTTGATGTGGAGAGCATGTATAAAATGGAGGTTCCTGGGCCCAGTGAATTAGAGTGGGGACGCTGTGGGAATCTGCGTTTTGAACAAGGGTTCCTCTAATGCTGAGGCAGGCAGGTGATACATGGCCTATATTTTGAGACACAAAACCTCAGTGACTATATCTCTGAATGCTAGAAAGGACATTGAGAAGATATCTGGTCTTTTTCTCCCCAAAAGGGGTTGGGTTTTGTCTTTAGGGAAGAAGGTTCATGGAGCTGGAGAAACCTCAGGGGCTTGGGTTTGATCCATTATAACCCACTGCACCCGTGCTGAGCACCCGCTCTGGACCAGCATCACAGCAAGCCCTGGGGGAGGAATGGGGAGAGGCAGGGAGGGGAAGGTGGCAGCTCTCTGCCCAGAGAGGGGAAAAGGGCCCAGGTGACAGAGTGAGAACGTTCTAAGAGACCTGGTCTTGCTGTGTCCCTCGGCCCATCTTGGGACTCATCAAGCTTAGCTTTGGCCACCAAGATTGCTTTGTTTCCACACTGCTAAGTCTCTCTTCCTGCAAAGGATATTCGTATAGGGGTAATGCTAGTGGCTGGGGCTTTTCTTGGGTCTGACACAGTCTAGGGGCCCAGGAAGCAGGGGGAATCCATGAAGATAGCGGGACAGTGCCCCCATCTTGAGCACCCCACCCCTGCCCCCCTCCACCCACGGGAAGATGGGGGTCGCATCCCAGGCTGAGATCCACTCTCTCCTTTTTCCCTTGGAGGATACTTCAATCCTGCCTCACGGTCATCTATTTCATTTTACCCACTGGGGAAGGGCTTCTCGATATTTTACTTCAAGCTTTCCTGCTGACAAAGAGGCATCTATCTATCTTCCTTTTCAGACAGGGGAAGGAAAGAGGTCTGACCCGGATCTCATCCTGCTTCTGAAGCCTATTAAAAATGCCTCCAGTTAAGATGACATATTTAAAGGAAAAAAAAAATGTTGTCCCTGGCCGGGTGCTGTGGCTCACGCCTGTAATCCTAGCACTTTGGGAGGCCGAGATGGGTGGATTGCCTGAGCTCAGGAGTTCGATACCAGCCTGGGCAACACAGTGAAACCCGGTCTCTACTAAAATAAAAAAAAAAATTAGCTGGACGAGGTGGCGTGTGCCTGTAATCCCAGTTACTTGGGAGGCTGAGGCAGGAGAATTGCTTGAAACAGGGAGGCGGAGGTTGCAGTGAGCCAAGATTGTGCCATTGCACTCCAGCCTGGGTGACAGAGCAAGACTCCAACTCAAAAAAAAAAAAAAAAAGTCATCCCCCCACATTCAGTCTAGTCACATTCCTCCCTGGTCAGAGAAGCTCCCAGTTCCCATCCTGCTTCCTCCCCCATGTGCTTCTCGCCTTCTCTCCTCCCGCTCCCCTCCCATTCCCATCCCCTGTGGAATGGTGGAATGCAGGGAACCTCCTGTTCCTGCTGACACCCTCTCCTCGAACTCTAGGCTGCTGGTGGGGGGTGTGCAGGAAGACCAGTTTTTCCAGCCCTGAGACCAAGGAGAGACCTGCCTGCCCCCAGGGGCTCTTCCAAGCCCAGTCAGAAGGCAACCTGGGCCTCTGAGGAATGCGGCAGATCCAGCTCTTGCTGCCACAACGCCAACAGAGTGAGGTCGGAGGTGGCCAGAGTCCAGGGCCAGCAGGGTCCAAGGACGTCCCCTCCCACTCAGGCCAGGAACCAATGCCAGCAGCATCTACCCCCTTCTGGTCCCCTCCCCTACTTGTTCAGAGGCTCTGGGACCTTTCAGATCCACCTGACTTGGCCAGGCCACCCCTTCTTCCCTTTGTGGTAGTGATGGGGGGTCTTCAGGTTGGCATGCTCTGCTCTTCCATACTTCCTTCTCCAACCAGCACCCTCTCCTCCTCCTCCTCCCTTCCTGTCCCGCCTGACGTCTGCCTCCAGGAGGCCTTCTCAGATTGAGGGGTCACTGTGCCCTCCAGATTGTAGGCATCCCAGGATCAGTGCCCCTGCCTATTTCAGTCACTGCCATATGCCTAGGGCCTGGCACACATCCTGGCCTGGTCATGTCCAGTAAGTTACACCCACATACCTGCCAGAGCACTGAACTGGATGTGTGGAGATGAATACATCTTGCAGAGGCATGGGCTGGCTGAAGAGCCAGGCTCCCTGCATCCCGCACGGATATGGCTCATTGGTACCCTGCTCGTCCCTGCCAGCCCAGGATGTGGAAAGAGACATGGGAGAAACCCTCCTGACTCCCTGTTCCCTATCCTACCTCTGACCCAGGATACACAGAACCACTGCCCTCTGCTCCTTCCCACTGTTCTGGGAGCTCTCTCCTCTGCGAGGCTTTCCTGGAACCTGATTGGCGAAGACCGTTTCTCCTGAGCTCTTTTCTCTGAGACATCACCATAGATGGCTATGAGTCAAGTGCCCCCATCAACCATTCCTGCTCTGCCTGGGGGCTTGGAGTCCCTTCTGATGGACGAATGGGTCAGTCTGAATCTTGGGGTCCCTTTGGGGTAAGTGGGAGGCACAGCAGCCAGTGCAGGGGGAGGAGGAGGGGAGAGGCAAACGCTGGATTCACACAAGGCCAAGACCCACTCAGTTTGCAAGAGTCTAGTCTGGTTCACAGCATATGTGGTTCTCCAGACAAAGTCTCCCCACTAGAGTAATATTAATAACAGTGACACTTGCCACTTATTGAGACTTACTTTATGCCAGGCCTTGTGCTAAGAACTTGACGTGGCATTTCATTTAATCTTCACAACAATCTTATGTGATAGGTACTATTATTGTTCCTGTTTTACAGATGAGCAAACTGAGGCTATTAGCTCAAGATTTGAAGGAGAAAACAGTCTTATTTTATTTTATTTTATTTTTTTAGAGATGGCGTCTCCCTGTGTTGCCCAGGCTGGTCTCAAATTCCTGGGCTCAAGTGATCCTCCTGCCTTGGCCCCTCAAGATGCTAGGATTACAGGTGTCAGCCACCACATCCAGCCCTCAGTCTTTTTTTTTTTTTTTTTTTGCCCAAGTGTCTGGCATGGTCCTGCCCACCCAGTGCTGTGTGTGGGAACCTGCAGATGTTCACCTGACATGTAGTCTGCTTAGAGGGGAGGAGGTCTCCATGTACAGAGGTAGGCCTAGGCCTCCTTGCTCAGCTCCAAGGAGTCTGTAATCCAAAAGAGCTGGCACCAGACTGGAGACTGGCCTACCCTCTGCTCATTTCCTAAGAATTCAGGAGGGTAGGCCGGGTGCGGTGGCTTGCGCCTGTAATCCCAGCACTTTGGGAGGCCAAGGCAGGCAGATCACCTGAGGTCAGGAGTTTGAGACCAGCCTGGCCAACAAGGCAAAACCCCATCTCTATTAAAAATACAAAAATTAGCTGGGCATAGTGGCGCGTGCCTGTAATCCCAGCTACTCGGGAGGCTGAGGCAGGAGAATCGCTTGAACCCAGGAGGCGGAGGTCGCAGTGAGCCGAGATTGCGCCATTGCACTCTAGCCTGGGTGAGAGAGACTCCATCTCAAAAAAAAACAAAAAACAAAAAACAAAAAACAAAAAAAAAACCAGAATTCAGGGGGGAGAAAAAGATAGCAGGAAGAACTTTTGGACGAAGCTCGGTGAAGCCTTTTGTGGGCCTGACATCTAACTCTGTGCCTGCGCAGCCAGGGTGTGTGCGTGTGTGTGTGTGAGCGCGCGTGGGGGTGAACAGGTGTGCACAGGCTCTCGGCACGGGTGGGGGATGGATGGATGAACTGCCCGGCCCTGGATGCCTCGCCTCAGATCCCTGTGTCAGGTCTCTCTCCTGAGCCCTGGGGGAGTCCCTGGTGGGTGGGGCTGCTGTCAGGACTGTGTTGTGATGTTCTGGGCGGGAGGGCGGGTACAGCACAGGCCCTGACCTGGTTGGGCAGGTTGGCCCACCCTGAGTGGCACCTGTGACCAGGCGCCAACCCCACCCACCGCCCTTTGAAGTCATCCAGCCTGGTCCAGCCCCTCTTCTGGGTCACCTCCCTGAAAAGAAATGGGGTCCTCTCAGAAGACAGCTCCTCCTGCCCAGGGCTGGTTCCAGTGGGGGTGGGGCAGGCCTGGCTCCAGGAGGTCCCAGCCCCCTCCCACATCACCAGTCACTTTGGAGCTTTGACCTGGCCTCCGCAGGGATTGGCAGAGGCCCAGGTGAAGGGGGCTGAGTGAGGGGTGGGGACCGGCAAGGGGTTGGAGGGCTGATGGAGGGAGAGGGCTTAAAGAAGCTCAGTGACAGGCAAGGGGTTCCACCAGGGTGGTGGGGACTTGTTGAGGAAGCCCCCTGTCCCTTTCTGAATGGCCCATCGGCAGGAGGTGGCTTGGGGTGTTTTAGTCCCCACCATCTTCACACACACATCCCGCACCCTCACTCCACGCAATGCTCTGTGGCTGGCGTTTCTGTCTTGTGTAAAGTGTTGGGCAATCCCAGCTCTAAGACAGCCCCAGCACCTTCGCTGGATCTTCACCCCTCCTTGGCGGGTGTACAGCCAGCAGCCCCTGTATCTGTCTACGCAGCACAGGCTGGGTTAGCACAAAAAAGCCATCTGACTCCTGGCCTGACTTGGCACTCGCAGAGCCCTGGCCATACCCGGCTCTAAAGCCTAAGTCCGTCTCCTCAGCACAGCTCAGGCCGGAGCTACAGGCTCCTGGATCCTTTCCCCATCCGCCCCGCCCGGCCCTGAGCTGACCTCTAATCCGCAGGGAGCATCCTCCGAAAACCATTAGGCAGCCAGGCCCTCCCCCAGCCAGCTCCGGGCCCGACGCCGGCCCAGCCCAGCAGTGCCGGGCGCCGGGCCCAAGCCGACCCCCTGTTTTGGCTCTGCCGCCTGATTTCTACCGCAGGCAGATATCTTCCGAGACCCCGGGCCCCTAGGCTGGCCTCGCGCCGCTACCCCAGGGCCCCAAATGCCTGAGAGAGGTGGAAGAACTCTTATAACTAGGCTTCTGCCCCGTCACTGCCTACTCTAGTCCCGCCAGTTTTGGGGTAGCCGGGGGACTCGCTGGCCTCCTGTTCCCGCTGGGAGCGGGGCCAGGGTCTCGAGGTAGGGGGGAGGGGGGATGCGGCGTTGCAAGCTCGGGCGTGGCGGCCCCTCCCGGGCTGGGTCCCGCCCCGCCCTGCCCTGTCCTTGAATCCAAGGCGGGCGCAGTGCGATCGCGCTGCCCAGGCCCGCACCCGACCATTCCTCCGTCTCTCTGGCCGCCTCCCTTCTCCATCCAGGCTGGCCTCCTCCTCTTCCTCCAGGAAGCCTGCCCTGAGGGCCACACCTCCTTCCCTCCTCAGGTAGCTCCTGTTTCTGCCCACTGTGGCGTCACCCAAACAACAGAGTCCCAGAGAGAGGGTTTGTGTTCTGGCCTTGGGCAAGCCACTTGACCTGTCCGAGGCGGCTTGCCCAGCTGTAACTGGGGCTATTAACCCCACCTTTCGAGTTAGGGTATTAGAGGAGATTGGCCCAGGGAGTGTTTGGTGATCTTATGATGTAGCCATGAAGGGCAGGGACCTGTCTCTCCCTTCGAACTTGTAGGGACTGCCACCTTCCTTCCTGTGCCCACAGGGTCCTGCCAGGGAGAGGAGAGAGGACCTGGAGTGACCTCTCCGTCTTACAGGCCATGCCAGGCCCAGGAAGTGGGTGTGTCCTCTTCTGTCCTCGCAGGCCAAGAAGAGGAAGGACAACATGGGGATTGGGGGTTAGACTGGGAAGGGGGGTCCTGTGTGCTGGTTCTCCCCAGAACTCTAGGTTGACAGAGCACGAGGTTGGAGTGGGAGAATTCCCAATGAGAGGCAGGAAACTGGCCAAAAAGACCCTTCGAGAGGGCCTCTTTGACCCTCCTCTCCTTATTTAGGGTCCCTGGGGAAAGGAGAACTTTTCCCATTGGTGGTGGTGGGTGTCTCAGCCTCCCTGTCACCGGTTAGCAGCTTTGGATGGTCCTCCCCCAAGTTAGGTCAAGGTGACCATGGAAGTGACGCCTCTCTGATGGTCCAAATCATTCACTCTGAGAGTGGACAAAGAAAATTAAGACTTGACAATTGCTGAGCAGGCTGAAATTTTAGAACACACACAGTGGAGTGAACCATCTTCTAATCAAGATGGAAGACAGAAATGACAATAGGAATATTTATTGCATGAAGCAATATATGTAATTTATGCTGAATTTTGTTTTTCTTCTCATGAAATCTCCGTCTTTTCCAGGCAAGCCTGTTGGTGTATGTTTAATAATAAGTTTCCACTTATCGTTGCTTACCATGTACCAAGGACTGTGCAAAGCACTTTATTTCTTTAGTTTGTTTAGTTTCCACATCTCCACATCTCATTTATTCAAGATTATTTCAAGGAAATATTTATTGAGCATCTACTATGTGCCAGGCATTATTCTAGATATTGGGACTAGAGATATAGGGACACACACATACACACACACACACACACACACGCGTGCGCGCGCGCACACACACACACACACATACACAAAATCAGATTAAATCTCTGCCTTTTTGGGGCTTACATTCTAATGAAGGAGAAAGAAAGGAAAAAAGAAAATAGATATTTAATGTCAGGTAGTGATAAGTGCCCTGAAGGAACCCGAAGCATCATGAAGGGACAGAGAGTGTTTGGGAGGGCCTCCTGGAGGTGGCATTTGAGCAGAGACCTGAATGAAATGAGGGATCAGCCATTTGAATGTTGGGGGCCCAGCAATTCCGCCAAGAGGAACAGTAAGTTTAATGGCCCTGAGATGGGTTTGCTTCACTTGGCACATTGCACAGCAAGAAAGCCAGTGTGTGAGAGCAGAGAGGGCTTAGGTGACTGCCAGTGGCAGAAGGCTTGGTGGGATGTGGGGAGCAGTAGAGAGAAGTCCATGAGGAAGGTACTGTTGTTAAATCCATTTTGCAGATGGGGAAACTGATGTATGGAGCAGTTAAGTGGTAAGTGCAAAGGCTGGATACAAACCAGGTTGCCTACATTAAGCCTGGGCACCTGATCATTTTGTGTGTGTGTGTGTGTGTGTGTGTGTGTGTGTGTGTGTGTATAGTATTTACACAGCACAGGGAAGGGGGCAGGGCTGGGTCTCCTGGCCAGCTCTCCAGAGGCTCTGGTACTTTCAGATTTGTTAAGTGTAATGCAATGAAAATAGAAAGGGCTGGGAGTGGTGGCTCCTGCCTATAATCCCAGCACTTTGGGAGGCTGACGTGGGAGGATCACTTGAGCCCAGGAGTTTGAGACCAGCCTGGACAACACAGGAAGACCCCCCTACCCCACCTCTACAAAAAATTACAAATATTAGTGCGGCATTGTGGTGTGTGCCTGTAGTCCCAGCTGCTTGGGAGGGTGAGGTGGGAGAATTGCTTGAGCCTGGGAGGTTGAGGCTGCAGGGAGCCATGACTGCACCACTGCACTCCAGCCCAAGCAACAGAGTGAGACCCTGTCTGAAAGAGAAAGAGGAAAGAAAGAGAAAGAGGAAAGAAAGAGAAAGAGGAAAAAGAAAGGGGAAAGACAGAGAGAGAGAGAGAGAGATAAAAGAAAGAAGAAAAAGAAAGACTTCTGAACACAGTACAAATCCCCACATTCCCCACATTTGAGTCTCACGTGGGTGGGAACCATCCTTCCTTACTATATGCCCCAGCACCTTGTACAGAGGAGGGCATATAGTAATAGTTTGTGGAATGAATGGAAGACTATTAGTTAAGAAGCAAACAGACTGATGTTCTAGTGAGGCCACCAGTTTCTATGAAGGATATTAAGATTTTTGCTGTGGGAGGGATCCTTAGAAACCTACATTGAACCCCATTGATTTGTGGATGAGGAAACTGGGGCTCAGAGTGACGGCAGATGGCTAATGCTGCTGTGTGGAAGAGTGCTGGGGTGTGCCAGCCTCTTTTTTGACACTCCCCAGAGTTGGAACTGCCAAGAGCTCTTCTCTGGTAGGAGCAAAGGCTCAGATCCACTGGAATTGGGAACAGTGAGGCTTGAAGGAAACCTTGATTATCCCCACTGTGGAAAAATCAGAAACAAATGCGGCATATGGGAGTCAGGGATGGAGAACCTGGTCTCAGATGAAGCTTGTATTAGCAAGGGAAGGGAAGAAATGATGGTCAGGTCAGACCCAAGGAACAGTTACCAGAATCTTCCTCAACACTCTTTCCTACCTTTTGTACTCTGTCCACCCTAGACCTCCTCCTCTCCCTTCTTGTTTTCTCAGCCTGAGCTTCTCAAATGGAGGCATTAATGTGCCCTGAGCATATGGGATGTCCCGGGGGATGACCAAAGCCATTGTATGTCTTTCTGGCATGTCTATTTGACCCAGAGATTTTGTTTTTGAGACAGGATCTCACTCTGTCACCCAGGCTGGAGTGCAGTGGCATGAACATGGTTCACTGCAGCCTCGATCCCCTGGGCTCAAGCAATCCTCCCACCTCAGCCTCCCTAGTAGCTGGAATCACGAGCATGTGCCGCCACGCCTAGCTAATTTTTGTATTTTTTGTAGAGATGGGATTTCCCTATGTTGCCCAGGCTGGTCTCAAACTCCGGACTTCAAGTGATCCTCCTGCCTTGGGCTCCCAAAGTGCTGGGATTACAGGCATGTATTTTTGAAGAAAAAATAATTCAATTAGAATATGTTTTAGAATGTCTGCTTTATAGTAAGCAGATTTGGAGAATATGAAGTGAAATGTGCATGTATATAACATAAAACAGATAAAACAGAGCCTGAAATGAAAGAATTTGTGAGTGAGTTGCTTTGGGTGGCATCTCCCTGCCCAACTTCTCCCTAGCCCCTGCTCTTACAGGAATCCCAGGTGAAACTCTGAGAAATCCTGTTTGCCCATAGCCCACAGGGGTTTTTTCTCCTGTCATTTGGAGACGGGGTCCATGCCAGACTGACTGTAGGGCAGACATAGGTCAGTGGGGAGGAGGAAGGACTGTCAGGAAGGGCCAGAGCCTAGGCAAAGATCCTGGGCCCCACCCTTGGTGACAAGCTGGCAGGGCCCTCCCAGGATGGGAACAAGGTAGGGAGTGTTGGTTTCTAGGTAAAGGTGTTTGGAGCTTGGCACTTCCTGGCGGCGGCGGAAGGGGATGAGTGTGTGTCCACGGGCATTGGGCGGTGGCAGGTTTCAGCAGGAGGAGGCCTGAGCTGCTGGCACGAGCTGGCTCTGGCACCCAATGCTCCGCACCCAAGGCCTGCTGTGGACTCAGTCTGCACGCCATCGGCATGCCATCTGGGAGTGAGAGGCCCAGGCGCCAGCCAGAGGGGTGGCAAGAAAGGAGGGCTGAGGTGGAGGGAGGAGGGAAGTCACTGGTTGAGTGCAGGGCAGGGACACTGGAAGGATCAGTCCTGGAGACAGAGGTGGGAGGGGAGGGTGGTGTCGCCAACCCGGGCTTGGGTGGGGCTAGGCAGGCTCTGAGGGATGTGGAACCTGCCTGAGGTTTCTCTGGTCTTGGAGAGGGTATCCTTTCCTGGGAGAAGGAGCTTACTGAGAAAAGGACTTTCTGATCCCTAAGGTGGAGGGACTGGGGCTGTGAGCATCTCATTCCTCAGCCATTTGAAAATAGGATGGTGTGGGCTGGAGAGAAGGACAACGGACTTTGTCTAACAATACCAACATTCCCCAGACTTTTTTTTTTTTTTTGGTGACAGGGTCTCCCTCTGCTGCCCAGGCTGGAGTGCAGTGGTGCAATTGTGTGATCATAGCTCACTGCAGCCTTAACCTCCTTGGCTCAAGAAATCCTCCTGCTTCAGCTTCCCAAGTAGCTAGGACTACAGGCATGTGTTGCCCTGCCCAGATAATTTTTTAAAATATTTTTTGTAGAGATGGGATCTCACTGTGTTGCCCAGGCTGATCTCCAACTCCTGGCCTCAGGTGATCCTCCCACCTTGACTTCCCAGAGTACTGAAATTATAGGTGCAAGCCAGCACACCTGACCCTGGACTCTTACTTAGTACCAGCCAGTGCTCTAAGAGATTTACTTGGATTAACTCATTTAATCCTCAAAATAAAACCATGAGGTAGGTACTTTCATTATGTCCTATTTTATAGATGAGGACATTGAGACACAGAGGGGTTAAGTCCCTGTTCTATTGGGAATTCAGACACCTGTTCCAGATGGTGCCCAAGAATCTGTAATGGAGTCAGGCAAAGACATAAAGAGAAAGTCCACTCATTCGTTCATTCATTCATTCATTCAACAGGTATTGACTCAACTGGCTTTGTATGCTGGGCACCACTTTGCAAACAGCTTACAGGATGGACTGCAGTCCTCACAACGATCTTCAAAGGTAGAGTTCCCACTTCATAGATGAAGAAACTGAGGCTCACAGAGGTTATATAGTAGCTCAGGGTTATGTAATAGTAGGTTGTGGTCACAGAGCAAGTAAGTGGCAGAACTAGAATTCATACCCCGGTTGTTGTGAGTCTTTGGGCCTAGGAAGAGCCCTTCTTGTTAGTGAAGAGAAGCCCACACATCAACTAGGAATTGTGCCAGAAAATGGAAGGTAGAGAGTGTTTCTAAGAGAAATCCAGGGACTTTCCTGCATTCCTCCCTTCCAAATATCTGTGCTCAGCTCTCTGGAAGCCAGGTCTACAACCTTGCTGGGAGGGAGCACTCTGCTTAGCCAGGGAAAACCAGAAAGGAGAAGAGGCAAGTACCTTGACCCAGGGAGGCAAGTGCCAGTGGGAGGAGTAGGGATTATTATTCATTTGAGACAGGGTTTTGCCCTGTTGCCCAGGCTGGAGTGCAGTGGCAGGATCATGGTTCATTGCAGCCTCAACCTCTCAGGCTCAAGTGATCCTCCCACCTCAGCCCCCCAAGTAGCTAGGACCACAGGTGTGCACCACCACACTTGGCTAATTTTTTTATTTTGTAGAAATGGGGTCTCCCTATTTTGCCCAGGTTGGTCTCAAACTCCTGGGCTCAAGCGATCCTCCTGCCTTAGCCTCCCGAGGTGCTGGGATTACAGTTATAAGCCACTGTGCCTGGTGGGATTATTTAAAAAAAAAAAATCAACTTGTTGGTAGAGCAGGATGACGTCTATTCAGCACTTTGCTCCTTCTTCCCCTCCGCCTCTTCTTCCCCAGGATGCCCTGGACTTCCCCCGCAGGGCTTGGTTGCCTCTGCCCTCCATCTCTCGAGCCCCTTGCCTCCAGCTCTGTCCTGCTTCTCCCTCCAGGAGCAGGCCCCACCTGGTCCCACAGGTTATCACACCACACCAGGTGCCTTCCCTGCCTTCTCAGAACCCACCCAGTGGCTCATCTCCCCCTCAGGGCTGGCCCCACCCTCCACGGGGTTCCTGGAGTGGAATTTCCCCTAAGGGAGGAGTTGCTGATTGCAACAGGATTGGGCCTTGGGTGGGTTTGAGATTTGGGGTGAAAGGTGACCTGGGAAAGTTCATAAGGCCATCCCCAGGGGGAGGAATGGCTTAGCCCTGAGGTAAGAGAGAGAAAGAATGGGGAAGGGGACATGGGATTGGGAGGTGTTTTTTTCCGCAGAGCTAGCCAGGTTGGGGCACCCGGATGCCCTTCACCTTCTCCCCAGCCCTCAGGCAGGAACTGGGGCCCTCATCGACCTACTCTTTGGCTGGGCACTGGGGCTCCTGCCTCAGGCCCTAAGGCTTGATAGCCCTCTTCTACTTCTCTTTCAGCGAAATCCCTCCCTCCCCAAGAGGGAAACCAAGGGGAATTTCACACTACCCCTTTCTAGACCACAGAACCTCAGAATTCCCTACCCAACAGCCCCGAGCCCGCTGTCAGGGTCCGCGCCAGTTTTCCCTTCACTCTATCTTCCACTGAAACTCTTAGGCCCCAGGGTGACTGTTGGGGTGAGGCGTGAGATAGGGGAATTGAGGTTGTGTGGGAAGGATGGACCATGGATGGTGGGCTAGGACACCCAGCTGCACGTGCATGAGTGCATCTATCTGGTATAGGACATAGAAGACAGGGTTACAGAGCCTGGGGACCTCCGTGCATGCTCTCGCCCTGGCTGACTCGCCATCAGCACTCCTGTCCCACCTCCTGGAACCCCCAAACCCCAGGAGATGCACATCTCCATATTGCCTCTTGATCAGCCGTGGAGAGAGAGGCCCTAGGGAAGGGGAAGGTGAGAGGCAATTCTTCTCCAAGTCCCACTGGCAGGCCTCCTGTGACAGTCCCAGCTTTTAAGACTCTTTCTGGAGCAAGCATTGAAGGGGTGAGTTTGGCTTGCAGTTGGAGAGGTGGGGTACAGGCTCTCTTTTGCCTTCTTTTACCAGCACGCTCGGAGTTGTGGCCCTACGGGGACCCGGTGAATTCAGCTGCCTGTATGAGGTGATGTTGTTTTGCCTTAAATGGTCCCCTAGCCTCTCCCAAAGACCCCTCCTTACTCTTCCCAAGAATGTCCCAATTCCTTTCCCACTTGTGCCACTCATTTTCAAGAGAGGAGATGGCCCAGCCCTCTTCTCTTCCCCACCTCCCTCCCCCAAACTGTGTGACCCTCAGCACCCAGGGCTCAGGGGGCTGCCAGAGATGGAGAGGAGGCAAACCCAAGCCAGCTCCTGGGGTCCTACAGGGAGGGAGGGCATGTAAATCTTGCCTCACCCTCTTCCCTCCCAGCCCTGCTGTCAGCTGGCCAGCCCCATCCCTGGAGCCAAACTGCTTCCATGCAGGAGGGAGGGAAGCCTGCTCAGTGGGAAAAGATGAAGCTGGTCCCCCCGCGTGTCAGTGAACAAATTGGGCCAATTTGGTGTGATTAGTGAAGAATTCACATCTGGCCAGCAGAGTCCTCCCCCCAGCCCCAGCCCAGCCTGGCTCCTGCTCCCCATTAGAAGCTATTTTCTCTGACGGCTCCATTTGTCTCTGTAGTGGGGGATTTGACAGCTCCCTGGCCAGCCTGGGAGGCCTGGCTCTGAGTGAGAGGCCCAAGGCCAGGCTGTGTGCCCACACCCTTGACCTGATGCCACGGGGGATGCCATGCTCCAAACAGGGCCCAGGCACCTGTATGGGCCCTGTAGGTCCCATCCCTCTTCTGTGTGCACAGATCCATAGTTGAATGGGGGCCTGGGGAGCACAGTTCACTAGGCTCCCTGACCTGGGCCCCCCTTGGGCCTTGGTCATCTTGCACAATGATTATTGTGTTTTAAGATCAACAGAGACTTGTATGTGTGTGCATGGTGGTAGAGGAAGCAGGGGTCTGGTGTTTCCTAAAAGAAAACAGCTGGGCATGTAATAGGCGGGCCTGCACCCCACTTCCTTCACCCCTTCCTCACCCCTCCCAGAGACCTGTTGCTGCAGCTACCCCTCAGGAATGCCTGTAGATGGCTGTCGCACAGCTGGAAGGCTCGCCCCGAGAAGCGGCTTCAAGGTAGTGCCTTTGGGGGTGTGGTCTGCTAAGCCTTGAGTCTTCCTCCCCGAGCAGCAGCGACCCCAGGTTGCCTGTGTCAAAGACAATTTAAGGGCTATTTAAAGGAGCCTGACCTAGGGGTCACCTGGGCAAATCTCCTCCCTGGAGAATTACCACCAGATGGCAACCTGGGGCTTGTCTCCTAGAAGGTTCTCCCTGGTTGGCTAGGAGCTCCTGGGCCCTGCCATTGCCTGGCTTGTGTGAATGGAGGCAAGGGTCCAGGACCTTAGTCCTTAGATGAAAATTCTTCTTGGAGAAGGGATAACTGGGGGAAGGGGTCCTGGACTGCAGTGGAGGGCGGGCAGGCTGCTTTTTGTTGTGGTGTCACATGGTTGTGGGGGTGGAGAGAGAAACCTTCTCCAGTCTCCAGGATTTTTCCATTGCCACATGGATACATACAGAAAACCAGGCAGAGTGAAGGAAATCAGACATCTGTGATCTCTCCAATCTCCAAACCTGTCCTGAGAACGAATCATCAACTCTCCCAGTTTGCCCCAGACTGAAGGGTTTCTGGGGATGTGGGACTCTCAATGCTAAAGCCAGGACAGTCCTAGGCTAACTGGGACAGCTGGTCACCTTACCAAAATACAAGCCCCAGGGTCCAGGCAAAGGGAGACAAGAGAAACCAGTTGTTTTGAGGTCTGTTGCCTGATTTCCTATTTGATCTTATTTAGTCCTTACCTGATTTTAGCCTGATGCCTTATTATTATTCATAGATTCTCAGCCTTCTTTTCAAGATAATACCTAGCATGTTGGCAGGATGTCCCAATTTGGGGTTGAGGGCAGTGGGGCTGGGGGCAGGTGGCTTGGTGGTACGTCTCATTCAATCTGAGATTGCACGGCTTGGGGTATGAGGTATGATGACAGCAACCAGGCTGGCCTGCTCTCCCAGGGTGCCGACCACCTAGCACCCATCTCCAATTAACAGATACACCTTCAGAACACCCACTGTGTGGTTGCTAAAATTATATTCCCATTTTAGAGATGGGATAACTGAGATGGAGTCATTGGCCCCAGGCCTGAGTTGGGGGAAAATGGAGCAGGGTCTCCTGAGTATTCCACAGCCCTTCCTCACTCACGCACCTTACCAGTCTCCTGTACGGGCAAAGGTGGCTGTTTTCTTCAGGTCAGGAATAAATGCTGGCCCCAAATGAAGGCGAGCCTGCTGCTCCTCCCCTGAAAGGTGGCCTCAGCCCCACTCCTCAGACATTAATTACATAATTAAG
This sequence comes from Homo sapiens, assembly GCF_000001405.40. Taxonomy (NCBI): domain Eukaryota; kingdom Metazoa; phylum Chordata; class Mammalia; order Primates; family Hominidae; genus Homo; species Homo sapiens. Next base: position 49,900,434 of record NC_000017.11, read on the forward strand.
GATGGAGAAGGAGGAGGAGGTCAACCTAGCAGAATTCTAAAGGCAGAGAAAGGCTTCAGAAAAATCTAGATATTAGATCAAACTTCTACCTGCTCTCACAGCAGCAACTGGCCTCCAGGAGACGGAACCCGAAGAAGTCAAGATTTTTAAATGTCTGAAAGGACTTTTGGAGGAAAAGGGGACCAGCATCAGATCTCTGCTCCTGCTGTCCTGGGAGCCTGGAGCTGCTGGGGCTGGTTCCCCATCTGTCCTGCCCTCACTCTACCTCTCCTCCAAAGGCCCCTTCCCTACCTCAGCCTCTCCCTTCCCCTTCTCTGCCCATGTACCCAGAGGCTGGAGGCCGGGTGCAGTGGCTCACGCCTGTAATCCCAGAACTTTGGGAGGCCGAGGCAGGTGGATCACCTGAGATCAGGAGTTCAAGACCAGCCTGACCAATATGGTGAAACCCTGTCTCTACTATAAATACAAAAATTAGCTGGGCGTGGTGGTGTGTGCCTGTAGTCCCAGCTACTTGAGAGGCTGAGACAGAATTGCTTGGCCCCGGGAGGCGGAGGTTGCAGTGAGCTGAGATCACACTACTGTACTCTAGCCGGGGCAACAGAGCAAGACTCCATCAAACAGCAACAACAACAACAACAAAAGAATCCAGAGGCTGGAAACAAGAGCTGAGTTTGCATACAAATTGAGCTTGAAGTGCCTGTTTGAAGGGAGACTTGGGAAATCATTGAGGGGTTCATCCCTTCTGATTTCCTACTGAGTCCAAGGACTCTGGAGCTCCTGAGCATTTGAGAAGCTACGTATTTTAGGGCTGGACTGTCTAGCTGTCATATTTAGGCTGCCAGTTTTCCAGAAGGATTGGGTGGACAAGGGGACCTGTGTGAGGGAATTTTGTCTCCCAGGAGTCAGGAGGAGTGGGTGATAGGCTGAGCTCTCCTTCTGGGGGAGGCTCTTTTTTAGGAATCGTATTCCTCTAGGAAGGCCCCTCTGTAGCCCTGCTGGGCTTCTCCGAGAACCCCCAGGCTTGGGGGTTATGTATTCCCCAGCCTTCTCAGAGAGAAGGATGCTCTCCCCCTGTCCTGGCACTACTGTCTCCATCTCGGAGTCTGCCCCAGCCCCAGCCCTAGAAGAAGCCTGAAGGTGCGGTGCTTGCCTGTGTACACCCTGTTTGAATTTGCTTCAAGCCTAAGGCGACTTCCTGTTTCCATCAACAGGTCCCAGGAGAGATCAAAGGCCAGGGCTGGTGAGTTCAGGGAAGAGGAATTGAGGATGGCCGGTCCCACCACTATGTAATGAGAAGGCTGAAATTTATGTGGAGACCTGGAGCATGGGTAGGACTCTGGGGACACAGCCGAATTTCCAGGGTGCTTGGCCTAGGCCTGCCGGTGCCTACCCCGTCTTATCACTCCTCCAGGGAGCCCTGGGCATCACTCCATTCCGGAGTCCTGACCCCAACCACAGTCTGCTCCTCCTGTGTCCCCCGGCAGCGTCCTCGCTCCTTGCAGAGTTTGCCTGATCCACCTCCTAGCACGGGGCTCCCTACGGAGCCTGGGCCACAGCTGGAGGGGCACCCTCTCTACGGCGGGCCCGCCCCCTGCCCCGCGCGCCAGGCGGGCGTGGCCCGCGGGGCGGGCGCCCGGCGAGGGGCTCCGGCGCGGCGGCCGTCACTCACGCACTCACGCGGGAGGAATGCAGACGGCAGGGCTGCCCTGTGGTCACGTCCCCGCCCCACCGACGGAGGTAGGCGCCCAGGTACCCAGCCTGTGGGCCTTGGGAGCCCGCCAAGCTGCTGATGAAAGGCGCTGCCAGATTAACCCTTTCTTGGCCGCACCCCCTTGCTGCTGCCGGCTGCCGGGTGGTCGCAGAGCAGGAGGGTGAGGGGCAGGAGAGGAGTCTAGACACGCCTGGCTAACGAGGGGGCGGCTTTGGCCTCTGCGCGCTTGCCGGGTGGGTGCAGGTCCCCTGCCCCTGCCCTCCCCCTTTCTCTGGCCTTAGGACCCTAGGGCTGACATGGTTGAGGGACAGGACTCCCAATAACATCATAAACCTCACCACGGGGATTCTCCACTGGGCACAACCTCCCATGCTGATGTGCTCCCTCCTTAAGAGTCACTGTAGCTAAAGAGCACTGGACAGAGAGTCCAGGAACTCATGCAGTCATCCAACACAAATTTTAAAAGCTGAGAGGTGGCTGATGTCTGTAATCCCAGCACTTTGGGAAGCTGAGGTGGGAGCATCGCTTGAGCCCAGGAGCTTGAGACCAGCCTGGGCAACATAGGGAGATCCCATCTCTACCAAATAATAAGAATAATATTAATATAAAATATTAGCCGGGCGTGGTGGCGCTGTGGTCCTAGCTACCTGGGAGGCTGAGGCGGCAGGATTGCTTGAGCACAGGAGGTCGTGGCTTCAGTGAGCCGTGATTGTGACACTGCACTCCAGCCTGGGCAACTGGGCAACGGGGAAAGCCAAGTGGGCTCTATCTCAGTTTTTCCAGTCTGTAGAATAACAGGGTCGATAATTCAAACTATGGGGTTATTTATTTGTGTCTGTATTCACAGCAACCTTCCTTTCTTCCCCAGGCGGAATCTCAGGCAGATGCCTGGTATAGAATTCAAACAAAGCGGAGAGTTTCTGGTTGGAGTTGGGAGTGAGGTCCCCCTTTCCCTCTGGCATCTTCATCTCATCTCCTGAGAACCCCTAGGGAGGATTTCAGGGAACACAGTTTGGAAAGCTTTGAGAGCTAGGTATGGTGTGAGGTGCCTTTTGGCTCTGATATCTTTCTTTCCTTTTGTCTGCATCTGCTGGGTGATGCAGATGTATCTCTGTTCAGTGGGGGCTTTGCCAGCCTGGACATTTGCTACATCTTCTGGGCTCTGTGTGGGGCATTCTGTGATGCCCTGAGATCTGGGCTCCCTCTTCCGGGGTCTGGGTGCTGTTATCTGTGCTCCCCACTGAAAATTGGCCCTGGACAATTTTCATTCTTTGCCCATATCCTGGGGCTTGGGCTCGCCCTCTGTACTTTCTTTGTTGCTGGATCCAGTACACCGTAAGGTGATGTTACTCTCAAGTTTCCCCTCAACCCCATCTGTCTCCCAGACCCTCCTTTCTGGTCTGCTAAGAGTTCTAAGAATCCAGGGGCCAAGGGAATACTTTTTGTTTTAACACAGTTGCAGTGGTACAAGCGTGTCTGGTAGGCAAGGTGAGGAGGGCAAAGCTCTTGGGGCTAAACCTGCCTCAAGTTCAGGTGTCCTTCTCCCCCACCCCCGCTCCACCCTCTAACTAACAGCAAGGGAATCTTCCAGAGATCAAAGCATGTCGGTAACCCTCACTGAATTGGGCCATGGCCTGGGAGTTCCCAGATCTCTTCTCCAACTCATCCAGCCTCCTTGGGAGCCTCCCCCGCCACCTATAAGGGGCTGGGAGTGTCAAGAGGGGCAGGAAATCAGAGGCTAAGTCAGGAGGCAGTGCCAAGAGGCGGCAGGAAGCCAGGCGGCCTCATGCCCAGCCCTAACCACCCCCCACCTCACTCCTCAGTGGTCTCTATGAGCCTCACTGCCCTGGGGGAAGGTATACCACCCTGAAGCTGAGTTTCCAGGAGGGGCAAGAGAATCTAGGCTTTAGCTACAGTAGAACTGCAGAGTAGATCTCAGAAAGGACTTCTCAACCTGCATATCCATCTCCCTTGAATACTAGTTCCTTGGGTATGCTTTACACAGCTTAAAGGTGTTACCACCTCCAATATAACAAGACTAGAAATTTGCAAATCACCCTTAGTGCTCCGCTCCCTTCACCATCCAACTGGCCACTGAGTCCCATCCTTTCTGCAGCATTAGTGGTTTGAAGGTACCCTCTTTGCTTTCCATTTCCATTGCTCCTGATTCAGTTGACACCTTTTCTAACCAGCCCCTGAGACTATTGCAATAGTGGCTGGTTCCCCTGACTCCCAGGAGCACACCCCCGTCCTCCCTTCCCTCCCCAGTCCCTCCTCCACACTGCACCAAGAGGGATGTCAGAACACAGGTTGGAGCATGCCACTCTTATGCTCAAAAACCTTTGATGGCTCCCCATTGCCGGCAGGATAAAGTTCCAACATTGCCTGGCATTTACAGCCTGCCCTGATCTGGTGCCAACCTACCTTGCCAGCCTGGGTCCCTACTGTGTACTTTATCTCCTCAACTCCAGCCACATCCTATGGCTCGTCTTATCCCAGACCTGCTGTGCATTTTCATGGCCGACCACCTTGGCTCATAGACAAGCTTGTTCCTAGCACTTACAGTGTTGTGGGGGAGGAGGATTAATCACATAATCCCGTAAATAAATATATCCTAACAAACTCTAAGTTCAGCGTATCTTTAGGAACTCAAAGAGAGGTTATAATGGGGATGGGATTTAGACTGGGGACTCGGAGAAGGCCTCTAGGCATGGGAGGCACTGCAGTGTATTGGATTCTTGTTACTTCGAATGCTTGGGGCGGGGCTTATTTCTTCAGAACGAACTTCCCATCTGTGCCCCCAGATTTCTTGGCATCTCTGACCTAGCTTGCATTTAATTCTGTTTTAAACTGGAGCCTGTCTCATGTGTTGCAGCCCCTAGACGGTGAGCGACCGAGAGAAGGGAGGGTTGCTCGTTCGTGCTTAGAACACCATCATTCAGCACACAGTAGGTCTGGGGCACAGTAGGTCTTTAATAAGTGTGTTTTTATTTTTGAGGTGAAGGTATGCAAACTTCCACGCTGAATGAGCATGGAAATAGACCTGAAAGCAGGAAACATTCCCGAGAAATAGTGGGGCTTGGCACAGAAGCAAGGGATGGACAAGACAGCCTCCTAGTCATCCTCTTTCATGAAAGCTCTGTCCTCTCTCTAAGTGACTCTTATTTCATACCTCCCAAGATGCTTCAGAGAATCTTCCGAGTTCTGGCCTATGAACCAGCATTCCATTTGGCCCAGCCAGCCTCCCCTCAATGCTCCCCAACCCCAGGTGATCCATGTTTGCATAGAGAGGAGCTGTTCCAGACAGCAGGGGAGGGGCTTCTTTCCTGCTGGGAGATGGTGGTCCTGGTATCAGGAGCCCCCAACCACCCAGGACTGCTCCTCCACTGGACTGACTGTAGGTTTTGGGGAGGAAGGTGTCCTTCTTGCCCCCACTCCTACCCCCATACACTAAATGCCATGCAGTTCCTCCAGCTCCCTAGGAACAGAGCATAGAGGAAAGAAGGGGTTAGCCTGCCTGGCTTTGAGCAGACAAGGGAGGAGGAGGGAGATTTATTGGGGAGTGACCCTGCTTTAGAGGCCGCCTCCGCACACACACTCCCCGCCACCCCACTGCAGCCATTTCCAAGCAGACAGCAGCAGGCCATTTCCCAGGGTTTCCAATTCAATTCTCTTCCCCCGATACTTTCCCATCAGTGGAGAATTTTGGATCTGAGCAAGGGCTGGGGCGTGGCTGTTGAACCCATGAAGAAGCCAGACTAACCTATCAAATTGCAGCCCGGTCCCCTTGGGTCAGGTTCTTGGGGTAAGCTCTCCATTCAAGAATCTGATGTGGGCCGGGCGCGGTGGCTCACGCCTGTAATCCCAGCACTTTGGGAGGCCGAGGCGGGCGGATCACGAGGTCAGGAGATCGAGACCATCCCGGCTAAAACAGTGAAACCCCGTCTCTACTAAAAATACAAAAAATTAGCCGGGCGTAGTGGCGGGCGCCTGTAGTCCCAGCTACTTGGGAGGCTGAGGCAGGAGAATGGCATGAACCCGGGAGGCGGAGCTTGCAGTGAGCCGAGATCCCGCCACTACACTCCAGCCTGGGCGACAGAGCGAGACTCCGTCTCAAAAAAAAAAAAAAAAAAAAGAATCTGATGTGATGGTGAGGGCTCAATTCCTGCCACAGAGGGACACAGGAGCTGGCCTCTGGGAACCACTACTCAATCTGAGGGTGGAGACCCAGCCCCTGTTCTGAAGATGCTTCCAGACTCCCGAAGGACACAAGATGAAACCAGGACACAGACGCTCGTCTCCTCTGTGCTGGTCAGTGGCTAAGATGCCCCAGCAGGCTTTCCAGATAGGGGCCACTCCCCTAGTTCAATGTTTTCCTCAGGGCAGCTGTGTCTGGTAGTCTCACTGCAGTCTCTCTTGCTGCAGAGGCCATGTGAGTGGTGGTACTCGCAGCACAGGTGGTATCCGGCAGGTAGGGAGCACGGGGGAGGAGGAATGTGCCCGGGGCCTGGGCAGGATGCCAGTGGACAGTCCCAGCAGCCCCACCCCTACCCATGACCTACTCACCCCACCTTCTGCCAGCCATGGTCCTTGTCCCTATGCCAGGGGTCACAGCCAGTCATGGGTTCCGGGTAACCATTCCTGGGAGGAGACCCGGCCTCCAGACGTGAGGGACATCTTCTGGGGCATTAGTCATTGCCATAACTGCCATTTCACACACACTGACCCTGGTCTATTTAGTCCTCACAGTTAAATATTGTATTACCCCCATTTTACAGGTAGGCAAACCAAGGCTCAGGGTGAAGAAGTCCCTGATACTGTGTACCTGGTGCAGCCTGACCCGGAGCAGCAGTGGATGGGGCATTGTGGGGGTCAGAGCAGGGGGACTTGTGGATCTGCAGCTCCTGGGGTTGAGAGTCAAAGGGTCTTTCTCATCCCAGAAGGAATTTGTCCCCACCGTGAGAGGGGTTAGACACGGCTGGAAGTGGGGACAAAGCGGGAGCAGGCTCAGCACAGGAGTGCTTTAGCCAGCACCCTGCAGCATGCCAGGGACCCTGTGCAAGAACCACCTCCACCCGCCTCCTCCCTGCACCCTTCCAGAAGCTGAGGGAGCAGGTGGGGAGATGGTGACTCTCCAGAGCCCCTGATCTCAGCAGAGAGCCTGCTCCCTGCTACAGCGCCCCAGGTGTTCCACTGTCCAGGCGGCATCCCCAAGACCACCCCCCACCCTATATGTCTCAGAGTGATGCCTCCAGAATGAGAGCAAGGGCTCAGACCAGTGAACTGGGGGGAAGACTCCGGGCTCTACTCTCCAATCCCTCTGCTCCCTCCCCCTCCACCTCCCTCCCGCAAGCTTCCCTCCCAAACACTCAGTCATTCATTCCCCAGACCACCTACAAACCACCCATTTGCCCAGACCGCACAGCTCCTCTGCCCAGCGCAGCTCCCCAGGATAATGGCCGCCCCACCCCCACCCTTCCAGGATGCACCCCCAAGCCTAATTACCACCTTGGCACCTCCGGGGCAAGGGGGGCGCTGACCTCTGTTTATGCTTGGAAATCTCTTGGGCAGAGGAGGCCTGTTTTGCTCTGGACATCAAGGAGCAGGAGGAAATTAGAGACCCTCAACGAAGCCCCCTGTGGTCCCTCCCACCCCACGGCCTTGTCTCTGGGCCCAGGCTAGTGGGGCAGGACAGAAAGGCAGGATGGTGGGGACCCCTGTTTGCTCCTCTCTCCTTCTGGGCACAGTGAGGGGATGGGAGAAGGAACAGGCCTGGACTCTGTCCTCCAGATGCAGGCTCGGGGAGGACTCCCCAGAAAGAGCACTGGACTGGGAGTCAGAGACTGGGGTTTAATTCCGCTGACCCTGACTCCTTGGACTCCCCATCCCGTTGGGCCTCAATTTCCTAGGGTGTGAGAGACAGCTGATCTTCTTGGTCTCTAAGGGCTCTCCCAGCTTGGGGCCGTGAACCCCAAGGAGGTGACTGAGAGATGCTGCTCTCAATCCAGCCTCTCTGCACTGCAGAGAGACCCCCTTCCCACCCCAGCAGAAAAGCAGGGGGAACCCAAGTGGATGGAGGAAGCTGCAGGAGGAGGACAGGTGGTCAGGACAGGGAGACAGAGCAGGGTGTGGCCTGACACCCATCAACACTGGGTGGGAGGGAGGATGGGCGCCATGACAGGCTAGGAGTGGTGGAAGTCGAGAAGCTCTGGGCTGGTAAGCTCCACTCCTCTGGCATCAGCAAGGTGGTAGAAGGGAGGCCCTCCCCTGAAGGGGCTTGTGATTCTGCAGGGACCCTCTGCCTTTCCAAGGCTATGCCCCCAGCCCCTGCAAAGTCTACCCTGACCAAAATCCTAGCAGCTGCTCCATGAGGGTAGGGACCAGTTTTTGTCAGGTGCCCAGTGTGGGCTTTGGCTTAGAGGAGGTGCCCAGAAAATCTGAAATGAATGAGTGCATATGGAGCAGCTTTGGGGAGATTGAGGAAAACCCAGATGTGTGAACCTTACCTGCAGCTGTGGGAATGGGGAGTGGGCGGGAGAGAGAGGACCATGGGGTGGGGTGTTGGTGGGTTCACCCTCACCAGGCAAGACTGAGCTGGCCTAGGCCCTGGAGGCCAGGGCCACCAGGGCTGGGCTGGGGCGGATGAGGTGGTCTCTGTGGGGTCCCTCTCAGGATCCCTCCTTCCCCCGTAATTACCTCTGATTAGCTTCACCACAACAGCCAGGCTGGAAAGAGAGGGGTGTTTGGAACGTGGGGGAGGGGACAAGGTGGAGCAGAGCACTCACGACAAGCCACGGACCCCAGCAGAGCTCCCTCCCCACAGCTCAGAACACACACACACACACACACACACACACACAAGTGCGTGCAGGCGCACACAGGCACACACACATATGCACACAGGCGCACCACAGCCACACACTCAGGCTTGCACATACACAGGTGCACACATGCACACAGCCACACACACATAGGTGCACACACACAGGCACACCCGTGTGGGTGCACACACACACACACAGGTACAGGCACACACAGGCACACACACAGACACACTCGCACACACACACACACGCACCCTGAGCTGGAAAATTGCAAAGGAGTCCATCTACACAGGCCCACAGTGGCAGTGATCAGGGCACCAGGTCCTTTAAACAACTCACCCAAGGGTATTCAAAATGCAACCTCTCACCCGCTGCAGTTCCTGGGAGGGAGGATGGCTAGGCGCAGCTTCTAGGCAGAGGGGAGCGGGGAACAGTGAACGGAACAAACACTTCAGTTGGGAAAGGGGCTGTGGCAGACATGTCTACTGGCACAACGCAACGCCCACCCTGGAGCCCCCTTGCTGGCAGCTCAGACAGTTCCTGGTGTCCAGCCGCTGACTCTGCTGTGTCCCTGCAGAGCTGAGGGATCTGCAGACAGCTTTGCCCTTGTCCACCGGCGTCCTGCCCTCACCCACCCGCTCCTTGAGACAATCCAGCCTAGGGCCTTCCCTGGGAGCCAAGAAGCTGGGGCCCCTTCTTTCTAACCTGCCAATGGAACCCTCGCGTTCCCCCAGACTCATATTCCAGGAAGGGCTCCTGAGGTGAGGAGACCCAGCAAGGGGGAAAGTGTCCCCTCCTTTCTCGACTGTTCTGGGGAAGAGAGCTGTGAGCCAGGCAGGCACTGGTAGAGTGAGGGAAGAACAGTGACTTCTTCCTCTCCAGCCTTACCTTAGAGAAACTATTATGTAATCAATAGCAGTATTCCTTGAATTTTTTTTTTTAAAGCTTGCTCTAGGTCTGAGCACCAGGCTGCCACGCTTACAGACGTCATTTCACTCGTTCTCTTTTAGGGAGACCCGAACCCTGCCCTCAGGGAGCTCCCCAGCACTGCCCGAGTTCGTACCTCCCCTCACAACCCCTGCCCTCAGGGAGCCTGTAGTCTGATGGGAAAGACTTGATGCACAAATAGAATGGACAACCCCGCCCTGGCCTCCTCCCCACGTCCCTGTTCTCCAAAAGGGAGCTGGGCTTTCGGAGGTGAGAGGAACCGCGAGGCAGCAGCGGTGTGGGGAAGGCACTCAGCTTTCCTGGAGGAGCGGCTCCCGGTGGCGGCGGGCTGCCTGGAGGAGGAGGCAGGGCCAGGCTGGGCGCTGAGGAGGCCGCCCCGGTGGCGCTCCCACGACCCGGGCAAGGCAGTCTGGGCGCCGTCTCCGGTCTCGGGGCCTGCGGTCGGGGCACCGCGGTGCCGCGTTTGAGCCGGTCAGCTCCCTGCGGAAATTACAGGGGCGCTCGGCGCTGCGGTCGCGCCCCCCGGGGCAGCGCCCGCTGGTTGGAGGCGTTTAAATTGAAAGCAGCTTTGGGGAGAGGGGGCGGACGCGGGCCGCCGAGCAAGGGGAGGGGGCGGCCCGGCACAGCGACCCCATTGTCTGTGCCCGCCGAGGGGTGGAACCTTGCGGTGAGCTCGGCGCGGCGCCCCCTCCCCGAGCTCCGGCCCAGCGGCGCTCTCAGCTGGTTCCCACGCTGCGCAGCGCTGGCCACGACCCCTCGTCCCTTCTCCACCTGGGTCTGCCTCTTGGCTCGCTGACTGCAAGCCTGGCAGCGCGCACGCGCACACTTCCTCCAGGTGGCCCTCCCAGACTAAGCCTGATATCAAGTCGGGCATCACTGAGTCATGGAAGGTCAGGAAAACCCGGGTTGACTCTGCTACTAGGCTTGGTCACCTTAGGCAAATCTCCTTCCCTCTCTGGGCTCCAGTGTCCTCTATAAAAATGCCTACCTCTTTCAGTCATTTTTAAAGATGATTTGAGCCACTGTATGGGAAAGTGTTTTGAAAACTGAAATGCTGCAGGTAGCTGAGCAATACAAGACGAGAATAAGCCCCTCCTTCTACTCTTCACTGTGCGGGCCCTTTTATACACAGGTGTGCTGGTGCTAGAACCATAGCGCTAGTGGTGGGTTGGAGGAGAAGAAAAGCAGCCAACAGAGTGGAGGCTAGAAACCACGGTGGACTTCCCGGAGAAGGGAAATGTGGAGCAGGGCGGGAAGGAGCAAAACGGGGCAATTTTTGGAGACAGGAGAGAGATGTCTCCTCTTGGGAGAAGCTCAGCAAAGGCCGGAGAAGTGGCTTGGGGAGAGTGGCTGTTTGCCCAGTTGCTGGGTGGCATGTCTCCTGGGAAGGCAGATTGGTGGCAGCTCCTGGTGCAGTCTCTGGGTGATGGGTGGGGCCTATGCCTGTCACCCCTGGGGAGTGTGGGGCGCTCCCTTTGGCCTGTTTCTGGTTCTTTTTCCAAAGGCTTTGAGTACCTAGAGGCTGGTCTCTGGGCTTCGGGCACCAGGTGCAGGGATCTTGGTTTTATTGTTCCCTTTGCTTCCATCAGCAGGAGCAGGCTGTTTACCAGGCCTGGTGCCCAGGGACGGGCCATGTGCTCCATACCTGGCAGAGCTACATGTTTCTGCCCTACTTCCTGGGGGCCCCTAATGGGCAGCCAGGTATGGGGGGCAAAGGCTATAGTACCAAGTCCCTATGAAGGGAGCCTGAGACATACACACTTGGTGGCAACAAGGAGAGCTGAGCCCGGCAGGAGGGAAGTGGCCTCTGTAAGGGTTCCCAGATGAGGGGACTGAGGAGCAGCCTGGAGAGGAGGGAAGAAGAGGGGTGAGGAAGAGGAGGGAGGGAAGGCAGAGGGGCAGGGCGGGAGTTTCCGCTAGAGGCATGAGGGCTGTCAGAGTTCCTTCCCAGCCCCCTTCCCATCTCTTAACACTGCACCCTGCCCCCACCATCCCACCCTCAACTCCTCCTCCAGAGCCCAAAGCTTCTCAAAGGCCTGTAACAGAGAGTGCTTGGATCTGGCAGCTGGGATGAAATCTACAAGCCGGCTTTGGAGATTCAGAGTTGGGGTAAATTAGATTGGGGGTGGGCTCAGAGGCTCTGCCTGTCCTTTGCACCTCCTTTCCTGGTCCAGGCAGCTGATGAACCCACCCACCCAGGATAGCTCCCTCACCCCTTGGCATGTCCTATGCTAGTGCCAGCTGGGCACAGGGCAAGGAGGCTGTGGGAAAATAACTCGAGAGCCTGGCGAGGACAGGTGACTGCCCAGAGTGAACTGACTGGTTAGGGCTGGGCCTCCCCTGTCCAGAGAGCTGGCCGGGCTCAAGGAGCCTTCCTGATCCCTAGGCATGGGACTCACGGGACATGACTTCTCCCAGGGGACAGGGGCCCAGGTTTCCCTTGGGTGTGGGGAACGCAGGATGGAAGAGTCCTGGGGAGAAAGTCCTCCTGTAGATCACCTCCTTGCCTTTGGAAGATCTCAAAGCGTTTAGCCTGACCAACGCCTTCCTTGGCCTTCTGCCTGGGAACCTGGTGGTGGGGTAACTCACCACTTTTCCTGGTGATGGGGGAGAGCAAGCTGACAGCCCAGAGGCCTCGTACACATCACACTCCTAGTTAGCAACCAAATACTAACAGGATTCCATTCCCGATGCAGGCCAACGGCTACGCCAGCTCTCTGAAGGTGTTTCTCCTGCTGCAGTTGTTCCCTGAACTCCCTGTTGACAGTCACCCCCCATTTCCTAGTGGAAAACCCTGGCCCTGTCCCTCTCCTTCCCTCCCTCCTCTTCCTCGACGCCCTCTTCTTCCCTGCTCTCCAGGCTGCTCCTCAGTCCCCACCTTCTCAGAGCCCAGAAAGCCTTCCACACATGCCATGCACACCTCTCAGACCATGAAAGAGGCTTTCCCAAGCTTGCCTCGTGCCAGAAGCCCGCCAGGTTGAGCAGGGATGGGGAAGCAGGGAGCCAGACCCACGCAATCCTTGGCCTCCAGCCCCCTGAGTGTGCCAGGCCTGAAAGAGGCAGAGACCTATCTTCTTGCCTACCTTGCCCGGCCTTAGGGTCTTGGAGGTCAGGGCTTTGGGCAGAAGGGAGAGGGCACTGAGGCTGAGGCTTCTACAGGCCCCAGGCCCCAGGCCCCAGCTGACGGGCTTCACATGGGCTGAAGGTGACTCTACTGGTTCACATCTGCTTGGGGCCAGGGAGAAGAACTCTAGGAGTAGGGGGTTGGGGTCTAGCTAGACTGGGACAGGAAGAGGCTTACGTACCCACCTGGGTCATCTGTCATCAAAATGCCCCCAGGTAGGTGCCATGAGTGGCAACAGTCACAGAAGTGTCCTTGCTCTCAGAAACTCAGGACTGATGCTTCCAGAAAGAGCAGGCTGGAGGAGGGAGCCAGGTGAGAAAGTGAATTGACCCACATGACTTCCGAGGCTCCCGCAGCTAAGACTCTGCAGTCCTGTGATCCCAAGAACCTGAGCACCTAAGATATGGTCCCTAGATGCTGGGATTGTAGCAATCGTCATCATAATGATAGCATCAGGCACTGTCACAAAACTTCACATGCCCATCTCACCGCTCCACAGTGAGCGAACTGAGGCACAGAGAGGTTCAGTTAGCTTGTCCCGAGAGCCACGGAATGGGGAGCCCAAACTGGGTCTGCCTGACTTCAGAATCTGCTCACGTGGCTTCTCTGCAGCCTTTTTGTCCCTAAACCCTGCTCTCCGTAGGGTCTGTGATTCAGCATACCACTAAGTCCAACACTAAGTCATGACTCAACATCTTTGGTGGGAAACAGCAGGTGGGAGGGGTGGATCCTGGCAGGGAGGCTATGGAGACAACTATCTCCCATCCTCCTCTTCTGGGTGCTGGAAAGCTTCCTGGAGGAGGAGGAAGAGGAGGAGGAGGAGGAGGAGGAAGAGGAGGAGGAGGAGGAGGAAGAGGAGGAGGAGGAGGAAGAGGAGGAAGATGGGCAAGAGAGGGCAGAGGAGAAAGAGGAAAGGAAGAGAGTATTTCAAGATGGCTAGTAGGGGTGGCCATTCCAGGGCATTACCTGGGGCACTTGGAGGAAGATGACGTTGTTTGAGGCTAGACGATTGGAGGGACCCAGTGGGGGCAAGGTGGGAGGACAGGAGTCTGGTTTGGGTGCATTCCCTTCTCCACCAGCCCATGGGCCCAGTGTCTAAGGACTTAGAGCCCAGAGGGCAAAGAGGGCTCAGGCCATGGCCCTCTGAGAAAGCCTCCTATGCCTCACCCCTCCTCCAGCTGCTCAGCCCTCTGTTGCTCCAGGCGGGAGGCCACTTTCAGCCACTCTCAGACAAAATCCCTGGGGGAAGGCCCCCCCGGCTGCTCTCTCCCAGGACTGATTACAAGCAAACAGCTGGAGGCAAACATCTGCTCCTCTCCCAGGGGAGGACTGTCCTTGTTCCCTCAAAGGTATGGAGCCTGCGGCCATCTTCCCTCCCCATTAAGGAGACAGCTGTCTTTGCGGGCATCCAGGAGACTGGACAGAGAGAAGACAAAAAATAAACATCACTGAGTGCCAGCCTTCAGGCAAGTGGAACAGCCTCATTTTGCCAAGGGGAAAACTGTGACACAGGCAGGGGAAGTCCCACAGAGGGTCGATCTGGCTTCAACTCTGGCTCTGTTCTGGTTGTAAGGTGCTAGGGGTCTGTGCCCAGTGGATGCACTCTGCTTCTCCCCCCTACAGCTCCCACCCATGGGTTTGGCCACAGATGAGTTCAGAATTCCATGAAGGCATGGGTTCCTCCTGGGGACAAGGGTACATAGCAAGGCTGCGGGTGCCTCTCAGCAGCCCCAGGGAGGCCCGCTCCCCACTTCTTGTTGATGCTACAGCTTTTCTGCCAGCTGGGTTGTAGTTACTGTTGACCTTTACTGAGGGCCTTCTAGGTATCAGGCACTGGGCTAAGCATCTTAACAGATGCCATGTTTAATCCTCTCCACAGCCCTAGGAGATAGGTTCAGTAACTCTCACCATTTTACCGATGACAGAACTAAGGCTCAGAAATGTGAAATAATGTGCCCAAGATTACCCAGCTGTACGCAGTGGAGGTGAGATTGGCATCCAAAACCTTCCCTCTCAAGCTCTATGCCACTCCCTTTGGTGATACAATTGCTGAGTATGTGGCTCTCCGTCTCCCTTAACCAGGGTCCGGCTGGATTGGAACAGCAAACCCTCTCTGCCTGCCTCTGGCCTCTTCTTGCCCCCTTGGATTGAAGAATTGGCTCAGGGTGCTGCCTCTGACATAGGTTGCAAAGGCAAGTGGATGAAATTGGACAAGCTCTAAATCCAGTTTCCCCTCTGCTCACCCTGTCACCAACTGGGGTTCCAGCTCCCTCTAGGGTCAGAAGGAAATGACTTGTGGGGTACCCGGTGTTTGGCAAGTGGATAAGGGTACAGGCTCACACCCTGTCACTTGCTTGCTGTGAGACCTTGGGCAAGTGACTTAACCTCTCTGTGCCCCAGTGCTGGCATCTGTAAAATGAGGAAATAAGTACCAGGCTCATGGGATAATGATAGGATCGAGCTGGAAAGAGTTCACAGAGTTTGGAGCAGTGCCTGGCATGCAGTGAGTGCTTCTGCTATTATTATTAGTTGGAGAATCAAGAGACAACTGTTTAAAAAGAGGAGCGGCCAGGAAGTATAGGCAAGTCTATCAAAAAGACATGGTTGATTTTGGGGGTCTAGATTTCCTAATTATTCAAGGCTGAGGGTCCTTGAGAGGGAAGAAAGGGGTGAATGGTTTCCAGGTGACATTTCTGCTTCCCCACACCCATCCCCAGGAGGGTGAAATTCCTCACAGGTCTCTGTGCGCTTTCATGTGAAGCCTGCCGAGCCCTGGCCAGCATTCCTCTGTCCATCCTGTGGGTTGGGAGCTGGTGGAGAGGGGTCATTAGCCCTTTTTCAGCTGTGTAAAGTGTGAGGGTAGGGCCCCAGCGGGGACCTGCTGAAAGCGGATGTCCCTCCACTCCCAGCGGAGGGGCTTCGAGGGAGGAAAGCCCATCTAGGTGGGTGTTCAGGGCTGCCTTACCCGCCCCTCGACTCGTGCCTGCAATGCAAGCGGATGCCTGTGACACAGACTGGAGGACCAGGTTGGGCCATTTCCCCTGCTGACATCCCCATCCCGAGGTCCCCTGGAAACAGGGTTTTGTGTGGACACCAGGGAACATGCCGTGCTGCTCCAGGGGACATGACCCTCAGTTCTGTCCCTGCCCCTGTTCTGTCCCTGACCCTCAGTTCTGTCCCTGCTCCTGTAGCTCTCAGGCTGCTGTGGGAGGGCAGGAGCTAGGGAGAAGGCCACCCCAGCTGGTGAGAGCTGGGGAAGCAGGTGAGATTGAGGAGAAAGTTGGATGGGTGGGGAGGTAAGGGCAGGCTTCCTGGAGGAGGGTAGGAAAGATAGAGGGAGGATCAGGACTGGTGCGACGGGGTTGGGTGCAGGGATGTGGAGACCTGCTCTTTGAACCCTCTGCCTCCATGCCTGTGTGTTCTTCTGCACCCACCCACTTATCCATCCATCTATCCATTCATTGACCCATTTTACATTTACCTGTCTGAACAGGACTTATGGAAGCCCTCACCCATTAGCTGGAGCTGTCCCACCACAGACTGGGCTAAATGGCCAGTGGTAAGCTTCGCCTCACTGATAGGTGGTAAGCTTCCCCTCACTGAAGTGTTGTGAGAGCTATCATGAGGGGGGACCCCCACACAGGATGGGGGCTCCGTTACATTTCTTCCAAGGTGTCCTTCCTGCTCTAGGGTACTGGGAGGTTTTCCACCTCCAGTTCTTCCCTCCCAGGATCTGAAGTTCGTAGCTTTCTCTCCAGTTGTCAGTTGCTTCACCTTCATCCTGTCTCCTTCCCTCCCATCTCTAATTTGCCCCTCCTCCCCACCAGGCCCACGTGGGCTTCTCTATTTCCCTCTTCTCCAGCCTCCCTACCTCCACTCTGGCTTCTGCTGCCACCAGGGATAGCTCTGAAGGACTTTGCTGTAAGCGTGGACTTCCCTTGCTCAAAAGCTTTCCATGGCTCCCTGTTGCCTGTAGGGAAACATCCAAACTCCTCTGTCTGCCTTTCAAGGCCTTCTCTGAGTGGGCCCCAGGCACTTAGCCCACTTTTACGCATGAAAGCCACTCCACCTTCAGCACCTTACTCACCCCTTGCCAACCACCTTGCTTGGAGAACTCTTAACTGCAACTTTTAGCTGAAGCTCAGAAAATGTCTTCTTGATGCAAGCTGGTGCCCTCAGCAAGGCAGTGACTGAGTTGCTGGCTGGTTTCTTTGAGGGCAGGGGCACATCCTTTCTTCTTCTTTTTTTTTTTGTTTTTGGAGATGGAATCTCGCTCTGTCGCCAGGCTGGAGTGCAGTGGCGCAATCTCGGCTTACTACAACTTCCGCCTCTTAGGTTCAAGCAATTCTCCTCCCTCAGCCTCCCGAGTAGCTGGGACCACAGGTGCCTGCCGCCACGCCTGGCTAATTTTTTGTATTTTAGTACAGATGGGGTTTCACCGTGTTGCCCAAGCTGGTCTCGAACTCCTGAACTCAGGCAAGCCACCCACCTCGGCCTCGGCCTCCCAAAGTGCTAGGATTACAGACGTGAGCCACCATGCCCAGCCCTGGCACATCCTTTTATGTTTGTGTCCCCAGTACCCAGTAGCTGGCATACAGTAGGTGCTCAACAAATGTAACTAACAGTCAATAAATTTCCATCCCTCTGCTTTGAGGACCTCCCATCTTCTCATCACTGCTTGCCCAAGTCTAACCCATCCTTTGAGGTCATCTCAGTGCTTCTCCCTCCTTAACACCTTTCCTGGGCCCCCATCTGGGAAGCTCCACTCTTCCCTGAACCTCCATGGTAGATTATTTTTGTCATCCTTGTGCCCAGTGACTCTTTCATTGAACTGCAGGTTTCTACAGGGCAGGAACTGAGTCTCTCTTCATGTCATTGGATTGCTATTAATATTGCTATAACCACTAATGCTTTAAAAACATTTGTCCACAACTCTGTTCTAAATTAAGTCAGCAGGGCCAGGCGCAGTGGCTCATGCCTATAATCCCAGCACTTTGGGAGGCCAAGGCGGGCCGATTACTCGAGGTCAGGAGTTTGAGACCAGCCTGGTCAATATGGTGATCCCTCGTCTCTACTAAAAATACAAAACTTAGCTGGGCGTGGTGATGTGTGCCTGTAATCCCAGCTACTCGGGAGGCTGAGGCAAGAAAATCGCTTGAATCTGAGAGCAGAGGTTGCAGTGAGCCAAGATCACACCACTGTACTCCAGCCTGGGCGACAGAATGAGACACCGTCTCAAAACAAACAAACAAAAACCCCAAAGAACATATTAAGTCAGCAGACAATGATTGAGTTTTTTTTTTACGCCGCTGCCCAGGCTGAAGTGCTATGGTGCGATCTTGGCTCACTGCAACCTCCGCCTTCTGGGTTCAAGCAATGCTCCAGCCTCAGCCTCTGGAGTAGAGTAGCTAGGATTACAGGCATGCGCCACCACACCCGGCTATTTTTTGTATTTTTAGTAGAGATGTGGTTTCACCATGTTGGCCAGGCTGGTCTCGAACTCCTGACCTCAGGTGATCTGCCTGTCTTGGTCTCCCAAAGTGCTGGGATTACAGACATGAGCCACTGCCCCCTGGCTCCAGTGATTGCGTTTCTGTGTCTAGTATGTTCTGGGTACTGCTCCACTGCTCCAGGCCAGGGGCTCACAGTGGCAGGGCCTCATAGTCCTCTGGAGGCCAGGGGAAGAGAGACCATTAACAAACCCTTTGAGGTAAGGCTTCTCTGGCCTCCAGCCACACTGCAGAGCTGAGGTTACTGAGCTGAGAGGTTGCATTTCCTGCTAGGGTCACACAGCCAAGGAGTGTGGGGGTAGGCCCCCACAGGAGCCCTTTTACCCAGTGCTGGCTTCAGCCTACATACAGCCACCCAATTCAGATGGATGATCAATAAAGTTATAAATCCACACTTTTGGATTTCTTTTTCCTTTTCTTTTTCTTTTCTTTTTTTTTTTTGAGATGGAGTTTCGCTCTTGTTGCCCAGGCTGGAGTGCAATGGTGCGATCTTGGCTCACCGCAACCTCCGCCTCCCAGGTTCAAGAAATTCTCCTGCCTCATCCTCCCGAGTAGCTGGGGTTACAAGCATGTGCCACCGTGCCCGGCTAATTTTGTATTTTTAGTAGAGACAGGGTTT
The DNA here is from genome assembly GCF_000001405.40 of Homo sapiens. Taxonomy (NCBI): domain Eukaryota; kingdom Metazoa; phylum Chordata; class Mammalia; order Primates; family Hominidae; genus Homo; species Homo sapiens. The sequence continues at coordinate 49,919,170 of NC_000017.11, forward strand.
CAGCATGTTGATCAGACTGGTCTCAAACTCCTGACCTCAGGTGATCCACCCACCTCAGCCTCCCAAAATGCTGGGATTACAGGCGTGAGCCACCGCGCCTGGCCTGGATTTCTTTTTTAAATGATAGCAGCCAGGTTTGGTGGCTCACCCCTGTGATCCCAGTGCTTTGGGACAACGAGGCGGGAGGATGGGTTGAGGCCAGGAATTTGAAACCAGCCTGGGCAACGTGGGGGCAAGACCCCATCTCTACAAAACAAAATTTTAAAAAATGATAGCAAATGCAGCTTCTTCTTTTATTTGGAGTCTTTGGGTTAGGAACCCAGTTGGTGCCCCAACTAGGTGATGAGCCATTTCTATTTCTGACATGAAAACGCATTGCAGGGGCACTTGTTACTTCCCGGATAGACCCACGCTCCACCTGCTTCCTCTGTGGCGTCTCTCCTAAAGGAAGAGGGTCAGGCCTCATCTCTCAGGCACCTTCTTCCCACAGTGGCAGCTCCTATGATCAGGGGTTGGGTCCTGGGCGTTCCTGCATTCCCTCCCAGGGCAGAGAAGGGTTCCGTCCAAACTGGGAAGTGATCCCTGCCCTACCCAGGAGTCTGACCCCAATCTCTCCCACCGAGGCCACCACCACGTCCCCCTGCTCTGGCCCCAGAGGAAGGAGCAGAGTGTGGCTCCAGTGGGGAAGCCTCTGCCCCTGGACCCCTGGCCCCATCGCGGAGGTCCTGCCTTCCCTGCTGTAGAGCTGGCTCCCAGCCCCCACCAGGCTCACCTGCTTGGCTTCCATCATGGGGGACAGAGATGTTATCCCTGGGGGTATGGGCCTCAATGGGGGCATTGTTCCCGCCCCATCCAGAGCAGGATCAGGGAGGGGACAGGGCAGAGACTGGGATTGTCCCAGGTGCCACACAGGCCAGCTTTGTCCTCCTCCAGCTCCCCCTCCCTCTGCCCTCCTACCTGTCCGGCCCCCTCCCTCTCACCCCTGCCTAGGCTTCTGGCTCCCCTCATAGGCTCCTCTGTAGCTTGGGGCAATGCAGCTGTTGCATGGGTGGGGTTCAGCCTGGCCCCGGGCGGTTGTGTGGGAGCAAGATGTCCCCTCCACATGACATTGCTCTTTGGAGCAGGGCCTCTCCTAGGCCAGGCCCAGCCCTGCCTGCCCAACTTGTCTGCTGATGGCACCCCTGTCTGGGGAGCACCCTGTCCCATCCTCACCCAGGCCTACCCACTCCTCTCCATGTACCATCCAGACCTGGTCTAACCGCATAGAGATTTCCTGATCACATCATACCGAGAGGCCCCCAGGAGGGAGGACAGGCTGCATATAAAAATCAGTTCCCAACGCTGACCTGACAGCCAGGACTCCTGGATTCAGGTCCCAGCTCTGCCAGTAGCTGTGTGACCTTGGTGAGTCATGGTACCCTGGAGGCTTCATTGGTCCCATCTGTAAAATGATAGCATTGGACTATCTTTTCTAAGCTCCTGTTGGGCTTTGACCTTGTGTGGCTGCCTCCTGGGAAGTAGAGACGCTGCTGGAGACTGACCCCGAGAGAAAGGAGCCCCCGCTCCCTGGCCTCTGCCTCTCCTCAACCTCCAGCCTGAGCTTTGTCCCCAAAGCATGAGTGACAGCCAAAGAAAGCTAATGGAAACCTGCACTGCTGCAGGTGAAACTGATCTCCAGCTCCAGATCCAGTTTCTCCTCCCGGCTGGCCCCCAGTCCCCCTCACACCTGCTCTGGTCCCCTTTGTTCGTTAGGCCAGGAGCAGTCCTGCCTTTCATCCACCTCCTGCCCCATTCATGCCTTAAGCCTGGGGCACCGCCTCCTCCTACCTCCTGGCTGGGGCACCATTGCTGTAGGCTGGCCAAGCGGGCACCCCAGGTCCGGGCTTTTCTCTCCCTTCCGCTCACCTGGAAAGATCACAGGGAAAGGAGATCAAGGTGGGGGAGCGAGAGGGCAGGAGGGGAGGCACTGTGTTCTACTGGATGCAGCAAGTTCTTAATGCTGGGAGTTTTGGCTTCTTGCTGAAGAAGGTACAAATTCAGGAGGGCTTCTTGGAGGAGGGGGCAATGTCTTACATAGATTTAGCACATGTTTGAACCCAGTGGTGCCTATGAGGAGATCCTGCTCTTCCTTTCAGGACTTGTCAGAGCCATTCATTCATTCATTCATTTGGCAAATATTCATTGATGTTGACTCTGTACAAAGCACTGTTGTAGGTGTTGGGAATACAGCTGCAAACAAAACCAAACCCCTGCTTTTGCAGTTTCTATTCCTGAGTGAGGTTGGGAAAGTCAGACACAAACAAATAGATATTAGTTGGTTATGATTGCTTAGGAGAAAAATTAAAATGGGTAACGGGACACCAAGTGACCAAGTGATATTTAAATAAGGATCTCAGCAGGCCTCTCAAGAAGTTGACATTTGAAGAGAGAACCAGGTGGGCAGCTGGGGGAAGATATCTTAGGCAGAGGGGATCGTAAGTGCACATGCCCCGAGGTGAGGGGAGTGGGCCTGTTGAGAGAGTAGCAAGGAGTCCACTAGGGCTGGAGTAGATGAATGGAGGGGAGGGTGGTAGGAGATGAGTCGAGTCAGGTGGCACAGGACCTCGTAGGCTGTGGCTGTGACTTCTGATTTTATTCCAGGTGAGATGGGGTAAGGAAAACAGCCAGGGTGCCTCTCCTTTGGGTACCCTGGACGGCTCTAGCCCCCCTCTCTTCTTTACTGCCCCCCAGGATTAGGGAGAAGTTAAGAGCTCAATTTGGGAATCAGACCTAGGTTTGCTCATCCATCATCATCCATCCATCCATCCCACCACGCATCCATTTCTTTGATGATGTTTCCTGCATACTCTGTGCTTAGTGAAGCCACTTACTAGACGGCTCACCTTGGGCAAGTGGTTTATTTTCCTTTTCTGTGAAGTGCATCCAGCAGTCATTCTTTCTTACTTCAGAGGAGCAGGACCCAGTGTTTAACTTGCTTAGCCCAGCATGGGGGCACAGTGAGCAACTGCTTCATCCATGCCTGCGAATGTGACTCATATATACAAGCTCCCCGACCCCAACCGGCTCTGACCCACTCAGGGAAGTGTGACCTGCGCCCACCCTACTCCCAGCAGTCCTCCCAGAGAGAGCATCCCTGCCCTGTGGCCTTAGAGCCTCCTTGTGCTCCTCTCCCTACCTCCCAAAATGTCCCACCCCTGCTTCCTACTCCCTGCTCCCTGACCTCTGCCCTCTACCCTCTGCCCTCTGCCTCTGGCCCCAAGCATGGGGTCAAAGCTCATCAGAACTTTCTCTCTGGGCCTCACATTCTAATTCACCCTCTTTATTTGTCAGTCTGCCTCTGTCCACCTCAACCTGGGGGCCGCTCACTCACCATCCTCTCAGAAAAGGCCGGGCGTGCCTTTTGTGCTGTCATGTGTTGGGCCCCAGCTGGGGGCACAAAGACCCAGAGACAGAACCTTAACTTCTGAGGAGCAAAGCCTGGAAAAAGCCCAGGCTTTGAAGCCCCAGAGAACTCTGGAGCCAGACATGTTGAGCAAACCCTGTCCCCAGCACATCCTCGCTGCTGATCCTTGCTAGTCCCTTCATGTTGCTGGGTCTCAGTTTCTTGATCTGGAAAAGGGAATGATAACACCTGCAGAGTTGTTGGTGGATCGGAGATCGTACACATAAAGCTCCCGCATGGAGAATGTGCTTCTCAAGTGGGTGTTGAGGAGCTGGGGTGTATGTACCCACACTAAGGCAGAAGCTCTGGCCCCGGCCTGGGAGTGTGATCCCAGAAATCATTTGTGTGTGTACATGTGTCTGGGGTGAGGATCCATAGCTTTTGTCAGATTCTCCAAGGGGCCTTGAGCCAAAAAGCTGGCGATGTGAGGATGGCACGGCCAAAAACTTAAACAGAGTCAAGAAGTCAAGTCTAAGGCCAGGCACGGTGGCTCACGGCTATAATCCCAGCACTTTAGGAAGCTGAGGCGGGCGGATCATTTGAGGTCAGGAGTTTGAGACCAGCCTGGCCAACATGGTGAAACTTCCATCTCTACTAAAAATACAAAAACTTAGCTGAGCGTGGTGGCAGGTGCCTGTAATCCCAGCTACTTGGGAGGTTGAGGCAGGAGAATTGCTTGAACCCAGGAGGTGGAGGTTGCAGTGAGCTGAGATCGCGTCACTGCACTACAGCCTGGGTGACAGAGTGGGAATCCGTCTCAAAAAAAAAAAAAAAAAGAAGTCACTTCTAGAACATTCACTTGTCCATTCATATTTTTCAAAATCAATTATTTGGACAACATATTTTTGGTACCTACTCTGTGCGAGGCCCTATAAGTCAAAGACTCATGGGGACCCCCACCCCCATCAAGGTGCCTTCTGTTTAGCCTCATGGGGACGCTGCACTTGACAGCTTATGGAGAGCCTCATCCAGGTGGTCTTCACTGAGCATTTCTGCTCCCCTGTAGGAGAGGCAGTGTGGGGGGCGCAATTTTACAGATGAGAAACTTGAGGCTCAGAGATACTGAGTGACTGGCCGAAAGTCACACAGCTGATGAGCAAGACAGGTACCACGAGCCCTGCACTCATGCCGCCCTCCTGGCATCTCCACTGGCCCCCAAGGAGTAGAAAGCTGCTTGCCCTACAAGGGGTTCCAGGGACCACCCTCTCTTTCAGCCTCGGCACCAAATAGTCCAGCCTCCTCCTTCTCACCTGTGGAAGCAGTGATGGCCCACAGATGCCTGGTACAGCTCACCCACTGCTCCCTGCCATTGGAACCTTCAGGGCCCTGGTTTGGCAAAAGGGGATCCTTCCAGAAATTCCAATCACTGCCTGTATTTTCTTCCTCCTCAGTGCTGAGGGATGCCATCTGGCCTCGCTGGAAGAGGCAGCCTGGCTTTGGAGTTGAAGGTGTGGAAGGAGGGGTGCCTGGCATGTGAGGCAGAGTTGGTGGGGTTGTGAGAGATGGGGGAAACTTGCAGCGGGACCCTCCCTCCCCACACAGCTCCCACTGCACACACCTCTCCCCCCGCCACAGTCTTTTTGATGCTGCTGAGGCTAAGCCAGGCTTCAGCCCACGCGAAACTCTTCACACACACCTCCAGCTCCAGGCGGTCCCCAGGACCTCGTCAGGGGCTGGCCCCGTGCCTAGGTCCCAGCCCAGGGCGCCGAGCAGCAGCGAGGGGTGGGAGGCCCCGTGTGTTCCAGTATTTATTTATTTGAAGGCCCAGCATTTACACATACCTGGCTCTGATTACCCCCCGGGGCCCGGGAGGAGGGGGACGCTGCTGCTTGGGCCTTTGATGTTCCAGAGAAGAGATGGTGAGATGCTGTTGGGAGTCACAGCTGCTGTGGGGTGTGTGTGTGTGCGGGGAGCCCTGGTGATGTCACCTCACCAGACTAAGGATGGCAGGCACTGTGCTGGGCCCAGGGATGACTAGAAGGGGTCAGAAGTGGGAAAAAGAGAGGTCCTTCCTAGGCCGAACTCTTGGTCTCCAGCCCAGCTACCCCCACCAGGGCCACAGCCATTGTCTTGGGTTTGGAACACGGATGCCCTTTACAGGAGCAGGGGCAAAAGGTGGCAGAACCTCCTCTCACAGATTGAGGGAGGCAGGGAGGCAGGAACCACCAAAGCCCGGCGGCACAGGCCACCCCCACGCCACAGAGAGGCCCGACAAAGATCTGGAGATGGTGACACAGCCCCCGAGGAGGTCAATGTCAAGGAGTCAGGGACTACATGGTACAGGACAGAGACCTGCTCAGAACCACCAAGACCCACCATGATGTGCTCTGTTAGTGGGTCTCCTGTCTCCCCCAAAGATCCAGGGTTACCAAGGGGATGCAAACTGAGTGATGAGGGTGCTTACTCATAAGTGAATGAATGAATGAATAAATGAATGGAGATGTTGACACAGATGCAAAGACAGAAAGACAGGAGTGCATCTAGCACAGCTCCCATATGCCCTGAGTGTCCGCGATGGCTCAGGCACTGTCCTAGGGTTGAGTGAATGAGGAAAAGACACCGAGAGCACTAGGGACTATGTAGGGGAGGGGTCCAGGGAAAAGCAGAGCGAGAGGGCAAAACAATTTCAGAAGCTGCAAAAAGAAACAGTACAAAGAGCACCCTATGCCTTTCACTCAGACTGATCTATTGTTAACATTTTACCTCATTTACTTTTATCATTCTTTCTCTATATACATCCATGTATATGTACATATAGATTTTCTCCTGAACAATTTGAGGGTAAGTTACATCTATCATGGCCTTTGACCACTAAATGCTTCAGTGCGTATTTCCTGAAAATAGGGATATTCTCTTCCTTAACCTCAGTATAGTTATCAGTTTCATAAATTTGCTTTGATAGAATATTTTATCTCATCTATCATCCGTAGGTTCATATTCCAATTCTGTCCATTGACCTAATAAAGCCTTTTCCAGGATTTTCCTTTCTGTAGGTCACAGATGCATCGGGAGAGAGACAAAGCAGTGGCACAGCTATCTAGAGACGCTGGGACAGAGGAGCCAGACACCCAGTGGGGTGGGGATGAGCATGTATAGGAGGGCGGCGCAGAGGAGAGGAGTGGTCTCAGTAGTCCCCACAGGTCAGAATGTCCTGGCCTTACACTCTGCAGACTTTGACAAGGCAAGGGGGCAGCCCAGGCCTAGACCACTCAGTCCAGCAGGGTGATATGCCTCCACCTTCCCAGACCAAGGGCCCCATTTTGAAAGTGTGCTGAGACCCAGATACCCGGCTCTCAGGAACTTCTGAGCTAGCTCCTGAGAACTTGGGAAGCTTCCTCTCACTCAAACATCTTTGGGCTATCAACACAGAAAACAGAAAAAGCCTGACTTTCAAGGAGGCTTACGAAGCTGCACAGACCGGCGTCCCATTCATTTGGCCTGCCGCCCTCCCCAGCACACACTCGGGTTGGGAGTGCGGAGCAGTGGGAGGAACCCCACATCAGTTGTTCCAGATGTTCCAGCTGGCGAGTCCCAGGCTCAGCAGGGCCAGGGTGGCCAGTGGGGTTGTGGTGTCCCAGTCTCAGAGGACCTCCACTGATAGGTCTCTGGGATTTATGGCGGGTAGAGTCTCCACCCAGAACTTCCGGGGACAGCTGCAATTTTCCCCTTCTGAGGCCTCTTCTGGAAACAGTCCCCTCTGCTCTGAAGGGCTCTGGCCCCTTCCCCACACTCTTGTTCCGGCTAGAGATGGAGCCTTCCAGGCTGGGCTCCTGCCCATCTTCTCTCCTGCCATATCCCTACGCCTAGAACGGTGCCTGGTGCCTAGTAGATATCAATACATATTTGTGGAATGAATGAATGAATGAATGAACAGTTCTTATTTCTATTCAGGGGACCAAATTAGCATATGTATTTATGGTTTTAGGGCTCCACCAAACAAATCACTGGGTCGCTAATCCTGGGGTCTTAGGCTTGGTGCAGCAGTGGGTGGGAGCACATTTAATCCACCCATTTGCCAAACTCAACCACCTCCAGGCACCACCTATTGGAAAAGGAGCTGGAGAGAGAATGCATGATGAGAGAGAGAGGGGTCCCAGGAAGAGAGTGACTACCTGGTCTTTACCCCTGATGAAGAGCCAGTGGGTGGAGCTTGCAATACGACACTGCATGGTTTGATATCAAAAAGGACGTCTCAATATATTTTGGTGTATCTTGGATGGTTTCACTGTCAATGTGTCCAGAGGCAGGGAGATGCCAGAGATGACTTCTTGACCCTCCCAGATGGCCCTTTGGGGCCTCCTGGGCCCATCCAAAGCTCTGCCCACCAGGCGTGGGTGGCTGGACTGTGGATGGTTGGCTCAAGCCTGCATCATTTGGACGGCGCCAACCGGGCCAAAGGTGCCCCACACATTGCCTGTCCCGGGATGGTGTCCAGGCCTTGGTCCCCAGGGTCCTCCCACCCCTGCTGGACAGCAGCCTCTCCCAGTGACTCAGCCCTGACGTCGTGGGGCGAGCGGAAAGGCCAAGGGCGTGGGAGGTGGTGGCTCCCTCCCTCCTGTCCTCACCTCTCTGGGTTCAGTCCCCATAACCTCCTTCCTTCCCGCCATCCCCGTTCTTTCATGAGCCTCTGTGCAGGAGCTATTGCCCCGGCCCATGGAGACATGCCCTATGTGTGCCCAGGTGTGTGCCAGGCCACCGTGGGTCATGGGATACAAGAACCACAGTGTGAGAGAGCTCCTGGCTCTGGATCCCACTCCCTCGCCCCTCACCCCAGCAGTCCCACCCTAATAGAGGGTTGGGGGGCACCAGCTCCTTTCTTAGGTGGCCTGGGGCACTCTCTGTTCACACTTGGGGATCTCTGTGCCCCAGGCCCTGGATCCACTTGTCTGCCCCCTGCCCTCCAGGGCCTCCCTTAGGTGTGTGATCTCAGCTTTTTTTATCTCCCCTAGATGGGAGAGGATCCCTGGGACCCACACCTCCCCACTGCAGGCCAGTGCACTGGGGCCTCCAACTCTGTCCCACCTGCACCCCGCCCAGCTGCCCCCTCCTCCAACCCACTTCAAAGCCCAGAGCCAGCAGGAGCTAATTACATGCCCCCCACCCCCCTCGCTCGTTAAGTGTCATTAGCTCCAGTTTACAGATGAGGAAACTGAGACTGGGGAGGTAGAGGACGTCACCCCCTCCGTCCCCACCCTGGCTCCCGAGCCAGCGCTGGCACAAGGTCCCAGGGCCCTGCCAAGACCCCTCTTCCTTGGAGGACCTGGGGGCCCAGTGCCCATCCCCAGCTCCCACTTCCTGCCTTCCCCGAGCTCTTCTCTCCTTTCCTTGGAAGGAAGCTGCGGGCTTGGGCAAACAGCTGCTGAGTCCCTAGAAAGGGGTGGGCAGGGTGCCTCTCTGAAATCACACATAGGCAAAATGCAAATGAGCCCCCCAATTATTATAGAGTCAGGGCGGTGGCACTTCAGGTAATAGGACTTGGGGAGTGGAGGGACCCCACACCTATCCGCTTACCAGCTTGCCAGAGGCCCCCGCTGTGGGCAGGGGCTGGTGATGCTGTCACCCTGAGTGAGGCTGGGATACAGTGGGGTGGGGTGAGAGGAGGATGCTGACACTGGCATGGCTTGGGAGGGCGCCGACCTGATGTTGTCAGCTAGGACGGCCCTGCCCTCCGGGACCAGAGAGAAACCCCAAACCTCAGCTTCTCCTTGGGAAAGCAGAGGCTTCCCTTTGTGGTTTGGGAGCAAAGCCAGCTCCTTGACCCTGTTTGACTCGGCCATCTGGGGCTTAGTGGGCTGTGAGATCTTTGAGACACCCCCCAGCAAAGGGGAAGAATGCCCCCCTGCTTACAGACTGGGAAACTGAGGTCCAAAGAGGGAAATGGTTTGTCCAATTGGGATCACACAGCGCAGAGGGAAAAGCAGAGAATCTGGAGAACACAGTCAGTGAAATTAGGACTCCCGAGGGAAAGGGGCAGGCTAGGGAGTGGGGAGTGGATGAGAAGTGCAGGAACTGTACGGAGAGAATGCACTGGGCACTAAGCTGTCCCCTTCCCAAGTGCTGGGAGCTTAGGGTAACTTTCTCTTATGGCTCCTATTGACAGATAGGGTACCGGGCCTATGACAGGAGAGAAATACTTACCTGGTTACTAGTTGAGTTTTTCAGTATTAATGACTTTATGAACATACAGGAGTTAAAATTGCAGCATCAGAGATGGAAGGCAGACTTCAGGAAGAACTTCGCACTTTTGTGGATGAGGGCCTTTGAGATAGGTGGCGAATCCATGAGCAGGCATTCTGCCCTGCCCAGTCCTCTGGTTCCCTCTCTGGGTTACTGGGGCATCTCTCACATCCATCCCACAGCCTTCCCCCTCCACACTGTCCTCAGCATGGAATGAAATGCCTGTGGACTTTGTCATCATGAGAAGATCCCACATTCTGGAAAACCGGAGGTGACATCACCACAGCTTTGCACCAGGTGTGCGGCCACCACTAGCTGAGCTTTTGCCCCTGCAGCTGGGTGGGTCTCAAGTGAGATCTAAGGGGGAGAGCTGCCGGGGGAGGGGGAGAAGTCAGGAAGCAGAGGGAACCAGGACCTCAGAGCCTGACTCCTGTCCCTCCCTTCTGTCCCCACCTTGTCTCCTCAACAGGTCTTTCAGAGCCTTCTAGGCCTGGTGACTCCTTGTCAGTGGCCAGGGGCACATGATGTGACTCAGAAAGGAGAGGGCAGAAGGCAGGGGATCTGGCTGTAGCAGGACTTAGTGGGGGTGTCATTGCCCTTCTCTGAGCCTCCTGTTCTCCAGTGAGGCGCCTGGACTGGAACAGTGGCTTTTACAGGGGTAAAGGAGTCTGTGTTGTTGAACCTGCACAGAAGGACAGAGCCTCCCATCTGTCCATATCCCCTATAGGAAACCCTCCCTGAGTCCCCGCTGCCAGAATGAATCTCTCTTTCCTCGGCCCTCATCAGCAAGCACCGAAGCTCACACATTCCTGGGACATGGCTCCCATGCCTTGCATTGCTGTCCGGGGACTCCTGCCCACTCCCCACCTAGAACACCAGACCTCTAAGGCAGGGATGTGTCCACTCCGGAACTGACCCAAGGCTTGGGCGTCAATGTGTCAGGGCTCAGTCTCATGCAGCCTGGGTGGCTACAATGCTCTTGGCTGTCCCCACTCTGGGGGAGTTTGGAGAATACCCCCAGCCCCCAAGAAGGCCCATTTCTTCTGTTTGGTTTGGTGACAGAGCCCCGCCCGGGTCCTGGTGCATTACCTGTGTGCTACAGGCCTTGGGTGTGGCATTTTCCCTCCCTGGGCCTCAGTTTCACCCGATCATGGCCAAAGTCCTTTGCAGTTTGAACATTACATCAAATCTATACTCAGAAACTAATTTGGTCCACAAACTGCCCTGTCCCTCCTTGGTTCATTTGCATTCATATTTGCATAAATCTGCATGGAGCATCCAACAATCTCTACGGTTCTGCTGAGTGGCCTTCTTTTGATTTCTGGTCTCATTCCTCCCCTAAGTGACCTGAGTGGGGAGCTAGTGCAATGGCCATAGACCTGCTTTTGTCTCTATGACCCCATCAATGGCACATCATGTGTGCTTCATAAATCCTTGTTGAAATGAAATGGCCAAGAGTTGGGCAGGTACCTGGTGGGATGGGGGTGCATGGGGAGTGGCTAACTCATGGAGCGGTGAGGGGGTGGGGTTACAGGGGGTGGAGTAGGGAAAGCAGCACAGGGGCGGTGGGGAGATGAGTCCGTTTCTACACCCATAGATCCGTCAAGATGATGAAATGGGGTCCCAAAGAGGTGTGATGGCTGCGAAGGCCATAGAGCTGGTTAGCAGCAGAGTTCAGACTAGAACCATCACCTTTGGACTCCTTGAGATGCCAGGCTGATGCTGGAGCGCCAGAGTGGGGAACTCATGGAACTCATAGTGCTTGCGGGGAGCTCCTCAGAGTGATGGGGGAGGCAAGACACCAAAGCACTCAGGATATAGACACAGGGAAAGGCAACAGCATGCAGACTCAGTGAATATCGAGGGGTGGGGGTGCGGATGGGGGTCTCCCCTTCCCACTTTTCCTCCTCCTCAGGCTAAAAGGTGAGCTGCGCTCATTTCTTCAGTTACAAGGACCAGAGACCTGCAGGAAGGGGGTCCCTCTGGATGGTGAAGGGCATCCTGGGTTGTGAACTGGCCCCTGAGAAACTGGCAGAACCCAGTGGAGAGGTAGAAGGGCAGTGAGCCATGGTCCTGATAGTCCTTTGAGATCCTAGAGGGTTTCTGAGATGGGGGTGAAACCCTCTCCCCTAGAGGCCAGAGGGAGTCAAGGAAAGCCTCCCCATCCATTGTGGGCTGGTCTGAGACCAGTCTGGTGTGGGGGCAGGTATTATGGCCCTAGGACCTCTCAAATGTTTCCAGCCCCGTGACCCAGGAGGGAGTCCAGGAAGCTCTGCGAAGGGCACGCGGGGCCAGGCCACCTGCAACAGCTGGTATTCGAGGCCGTCTGCCTGCTCCTCCCTCCACTCTCACCCACCATCATCATCCTGGGCTGGCACCTGGGGGAGGGTTGGCAGGTGGGATTACATCGGGTCCCCATGCCCCTCTGAGGGGATTACAGCATCCATCCCCATTTTAGGCCCCAGGGGCAGCGCTAAGGGACAGAGGCTGAGGCTGGGGGCAGACCTGGAAATCCTTTGGGGTGCTGGGACTCTTTCTTCAGAGGGTGAAGGCCAGGGCCCAGCCAGCTCCTCCATTCTCCTCCCCTGCCTCCATTTCATCAGCCCTGCTTTGGAAGCTCTTCTGCAGGCCACTCAGAGGGGATGGGTGGGGAGCCCTGGGCCCAGGCCCCACTCCTCCTGCCCAGGACTCTGGTGCTTTGGCTGGACACCATGCCTCTCTGGATAGGGCGCCTCCTGCGGGGAGACCAATCAATCCTCTGGCTCATGGAACTCACAGTGCTTGCAGGGAGCCCACAGAGTGATGGGGGAGGCAGGAACCAGTCTGATGGGGGAGCCAAGACACCCGTGTGCTCAGGATATAGACACAGGACAAGGCAGCAGTGTGCAGACTGAGTGAATATTGAGGCGTGGGACACAGGGAAAAGGGTAGACAGGGTTTGGGTGGGAGATTCTTGGCAGACTGCCTGGAAAAGGGGCAAGGGGCACCTGGAACCTAAGGAGAGGAGAAGAAAGGGATGTCGCCTCAGACGATCATCTCAGACAATCGCCCCAGATGGGCTGCCCTCCCCTCCCCGGTGCCCACCCTGGCCCTCCTGGCTCTGCCAAGCCGAAGCAGTCCCGAGCCAGTGCCTGGAGAGCAGGGTGCGCAGGTGTTTCCTCAGACAGCTGCCTTAACTCAGCGAGGGCTCAGAGGAGCTGCCTTCCAGGGCCCAGAGAAGCAAGCTGAGAGCCCAGGAGAGAAGTGGAGGAGGGCAGACGGGAAGCCAGAAAGCCAGTGCCTTAGCCCCAGGCCCGGGGGCTGAGGAGGTGGAAGAAGAACGTTCAGTGCTCACGGGGCAGAGGGGAAGATGGCAGGGATGCTGGGGCCCAGATGCAGGCTGGGCCGGAGCGCTGACTACACTCCCCTCCCCTGTGACACCCTGGCCCACCCTGGCTCTGCCCAAAGCCGGCCTGGCCCCCAGCGCTCCCCCAGCCAAGCCAGCCCCAAAGCTGCTGCCCAGAGAGCGGGGTGCCCCAGCTGCTGCGAGGGTTCGTCGGTGGAGCCTCGGTGGGGGTTGATAGGAGACTGCCAGGCGCCGCTTAATAGGATTTTAATTATACAGCTCCAGCAAGAATTTTTTCCCCCCTGGGCTTGAGCCCTCACAGATACCTCCATCTCCACCTCAGCATCTTCCCAGCCCTGGCAGCTAGCTCTCCCAGGCCCCCGCTGCCTGCCCTCCACCCACCGTGGGGGACGCTGGCCCATCTCCTGGGGGCTCAGGAAGGGCCTGGCATCTGCCCCCAGCAATGATGCAGAGGGCGCCTGCTCCTGGGGGGGGGTCCTGGCTCCAGGAGCTCCTCTGAGCTCTGCATCCAGGACTGGGGACGGTCAGAGCTGACTCTGGTGCAGGGCAGAGATGGTGCCCCTGCCATTCAACTCACTATGGACTCGATGCTCATTTTTCCAGAGTGATTCTGCCCCATGCCAAACCCTTTCGCGATGATTGTCTCATGTGACGCTTACAATTCTGGGAGCCAGGCAGGACAGATAGAGTGATCATCTCCATTTTATGGATGAGGAAATTGATCCCCAAGAGTTGAAGTGACTTGCCCAAGGACATGGTGAGTAAGGAGTCTGGACTTCCCGCAGGTTTGCTTGACTCTGAACTCCAGGTTCTGTCCATGGCCCTGAGCTGCCATTCCCCTGAGCTCCACACCCCACACCCCTCACCCCTCCAGAAGGAGCTAAGGGCAGATTCTCCTCCCTTATCCTCCAAGAAGTCAGGGGCTTCTTGCTCTGTTTGAAATAAAAAGCAACTGCGTCTGCGCACCAGTGGCAGAGACGGACTTTGTACAAGCATCGGGGTGAAATGAACATTCTTCAGGCATGAGATGTTACCTCTCCCCATGTCTGGGTTAGGGTCCCCGCTTCATGCTCTCACAACTCCTGAATTTTGGCACCATAACCCCATCACACTGTACTGGATTGGCTAGCAGGCTGGCTTACCAATAGCCTAGAATTTCCTTGACACGTCAAGAAAAATCTCCCTGGTGCCCACTGGTCAAGCATTTAGACTGTCCCCACCCACCTGCGTTCTGCAACAAGACCCCCTCTCCTGCAGGTGGCCTGCTCCCCCTGTACCTACCCATCAGGTGATGCCAGCCACCAATGTGTCAGGATAACCACACGGGCTTTCTTGGAGGCAGCAGTTTCAGTGAGGCATTTTTTTGGTGTGTTTATTATACAATTTTAACACCTATATTTTAATTTTAGAATAGTTTTAGATGTACAGAAAAGTTGCAAATAGAGAATTCCCATACACCCCTTACCCAAGTTTCTTCTATTGTTAACATCCTATATCACCAGAGTACATTTGTCATAGCTAAAAAACAAACATTGGGCCAGGCACAGTGGCTCACACCTGTAATCCCAGCACTTTGGGAGGTCCAAGGCGGGAGAATTGCTTGAGCCCAGGAGTTTGAGACTAGCCTGGGCAACAGAGTGAGACTCTGTCTCTATAAAAAATTTAAAAATTAGCTGGATGTGGTGGCACATGCCTGTAATTTCAGCTACTCTGGAGGCTGAGACAGGAGAATTACTTGAGCCCAGGAGTTTGAGGCTGCAGTGAGCTATGATCGTGCCACTGCTCTCCAGCCTGGGCAACAGAGTGAGACCCTTACTTAAAAAAAAAAAAAGTACACTACTCTTAACTAAACTCAACACATGATTTAGATTTCACCATTATTTTTTTAATGCCACGAGTAATACATTCTTGTATGAGATTCAACAGTGTAGTAAAAGAAACAGTAAAATATGACTCTCCCTTCATTCCTTCCCCAAGGCCTCTCCTGCCCCAGGAGGAATCCTTCTGCCTCCTCTCTGCAGGTACACCTTATTCCTGCCACTTTCCCCCAGGCAGTGGGTCTCGAGCTGGTGGTCAGCACATCCGCCTACCCTCATGCTCTTGTGTCTTGATGACAGCCCCCTCCCCTGCTGCAGTGAATCCTCTCTTCCCTAATCCCTGCCCATCCTCTGTTCTCTCCTCCAGCCACACTTCCTCTGGGTAGCTTTGAGGAACTCCCAGCCTCCAGGGGCCCCCCTCTTCAGACTGTCTTTGTTTTGGTCTCCTTGACCCACAAACAGTTGGGGGTGATGACAATGCTCCCTGCCCCTCCTGTCCCTGTGAAGCTCCTAGGATGCAGTAGGTACATGGTAATGGGCTGTGAATGAAGTGAACCAGGGCTTCAGGAAAGGCGCCTGGCTGTAATTGGCAGTGGGTAGTGCCTTCCAACACTGTGGTGGAGCAGGTAGGAAGGTGCGGAAGACTTGGTGTCTGCCCTCAGGGCCCCCCATCCTGGGGAGGACACACCCACACATGCTCGCCTGGCTCCTGGATGGCTGTGGCCAGCAGAGCTCAGGCCAGGCCCAACTATCTGTGCCCAAGGCTGGGGGTGGGACTGGGGTAGAGGGTTTCTGGACAAAGCCTCTGCCCTGCTCTGCTTGATGTGGCTTTGCTCTTTTCTGCCATGGCTAGGACTCACCCCCCAGCCAGAGAAGGAGGCCGTATTCCAGCCTTTTCTGCCTCCTCCATACCTCCTTCACAGCAAGTCCTAGAGGGCAACTTTGAGCTGTTGCCTCAGCATCCTTCATCAAAGCATCATCTGTTTCTCTCCTAGCCCCCTGGTGGGCGGCTGCCACCACCAGCAGCACCGAGAACTTATCCCGGCCCCCTCCCCACCAGTGCCAGCTGGTCTCAGCCTGCACTTTGCCCAAGGTCCTGGGAATGGGGCTGGGGTTGGAAGGGGGCCGATGCCTGGGGTGGCAGCCTGTTCACCTGAGGAGCTGGTCCTCCTCACTCGCCATGGGTCAGCTCATCCATCCCCTTGCCTCAGTGCTTGCCTGCCTCTGCCAATCCCAGGAAAAGGAGAAGATTCGGGTGAAGACAATGGCTGCTACCACCAGCAACGTCTGTGCCTCTGATTGCCAAGTCTCCTCCTGCCGCCTCACTGCCTCCCCATGGCTGCCTGGGCCTTCAAGTCAGAAAGGACAGGGCAGGAAAAGGACTCTGGAGACAGGAGGAGTCCCAAGGTGTTGGGGGGTGGTGATGGAGGGAGGCTGCTCAGGGAGGAAAGGATAGTGGGGGTGAGCCTCAAGGTGTGTGCTCACGTGACCCTGGGAAGGTGTGTCTGTGTGTGTGTGTTTACAGGCTGAGGAGGGGCCATGCCCCCCAGACCACCCTGGGCAGGTCTGCAGCAGGGGGCCAAAGCCCTGGGGGTCCCAGGTCTTTGGCTCCTATGGGGCCCAAGCCCAGGAGAGGCTGTGGAGCTGGACAGCCGGGGGTGGGGGATTGCAGCATCAGGCTGGCTGCCGTGGCATGAGATGAAAGGCCAGGAGTGGGGCTGTTGGCAGACTGGCAGACGGACAGGCGGGGCCGGGTGGAGGCGTGGGGTGGGGGAGGGGAGATAACCATCTGCTAGAGCCGCCAGGTGTAGACATGGTGGAGTGTGGGGGATGCGGGTGGAGGGTTAGCCCTTGCCATCAGGGGAAAGAGCCAGAAGCTGGAAGGGCTCCCTGTGAGGTCATCTTGTCCAGCCTGATGCCTTTGGGCCCTCGGCCCCAAACCAAGCAGGCCCTGCTTCTGGCACTTGGTGCTCCTCCCTGGCCCCAGCCCCCAGCCTGTCCTCCGCACTGCACCCATCCCAGAGCAGTGCCCCAGAAGTCCAACCCAGAGTCCTCTCCGCACTTAAAGGCACAGCGCTCCATAGAGAGGGTCCGCCAAGCCCGGCCTCCTCTTAGTCACTAACTGCTGGGGTAGCCCAGGACTGGGTTGGTCCCTATCACCTTTCGTCTCCTTGATTCCAAACCTCTCTTACTGTAGTTGTATGATTATTTGTTGGTGCCTTGCCCCTAGCCCCAAACTTGGAGAGAAGGTTCTAGAAAGCATGGAAAAAGCATGAGCAATGAAGCAAGCCGCTCCTAAACAGTGTGGGGTCCAGGACAAGAGTCTTGCTTCCTAAATCTCTCTCTTAACCTCTTGTTGTCTTTCTGTACTCACACCTAATTCTCTAGTCCAGGCTTCTAATTTTCTCATCCAGAAATTACTTTGACAATTCCCCTAATATGCCCCCCAGCCTCCTCACTGCCCTCTGATCTGCTGCCTCAGTGGTCTGTCTAACACGAGAGTCTCACCATGTCACTTCTCTGCTCAACACCCTTCAAAGCAGTACTGCTTCCAGAGCCAGCAAGAGGAATCCCTGCCCCAGGCCCCTCATGACATGGATATGACACTGACGCTTCCTTTGCTGGAGAACCCATGACAGCCTAGGTCATGCAGGCTCTGGTACCAAGGGCTGCGGGGTGCAACCCACAGCTTCAAACTTCTGCTCTACACTTCTGTCACTACAGCCATCGGGCCTCAGTCACAGGCTTCTTGCTCTAAGTGTTTGAAACAAAGAGCAACTGCGTCTGCGCGCCATTGGTGGAGATGGACTTTGTACAAGCGCCGGAGTGAAATGAAAAATGAATGGGGAGCATCATAACTTCGGGTTTCCAGTCTGCCACATAAGAAGCTTGGAAGTCACCGCTCCATCCTAATTACAAAAAACAGAAGTAACTGAAAGAAAAAATACATATACTTGTTAGATTATTTCTTTCAAGTAGCGTACATGCAATAGATTATTAATATTTTAAAAACATTCAAGAATAATTAAATGGATTCTTACATAAACTCTCCTTGTAGTGTTGAGCATCCTTGTCCTTATTTCTTCTTTGTGAGTACAAGAGGTACTCATAAATCAGTGTAGCATTCAAATGAATGCATGTTGCAGATGAGAAACACTTTGCTCTACTAAATAATTCATATAATTTTTTTTGTTTTGATACGGAGTCTTGCTCTGTTGCCCAGGCTGGAGTGCAATGGTGCGATCTCGGCTCACTGCAACCTCTGCCTCATGGGTTCAAGTGATTCTCCTGCCTCAGCCTCCCGAGTAGCTGGGATTACAGGTGCACGCCACCATGCCAGGCTAATTTTTTGTATCTTTAGTAGAGACGGGGTTTCTCCATGTTGGCCAGACTGGTCTCGAACTCCTGACTTTATGATCCACCTGCCTTGGCCTCCCAAAGTGCTGGGATTACAGAGGTGAGCCATCGTGCCCGACCTTCATATAATTCTTAATTTGTACAAAGGTAGGTCTAGATGGAACATGCATGAAACTTGATAGTAACTGTACATTGGCAATTTGATGGATGGTGAACGTTGAAATTACAAAGCATTATATTTTATCAAAATATATAATAATATTTAGATTTACAAAATTTTAAATAAAAAATTTAGTTTCAGGCTGGACGAGGTGGCTCATGCCTATAATTCCAGCACTTTGCGAGGCAGAGGTGGGAGGATTGCTTGAAGCCAGGAGTTGGAAACCAGCCTGGGCAACAAAGCAAGGCCCCTGTCTCTACAAAAAAAAAAAAAAAAAAGCCAGGAGTGGTGGTGTGCAACTGTAGCCCCAGCTTCTCAGGAGACCAAGTCAGAAGGATCGCTTGAGCCCAGGAGCTTGAGGATGCAGTGAGCTATCATTGTGCCACTGCCCTCCAGCCTGGGCAACAGAGTGAGACAAAAAAAAAGTAAAGAAAGAAAGAAATTAGATTCAATTAAATAATCTTAATTTTCTACTTAACATTCATTTGTTATAATTTACATTCTGCCTTTTATTTTAATAAATTAGAATATTTTAGTCACATATATATTTAACTGTATAAAAACCGTGGCTTTATGCAATTTAAAAAATTTTGTTGTCCAGGTGCGGTGGCTCATGCCTGTAACCCCAGCACTTTGAGAGGCCGAGGTGAGCAGATCACAAGGTCAGGAGTTCGAAACCAGCCTGACTAACATGGTGAAACCCCGTCTCTACTAAAAATATAAAAATTATCTGGGTGTGGTGGTGCATGCCTGTAATCCCAGCTACTCAGGAGGCTGAGGCAGGAGAATCGCTTGAACCCAGGAGTCGGAGGTTGCAGTAAGCCAAGATCATGGCACTGTACTCCAGCCTGGGTAACAGAGCAAGACTCTGTCTCAAAAAAAAACAACAAAAAAAATTTGTTGTTGGTCAAGTGCAGTGGCTCACGCCTATAATCCCAGCACTTTAGGAGGCCGAAGCGAGCGGATCACTTGAGGTCAGGAGTTCGAGACTAGCCTGGCCAACATGGAGAAACCCCGTCTCTACTAAAAATACAAGAATTAGCCAACTGTGGTGGCGCGTGCCTGTAACCCCAGCTACTTGGGAGGCTGAGGAGAATCACTTGAACCCGGGAGGCGGAGGTTGCGGTGAGCCAAGATCACGCCACTGCACTCCAGCCTGGGTGACAGAGCAAGACTCCGTCTCAAAAAAAAAAAAAAAAATTGTTGTTATGAAG
The DNA here is from genome assembly GCF_000001405.40 of Homo sapiens. Taxonomy (NCBI): domain Eukaryota; kingdom Metazoa; phylum Chordata; class Mammalia; order Primates; family Hominidae; genus Homo; species Homo sapiens. The sequence continues at coordinate 49,938,683 of NC_000017.11, forward strand.
GCTTATTGTCAAAGAAAGTAGGAAGAATGTGTTTAGCGATGTTTAGCTGGATAGTGACCCTCCACTTGTACTCTTGTCCTGGACCCCACACTGTTTAGGGGCGGCTTGCTTCATTGCCCATTTGCTGCTGGACCCCAGAGCATGACCCACAAAGGCTTCCTCTGCCTGAGACTCCAGGGTTCCCTGCTGTCTTCACACAGCCCTGGACCGTGGGGAGGTGGGGAATCCCAGAACACACATTTTGCTGTGCTTTTCCCAGGTCTCAGACGACCTCTCCTTCCCTAGTCACTGTATGAGGGGCAAGTGCCAGCTCATACTTCCAGTCTCAGCCCAGATCTGCCCTCCCCGGCTCCAGCAGGCAGATGGCTGCCCCTCCAGATGCCCCATGCTATTTGCAAGTTACCTATTAAAAATGGTTCTTCCACGTGGATTCAGTGCAATGCCCAAATCCAAGTGTGACAAGAAAGTCTCCTTAACCAAAACTGCCAAGAAAGGCTTGGAATTGAAACAAAACCTGATAGAAGAGCTTTGGAAATGTGTGGACACCTACAGTACCTTTTCATCTTCTCTGTGGCCAACATGAGGAACAACAGGCTGAGGGACATCCAGAACACCTGAAAGCACAGCTGGATGTTCTTTGGCAAAAACAAGGTGATGATGGTGGCCCTGGGTCAGAGCCCACCTGATGAGAACAAAGATAACCTGCACCACGTCAGCAAAAGGTTGAGGGGTGAAGTGGGTCTCCTGTTCACCAACCGCACAAAGGAGGAAGTGAATGAATGGTTTACGAAATACACAGAAATGGACTACGCCCGAGCTGGTAACAAAGCAGCTTTCACTGCAAGCCTGGACTCAGGGCCCCTGGAGCAGTTCCCCCACTCCATGGAGCCACAGCTCACGCAGCTGGCCCTGCCCACTGCCCTCAAGAGAGGTGTGGTGACCCTGCTGTCCAACTATGAGGTGTGCTGACCCCAGAGCAGGCTTGTGTCCCGAAGCTTTTTGGGTATGAGATGGCTGAATTCAAGGTGACCATCAAATACATGTGGGATTCACAGTAGGGAAGTTTCCAGCAGATGGGAGATGACTTGCCAGAGGGCGCATCCGAGTCTGCAGAAGAGTCAGACTCAGAAGACAATGACTGAAAGGGTCTTAGGACTGAAGGTCTCCTGGAACCTTCTGAGTCTCACTGGACCATGCAGGACTGCTGCCACCCCTCTAGAGAGAGCAGCTTTTTATTTGGCTGTAGACAGGGAACGTGCTGGGCACCGACTTCCTATAAAGAATAAAACTTTGCAGGATGTCTCCCTGGAGACAAAAAAAAAAAAAGTTCTTCTGCCACACGGGAGGTTTGTGGACTGCCTCTTTATGGATCAGGACCTTTTCTTGAGCAGGAACTTGGGAGCTCTGGGAGTAGGGAGGGGGCAGGGCCTCTGTGTGGGGCTCAGAGCTCAGTGCTGGGATGATGGGGTTTTGATATCTCTGAAGTCTGCAGGGCTTGAGCACTGAAGAAACTCAAAATTCTAGGGAAAACTAGCTGAGGACTTGGGCTTTGCCCAGGGGTGAAGCCACCTGAGAAGGCCCCAGAGAACCAAGGTCTGAGAGGAGGTTGGTGGGAACCCCCATTGGCACCCCTGCCAGCCGCTATCTCTGAGGGCCAAGGTGGTGAGTGGCAGCCAGGGGCTCAGTGGGGAGGGCAGAAAGTGGAGAGGGGCCTCTTGCAGAAAATCCAGGCTCAGCTGGTGGCTCTGAGGTGGGGGAAGAAGGGAAATGGCAGGATGTTGGAGGCAGCCAAGGTTGGGGGTGGGATGGAAGTGGCTGAGCTGAAAAGAGGCAGGGACCAGCCTAGGAGGCCAACCCATACCTCACTCACAGCTTCTGGCTCCCTGGAGAAGGATGTTCTTTTTGGCAGAAGCCAGGGCAGGTGGAGTGTGAAGGGAACCCTGCCCTTACTTTCCTCAGAGGACACTTCAAATGAGTGGGAGTCCCAATATTTACCAAGTACCTGCTGTGTGCCAGGCACTGTGCTGAGGGACTTCACCTCACTTTCCCTAGAGAGCGATGGCCTACCTGTCGGGTGGCATCAGAGACCACCTAATCCAATTCTCCCATTTGCCGGAGGAGGAAGCTGAGGCTCAGACGTGGGGAGTGACTTGCCCTGAGGTGAGCGAGAAGAGGACCCTGGGCTGGAGTTTGGGTCTCTTGACTCCTTGTCCCGGGTGCTTCCTTAACTGTCCCTGGGCCATCCAGGACAAGGACATGCTCTGCCCAGAGCTGGTGGAACCACAGCATTGGACCACCCCAAGCTCCCGACATGGTAGCTGGCTCTGTCCTGATGCCGCCACCCTCTGTGTCCCTGCCATGGCCCATAATGCCTGGTGCTGGTGGCAAGGGGACTAGGAGGGGCTGATTCAGCTGCAGGCTCTTCTTTCTCCTGAAAGAAAGAAAGGGCCCTGCCTCCCACGGGCCCAGCTATCTCCTCTCTCTGGATCCCTGACTCCCCAATCCAGCCTTCAGCTCCCCTAAGGCCCATGGGATGCTGTCTCCTTTAACCCAAAGCCAGGAGGAGTCTGAGACAACCACTGGGACTGGGAAGTGAGAGGCTGGGTCCCCTGTTTCATTCTATTTATTTTTTTCATCATGATTGTCATCATCGATGTCCTCACAATGATTGAGAACATTCGAGGGTCCACTCTGGGCTCTGATTACAAGCAGGGACTATTATTTGCTCCATTTTCCAGCTGGAGGAAATGGGGTCAGAGAGGGTGATTGAAGCCCAAGGTACCCTATTCAAAAGAATCAGAAAGGGGCCGACTCCCTGGTCCGCTGGGGGTGTGCAAAGGTGAGCATTCCTGCTCTATCTCTATCCCCTCTGAGCCACGACCATCAGCTCCTCCTCCCTCTCCCGGGACACCTGAGAAACCGGCTGTGACACCTACCCTCCCTTCACGCCCACCCCTCAAGGCTGTAGTTTGGTCAGCCAGAGGAACTCTCCGTCTAGGAGCTGGGTGTGTGTGCAGACCCCATCAGAGAGAGAGCCTGGGGATCCTCCTCTCTGCCTCTATCCCCTCTCCCATCCTGCCCGTGGCTGTGCCCAAAGGCAGCTCTCGATGTGCTGGGGATGGACGGGAACACTGCTCACAGGGCTGGGCATGCTGGCACGCACCTGTAATCCCAGCTACTCAGGAGGCTGAGATGGGAAAATCACTTGAGGCCAGGAGTTCGAGACTAGCCTAGGGAACACAGTGAGATCCTTGTCTCAAAATTTTTTTTTTTTTAACAAAAAGAAAGAAACACCGTTGACAGTCCCTGATCATTTAGCCCACAAACATGGACTTGAGCTCCTATTGTGCCCCCACATGGTCCTGGGCACTGGGCAGGCAAGTCTGGAATGTAGACTCTGCCCTCCTAGAGCTCACTGTCCAGGGTAGGTGGAGAAGAAACCCACCACCTCCATTCAACCTGCAGACAGTGAACCTTGTGTGCCAAGCACCACTGTAGGCACTAGGGGTCCAGATATGAACAGAACAGCCCAAATCTCTGTCCTCAAGGAGCTCACATTTGAGAAGAGAGAGACAGAATGGAACTAAAATAAATAAGCAAGTGACATAGCCTGTAGAAGGGAATGTGTGCTAGGGAGAAAGATAGATAATGCAGGGAGGTGCCAGAGAGTGGGAGTGTGGGAGTTGCGATCATATCACAAAATTCACTGGTGCTGTGGACAGTTTGGGGGCTGTAGAAGAGCAGAGAAGGGACCTCTGACCCCTCCCTGAGCTGTGCTTGCTCTCCTGAAGGGAGTTAAGAATGGAAATGGGGAATTCAGAGCACCTTTGTCCCAGGCCCATGGTCCCCAAACATCATGGCAAAGAGCAGGCACAGTGGGGCTTTCTGAAATGATCTCCGACACTGTGTGCACCCAGAATGCAAGGGGACAGACTGCACACATCTGGACATGAATGTGCATATAGATATGTACCATCGATAGACACCCAGTGCTATTTCAGCACCAGTGCTATTTCAGGCACCTTGTCCCTAAGAGGTCTCAGATGCAAAACAACAGCTCGCATGAAGGCAGGGAATGCTGAAGGCAGAACCAAGGGGCAAGAGGTTATAGAAAACATCCCGGGAAGCAGCAGAAGTTGAACCAGCCTAGATGGCCTTTACTAGATTAAGCTCTAAGAGCTGCAGCTGCCTGTAATGAAATAAAATGGCCTAGCTCAGGAGGTAGCGAGTTCTTATCACCGGAACCTCAAAGGAAGGCTTGACAACTTGTGAAGGGGATTCAAGGACTGGATTGCGGGATAGCACGAATGTCCTCAATAAGGTTACTTGGGTCCTATAAAGTTGGGGGAGTCACTAAAGGACTGGAGGGAGGAATGGTGGCGTGAAGCACTTGGACTTTATCTTAGAGGGCAGTAGGGAGCCATGTTGGGTGTTGGAGCAGCAGAGAGACACATGGAAGGCTGAGTCTTGGAAAGATGAATCAGACAGCACTATGCTGGATCAGACTGGGGTAAGGAGGGACATAGAAGGGAGGAGACCAATTACTAGACTAGCCAAATGCATCAATGGGGGTGTGTGCATGTGAAAACACGTACAATGTGCATGCAAGCAGAAACCTCCAAAGACTAGACAACCATCAGTTGTGACAGCGTTGAATGGTCTCTAGTCTTGAAGCAGGAGTTGAACTCTGTGATATTTCAAGCCCATTTCCAAAGCTTTAGGCACATGCAGGAGTGTCTGTGGGTGTATGTGCAGACCTGGGTGTCTATGAGTATCGACTGAGTTCACTACTCCTTCATCAGCGAGGTCTGATGTGGGGAGCAGGAGTGCACACCACAGGGTGACTTGGTGTTGGGGTGACTTTGTGGGCCTCTATTTGGGAGTATAGCTGGGAAGCAAACATTCAAGATACTCATGACCCTGTGGGATTTTGCTGTCCCAGGTGTGACACACAGGTGTGTGTGCGTGTGTGTGGGTATGTGTGTGTAGGAGATGGGATTGGGGACGTCCAAGGGCTGAGTGAGGCTTTGTGAGGGAATTTGTTGTTGCAGCTTGGGGTGGAGGAGTGGCCTGGCGTGTGGCTCCCTGTGACATTCTCTCTTTTTTTCTTTTGAGACAGGCTCTCACTCTGTTGCCCAGGCTGGAGTGCTGTAGTGTGAACATGGCTCACTGCAGCCTTCACCTCCTGGGTTTAAGCAATCCTCCCACCTCAGCCTCCTGAATGGCTAGGACCACAGGCATGCTCCACCACGTTGGGCTCATTTTAAATTATTTTTATTTTTTGTAGAGACAGGGTTTTGTTGTGTTGCCCAGGCTGGTCTTGAACTCCTGGGCTCAAGCGATCTTCCCGCCTCGGCCTCCCAAAGTGCTGGGATTACAGGCATGAGCCACAGTGCCCGGCCCCTGTGAGGTTCTGATTTCTGACCAGTCTGGGGACACCAGTTTTGGGGGTTGCTGTGAGCGAGGGCCTTTCCCATACACCAGCTCCCTGAGCCATCCTAGCCACCCGTCATGATCCTTCTTGTTTCCGTTTCAACAAGTGAAGAAGCCGAGGCTCCCAGAACCTTGCCCAGAGTCACAGTACAATGCAAAGCATAGCCAGACCCCAGGAGTCCAAGCGCAGAGCTCTTGCCTCAGTGGCTACCTCTATTACGTGGGGACGTGAGTCACCAGAACACGGTTGGAGGAACAGTGCTGCCTTTACCTCTAGGCAAGGCATCTCCTCCCAGGCACCTATGCACCTTCAGAATCCCGGGCGAATCCCTGACCTCACCCTGACCCACCTCCCTCCACCTCCAGGCTCCTCAGCTCCCCTAGACCCCTGCTCCTGCAAACCCACATCCCGCAACAACCTCATTGGAAAGCCGGGAGCAGCTCGCAGTCAGCATCCATGTTTTCACCCCAGCTGGGTGCTGCAGTCATTGTTCTGGCGAAGGAGGGCGAGGGGGCGGCTCGTGGGCGTTGCGACGCCGGGCTGTCTGCTCCACTCGGCCGCTGGTTATTACCTCTCCTCAGGCTCCCATTAGTCCGCCTGCCCCAGAGGCCCGCGCAGGCTCCCTGCACCTCGGCACCTTTGTTCCTTAATTATCACTGGGGAGCTCGCTCACCTGCCTGCCACTTTCTAAGAAGCTGTCTGGCTCTCTTTGCCGTCCCGCACCCCCAGGACCTAAGCCTCTACACCCCCTGGGGTGGGGGCTGGTGTCTAGCAGCAGCTTGCCCAAGGATTCAGCCGGCTCCAGAGCCTCAGGTCTGCCCCATCCCAGCCCCTCATAGAAGCCCTTCCTCTTCCTCTCTTCTGCCTTCTCCAAGAACCCTGCCTGGATTAACTTTGTCTTGGATATCAGGCCTGGAAGGGACTTTAAATTGCCATGTGGGCCACCCGTGCGGTGGCTCATGCTTGTAATCCCAGCACTTTGGGAGGCCTAGGCGGGAGGATCACCTGAGGTCGGGAGTTCCAGACCAGCCTGGCCAACATGGCGAAACCCCATCTCTACTAAAAATACAAAAAAGTAGCCAGGTGTGGTGGCGGGTGCCTGTAATCCCAGCTACTCAGGAGGCTGAGGCAGGAGAATCGCTTGAACTCGGGAGGCGGAGTGGTTGCAGTGAGCGCAGATCGCACCACTGTACTCCAGCCTGGGCAACAGAGCAAGACTCTGTCTCAAAAAAAAAAAAGAAAAAGAAAAAGGCCGGGCGCGGTGGCTCACGCCTGTAATCCCTGCACTTTGGGAGGCCTAGGCGGGCGGGCAGATCACAAGGTCAGCAGATCGAGACCATCCTGGCTAACACAGTGAAACCCTGCCTCTACTAAAAATACCAAAAAAATTGGTCGGGCATGGTGGCGGGCGCCTGTAGTCCCAGCTACTCGGGAGGCTGAGGCAGGAGAATGGCGTGAACCCGGGAGGCAGAGCTTGCAGTGAACTGAGATAGCGCCACTGCACTCCAGCCTGGACGACAGAGTGAGACTCCGTCTCAAAAAAAAAAAAATGCCATGTGGTTCGATAGTGGCACCCTCATTTGCTACCTGGATTGGGCCACCTACAGAAGGTACTCAGTGAATATTCAGTGAGAGGATGATGAACCTCTGCAGCCTCTATTTGAATGTCTTAGTTGATAGGCAGCTCACTTTCTCCCAAGGCAGCCAGCGCCACCTTGGATGGCTGGGACGGTTATAAAACCACTCTCCCCTCATGTACTGCCCACATCTCTCCCCAGCACCTTCTGATCTTCATAGCCCTGAATGTAGACTCCACCTTGCTGTGTTCTGAGTCTGAGGCTCAGTCCTGTGTTTCTTACTAGGGGCTCCTTGATGTCCGCACCTCAGGCGGGAAACTTCCCAGCGTGGGGCTCTGTCCAGGAGCACTCGCTTCTCCTCCCAGGCTTAAGGATTCAGCCTTACCCCAGCCCAGCTCTAGCACCTGGGTCTCCTTCTGTCTCGGACCTCTGGCTGCTGTTCCTGCAGAGGAAGGTGAAGGGGAGGAGACACTGGGGTGAGAGGCCTCGTGCCAAACAAGCTCTGACAGCCGGCAAGCACCAGGGAGGGAGCCTGCTGCACACACAGGCCGAGGCTGCCCTGCCGAGGGGAAGGCCTGGTGGAGGGCATCTCCCCTCCCCAGCTAGCCTGCTGCCCTGACCCTCACACACCTCCCTGCCTCAGGGCACTGTGGGTTTCAGAGCCTCAGAGGCTGAGCTTCCAGATGAAGGAGCCAGGAGTGAGCTAACCCAGGTGGGCACCAGGGGCACCCTCCTGTCAGGACAGTGCCTGCCCTCAGCGTCTAGGGCACAGCACTCCTCTCCCGGGGAGGACCTCCAGGGGACGAAAGTGGCTGTCAGAGTCTACGGCTGCCTCTGGACCCAGCCTGTTACCCACGGTTATACAGAGGACTGGGACATGCAAGACACAAAGAACCCTGTGTCCACAAAGCGTCTCAGAGCCTGAGGAGGCTCTCTTCGGAGGCCACTCCACTCAGCGTAGCCATCTCCTCCCATGTCTCCGCCCTTAGCCATTCTCCTCTCCAGCCTTCATCCAAGTGGAGAGTTTCCTTTTGGTCTCCACTTTGCGCTCTTTACATGTCTTCGTCTTCCCTCAGACTAGAAGCTCTGTGAGGCCAGGACCCTGCCTCTCCTCTCAGACTGCGGGGCGGTCTTGAGGCCCAGATCCTGCCTCTCACCTCAGGCTAGGGGCTCTGTGAGAACAGGATCCTGCCTCTCCCCTCAGACTGGGGGCTCTGTGAGACCAGGATCCTGCCTCTCCCCTCAGACTGGGGGGTCTGTGAGGCCAGGATCCTGCCTCTCCCCTCAGACTGGGGGCTCTGTGAGGCCAGGATCCTCCCTCTCCCCTCAGACTGGGGGGTCTGTGAGGCCAGGATCCTGCCTCTCCCCTCAGACTGGGGGCTCTGTGAGGCCAGGATCCTGCCTCTCCCCTCAGATTGGGGGCTCTATGAGGCCAGGATCCTGCCTCTCCCCTCAGACTGGAGGCTCCCTGAGAGCAGGGTCATGTTTCCCCTCAGACGGGCACACAGGAAGGTTGGAGACTATAGTCCATCCACACCCTGTCTCGGTTCTGAGTGTCTTTCATCCCAGGAGTGCTATGGGGAGGCCAGGAAGGCGCCTGGCACTCGCTGGAGGGCCTCTGGACAAACACCAGCTGGGGGTGGAGGACTCGGGTCGGCACCTCCAGCCACCAGACCATGACCTCAGCTGGGCCGCCCCAGGCTGCCCTCCGGATCTGACTCAGAACCTTCCTGGGGCTGCTGCTGGGCGTCCATCCCCAGGGTCAGCCCGAGGAGGCCACCAGATTCCACAGGCCCCACCCAGTTGGAGGCCACTGCCCCCAGACCCCACTGGGGTCGCCAGGGGCTCCATCAGGGTTGAAGGGGAGAGCAGAGGGCAAAGGTCACCTGCCAGGCCCCTTGCTCCACTACCCCCATCCCTTCCCACCCTCCTCACAGAGTCCCTGACACAGAGGCTGGGGACAAGGGGATCCCCAAAAGGCAAACAAGGCAGTTCTTCCATGATAGGAGACCCCCTCAAGGTAGTGGCTAAGTCACCCCCAGAATCTTTCTCATTAGGAGAAAATAAATGAAGGCGACTCCTGTGGTACGTTCCCCAGAGCCTGGGTCTAGATTTGCAGCGGAGTCTGAGGGCTTGGGGGATGGAGGTCCTGGAGGGGCAGGGCGAGAGGTGCCCCTGCCTGATCTCAGCCCGCACGCGCTCAGCTAAAGGGAGCTTTAAAAACGTAAATCAGGGTGTGTCCTCTCCTGCTTCCAACCTGCCAACAGCCTCCTTTCTCTCTCAGGATAACAAGGCCCTATTCCATCAGGACCCTGTCCACCTCAGCCTCATCTCTGGCCTTTCCCTTCGTCCATTCCTCTCTAGGCTACTGATTCTCACACACTCCAGGTTCACCCATCCTCAGGGCTTCCCCGCCCCACCCCACCCCAAAGCCGTAGTCTTGCTCTGTCGCCCAGGCTGGAGTGCAGTGGCGAGATCTCGGCTCAGTGCAACCTCCACCCCCTCGGTTCAAGCAATTCTCCTGCCTCAGCCTCCTGAGTAGCTGGGGTTACAGGTGCCCACCACCATGCCCGGCTAATTTTTGTATTTTTAGTAGAGGTGGGGTTTCACCATGTTGGCCAGGCTGGTCTCAAAACTCCTGACCTCATGATCCTCCTGCCTCGGCCTCCCAAAGTGCTGGGATTACAGGCATGAGCCACCACACCCGGCCACCTCAGGGCTTTTGTACTCGTCATTCCTTCCACCTAGAATACTTTTCCCTACACTTTTCCTTATTCTTGTTCTTCAAAACTCGAGAGACTTCTTCAAGAGGCCTTCCTAGATGACCCCATCTGAAACAGTGCCCTGTGTTTCTCCGGATGCCCCTATCCCTTCCCTCTCTACAACCCTGGCCTCATTCTTCCTCCCAGCACTTGTCACTGATTGAAATGGGTTTCTTTGAATCACCTGGTTACTGTCTCCCCCGCCCACGGGGATGTAAGCTCCATGAGGGTGTGGCTGTATCCTCATCCTCAGTGCCTGGCACAGGCTGGCGTAGTGGTTGCTCCAGAGACATCTGTTAAATGAGTGCCCTTTGGAGGGAGAGAAACACACACAGATACCCCAGGGACTGGTGGGGTGGGTACGAGCAAGGACGGGACAGCAGTCCTTACAGGATGTAGGGAAGGGGGCTGTCAGGCCTCAAAGGTACCACGGGCTGAGGGAGGAGTGGGAGGGAGGTGGGAGGGGGCAGAGGGAAGGGAGGCTGCCAGGCAGTACTGTCCTTGAATGTCCCCACCCCGGTCAGAAAACACAACTCTGGGTGCCAGTGGGGCTGAGGAAGGAGGCACCACAGACCCATTCTTGGGCGTCCCTGGTCTGGAAGGGACAGGAAAACAGTGCTTGGAAAGTCCTCGGGGTCAGACCTGTCTACCCAGCTTTGAGCCTGGGTTTCTGAAGCCATGGGCAGTTCTGCTTGGCCCACTGTGTCAGGCTCTGTGCGTTCCAAACCCAACGCCTCATTCTTCCTGCAGCTTGCCCTGGCTTCTCTAGCACCATCAACAGACTGCTGCTCCTCCCAGGCAGGCAGGCCCGAAAGCCCAGAGTCGCCTCTGCCTACCCCCCTCACTTACCCACGGCCCCACAGACCCCTCCCTGTGCAGTGACCGGGGACCAGGCTTCCCCGTCATCCTGGGCCTCTCCTTCGTATAAAGCAGCTGGAAAGGGAAGCGTCCGAGGCAGTTTTACCTCCATCGGTCCAAGACTCCTCCAGCCTCTGAAACAAATTCTACCAAGGGGTCGGTGGGGGTGGAGAAGGGAGGAAGGGTCCTGCCAAATTCTGATCCACATCCTCTGTAAGGGAAACTAGGTTGTGTTGGAAGTGGAGTCTGGAGTTAGACAGACTTCAATTATCTCACTTTCTACTTACTCTGTGACCTTGGGGAAGTTACTCAATTTCTCTGTTTGTTTCTCTGTCTCTAAAATGAAGATAAACAGATATATTTTACCAGGTTGCTTGGAGATTATGTGGGAAAACATATAATAAGCACCTAGAAAAATTCTGAAATACAGCTGATGTTAATAAATGAGAAGCTCATCCCTTCCCTTTCAACCTGTACTCCTGCCCCCTGCTCAAGAACCTGCTGTGGCTCCCTGTTTCATACCATGTCTGATCTAAATTCCTCTGCCTGGCTCTCAAGGATCTCCAGTGTGTGGCCTGGCCTTTTCCATCCAGTCATCACCCCGAAATCTTCCCACACTCCCTCTTTACTCCTGTGTCCCCATGACCACGGTCATGCCTCTGCCATGCCTTCTGTCCACACTGCCCTTCTTGTCCCCTCTGCCTATCCTACTTGCAAACCAAGGCCCCCTTCTCGAGGAAGCCCTCCCCAAGCCACACCTCCCTTGCCCATTCTCTGGCTCCTCCGGGAGCCTGCTACTCACTCAGCCCAGTGGGACAGCCATGCTGTCCGAGCAGTTGGATATTCCATCGTTACAGATGTTGCCTGCCCATCCAGGTTGGTAGCTGTTTCCAGGTGGGCAAAGAACCACCCCTTGGATCTCTCTAGAACTTGCCAGTGTTAAACATACAGTGAGTACTCAGTGAATATCTGTCTTTTGATTTATTATGAAGCAATAAATAAGGCAAATCAGTAAGTGGCAAGCAGGTGTTGGAAGGGATTCTAGAAGGGGTGAAGGGGTGTTGAGCCTCTCCCTTGTGACAGAAACTGGACTCAGCGCTTCATGTGTTATCTCCTCATTCTTACCAGTGTGGGAGGTAGTATTAACTCCATTTTACAGATGGGGAGACTGAGGTTCAAAGAGATGCGGTGACTTGCCCAGGGCCACATGGCTAGAAATTGGCAGGGGCAGGATTTGATCTGAGGCTGGGGGCGGGGTGTGGTCTGGGGAAGAGCATTTCAGAGGGGGAGCAGCCTGTTCAAAGAGTCCAAGGGGAAAGCCAGGGTGAGTGTGTGGAGGGAGAGAGTGGGCAGATGCGCTGGAAGGGGTGAGTGGTACATGCGGGAAGGCACTGGTTTGCCCATTTGAAGAAGAGGGGAGAGGACTCTGGAACTGCCTCTCTGACAGGCTGAAGGAAAATGCAGCCAGATGCCCCTCCTGGTGAGCTGACTAGGACTTTAGAATTTTCCTGTCAGAAAAAGCTGCAGCTAATTTCCTGAGTCCATACCGGGAGCTCAACCTCCTCTCCCTAGGCCCTCTGTCCCTAGAAGAGAAAAGATGGTGGCCGGGCACGGTGGCTCACGCCTGTGATCCCAGCACTTTGGGAGGCCGAGGTGGGCTGATCACGAGCTCGGGAGATCGAGACCATCCTGGCTAACATGATGAAACCCCATCTCTACTAAAAATACAAAAAATTAGCCGGGCGTGGTGGCGGGCGCCTGTAGTCCCAGCTACTCGGGAGGCTGAGGCAGGGGAATGGCGTGAACCTAGGAGGAGGAGGTTGCAGTGAGCCAAGATTGCGCCACTGCACTCCAGCCTGGGAGACAGAGTGAGACTCCGTCTCAAAAAGAAAAAAAAAGAAAAGAAAAGATGGCATTTGCATTCCCTCTCTGCAAAGGCAAGGATGTCAGAGAGGCTGAGAGTGATGTCACCTGGTGACCTCAGGTTTCTCAGCACCCTTCTTCCAAAAAGCAGCTTTTTTGGAACCACTTGTCCGAGTGACTTGCCTCAAGCCTTCATGTCATAGACCCTGCTGCTGTCGCCTCCAGATGCGGCCCCTGCAAGGCCTTATGTACACCCAGCTCTCAGCGGGGTGCCAGCCTCAAATTCTCCTGTTTCCAGCACTTGGCACAGAGACCCTCACAGTTCCCCTTGACCCCCCCTGACCAAGCCCTCCACGCAGGCAGCCAGGCCCAGCTGGAATAACACGGCTCCGCTCCCTCCTCCCTCCCACGAGTACTGGACTATTTACAACTCACCAGGGCCTTCACACCCATGAGCTCACTGGAGCCTTCCCCACCCACCCTGGAAACCCAACAGGGCAAACACCATTAGCTCCATTTTGCAGATGGGGAAACTGAGGCTAGGTGCCCCGCCCAGTGAGTTCCCCAAGGCCCAGCCTCCTAACTTCTTAGTTTGAAGCTCTTCTCAATTCCTCCAGGAGGGTGGCCCAAACACCCCAAATTCAAGTCGGGGAGTTTCAGGCAGACGGAAGGGTAGGATCTGATGAGTAGGATCTGTCACAGGAGCTGGAAGGAGCCTCTCGGGCAGTGAGCCAGGACGGCGGGGGTGGAGGGAAGTTTTTATGGCTCCAGCCACTGGCTGGGTGACAGCCTGGCAGGGGCTTCTTCAGGGTGGACATGGGAGCGGGGGGCAGGAGTGCTGGCCAGCCAGGCAAGCTGGCTGGGAGCACAGTTGGGGTGTCTGGCTCCCCAGAGTAGAGTAGGGGGAAGGGGGCAAAGCCCCAGCCTCAGAGCTGCCTCCTGGGCAACCAGACATGGGAAACTATAGGCTGGCTGCAGCTGCAGAGACACTAGGTAGATACCAAAGGGGACTTCCATCCACAGACTCTTTGCTCAGGCAGAGTTCCTGTGCACTGTGAACCAGGTCCAGCCCAAGCCCTCGCTTGCCATCTCACACAAGGATTATGCCACTGTGGACTTCCCACCTCTCCTCACCTCCTATATATCTCCCAAGAATTTGTTCCATCCTGGGTCCTCCTAGTCACCCACCCACCAGGAAGTACTCTCCCTCCTAGTCTGCACCAAAGTCCCCGAAGCCCTGCCAGAAGCCCTCTCTAATTCTTCCTCAGGTTCTGGACATGACTCTTTTCCAAGCCTAGGAAAATATAGTTTGAATCCTCTTGATTCTTTGTGTCAGAGTCTGTGTATGGGGTAGGGGGTTAAAGCTAAGAGTCTCTCATAAGGCTAAGAGTGCCTGGGGAAGAGGACTGCGTCTCCCCTGTCAAACTGTGCAAGCCTCCTTCCTCTAGCTGTACCTCCTTCTGCTGGGGCAGGCTCTGCCCATAGGGGGCGCGCAAACAGTGTTGTTAAGCCCAGGCATCCTTGCTACTTACTGAACCACCTGCAGGGATATGGATCTGGGTGACCTGTCAAATGCACCTCCAGAGCTCCAGCCTATGTTTCAATTGGCCTTGGCTCAGCCTTACTTTTCAACTGGACTGATGGGAGGGGAGAGGTTTTAGATAAGGACAGAGGCCCGTCTTTTGGCGTAGGAAGCTGGAGGCTAGACAGTGACCTCTAAAGAAGTCTCCTTGACCTTCCAAGCTCAGGGTGGGTGAGTGACTTGAGGTGCTCACACAACCCACAGTGGACCCAGATATCTTCCTTGGCTCTGTTCTGAATGTTCTGGGCTCCTGGGCAGAGGTCCCAACCAAGCAACCCCTATTTCCTTCCCCAAGTCTTTCGGAAAGACTGGTGAGTCAGCTGCGGCCATGAACTCATCCTAGGCAGTAAAAATAGGAAAACAAACAGGCTTCTCCTCCAGGCAGGGGGAGTGGGAAGAGGGAGGGGGAGATGGGTTTTTTCCCCTGCTGGGGGAAAAGAGTTGCCATCTTTTGAAGTCCTCCAGAGTGAGGCCGGCGTCCTTATGGCCCCTAGAAACTCAACCACATCAAAGTCACCCAAGGAAGGTGGTTTAAGAGGGATGCTGGGTCACACACACAGTCACAGTCACACACAGTGACACAGCCGAGTCCCTCAGAGGAGCATACAGTGACACACACAGGAGGGTGCGACACCCAGCTACGTACACAACATGCAAAGCCAGTAACCCACCAGGCAGTTGCGTGGATACAGTCACACAGAAGAGAGCCTAGCCAGAGTCTCCCAGGCCCACCTGGAGACAATATCAGAGTCCCATACAGTCACATCCATCCACGACAGCTGTCTCCACGCAGAGCTGCACCTACATCATGCAGACAACACACAGCTACACAGACTGCCGCATCCACACCCCCAACTCCCAGCCACTCTCAGAACCAGTTTCTGAGAGTCGCACTCATGGCAGAGGCAACGCCGATTTCTGTGCACATAATCACACACACAACCACACACACAACCACACAGTCACATGCAGCCACAAGCACATAGCTCCTATACAATGCACAGGGCCACACCCAAGCCACAAGGAGTCACACACATGCAGTCTCGGTTACAACCCACCACATACACATTTACACATGTGTCACATGGTCATGGTCACAAACACGACATCCACACGATTACTCAATCACCCAAACCAGTTCTGTTCATGGAACTTCTGGGGCTGAGACTCAATGGCAATTGACCCTGGGGTGGGGACGGGGGCATAATGTGATTCCCAGCTGCCTGCCCAACTCCCTCTCTCCTCTTGGCTGCACCTCCCTGGCCATCCTGCATTCTAGGCATCCACTATTTGGTGTTCTCCAGGCTCTGCTGAGATCCTACACCCTTTGCCTTGAAGACGGCTGCGTCCAACCCCCATTTTGCATCATCCATTTACTCAGTACACCATCTTGCTCTGTGTGCCAGGTACTGTGCTAGGTGCTAGTGAACAAGAGATTATTCTAAATCAGACAAAAAATTTCCCACCAGTGTAATGGCTATTTCCAAACACACGCCTGGGTGACCCTCCACAGATCTAGCCCCAGATGCCTACTTGTTCCCACTCCCCAGCCTTGGGGTGGCCCCACACAGGACCAATACTTCAATCTCATTTTGTTCAGAGGCCAGTTCCAAGAGGCTGAATTGTTCTCATGCAATCGATACAACCTCTAATGGGGGGCATGGGGCATAGACTCAGGAAAAACATCCCTGTGAACTTGGCCTCCCCTTCTCTGGGTGGGTGAATCTCAAGAGGCTGCTGGTTTGAAAAAACTCTATGCTAGGGTCCAGAGAGTGGGGCTTTTGTCCTGTTCCGGCGTGTCCTTATGGGCCAGTCTTATCCCCTTTTCTTCCCTAGTGTTAACACTAGGGGTGCTGGGCCAAATCAGTTTCTCACCATTAGTACTTATTATTATGCAGGTTTCCAGGCCCACCCAGGGCTTCTTTCTTTCTTTTTTTTTGGAGGGGGGGGGTGGTGGAGTCTCACTGTGTCACCCAGGCTGCAGTGCAATGGCATGATCTCGGCTCCCTGCAACCTCCACCTCCCAGGTTCAAGCGATTCTCCTTCCTCGGCCCCCTAAGTAGCTGGGACTACAGGCATGCGCCACCACGCGCGGCTAAGTTTTGTATTTTTAGTAGAGACAGGGTTTCACCATGTTGGTTAGGCTGGTCTCGAACTCCTGACCTAGTGATCTGTCCACTTCAGCCTCCCAAAGTGCTGGGATTATAGGCATGAGCCACTGCTCCCTGCTGAGCTTCTTTATTTTAAAAGTAAATTTAATAAATATTTTATATATTTGTAAAATAATTTTATTTATTTTTTTTTTGGTAGAGATGAGGTCTCACAATGTTGCCCACACTGGTCTGGAACTCCTGGCTTTGAGCGATCCTCCTGTCTCAGCCTCCCAAAGTGCTGGGATTACAAGCATAAACTACCACACCTGGCCCACCCAGACCTTCTTGATCCCAGAATTTGAGAACCTCTGGTTCTGGGCCTCTGAGGTGCTTTCCATCTCTAAGAAGGGCCATGAAACTTTGAGGAGCAGCCCTGCTGGAGGCCCCTCCCAGCCCCAGGCACTTGGCACTCAGGAGCCACTGCCACCCTCCAGGAGGTGCCACGTCATCTTTCTGGTTTAGAGGCTTGGGCTGGTTAAGGGCTTGTAGTCAGAGCAGGTGATGACCAAATCTGAACTTTTGGGTCCTGTTCTTGGCTGAGGCTAGGCTTCCAGGGCAGGGTGGGGTACTTGGGACTCCTGGTACCTTTGCCAGGGCAAATGATGCCCAGGAACCAGGAGAGTCCCTGAACCCAAGCCCAGGCCTAGAGGGCTTATCTAAGCGGGGGCAGGGCCAAAAAAAGGAAAAGTCCATGTGAGAGTCTCAAGTACCGAGGGACTTGAATGAGGCCTGTTTATTTCTCACTCAGTTTCCTATGTTGAGTCAATTGGCTTCCTGGGTTCTGCTTAGCTCCTTTCCTGGTGCTTATGGAATAGGCTCATATGTCAGAACTGGAGGGACATTAGTGGGTCCCTAGCCCATTTCTTTTCTTTTTTTTTAGACGGAGTTTCACTCTTGTTGCCCAGGCTGGAGTGCAATGGTGCGATCTCAGCTCACCGCAACCTCCGCCTCCCAGGTTCAAGCGATTCTCCTGCCTCAGCCTCTCGAGTAGCTGGGATTACAGGCATGTGCCACCACGCCCGTCTAATTTTGTATTTTTAGTAGAGACAGGGTTTCTCCATGTTGGTCAGGCTGGTCTCGAACTCCCAACCTCAGGTGATCTGCCCACCTCGGCCTCTCAAAGTGCTGGGATTACAGGCGTGAGCCACAGCGCCCAGCCCCCTAGCCCATTTCTTTAGTCTATGTCACAGCCCCTCAACTACGTATATCATCCAAAAAGCTGCCTTCTTGGCTGTCCTTGTGCTGGGCACCCTGCTAGTCACATAGAGTGCCTCACAGTCCTCACAGCAATTTTATGGAGTAGGTGGTATTAACTCCACCTTACAGATGAGAAAAATGAGACCCAGAAATTCTGAGCCACCTATGCCAGGTCCTCTAGCTAGTAAGCAGCAGAACTAGATTCAAACCTACTGCTCCAGGGTCCAGGCCCTCAGCCCCATCTCACAGCATTCCCTGAGATCCCACAGCAAGCCTCTGCTTGAACACCTTCAGCGAGAGGGGCTCACAAACACTTACTGAGGACAGATGATAAACACACACATATTGGAGGAAGCAAAGCTCAATGGGAGATGAACTTGCCCCCAGAATGTCTTATTCTAACAGAGGAAACAAGATGTGAAATCACCACTCCGTTTAAGATAGAAGGAATTGGTACCTAAGATAGAGGTGGAGAATATGCTACTTTTGAAAGCTCTAGTTATTAAAAATGTCTTCCTTATATTGAGCATAAATCAACATTGCAGACAAGTCACACGTCCCCACTGCTGGCTTTCCATAGGGCCAATTGCCTTACTGCTCTTTCAGTCTTGACTCTTGTCATTGTACTACTCTGCTGCAGAGATTGGGGCTTCGCTCTGACCACTGCCAGACCCCACAACCCACATAGCAGAGAGACTCCCTCACGTCCATGCAACATCCAGTTTCTGAAAGCTCTGTCCTCCTCTCCTCCTTCACCCACCCATTCAGAGAGAGTTGAGCTGCTCTGGAAAAACCCAGAGAATTCCAGAGTCGGGAGGCTGGGGTTCCAATCCCAGCTCTGTCACTTACTGGTTGTGCAATGTTGGGCAAGGCCCTGAGCTGCTCTGAGCATTGGTTTCTTCATCTGTGAAATGGGGCCAGCAATACTTGCCCCACCTGACTGGGTGGTAAGGATTAGCTGAGATCCTGAGTGTGAAAGTATTCCATATGCCACCGGGAGGACTGACCTTCACAAGCGTCCCTGTGCTTAGAAGCTGAGGGTGGCTTCAGGATTAGCTGGAGAATAAAGGCTGCCCTGAGTGCCTCAGCATGCAAGGCACAGTGCCAGGTGCTGTGAGGATGAGGAGCTAAGGAACTCCGCCCTGCAGGAGTTCTGTATCCTGGGGGTGACATCTCCCACCATCACCAAATCCTTGGGGACAAAGCTTTTTAATCAAATTGGGTGTGGCACCTCACCCCACCCCCGCAAGTGGATTGTGTGATGGAGATTCACACATCCCTTGTGGGTGAGCCAAAGGAACCAACAAGAGGAAAGGGAGTTAATGTGTGTGAAATGTCTGCTACGCATGGTCACTTAGAGTTATTTACTGAATCTTCACAACCCTGTGAGGTTGGGCTTATTATGATGTCCATTTCACAGATGGGGAAACTGAGACACAGGGAAGTTTTATTTGCCCAAGTCAGTAGGTGATGTAGGTGGGATTAGAATTCAGATCTGGGCCAGATGTGTTGGCTCATGCCTGTAGTCCCAGCACTTTGGGAAGCCAAGGCAGGAGGATCACTTGAGCTTAGGAGTTTGAGACGACTGGGCAACATTCTGAGACCCCCATCTTTACAAAAAATTTTTTAAAAATTGCTGGGCCAGGTGCGGTGGCTCACGTCTGTAATCCCAGCACTTTGGGAGGCCGAGGCGGGTGGATTACGAGATCAGGAGTTCAAGACCAGCCTGGCCAAGATGGTGAAACCCCGTCTCTACTAAAAACATAAAAATTAGCCGGGCATGGTGGCGGGAGCCTGTAATCCCAGCTACTTGGGAGGCTGAGGCAGAGAATTGCTTGAACCCGGGAGGCAGAGGCTGCAGGGAGCCAAGATCGCACCACTGCACTCCAGCCTGGGTGACAAGAGCGAGACTCCATCTCAAAAAAAAAAAAAAAAAATTGCTGGGCATGGTGGCATGCGCCTGTAGTCCCAGCTACTTGGGAGGCTGAGGTGGGAGGATTGCTTTAGCTTGGGAGGTTGAGGCAGCAGTGAGCTATGACCACACCACTGCACTCCAGCCTGGGCGCAGAGCAATACACTCATATCTATTCTTTTTTTTTTTTTTTTTTTGAGACGGAGTCTCACTCTGTCACCCAGGCTGGAGTGCAGTGGTGCGATCTCAGCTCACTGCAACCTCTGCCTCCCGGGTTCAAGCCATTCTCCTGCCTCAGCCTCCTAAGTAGCTGAGATTACAGGCGTGCACCAGCATGCCCAGCTAATTTTTGTATTTTTAGTAGAGACGAGGTTTCACCATGTTGGCCAGGCTGGTCTCGAACTCCTGACCTTAGGTGATCCACCTGCCTTGGCCTCCCAAAGTGCTGGGATTACAGGTATGAGCCACCGTGCCTGGCCTGTTTATTTTATTTTTTTTCATAATTTTAATATACACAAATTGCTAAATTTGCTATTGGGTGGGACCAGTCTCCCATGGCACCCTACACAGACTCTGTATCTAGTTAATGTTTTAAAAAGAGAGCATTGAAGAAGCCAGAAGTGGGGTGCATGGTCTATCACCCCACTTGAGAGGTATGGCCTTAGGTCTAGAGACAAGAGTTCACTTATTTGCTGAAGTCCTTAAGGACTGAGAAGACTAGAGATTTCTTTCTTGTAACTGGATACCTGAGGGTCAACAGTTTCTCCAAACTGAGCCCCAGATTCCAGAGTTAGCTGCCCATTCCCTCAGCCCAGCACCAAACCATAAAGTAGCGCAAAATGCACTGAGTCAGAGGCCTGGATTGAAAATCCTGCTCTGTACACATGAGTGAGGTTTTCCCTAGCAAGGCACTTTAAGACATGGGCCTCGGTGTCTTCATCTGTAAAATGGGGCAAATAACCACCTACTTCACAAGTTATTATGAGGGCCCACTGTAGTTATAGATGTCCACGTGCTTTGGGGAAGGCCATATATATTGTAGGGAAAATGTCATATTCCCTAGGCATTTGCGCAGACTCCTCCTGTCCCCTGCCCCTTGCTGACTTGCCAGGAGGACTCAAAATACATCATTATTTTGATTTAGAAAGTCCTCAGCCCCAGCCCCAAGTCTTTCCTGCTTGTGATCTTCTGGGCTTGAGCTTCATGGTGATTCCAGGAGCGAGTTCCCCAAGTTGGAGGAAGGCAGCTGGGGAGGTGGCATTCCAGGCGGCATGTCAGCGAGTGAGTCAGGGCTGGGGCGGTCCTCCTCCTCCTCCCTGGAGGTGGGAGAGGGCCTGCCTAACTAGCTTCTGGCTCAGGGCCCAGATGAGGTTACTCTCATTTGCATACATCTGCATATATGTAAATTTCACCTGTGCACACTGGCAGGACTGGGAAAGACACTTGTGCAGGGGCAAACTAGTCAGTGTGGCTGGCTGCTTGCTGGAACATCTAACCCAGGATCTTGGTCCATGGTTCATTCCCACCATAAAATGCCTGAATGTGTGAACCAGGCACCTGTCTCCTCTGGTTGCCCAGGCCGGCAACTTCACAGTCATTTTTGCTTCTACCCTCTCTGGTACAGTTACCTAGCCCAGTAGGGTTTGTCTTTGAGCCACTCTTCTCATGCTTCTCTTCCTTTCCGTTGCCTTTGCCACCACCCCCTTGAACCTTCCCTTCTCACTTCATGCTTGACCTATTGCAACAGCCTCCTAACTGGGCTCTCTCTGCCACCTGACTCATCCCTCCCAACCCACCCTCGTACCCAAGATGCCCCTGGGAAGCTTCTCCACTCCCATCCTGGTCTTCTCCACTGCCCATGGGCCCCATTTGAAGCTCTTGGTTGGCGTTTGAGACCCTCCACAGGGTGGAGCCTCCTGACTCTCAGTCTCAGCTCTTTCCTCACTTTCTTGCCTTTCAGCCAAGTGGATGTGGGCCCTGCACACACCTTTTATGTGCCCCAGTCTCCTCATTTGTTTTTTTTTTTTTTTTTTTTTTTTTTTTGAGACAGAGTCTCGCTCTGTCGCCCAGGCTGGAGTGCAGTGGCGCGACCTCGGCTCACTGCAAGCTCTGCCTCCCGGGTTCACGCCATTCTCCTGCCTCAGCCTCCCGAGTAGCCGGGACCACAGGCGCCCGCCACCACGCCCGGCTAATTTTTTGTATTTTTAGTAGAGGCGGGGTTTCACCGCGTTAGCCAGGATGGTCTCGATCTCCTGACCTCATGATCCGCCCGCCTCTGCCTCCCAAAGTGCTGGGATTACAGGCGTGAGCCACCGCGCCCGGCCCAGTCTCCTCATTTGTAAAGTGGGGATAAGAATAGGATTCTCGGCCAGGCGCAGTGGCTTATGCCTGTAATCCCAGCACTTTGGGAGGCCAAGGCGGGCAGATCACAAGGTCAGGAGATCGAGACCATCCTGGTTAACACGGTGAAACCCCGTCTCTACTAAGAATACAAAAAAAAAATTAGCCGGGCATGGTGGCGGGTGCCTGTAGTCCCAGCTACTCGGGAGGCTGAGGCAGGAGAATGACGTGAACCCAGGAGGCGGAGCTTGCAGTGAGCTGAGATCACACCACTGCACTCCAGCCTGGGTGACAGAGTAAGACTCCATCTCAAAAAAAAAAAAAAAAAGAAAAAGAACAGGATTCTCGTGGCCAAGGTATGGTGGCTCACGCCTGTAATCCTAGCACTTTGGGAGGCCGAGGCAGGTGGATCACTTGAGATCAGGAGTTCGAGACCAGCCTGGTCAACATGGTGAAGCCCCATCTGTACTAAAAATACAAAATTAGCCAGAAATCACTTGAACCTGGGGCAGAGGTTTCAGTGAGCTGAGATCGTGCCACTGCACTCCAGCCTGGGCAACAGAGTGAGACTCCGTCTCAAAAAACAAACAAACAAACAAACAAAAAACCCAACAACAACAACAACAACAAAAACAAGAGTAGGATTCTTGATTGAGCATAGGAGTTAGAGACCAGTCTGGGCAACATAGTGAGACTTTGTCTGTACAAAAATTTAAAAATTAGCCAGGCATGGTGGCACATGCCTGTAGTCCCAGCTACTTGGGAGGATGAGGCAGGATGATCACTTGAGCCCACGAGGTTGAAGCTACAGTGAGTCGTGTTCTTGCCACTGCACTCCAGCCTTGGCAACAGAGTGAGACCCTATCTACAAAAAAAAAAAAAAAAAAAAAAAAAAAAAAAAAAAAAAAAAAAAAAAAAGGACTCTCTTTGCAGGATTGTATGAAGATTTCTAAGAAAATGCATGTGGCTGGGCACAATGGCTCACACCTGTAATCCCAGCACTTTGGGAGGCCAAGGCGGGTGAATCACGAGGTCAAGAGATTGAGACCATCCTGGGCGACATGGTGAAACCCAATCTCTACTAAAAATACAAAAATTAGCTGGGCGTGGTGGCAGGTGCCTGTAGTCCCAGCTACTTGTGAGGCTGAGGCAGGAGAATTGCTTGAACCCGGGAGGCAGAGGTTGCAGTGAGCCGAGACTGCGCCACGGCACTCCAGCCTGGCAACAGAGCAAGACCTCATCTAAAAAGAAAAAAAAAGAAAGAGAGAAAGAAAGAAGGAAGGAAAGAAAGAAAGAGAAAGAAAGAAAGAAAGAGCGAGTATGTAAAGTATGTCTACTACACAAGCCCACAATATTAGCCAGTATTAATGTTATCACTTCTCTTACTGACATTCTATAGAAGACATTCCTCTCCTGGGGTCCCCTCCTCTTCTCAGCCATCTTCAGCCCTTCCTCTGCACTTGCTGAATGGTGCTTCTCCAGGTAAGACAACCCCATGGTAGTTAAGAGGGCTAAGCTGGCCTGGGTTCCAGTTCCAGCTTTTAGGCAAGTTATTTGACATTTCTGTGCCTCGGTTTCCAGTTTCCTCATCTATAAAATGAGGATACTATTGATAGAGTATGTCTTATATTCTTTTTTTTTTTTTTGAGACGGAGTCTCGCTCTGTTTCCCAGGCTGGAGTGCAGTGGCGTGATCTCGGCTCACTGCAAGCTCTGCCTCCTGGGTTTACGCCATTCTCCTGCCTCAGTCTCCTGAGTAGCTGGGACTACAGGCACATGCCACCATGCCTGGCTAATTTTTGTATTTTTTTTTTTTTAGTAGAGATGGGGTTTCACTATGTTGGCCAGGCTGGTCTGGAACTCCTGACCTCTTGATCCACCCGCCTCGGCCTCCCAAAGTGCTGGGATTACAGGCGTGAGCTACTGCTCCCAGCCAGAGTGTCTTATATTCTTATATAGAGAGAATGTACCACATACAATTCTTGTGATGATTCAATAAAATAATCCATGTAAGGGCTTAGCAAAGTGCCTGGAGCACAGACAACACTTAAGTGTTTGCTGATATTATCAATATTATTGTGTTACCCAAGGCACAAGGCCTCAGGTCACCACTGCTCCCCTTCTCCCCTAAAGGCCCTGGGACAGGCTCTGCAAGGTTTCTCAGAGGGGTCTCCAAGAATAGAGCCTTCATCTGGATCCTCTTGTCTACACACCCAGAGATCTACTACCCTGCCCTCCCTCTCTTTCCTGTGGAAAGCACCAGAGGCAGCAGTGCCCCATTGGTTGGGAGTGTGGGGCTGAGCTCCCCTTCCTCACTAGTTTTGGGGCTCATGCCAGAATTTGGGCTACAAAGAGCTGTTTTCCCCCAAGGTCCAGCCTGGACAGGTGAGAGTCAGCTCAGAGTCTGGGAGGGGTGTGCAGGGGAGGGGAGAGGCAAACTGACTTGAGAAGGTGGAAAGTCTTCAGGGCTCAGTTCCCCAACCAGCTTGCACCGCCCTCACCCCATGAAACTAGTGCAAACCCTCCCCACTTCTCTGCCCATTTTCCTTCCCCCTCACCACGTCCTCCAGCCTTTTCCAGGCAGCAGCTAGTGAACTTCCAGTGTGGGATCATTTTCTAAGGAGAATTAATGAGGGTGATTGACAGCCGAGGGTGGAAGCCAGGCTGGAGGAGGTGCGCCATGCACCACCCCCTCCGTAAACCGCTGAGAGTGGGTCCACGACCCTCCTCTCGGCCAACCACTCCCGCCCCGCCCCCATAGCTGAGCAAGGTGAGGGGGAGGTTTGGGGGAGAGACAGCGGAGGGAGGGTGGGACTGAGTTACCTTTCACCTTTACCTCTGCCTACCCTCCCCCCACACCAGGCCTGGG
The DNA here is from genome assembly GCF_000001405.40 of Homo sapiens. NCBI lineage: Eukaryota > Metazoa > Chordata > Mammalia > Primates > Hominidae > Homo > Homo sapiens. The sequence goes on from NC_000017.11 coordinate 49,963,229, forward strand.
GACCCAAGAGCCCAACACAGGGGTACACAGGGAAAGCCTGAGTTTGAGATTTTTTGTAGTTGTGATTATTTTTCTCACATTGAAGGGAAGGGGTATGGGTATGTCTGTGCGCCCATGCGGCCACTCCACTCTCCTCCTCAAGGCAATATTTCCCTCGTTCTCCCAAGCCCAAACCAGCAGAGGTAAGGCTGTCTCCTCCCAGGCTGAGCTGCCCTGATCAGGATTCAGAGACCAGACCTTTTGTTATGAAAGAAAAGCAGTCTGGACTTCCAAAGGGTCTGGTTCGGGTGGGGTCACTGGTCAAAAAGTTAAACCAATAACCCCACCCTTGTAGACCCTCCATCAACTCCAGGGGGTCCAGAGGGCAGGTGTGAGTGAGTGTGTGTGTGTGTGTGTGTGTTGTGGGGGGGGTGGTTGTGTGTGTACGTGTGGTGGCCGTGTGCTGTGTTTGTTGTGTATGTGTGATGTGGCTGTGTGGTTGCCTATGGAGTGTATGCTGAGGCTATTGGGTGGCAGAAGTATACGTCTGTGCATCTATGTGTTTGTGGTGTTTTTGGTGTGTGTGTCTGTGTGTGCGCGCGCGCGCTCTGTGTTGTATTGTGTGCGCTAGTGCACGCATTGTCTTCGATGTTGCCGCTAGAGGAACCTTCCAACTCCCACTACTCCCACCTCCGGCTTTCACCCTGCACCCGGCGATGAAGACGTCGGCGAAACGCCTACTTTCCATGCCTAGGTCTGGGAAGGTCTGAAGATCCCGGCGGAGCTGCCTTCGTTCGGGGCCGGGCAAATTCGTTGCAGCCGGGTTGGCCTCAGGGCCTCTCGCCGGCTCGCTATGTTTCCCCGGGGCGCCCTGGCAGGCCAGCCGGCGGTCTGTCAGTCCAGCTCCTGGTGCGGGCGCCTCGTTTTGGTCCACCGGGTCCGGGGCTGGGACACCGAGGGAAAACTTCAGAGCTCCGGGCCACCGAGCCTGGAAGTTACGCGTCCCCCAGCCCACGCGTCCCCAATCCCGGGGTATTTCCTGCTCCCTCATCCAGCGAAGTTCAGCGTCGCGTGTCTCCCCAGCGGCGCAGCCTGCCTCCAAGACACCCTCAAAACCGCCTCATTTTTTGTTAACCGTTTTCTCTCTCTCTCTCTCTCTGTCTCTCTCTCTCTTCCTCCGTCCCCCCACCCCGTGTCCCAAGAATTTTTCCTAGTTTTGTTTTTAACATGTTTAGTGTGTGCATAAAACATCCCAGCTAATCTCAAATAGACTTTTCCTGAGCAGAGGCTGAAATTTGCAAGTAATGCAAAGAAGACTCCGGGAGAGCGTCGCCGATGGTGGAGCGGGAGACGGGCGTGGGGAGCCCCACTGCAGTGCTGGGATCGAAGTGGTGCTGACCCCAAGACCTCTCCCCTCCTCCTCCCCCGGGAGCTTCTCCAGGGTTATTTGGGAAATGAGGGGGAACTCCAATCCCTGAGAAAGCGCTCAGGGGCTTGCTGAGGTGAGCGCAAATGGAAGCACAAGGCCGGGCTGGCCGTGGGCTCAGTAACCAGTCGGCTGCCCGGCTTGCGCCAGCACTAAATGCTCGATCAGAAAGAGAAAAAGAGGCGCAATAATTCCAAATTTCAGGAAAAGTCAAATCGGAGAGGGGGGACGCAGGTCTCTTCAGACTGCCCATTCTCCGGGCCTCGCTGAATGCGGGGGCTCTATCCACAGCGCGCGGGGCCGAGCTCAGGCAGGCTGGGGCGAAGATCTGATTCTTTCCTTCCCGCCGCCAAACCGAATTAATCAGTTTCTTCAACCTGAGTTACTAAGAAAGAAAGGTCCTTCCAAATAAAACTGAAAATCACTGCGAATGACAATACTATACTACAAGTTCGTTTTGGGGCCGGTGGGTGGGATGGAGGAGAAAGGGCACGGATAATCCCGGAGGGCCGCGGAGTGAGGAGGACTATGGTCGCGGTGGAATCTCTGTTCCGCTGGCACATCCGCGCAGGTGCGGCTCTGAGTGCTGGCTCGGGGTTACAGACCTCGGCATCCGGCTGCAGGGGCAGACAGAGACCTCCTCTGCTAGGGCGTGCGGTAGGCATCGTATGGAGCCCAGAGACTGCCGAGAGCACTGCGCACTCACCAAGTGTTAGGGGTGCCCGTGATAGACCGCCAGGGAAGGGGCTGGTTCGGAGGGAATTCCCGCTACCGGGAAGGTCGGAACTCGGGGTGATCAAACAAGGAATGCATCTCACCTCCGTGGGTGCTTGTGCTGCGCAAGGAATTATTACCGGAGCGGTTGCGATGGCCTTTGCCCGGCGACCCAAGAAGAGTAAGCAAACTACCGTCCACCCAGCGGATCAGGTCCAATCCCTGCGCCTCGGCCCAATCCCTAGAGCCCCGCGGCGCCGTATCCCCTCCCCCCCAACTCTGGACCCCGCCGTCTGTCCCCGCGGCATCACCAGGGTGCTGGAGTTTTCCGAGCAGGCCCCTTGCGCTAAGCGAGAGGATCTGTGAGGGAAAGTTGGGAGAGCCACTTCTGGCTTTTGTGAAGATCCCGGGCCTGAGGTATTGGTAGTGACAGGAGAGAGTTCTCTTTTTTTCTTCCTTCTTTCCATCCCTCCTCCTCCCCCCACTTCTTCTTTTTGGTTTTCTCATGGTTTTGGATTTTAGTTTTTGCAATTTGTCATAAAGCAAATGACAAAGGCTTGGAGTTCTTAGTCCAGCTCAGTTCTTTTATCCCTTCTGGGTAAACCAGTCTCAGAGAAGGCAAATGACTGATGCAAAATATCCCAACCAGCAACTTCGTGGCTGAACTGGACCAGAACCCAAGCCTCAAGAGTCTCAAGCCAGCTCTCCCTCTTTAAAAATTTTTTTGTAAAATATGGAATGCTTCATAAATTTGCATGTCATCCTGGTGCAAGGGCCATGCTAATCGTCTCTGTATTGGTTCAACTTTTTTTCCTAAGCAAGCATCCTCTCTCCCCTCTGATCCAATACGAGATTACTGTGCTTCCCAGCCCACATCCTCACCACGTCCACCTTTCCTGAGGTTGGTGAGATGAGACTCCTATTGGAGAGGATCCCTCCCTGGGGAGCCTGCTTCTGAGGAGACCCCAGGTTATCCCAAGCTGGTGCCCCAGCCCCACACCCTCTGGAATATGGGAGAAGGGAGCCTTGAAGAAACAGGTGATGATGGAAGGAGATGTTTCCTCATTTGTAAAATGGGGATAATAGTGCCTGGAGTTTGAGCGTGTGTGTGTGTGTGTGTGTGTGTGTGTGTGTGTGTGTGTATGCACGCACAGGACTTGGATGTTGTGAGTGCTTGATAAATTCCAAAGGGCTGCAGAGTATGTCCTGCTGCTGCATAGGGGTGAAGATCCTCTGAGTCCAGAGAAGCCCTGAGAGCTTAGAACTTAAGACAAGTATGCACTGGGGATCTCTTGGCTTTGGAGGATGCCCAAAGCCAACTGTGGCAGAACCCTGCCAGAAAACCCATGCCTGCCCTTCTTTCCTGGGTCTGACAAGAAAGGATTCTGTGCACATGGTTCTAAGAGGGAATGTCTTTCCACTTATCCTGTCAACTCCAGCTCAAAAGCACTTCCTTTGGGAAACCCTCCCTCACAGCCAACCCCACCCAAAAAACATTCTCTTCCTTTGATGCACAACTTTGATGCCATCCCTGGAAACTCTCCTCAGCACTGCTGTAAGGCTGCCTCCATCCCTGTAGAGGAAAATGGTGATGGTAGAATGAAAGGTTTAGAAGGATATATATCCTCACAGGTTCACAGCTCCAGCTCTAAGGAGATGGTGGCATGGCGAGAATTAAGGAAGAAAGGGAGAAAGGTAGTCCCACATAGAATAAGCATTTCTCTACTGAGCAAACCCTCCACAGCCTGTTGGACGAGAGGGGAGTGGGTTCTCCAGCTGCCCTGCAAAAGCCCCTTCTTCCCGGCTCCAAGGCTTCAAGATGAAGAGCTCCAAGCCAGGTGCTAGAGTCTCTCCTTGGAAAAACTCACCTCTATCTATTCCACTGGGGAGTCTAGTTTGAAATAGACTTGCTCTTCCTCCTTGCAGGACACCTGACTGAACTTCAACCACCCCTGCACACCCATTTGATTGATTTTGTCTAAGGAGGCTTGGGCTCCATTCCCCAGCCAGTGTTTTCTCCTATTCTTCCAGGCTGCTGCCTCCTCCTCCTCCTCCTCCTCATCCTCCTCCTTCTTTTTTCGACATAGAGTCTCACTCGGTCAGTCAGGCTGGAGTGAAGTGGCATGATCTCAACTCACTGCTGCCTTAACATCCAGGGCTCAAGTGATCCTCCTGCCTCAGTCTCCTGAGTAGCTGGGACTACGGGCATACACCACCATGACCAGCTAATTTTTGTACTTTTTGTAGAGATGAGTCTCCCTATGTTGCCCAGGCTGATCTCAAACTCCTGAGCTCAACCGATCTGCCTGCCTGGGCCAAATGCTGGGATTACCGGCCTGAGCCACCTTGCCTGATCTCTCTTTCTTATCACCATCCTCTTCCATCTCCCAGTTCTACGAGGGCTACCTTCACTCTGAACGCTAACAATGAGAGCATGTGTGTGTGTACAAACATGAATATGCCTGCCCAGTTGCATAAAGTGGGAACAGGTGTTTGGGTATGCTGGGGAATTTGTGAAGACTGGCAGTTTAGGGACACATCTAACATAAGGCATCTTAGATGTGTGTGGACAGGTATTTCTCATAGAGCAGGAACACAAGTATACATTTTATATGCTTGGATCTTCTGTATTTTCTAGTAGGTACACCAGTGATTTGACTTGTATACTCATGAATCCATGTAAGAGACAAGTACTAGATAGTGTTTTTATTTAGGGATAGTGCTAATTCATCTTTAGGTATGTAGATGTATACACATCACAGCCTAAAGTGTTTGCAGATTTACAAATGAACCTCTCTTTTTATAGAGGAATGCTAGTGTGAACATCAGTGTAGGTACCTCCATGTTGGTATATGTGAGTATACATGTTGTATTTGAATGGAGTCCCTGTGTAGTTGTGTACACGTGTCAATAAATGCTTGTATACGTGGACACGTGTCCATCGAGGCCATGGATACTAATGTTTAGAAGCAAGTCCTGAACACAGCCTGGAAAATGCGCCAGGGAGACTGGCCTGCAGTATTTCCTGTGCCCGCCCAGGAGCCATCCAACTGGACTCATCTCCCACTCCCAGATTTCGTCCGGGTTCAAGCAACACTTCAGCCCCCTGCGGCGCCAGGTAAGGCGGGGCACCGCACAGGCTAAAGCCCAGAGGGCGGATCCCTTCTTCAGCCTCGGGGGCCTGCAAGGAGCTGCGGTGTCGCAACCAAACCAGGGCCCCTGCCGGAAGCGGAAGCCAGCACGCAGGGCGGTGGGGTGCAGCGGCGGCGGTCTCGGCGTGCCAGGCCCAGGGCGCCCCGCGGGGGCGTGCGCGCCACACGCGTGCGGGGCAGGCTGGGCGCCGGGCGGCACCCTCCCAGCCCCGGCGTCTATTTACCAACAAACTGCCGGCGCTCAGCAGCGGCGCATTCCGACGCGCTGACTAAGCGGTTGGCGCTGGCGGTCTGCACTTGACTCCCCTTCAGGTCCACCGCGGCTGGACCAGAATCGACGTGCAGATCCCCGAAATCGGGAGACTGCAAATGCAGATTCCCTGCGTCTCCGCAGCCCCCGGGCCTCTGCCCACCACCCAGCTCCCTGTCTCTTGGGCATCCAGTCTCGCCACCTCTCTAGCATTTCTGCCATTATAACCGAGGTTCCTGGACTGCACCAATCGCTCTGCAACCCCAGCACCTCTCGGAGGAGACCCCGAGGTAGACCGGCCTGGAGCATGCGCACCGCCCCTCTCCCATTTACCACTTCTCTACAGCGGGCTGTCCCGGGGGGCGGGGCCCGGCTGCAAGTCTCCGTGAGGTCACCGCGGGCGGTAGCCAATCCGGGACGTCTAAGAGGGCGGGGCCCCCGTCGGGTCCCGGGAACCGAACCCGATGGAGAGGAGGGGGCCCCCATGGATTTAGGGGGGGAGGGGAAAGTCATGGGGGGCACCCCCCCGGAACCCCTTTCCCAGGCGCGCGTTCTCCGCTGAAAGAGGCTCAGAGAGACACTTTCTCCGGGATCTTAAGTGTGGGGGCTGCTGGCTGGGGGGCCCGTCCGGCCCAACGCCGGAGGCTTGGAAAAGAGAGTTGGCAGCGGGAGCGGACTACGTGCCGGGCCATGGCCCTTCTGCCCGGGCCCTGGCCACAATGACCTCTTTGCCCTGCCCCCTCCCCGGCCGGGACGCCTCCAAAGCTGTCTTCCCAGACCTCGCCCCTGTCCCGTCGGTAGCGGCTGCCTACCCGCTTGGCTTGTCCCCTACAACCGCAGCCTCCCCCAATTTGTCCTACTCCAGGCCGTATGGCCACCTCCTGTCTTACCCCTACACCGAGCCAGCGAACCCCGGAGACTCCTACCTGTCCTGCCAGCAACCCGCGGCGCTCTCTCAGCCCCTCTGCGGACCTGCAGAGCACCCTCAGGAACTCGAGGCAGGTAAGTTCGGCCGTGGAGGCTCTTCCCACCTCTGGGGTTCGGCTCCTGTGCGCCCCTAAACTTCTCCCTCGCCTGGTTGGACGCAGCTAGCGGGATTCAAACCTTCCTTGGATTCCCTGGGATGTGGGGGTGGGGGGAGGGCGAAGGGATGGGGCGGGAGACACGGGGGGAGGGGCGGGGGAGAGTTGATCTAGGTCTCCTTTCAAAACCGACCTGGTTTCGATTTGCAGTTGTGTAAAGACAGGCGAGAGGGCCCCCCCAACCCCCCACCTGGAGCAGCGGGGCTGTCTGTACCTACTAGTAACGGAAAACTGAAGCAATCCAGATGTGGGGATGGGGGCCTAGCCCCTTTGTCAGAATCCCCCAGCCCCCGTCCTGTACTCCCTTCCTGCCCCATTGTCGCCCCTCTCTGCGTTAGTCTTGTCTCAGAAAGCAGTGATCAAGCCAAACACTGAAAAACAGATCAAGTCCTGGTAGGAGGGCTGTAGACATCGAGGCTTATTCTGGGCTCTGTCCTCTCCCTTCCCTGGCCTTACCCGCTCTCCTCAGACCAGGCCTGACCTTGACTGGAAGCTGGCCTGGCAGAATCTGGGAGTAGGACCCTTCTATCCATTGTTCTGAGAAGGTAGCCAAAGGCTGGTAGGAAAGTCGCTCATCTCTCCCTGACTACCTCAGCCTTCCAGCCAAAGGAGCCGGCCATCGCTGTCATCTCCACTCTTTGGCTTTGGGGTAGGTTAGGCCACAGTTCCCGTTGCCTGGAGCAACTCTGAGCTCCTGAGAAAGTGCTCACTGGAAGGCCTCAATGAAGCGGAGAACCTGGCCCGTCTTTGGGATCCTGGGCCTTGCAGCTGAGCTGACATACAATGTGGGTATGGCATTGCCCACAATCCCATCTGCACTGGCTCCAGCTTAGCCTCCAGGTCTCTGGACTCTCTGCCTCCATCTAATTGCTCACCCCCTCCTCCTGCAATTGTCTTTGGCAGTCTCTTCCAAGGAGGCACACCCATTAGGTGACTTCACTGGAGTCAGCTCAGGACCAAGACATCTTCCTCCCTTCTCCTGTGGCTCTGACATGCTCACAAACCATCAGAGCCAGAAGTGACCCTAGGATTTAGAAGCTCAACTTCTTTGATGTATAGATGGGTAAAGCATGTGGCCAGGAGCATCGATTTTAGGGAGCTTCCTCCAACCCCCCCAAAATTAACTGCCTTCTGTGACAGAACTGTGGCTGTCTCCTGGGCTGCGGAGTGTGGCTGGAGTGGGCGCAGTTGCAGGGAGGAGTAGTTCTAGTTTTTCAAATGAATCCCTTTGACTGTCCTTTAGTGTATGCTAATAGGATATGTTTGTGTGTGTTATGTGTTTGGGGACTGGGGTGGGAATATCATGACCTTGTCCTCAGGGGAATTGCTGGCAGTAGGGTTGGTGTTGTCAGTCTTGTCTGAGATCTAAGGACAACAGAGTGGAGAGTTCATTTTCTTTAAGGACTTTCCCCCATCCAGCGAAAAACCACACACACCCAGATTTCCTTAGAATACATTTCTAGCATTTCTCTGCTGGAACTGGTGGGTTTGGGCGCTCTAGAGTGGAGGGCATGTGATCGAGAGCTTGGGGTCCTCCTTTTACTTCCACTCTATGTCCACTCCTGCCTTGGGAAAAGGTTTGGCTCCAAGTGAGCGGTGCCACCACCCCGTTGAGCCGTAGGGAGCAGCGGGCCTGGAGGGAGGCCTTGGGGCTCCATGATCGCGACCCGGGCAGATCTCGTAACTTGCTGGAACTGGGGTAGGGAAAGGCAGCTGTCCGGGAAGGAACTTGGAGGGGGTCTGCTGGGAGAGTTGGGGCGCGGAGGGCTATGCGAATTCAGCAACCGGGTCGGCCTCAGAGACTCTGCGTCCCCGCTCGAATTGCGCAGTCCACGCAGCCAGAGAGGCGCGGGTGGGCTCTGGGCTGCCAGCCCAGAGCTGCCAGCAGTGGGGTCGAGGCAGGGGAGGCAGGACAGGCGCGGGCGGGAGCGGAAACCCAACGGTTTTTCTGGGAATTGGTTGAGGCAGGGTCGAGGAGGGAGGATCTCAGAAGCCCGCAGCGCCCGAGGCCACGGGTGAGGGATGCGGGGGAGGTGACGGCAGCTGGTGACCGCGGCTGGCCGAGGGCGGGTACACTGACGTGTGGAGGGTGAGCCCGACTAGGGGAAGAAGGTGGGGGGACGCGGGCGGACAGAAGCCGCTCTCTCTCGGCTCAGGTCGGCTGGACAGACCCGCAGGGAATGCGGCGAACGCTGCCCTAAGCGCCCGGGCATTGCGGCTGCTCCATCCGCCCTACTCCTCCCATTGCCTGGGACCTCTGCAGCGTCCCCGTAGAGCCGCGCAGGTTAGGGTGGCTGGCTTGGAAGAACAGAAACCCCTCGGCCCAACCCTCCCCTGTCCCTCAGCATTCTAGGGCTGGGCTGTCCCGCGGCCGAGATTCCTGGAGAGCTAGGCGGGCCAGAGCTGACCAGATCCCCCGCGGCGGCACCGCAGCGCGATCCAGGAGTGGCCCCGCCGGGCTACGCTGCGCGCTCTTGGAACCCGGGTCACCTTCCCTGCCGCCGGAACCGCTCTGTGCGCGCTGCCCAACGAAGGAAGGGGCTGCCCCACGCAGACCCGGCTTCTGGGGGTCCCTGGAAACCCAGGCGGCCACGGTGTGGCGGGGGAGACATGGTCACTTTTCCTGCAGGGTGCGCCTGAGCAGAGGGGCAGCCCGTTACAGTAGGCGAGGCCAGGGCAAACCCGGGGTCACTATCAGCGCTGCGAGACTGGTATTCAAGGTCCTCTCAGCCGGGCCTCTCACCCACCCCGCTGGCCGCAGCCGGAGGCTGCCACGCGGACACCGTCTCAAGCCTCTGAGCATTGCTCTGAGCCTCTGCCTGCAATGTCCTTCCTCTGTCATCTCTAGGCCTCGGCTCAGCCCTGGACCTAGCCTTTCTGCCCCGCCCTACCCCAAGCTGGCGCCACCGCCCGTGGCTGAACTCCGACCTCCCACCGCAGGCGCCGCGGTACCCTGGCTGTGGCCCTCGGCGCTTTCTTCCTAGGGTCACAGGACCCATACGAGTGGGAGCTCCCTGGGAGCAGAACTGCGTCTTGTATCACCTGGCGCGGTGAACGTGGGGGTTGAAACGCTCCACGCGGAAGGTAGAGGGCAGGGGCCAAGGGGGCGATCCTGGTGGCTGCGCTTTTTGCTATTTGCTGCCGACGGCATGCAGACGAGATGCAAATAAGCTTATGAAACTGTCCGTCCTACCCCCTCGCTCCCTCCTCGCCCCCTACACCGTGTTGTGCTGCCCACCAGACTCGGAGAAGCCGCGGCTGTCCCCGGAACCCTCCGAGCGGCGCCCTCAGGCCCCCGCCAAAAAGCTCCGCAAGCCGAGGACCATCTACTCCAGCCTGCAGCTGCAGCACCTAAACCAGCGTTTCCAGCACACGCAGTACCTGGCGCTGCCCGAGAGGGCCCAGCTGGCAGCGCAGCTCGGCCTCACCCAGACCCAGGTGGGGCCAGTGTCGTCCTTCCCCATCTCTCACCTTCCCTGGTTCTCTGGGAACTCATCCCCCAGCCCCAGCTGTGAATGACTGATGGATTGGTGCTGTGGCCCTGTTGTCACAGTTCTCCAGGGAATGTTCATAGCTGGCTCTTAGTAAGCCTTGGGGGGAATGTGTTGAAAGGTGTGCATGTATGTGCGGGTGGGGTGGAGTGGGTCAGGAAGAGGAGGGTAGGTCAGACAGGGAGACATGGATACTAGCTCAGAGGCAGGAACTCAGAAGGCTCCTGGGGCTGTGGGGGACTGAAGCAAATGTTCCCAGCCTAGGGAACTGCTGGTCTCCCAGGACTGTGCCTGCACCTGGATCCCTTTCCCTTCCTCGAAACTTTTCACACATATCTTCCTCCTGATCTTTCATTCTTTCCCCTTTTCTTCCCGAAGGTAAAGATCTGGTTTCAGAACAAACGCTCCAAGTATAAGAAGCTCCTGAAGCAGAATTCTGGGGGGCAGGAAGGGGACTTCCCTGGGAGGACCTTCTCTGTGTCTCCCTGCTCCCCACCCCTCCCCTCCCTCTGGGATCTACCCAAGGCAGGGACCCTGCCCACCAGTGGCTATGGCAACAGCTTTGGAGCCTGGTATCAGCATCACTCCTCAGATGTCCTGGCTTCGCCTCAGATGATGTGAATCTGGGGAAGGGCGGGTCAGGCCCACAGCCTTCCTGCAAAGCCCAGGACCCAGGCAGTCCACCTGCACCCCTTCTGGGCTGGGAGGAAACCAGCTCCAGATGGGTTTTCTCTGGAGGACAAGCAGTTAGAGGAGAAAAAGGAATGGAGCAGAGCCTGTACCCCTAACCCTAACAGCTAAATCAAGGACCTCAGCCTTATATAATCATTGTCCCCACCACTACCATGGACTGGACACCTTCACTCCAGCTGGACAAAGACTCTGGAGAGAGAGCCATTGGCTGGAGTTGAGACTGTCCCCAGAACCCTTGGTCTTGCCACTCCCCCACTCCTTCTTCCCTCTCTCCCTTTCTCCTCTCCCTGCTTTCTTGAAAAGGACTGAATCGCCACTACAGCCTGGGTGCAAAATCAGCAAGAAACATTGAGTATTTTTTTTTCTTTGTATGCCTTTGGCCTTGCACAACCCATTTGTGAGCAAAAGCAGAAGTGGACCACCATCAGCTCCCACCCACCCAGCGATTTTTCCTTGGAGGTCAGCCCGTTACCCCCATAACTGATTTACCTACTTACCATACTGGGAGGTAGAAGAGATGCAGAGAAATGTGGAATTTGTGGACCTATGGGTAATTTATGCTTTCCTCCTAAAAAAAAAAAAAAAGCCCTCTTTCCCACCCCCTCCCCATCTCCCCTTTTTGAATAGATAATGGATCCAATTATCCATATAATTCAATAGGTATTTATTGAGAGGCTCCCTTCTATTCCCCATCCCTAATCCCTAACGAACCCACGGGCACACACTTTTGGAAACCTGGTAAAGTAACACTTAGGGGGAAATGGGGACAAACTGGCTCTCTGGATTAGTGCGGGTATAGACACCCCCAAATAGGTGGGTAGGCCCATTGATTCAGCTCCTTGCAGCTGTCTCTGTTCAAAGGAACTGTGCAGATTTAGAACGAATTGGAGCTTGAGCTTCACACCACCAGCTTCCAGAGATTAAAGTTTGTACAAAACATTGCATTCTGGCTGTGAGATGTGTTTGTTTCCTGACTTCTTATGGGTAGCGGCTGGTCATGCATCTCTTCTGGCCCATCTGACTTTTCTACCATGGAATTACAGGTATCAGAGGCACTGGATTCTAGATTTGTCTTGGCCACTAACTAGCTCTGTGATTCTGGCTCTGGAATGTTCTAACAACGTCCACAGTTTCATATGCTCCCATGTGAACCCAGGAGATGCTCATGCAGGGTCTGAGTGCTCCTTCCCAGGAGATGCTCTCCTGGCCCAGTTCAGGAGGGAGCCAGGCACCTTACCAGCCCCCAGGCCCCACCTTTAGCCCAGGGAGAGGCCCTGTTCACCTTGAGAGAGGGCACACCCACGGATCCGGTCCAGTCCTACCTGGAGAAGTGTGCTGCTTGGGGGCAGGATGGCCTCAGCTCACCTTGGGGAAGGAGGAGGGGCAGGTCTGAGAAGGAAAACACCAAAAAGAACTGGAATTCTCTTCCATCCAACAAACATTTGGAGACCCTGTGCTCTGCTAGATCCTAGGGATACCATGGTGACTGAAGCAAACAAATGACCAGACGCTGGTGTGGTGAGTTCCAGGCAAAGGAAAACACAGATGGTGGCGTGGGTATTGTCAAGGGCCTCCAATCCAGCCTGGGCCAGAGGGGTCAGTGCTGGGCGAGAAGGGCGGGCGGCCTGGGGAGCAGCAGGACCTGACAGACTCCTGGCCACCACACCTCACTGGACTACATAGCACCACCCCTGCTCCCACCAGGATCAGCAGGATAAGGAACGCCTTGGGAGAGGAGCTGAGGACAAGGGTGGCAGAATAATTCAGCGAATCCAGCCCAGCATGGCCTGAGGGGCTGGGGGAGGGGCCTCCAAATCCAGGCAAAAAGCTTCCAAGTTGAGCTTCCCTCTGACTGCCTAGACCTGTTCCCAGACACTGCAAACTCGGTGCCTGTCCCAGTCTGAAAAGCCCACTCAGACACTTCCAGCCAACCGCTGCAGGCCAGAGAGAAGCCCAAATTGGAGTCATGTGTAGGGCAGAGGGGTATGAAATCCCCCAGCTCCTGACGCCTACAGTCAGTTCCTCCTCAGCCCCTGTTCCTCACCCTGTGTTGGGTCAGTGACCACCCCTATTCCACAAAACACTCCCAGAGAATTCTCTTGGGGATGGCACATGGCATGGGTAGACCAAAGCCAAGATCCAGGAGTGGTGAGGAATGGGAGTGCCAGGAGGATAAATATCTTCCTCTTCCTACAATGCCTTCCCCTGCTCCAAGCCCCAGGCTCCACTGGCTCTCTGTCACCCCAGGCCCAGTTCTCTCCTCTTGGTCTCCTCTGAGGCCACAGGCCCTCCAGGCAGCTGTTCCCGCCCACTGCAGGTTGCACACTCCTCTTTCTACAGACCCAAGATAAGATCTACCGCCCCATCTAGGAAAGCCTCCAAAGGCGAGATTAATTGGACAGCCCAACACAAGTCACATTGTTAAAACAACAGCCCAGGTTGTAAAGTTAAGTAGCACAAGGAGTGTAATTACTCTCTCAGCTAGAGGCCCTGAGCTGACAGCATCCACCCCCCTCTGGCCCCCTCTCCTTCTATCCATCCTTTTCAGGGGAAATGGGAACCTCTTTTCCATTTGGGAGCTGGCCCAGTTTCCCTGAGCTCCTGGGCAGTGATGGGCCTGGAGCTCCCGGGCAGTGATGGGCCTGGAGCTCCCAGTGGAGGAGGTGCCCGGTTCCCTTCCCTCAGGCCATCAGGGCTGTAGAAGGAGAACCCCATGGTTCCTTTCCCTGAGGAAGCCCCACTGGGAAAATTGGGTCAGTAAGGGAGGGGGACCAAGACTGGGTGGTGAAGAACAGGGGCTTTAAGCTATAAAGAGTCCCGGCTCTGTCATCTTCTAGCAGTGTGACTTTTGGTGAGTTACTTAACCTCTCTCTGAGCCTTGCTTTTTCCCATCCCCCACCCCCACCCAAGATGAGAATACTAATAGGACTTGCTTTGCAGAGTGATTGTGATGACAAAATGAGATAGTGCTTGTAACACGCTTGACATGGTGCCTGGAACATAGTAAGCACTTAATAAATGGCATTTACGACTGCTGTTATTATCAGGGGAAGAAGAGGAGGGGTTACAGTGAGGGGGAATTCTTACTGCCATCCATTCACCTTCTGCCCCTGGGAGAACTGCCTCCTAAGGAGGCAGACGAGGAATGAGGCTGGAGAACTCAAAACATCCCTGGTCACCACCATCCGAGAGCTGGATACAGGCAAGGTCCCAAATGCAGAAGACGCAGCACAGTGCATCTGAAGTCAGCTGAAACTGGAAGACGGGAAAGTGTGTTCAGAGAACGTCCAGGGCACTACAAGGGTCTCAGCTACAGGGAAGCTGACTTGGGCTTCCCCACCTTTCTGGGTCACTCAACCTTCCCTCTCCCCGTATACTATTTTAGGTCATGCCTCCATGTTTTCCCCCAACAAAATGAGATTTAATTAATTCAATTAAAGCAATTTTGGGAGCAGCTCCTGAAGGCTTTCAATGTGAGATAATTACAAGTAATTTGCTGCCGTGAAGAGGAAAAGGGCACATGGGGTCTGAGGGGAAGGGAGGTAGCCCCCTCCTCACCAAATACACACAGATCTTGAGGGATTCCACACTGCAATCTTAACTGCCCTCCCACTGGCCAAATTACTTGCAGGTGGGAAGAGGGAGAATGTGGTGGTGATGGTTGAGGGGGAAGACACCCAGTGACAGGCTGCCCCTCCTCCACCCCCAAATCTGAGGTGGGGGTGGGGAGCTGGTTGTTCCCCGACAAAATGTCTGCAATGCCATAGCAGCTGATTACTCAGCTCCAAACCTCATTTGAGTTTGGATGCCTGGACTTGCCTCTGGGATTGTATCCAGAGAGTCAATGGAATGTTATCCCAGTAGCTGAGGCCTGTGTAGACGGGGGCTTTGGAGATCAAGGACCTCCCCAGAATTTATAAGGGATATGGGTAGAGAAAGGAAAAGTCTTTAGAAGGTGGACAGTGATTTCCTGCTTCCACCAAGGAGCTGACGGGACACTCATTTCTCTCCTCCCTGCTCGAAGTCTGTCTAGTTTCTGCCTGGTGTCTAATCTCAATTCCTCCCATTATAGTGATGGCAAAGCTCCTCTCAGTTGAATGCACAGAGGCTTCTTCCTTCCAAAAGGCATCCTACAGGTGTTTCCCCTCCCCTCTGCCCCTGGGATAACCCTTTCCTTCCCAGGCCTCATTTGGCCAGGAGGAGGCAGGAGGGGGACATGATGGAGCTGAGAGGTAGATGCTGGGAGGCAGGGGTTTAAAACAAGGTGTGGGGATGGACTTCAGGGCTCTGCAAAGACCCTCTCAAGCCCGCCCATGAAGGAGCTGGCTTTCAAGAGCCTAGGGTTCCCCTTGACCTGGGAGCCCCGTTCCAGGAGGTGAGTAATGTTTTAACAATGATGGTTGAAAAGAAAAAGTCACCGACCCCATAGTGTTTCTCTTTCATATCTCCCCCTCTCATTTCAAGGTGGGGTAAAGAGGAAGAGTTCCGTCAGCTCTTGTTTCTCCTCACCTCACCCCACCCCACCTCGTGCCCCTGCCCCTACTCTGAGCAGCATGGCTGTTGGACCTGGGGAGCCAGGAGAAATTCTATCAGTGAGTCCTTGGGTGACTGCTCTCTCTCCTTCCAAGATGAAAACACTTCGAGAGAGACAAGCGGCCTCCTCACCACGCCTCCACTTCCCCATTTCCTGGCCTGTGCAGATTGCTTAAAAAGGGGGAATAGGGCTGGGCGCGGTGGCTCATGCCTGTAATCCCAGCGCTCTGGGAGGCCGAGGTGGGCGGATCATGAGGTCAAGAGCTGGAGACCGTCCTGGCCAACATGGTGAAACCCTGTCTCTGCAAAAATACAAAAATTAGCCAGGCATGGTCGCGGGCACCTGTAGTCCCAGCTACTAGGGAGACTAAGGCAGGAGAATCACTTGAACCCAGGAGGCAGAGGTTACAGTGAGCCGAGATTGCGCCACTGCACTCCAGCCTGGTGACAGAGCCAGACTCCGTCTCAAAAAAAAAAAAAAAAAATTGGTGGTGGGGGTGGAAATAAAAGGCCCTTCTACTCCTAACCTCACAATACAAAGGCCCCAAAGAAATGCTTGGAGACAAGCAGGCCCAGGGAGCTAGGCACACAGACACCGCATGTGCACACATGAACCCACAGAAGACACGCACACAGGCAGGCGGACACACACAATGGGGTGCAGGGAGTGGGCAGAGCCACATGTAGACACATGTGTACATGAAGCATTCCCATGGTTGTACATGGACATAACACAGAGAGATGCCCTCGCAGCTTATATACTCACAGAGAGAAGCACAACACAGCGAAGCACCAAAAGGGAGATGCCCGGCGACTTGACCGTAGGCAGAAACAGACATGCATGTCCAGAAATATACAGACTAGCTTCCTTGTGTGCAAGCAGCACATGTGTGTAGGCGGGGGGGGGCAGTCTCTTTTTCTCTACCTCTTTCTTCTCCTGCCACCTTCCCTTTCTCTCTCCCTTTCCCAGCTCTCCATCTATTTTCTGGGAACATTTCTCTGGTGAGTGGTTGAGGAGAGAGGCTGAACAGCCACAGAAACTCGATAATTTTATTCTGACTTGATTGTTTGTGTTCCCTGAAGCTTTGCCTACTTCTTTTCCTAAGCTCTAGCAAGAAAAGCTTCTGTCCCCAGCCCTTCCTGGTACAACTCATGGCTCCCAGACATGTCCTTGGAGTCCAGCTCTGCCACGGGAACCCAGAGGCTATTTAAGGGGGCTTAAGTGGCCTTTCCTTCAGAAGTCTCCACTGATCCCTCTTCCCCACTTCCCGACATTGACTCCAATCCAGGGAAGCAGGAGGGGGCTTGGGATCACAAAGTGGTGAGGAAGGCACAGCTCTGCGAACCAAAGATCTGTATCTGATACTACTTGCTGTGTGACCTTGGGCAAGTTACATACCCTCTCTGAAACTCAGATAATTTCTCTTGCTAAGTTCTGGGTGCAGGGACCAGAGTGGGCTAATGTGTGTCTACCACCACTCTCCACTCTAGTCTGGGGCTTTGTAAAGGCAGACCCTGCCTCTACCATCAGACTGAGCTCCCCTGTGCCTCAGATGGGATGCATCCTACAGCTGGCTCTTCCCAGCCCCCCAGTTTGATGATGCTGAGGTACTCAGCCCCACTGGCACCCTAGGGGGCATGTCTGGCCAGCTCAGGAAGGGGAAAGGAGTCGGCCCCAAGCTTCCTCCAAACATCAAGCTTTCTGATTCAGTGTCTCACAGTGCCAGGCCTTCAGCCTCTCTGACCCAAAACTGGAGAGATGACTTCATTTCCAGGGGAGGGTGCCACTCTCTGTGGAGGGCATGTGGAAGAGATTCCTCTCAGCTCTGTATGAACCATTCCTTTCAGAGTTTAGTTGCTTGGGGTTAAGCCTGAAGAAGATCATTTTGCCGCTGCATGAGACTTCACTCAGGTCTGTGGCCCCCATTCTCTCACCCTCCCCATCTCCAGCTGATGTAACGTAGAGCCCACATCATGAGGTTGGAGCACCCACCTGGATCATCCCACTTTGATCACGAGGTTCCCTGGGCATCTCCTCCACCTACAAGCCCACCCCATGATTATCTTCTCTGTCCTGGTTTGCACCTTAACCTGATCCATTAAGACTTGCACTCTTTCTTCAGACTGGGGGTTGCCAGAGAGCGCTTCATGGGCCTCCCCTCTTGGACTGGGGACTCCTGGGCACCCTGGCTTCTTCCTCTGCCTGCTCACCCCTCCCTCAACCCTGATGCTCCCACTCTCTTTGGGGTGGAGAGGCTCAGCACATGGGGTTGGGTAGAGGCCTAAGAGGGGATGGGGCCACGTGGTACTTGCCAGGCCACGCCCTTTCCACTGCCTGCCTTGCCTGCCAGAGAGCCACAAGACCACTCCTCTCGGGCTGGACCCAGGAGCTGCTTTCTCTGTCTCTGCAAGCTCGGGCCTGCTGCAAACTCCTCCTCCCAGCCCTGGAGCCGCCGGGAATTCTTTGCTCCAACAGATCCTGGGGGAAGCCAGACTGCAGGAGGCTCCTGACATGCCTCTACCCAGCTCCTGTCACATTCCCCAAGCCCAGGGGGATCAGCTGGATCCACCAATGCAGGCTTCTTCCACCCCTTGTGACCCAGGTCTTTGCCTTACCGCCTCAAATCCTCCTACCCACCTTTCTAAACCGTGAATTCTGTCTTGGGACTCACCTCTGACTTTGGATCCCTCCCACTCCCAGCCCCTTGGCAGCCCTACCCGAGCAATAATTGTTATCCCCCCAGCTCCCTTGGAATAACATTTACCTCCTTCTCCATACAGCCTTTATAAAGTCTTCATGGATTTGCACTCTGAGATGCAGGCACTCAGTCGAGAGGCCTTGGGCAAGTCACTTCACATCTCTGGGTCTTTATTTCTTCACCTATGCAGTAGGGCCAATGATCAAATGATGCCTCCAAAGGTCATGGAGACAAGGAGAGTGCACCCCTAGTAAGTTGTGAAAAATACCAGGTATGCTAGGAGATATGGTGGCTTATTCCTTCACCCTGGCTAGACCAACTTGGTGCTGGAAGTGTCTCTCTTTCCATCCCCTAACTTCTTCTCTGACCCACCAGTTCACCATATAATGGAGAATAGTATAGTTCTACCCCCAGGAACACAAAATAACAAAGAGCCAGATTCCTGATTCAAGTCCAACTCGATGACCTTGGGCAAGTTTCTTAACCTCTGTGTACCGCACCTTTCTTACCTGGAAAATGAAGATGAGAGCATGTGCTTCACAGAGTTTTTTGTGGGAACTATATGAGTTGAAACCCAAAAGTCAGCCAGGCGCGGTGGCTCACGTCTGTAATCCCAGCACTTTGGGAGGCCGAGGCAGGCAGATCACTTGAGGTCAGGAATTCAAGACCAGCCTGGCCAACATGGTGAAACCCCATCTCTACTAAAAATACAAAAAAAATTAGCCGGGTGTGGTGGTGCATGCCTGTAATCCCAGCTACTCGGGTTGCTCAGGCAGGAGAATCGCTTGAACCCAGGAGGCAGAGGTTGCAGTGAGCCGAGATCACGCCACTGCACTCCAGCCTGGGTGACAGAGCAAGACTACATCTCAAAAAAAAAAAAAAAAGAAAAAGTCACAATAATACAGTAAGCATTCAGCAAGGATTCATAATTATTAGTATCTCTGACTGACAAGCAAGGAAAACACTCTCTGTCCACGAGGAATCTTGCCCAAGTACCAGTTCCTCTATTGCTCTTCTCTGCTTGGAAGTCTCTATTCCCAGGTGTCAGGATGGCCAAGTGGTCTAAGGAAGTCTCTATTCCCACCAAGCATCTTTTTGGGTTGGAGCCACCTGTCAGTAAAGCCCTGGTGTGGGCTATCTTCTTCAGCCACCCTGTAGTGTGGGTAATGGGCTGGACAGAAGCTGCTTTGTGACTAGTGGAGGAGGTTGTGCAGGAGACTGGCTAAAGTGTGAGGATGTCTGACTGCGCTCCCTGGGCAGCCCTCTGAACACCTCAGGTGGGAAGACAACTGAAGAGGGAAGGCCATACAGTGCCTGCCTCAGTCAGAGCTAATGCAGAGGCAGACAATGCCCCTGACTTCTTCATTCGTGAAAGATTGCCCCCTCCTGTAACCCCAGATTCCCTCCAACTACGCAAAAAAGCAGAGATAAAACTGTCTCCGGCTGGGCACGGTGGCTCACGCCTGTAATCCCAGCACTTTGGGAGGCCAAGGCGGGTGGGTCACTTGAGGTCAGGAGTTCAAGACCAGCCTGGCCAACATGGTGAAACCCCATCTCTACTAAAAATACAAAAATTAGCCGGGTGTGGTGGCAGGTGCCTGTAATCCCAGCTACTTGGGAGGCTGAGGCAGGAGAATCGCTTGAACCTGGGAGGCAGAGGTTGTGGTGAGCCGAGATTGCGCCACTGCACTCCAGCCTGGGCGACAGAATGAGACTCCGTCTCAAAAAAAGAAAAAACAACAATAACAACAAAAATATCTCTTTTTACTGATATTTGATTGCATGCTTAGAAAACTCAAGAAACTCCAGAGGAAAAAATCTTCCAGAATTAAGAGAATTTTGGCATGGTGGCTAGATATGAGATAAATATAAGACATCAGTAACTGTTCTTTAGTATAGCAATAAATAAGGAAAAATATTCCTTTTAAAATGGAAATGCAAAACAAAATCTGTAAGCATATAGACGTGGAGACCAGATATTTAGCTGATCAGTAACTGAGATATATAAACCCCTGTCATCATCCCTTCTGCTGGTTCTAGGCACATGATGGTTTCCTGGGTGATCATCCTTCTATTATCTGAGTCATGAGATCAAGAAAGCACTTTTCCAGTAGAGGGAGGAATTTTGTAGGTGATCTCCCCTGACAGAGAAGAAAGGGTCAACTTTGGACTCATGGAGGGTACATAGAACTCCCTGGGCCAACTGAGGAGGACGCTGAGGAGTGTCCTACCTGCCTATGGCTGATTTAATCTAAAACGGACAGTACAGGCCGGCGCGGTGGCTCACACCTGTAATCCCAGCACTTTGGGAGGCTGAGGTGGGCAGATCACATGAGGTCAGGAGTTCAAGACCAGTCTAGCCAACATGGTGAAACCCCACCTCTACTAAAAATACAAAAATTAGCCAGGCATGGTGGTGGGTGCCTGTAATCCCAGCTACTCGGGAAGCTGAGGCATGAGAATCCCTTGAACCCCGGAGGCGGAGGTTGCAGTGAACCAAGATTGCACGACTGCACTCTAGCCCAGGTGACAAGAGTGAAACTCCATCTCCAAAAAACAAAACAAAACAAACAGAAACCTGACAGTACAGTTTGTTGAGCTCCCATCATTGTGTTAAGCCCTTTATATGTGTTATCTCATTTAATTTCCTCAGCTGCCCTGCAAAAGAGATTTGGTTAGCTCCATTATATTGATGAGGGAAAGTCCGGCTCAGAGACCACAAGCGACTGACCTGAGGTTACACAGTCTCATTGATCTCACCAACAAAATGGGATAATAATGACACTGATCTTGGCAGGTAGCTGTGAGGATGAAATGAGACAGTGCCTGTGGAAGCTCCTGGCATAGGGCTTAGCACACAGTAGGTCTTCCGTTAGCACCATCCCTGCCCAGATCTTGGGAGGAACTCTCTGCTCTTCTGCTTGCCTTCCTTTCCAGCCCCAATTCTGCTCCCTCTGGCCTTCTGACTTCTTTAGTTGCCCACCCTCCCCTGGCTGAAGGCACATCATCCTCCCCCACTCACCATCAGTGGTTCCTGAGCTCAGGGCAGGCCTAACTGACCTAGGGAGTGGGTGTGGGACAGTGCCACACACATTGCATGACGTGGCCAGGCACCCTCAGTGTGCAGGGAAGCACACGCTGCTGCCAGGTGCGAGGTGAACTGCCTGGGGTGGGGGATACCCCTCCCCTGCTCCAGCTAATCCTCCAGGGTGTGGAGTCTCTGTTCCCTGCTGACTCAGCAGACACTTCCAATCCTGCTCTGATTTGCCCCAGGAGACAACCCAGGAATTTGGGCCTTGAGGCCCCACCCACTGTTCCCATCCCCAGGTTTGTCTCCTTCCAAGGTGCCTATCCTGGCTGCCTGACCCCTAAGCCCCTCCTCTGACTCCTCATCTTGGGCAGAGGCAGCCAGGAGACTCCTGGCCCTTCCTCAATGCTTCCTGGGCCTCTGAGCTTCCCAGGACGCTCCTGGAGCTTAACAGGCCTGGTCCATACTCTCTCCCACCCCCAAAAAGTCTGCTAGATTCCCCAACAAAACAGGCCAATTGAAGAAAAGCATTCAGGGGTGTCAGATCACTGGGACCACCTGCTTGTGATCCAGAGGCCTCTCTTGGTTCTGCAAGGGTTTGAGAGCCCACTCAGCAGTGCCTGTCCAGGTGTAGCCTCGTGTAGGGAGAGGAGCCCCAGCACTAAGAACAATCACCTGCTGTGTGACCTTGGGCAAGTCACACAACCTCTCTGGGCCTGCTTCCTGATGATTAGATTAGAATGCCTAGAGAGAGTGCGATCACTGTCAACTCCTGCAGTTGCTCAGGAGAAGCAATTGGATGCTGGGCTTTCCTGTTGTCATCTCATTTAACCCCCATCAGCCTGGGGAGGGACAGTTATCATGTCCCCCTCAGCTTCACAGCCCCTCCCCTGATGCTGAGAGAGGGACTAGGAGAGGGGTCCCAAGATCAATCATTTCATGTCATTATTCATTCATTATGTGTTCACTGAGCATCCTGCTATTCCAGCCTGTGCTAGGCATGAGGTGGGGGTGGGGGGTGTCCAGGAGAACATGTCCCAGTCCCTGACTTCATTCCTGATGCCCCCAGTTCAGATTCTTCCCTAGTTTTGCCCCTAGGGACCTTGGTATAAAAAGGCATTTCCAGGTCCCTTGCCTTCCAGCCCAGCAACCCTCCCCAGGGGGAACAAAAATACTCCACGTGGTTCATGCCCATGCTATGAGCTGGGGACAAAGCAATAAGGAAGGCGCCATGCAGGCTCTGCCTCCACAGAGCTAGGATGGAGCCTGCAGAGAGTCACTGAGTTAGTGGTGACAAGCATAGCCCAGTGACAAAAGAGAAAGGCAAGGGCTGGAGACCCATGTTGGAGATGGGGGAAGGCTTCCCTGAGGAAGTGGCCTTAAGGGCTTCTGGTGGGGAGGTTGCTGGGCCCCTTTGAAGAGACTGAGGCTGCCCTTCCCTGACTTCCTGGCCCCAGCCTTCTCCTGCAATCCCCCAACCTGCTCCCTCTGCCCCCAGCCCCACTAGTGCCCCATCAACATCATCCTCCTGCCCACCTGGGGCCTCGGAAACTCATCTCCAAGCACTTTTTGGCTTGGAAGTCTCCAAGTCTCAGGCTGTTGGGTAGTTGGTAAACAGCTTATTAAGGTGATTAACACTGCAATTAAAGCTGGAAAAACAGAGGCCAGGGTGCTGGCTGCTTCCCCTTCTCCTTCCCCCTCCATTCTCCCCTTCCCTTCCAATCCCCTCCAGGCTTAGTTGATGGAATTCAGCCAACGTAGCCACCTAGAGCCCTCATCTAGGGTCTTGGAAGTCAGGGGCTGGGAGGCTGAGGGTCAAGGGTCTTTGCCAGCTGTCTAGAATCTTTACCACTTTGCTCACATTACCCCAGTGGCTCTGCTGGACTAGATAATAAGCGGTAGGGGTAGTGTGGTCCTGAAGGGTGTGGCATATGGAGGCTGAAGTGGGTGGGGTCTCTGAGATCCCCTAGTATCTGGGACCCCCTCCAGGGAGGGGTCCTTAGGGAAAGAGAGATCATCCTTCTCATCCACTTCCCCAAGTGAGAAAAGCAGAAGCTATCTCCTCCCAAAAGAGGCGCAGGAGCTTCCGTACCCCAAGCTCAAGGTGCTGGAGCATCTTCCAGCAAACCTGAGGGTCTGGGAATGGCAAGACCCTTACCCTTCTCTTAGCCTGACACCCAGGGAAGGATGTGGGGACCCTCTGAGTCTGCGGTTTCCCTCCCTGCACTGGCCCCAGCATGATTCATAAGACAGCTGCGATCAGGCTCCACAAGCCTCACTCCTCTTGACCCCATGAAGTCCCAGAGGGGGGATATGTTCCCAGAGCCGCCCCCCACCCATCTTTGCCTATCATGCTTCCATCTTCTTACAAGGCTTCCTTCAAATGCCTCCTCCTCTATGCAATCTTTCCAGGCTTCCCTCCCACTCACCACCAACTGCCTTGCCCTTTCCTCTGACAGTCCATCCTGTCCTCCCTGGACTATGTCAGGTGTGCCCAGCTTCAGGCCCCTCCCGAGTGGGTCTGCTTCTGGCCCTGGAGCTCTTAGCACAGGGTCTGTGCCTTCCTTTTCCAGGCTTTGGTCATCAGTCAGACCACCTCCTGGAACAGTGCCTGAGATATAGCAGGTGCTCAATAAATAATTGGTTGATTTATTCCTTTTATGAGTGCACCTAGAGATGCATGGGTCAGCCAATGTAGCAAGTGCAGCCAGTGGGCTGGGTCTGAACTGGGGGTGTGGAGTGATGGATGGGGCAGGAGGCAGGCTGGGGAGCAAGCCCCATCCCCCTGGTCACCATTAGCAGCCGCCGCTTCCATTAACTGAGTAGTACTCACCATCTGCTGGGGACCTTGTTAAATATTTTACTCACATTATCTCATTTAATCCTCTCAACAACCCTGCTAGGTAGGTAGCATTATCCCTACACTACAGATGAGGAAACTGAGGCTTAGAAAGGTTAAGTGACTTGCCCAAGGTCACACAACCAATAAAGTACTGGAGGCAGGATTCAAATCCAGGTCAGCTGACTCCAGCATGCACATTCCTGACTGCAACATTAAGCTTTCCCAGGACCAGCCCTCCCCTCTCCATTTCGCCTCCCAGGGAAGAACCCAGGGAGGAGGGCTGGCCAGCTGGGGTGGGTGGGGCTGTGGTGGCTCCAGCTTTCAGACACTCTGCACTGGGATGCCCAGAGATTCTGAAAAGCCCACTAAGAGCACCCATTCTCCAGACCTAGGGTTCAAATTCTAGCATTGGCAAGTATGAGTTATGTGACCTCAGCAGAGACTAAATTTCTTTTGCCTCCGTTTTCCCACCTGATAAATGGGCACTATACCACCTACCTCCCAAGCTGTTGTGAAGGTCACATGCAAAGTGCTTGGCACGGAGTAGGAGTTTAGCGAATGCCAGCTGTGTCTAAGTTTTGGAGAACAGTGACCCTCAGGGCAGGCTGGGGTTCCCTAGCCCGCCCTGCTTCTTCCCCGCCTCACAAAGGTTGTCACGAGGCCATGGGTGTAGTCAAGAAGCACCTGGTAGAAGATGGGCTCAGCAGGCTTACCCTGGTACCCTGCCAGGGCCTCCACCCCCAGCCCCTGTGCTTGTGGGGGGCCCCCATCAGGGCTGATGAAGAGGGTGACCTGCCTGGCCTAGAGGAGAGGAGAGGAGGAAGGGGAGGTCAGGGGTGGGGCTGACCCCCACAGGAGGTCACCTGGGCAGTTAATCCAGCCTGACAGAGCCGGGATGAGCAGGGAGGAATTAGGGAGCTTACAACATCCTTTCATCCCAGAGCCGCGGACTGCCCGCCCTGCCTCCCTCCTTCCTTCCTCTCTCTCTGCCCTTTCCTTCTCTCTCCCTCCCTTTGCTGGCAGCCCAGCCCTAATAAAATGCAGTGTCTCCAGCAAGTCTGCCCGGCTGCCGCCTCGCTGCTCCCGCCTGCACGCAGCCCTCAAACCAAACTACTCAGCTCAGCCCTGCCTGGCAGCTGCCACCTTAACCCTTGCCAGCCCGGCTGGCATCCGTGGGCTGGAGGCCCTCCTCCCTTCCGCCTCCCGTGGGCATGGGGGAGGGAAGAGCCTACCTTCTGAGAGGGAGGGGACTGGATGAGGGCTGGGTCTCCCCAGCTCTGGAGCCCTGCTGGAGGACCCCCCATCTGTGTGGCTGTGAGCGTCCAACAAATCCCTTCTGTGAGCTTGAGACCCGCTCCTTCTGCCTCATCCTTAGTCGGCTGTGTGCCTCAAAACAGCCCCAGAGGTCAACAGGGTGGGGATCGTTATCCCTATTTGACAGATGGGGAAACTGAGGGCCTTGACACAGAGGTTCCTATCTAAGCTGGGTCACCTCAGCTGTTGGGTAGTGTTTTCTTCTTTCTCTTTCTCTCGTTCTTTCCTTTTTTTTTTTTTTCAGGGTCTTGCTCTGTCGCCCAGGCTGGAGTGCAGTGGTGTGATCACTTCTCACTGTAGCCTCAACCTCTCATGCTTAAGCAATCCTCCCACCTCCGCCTCCTGAGTAGCTGGAACTACAGGTGCATGCCACCATACCCGGCTAATTTTTGTGTTTTTTGTAGAGACGGGGTTTCACCTTGTTGCCCAGGCTAGTCTCGAGCTCCTAGGCCGAAATGACCTGCCCACCTTGGCCTATCAAAGGGCTAGGATTATAGGCGTGAGCCACCATGCGTGGCCATGCTACTGATTTTCTATCTGACTTTTTCCATTACAGGGAGCTGCTCTGCTTCTGTGTGTGTGTGTGTGTGTGTGTGTGTGTGTGTGTGTGTGTGTGTGTGTGTCTGATGCTAGGGTGACTTGAGTGATGTGTGGCTGTGCACCTGTGTTGGCAGCCCGCATCTCTTGGAGTATTATGGCTTTGGCTTTGTACCTCGTGTGATGCCAACATGTCTCAGGTGTGTGTTTGCGTCTGTGGATGTGTCTGCAGATGACAGGTTTGCCTCAAGTGGGAGTCCATGTGTGTGTGACGATGGGGAGATGTCATTGTGTGTCTTGATGCATGCATGTGAGAGAGAGGTAGCTTCACAAGCGTGTGCATGCATTCACGCTGTCTCCCATCTGTGCCAAGATGTGTCACTCTCACACACCTCCGTTCATTCTGCCACCTCCAGCTCTCCGTCTCCAAAGCCTTGGAGTTGGGCACCTAGAAGAGGAGGGTGGCGGCAGGGAAAAGGCTCTGAGTCAGGGCCTGAGCCCTCCTTGAGAATTAAACACAGACCCCTCCCCCATCACCAGGCCTGGATCACAGTGCTAGGTCCCTCCCCACTGAGGGAGCAGTCGTGTCCCCCTGACTGAGGCCCCACCCTCACCCCAAGCTGAAAGGGACAGACAGGAGGGTGAGGGGCCAGGAGTGCCTGGGCATGGAGGCAGGGGGTTACACACATGTGCAAGCATGTCTGCATGTGAGCTCCAGATCAAAGACCAGCCCTGAGGTGACCCGGCGGCGGTGCAGAGGGAGCTGTCTGATTCTGAGCACCAAGCTGCCAAGCAGTGGAGTCAGGGAAGCTGCTGCTGGGAGCCTCCCCCAAAGACCTGCCCAGATTGGGGACAGCCATGGTTTCAGGAGCACCTGCCACCAGGGGCCAGGCCCAGCCCAGCACCTTAGTAGTGGTTTCCTAGGGGCCCCGTCTCCCTCAGAGCGCAGAAGTGCCTCCTCACTGGACACCTTCCCCAACTCTCAGACCCTCCCCACAAGAGCTGCCACCAGCCTCCAGTTCAAAGAGCTCAGTGGTTATTTTCGTCTTTTTTATTAACATTATATATAAAGATGAGTCCAGTAAGAAAGCAGAAATGAGAAGGCTGGGAGGGGGTGGGAGATGGCTTTGCTTCTTCCCCCCCGGGTGGGACTCTTGGAGACCTACCACGTCTCTCTTGGCCCCTGCACCTCCCACAAAACCCAAATCCAGCCGGAGCCCACATCTCTCAGCTTGAAACACACAGGGAGATCCGTCCAGGAGGAACATGGCCACATAAATAGGAAACCGCAGCAGGGAGGAGGCTGCTTCTCTCTGTTGCTCTTAAAAAAAAAAAACTTACTATATATTTATATATATAGCTACAGTCTTCTACCTCTCCTTTTTTTTTTTTTTCAATGTTTTACTGCATCAGGGGTGGGGGAAAGTTAGCTTTGGTGGGATGTCTGGGTCAGGGAGGGGCAGTGCCACCAGCCCTCCAGGCAGTTACCCCTTACTCCCAAAGGCACAAGTTCTAACTCTCCCCTCCTCTCCCATACACCTCACCCGACATTCTCCAGCTCGGAGCAATCTGTTTCCAAGGCCACCGGAAAGGAGGTGTTTGGGGGTTTGTCTTGCCTGGTATGTCTCTTTGGAGATTTGGGGTTTGGCACCAAAACTGCCAACTTACTGGAGGAGTAGAGAAGGTGAGGTGGGGGCAGGGACAGAACAGAGGCACCCTTGCAAGGGGAGACTTGGCCCTATCTGTGAACAATGCCCTTTGTTTTCCTATTTTTCAACAGCTTTTAAAACCAAAGTTGTGCAAAGTCCTGGACATGGAAGAAATAAGTCCATAGGAAAAACGTCTGAGACCCACCCCTCCTCTCGGAACGGAGGAGAGGGGAGAGAGATGGCTCCTTTAGTTCTTTCCTCTAAAGCCACAAATATTAAAAGATTCCCTCACTTAGGGGGTTTTCTTTGGTTTCACCCTCAAATCTTAAATGAGGGCTAGAAGTGCAGGGCGGTGACCAGTTCAGGTCCCCACCCGGAGTCCTCGTCATGATGTCCACTGTCTTATTGGCCGAGGGGCCGCTCGAGCAGGGGGAGACCACCAGAGGCTCAGGAGGAACTAGGCCTGGCAAGTTTTAAGATCCACGGTGCCAGGTGCCCCAGCACAGGCAGGACCCGCAAACCCTCCACACTCTCCCCCATCCCAAGGTCTCCAGTCTGGGAACAGGCACTAAGTTTAAGAAGCTGGAAGATGATGAGCCATTTAAAGCCAATCCAGGCTCCTGGAGCAGGTAGGGGAATGGCTGTCCCCACTGGGGTGGAATGTCCCCACATCTGGAGGGGTACCCCAGTGTCTAGGCAGAGGGAGGGAGGTTCAGGGGGCATCCTTGGTCCATGCAATTGTCATCTGGAAGCGCTTGGGTCCCTGGAGGAAGGGGCAAGGGAGGGGGAAAGGGAGTTCCTTTTCCCTGTGCTCCTCGATGATTCCTGAGTGGCTAGGACGGAGGCGCCTTCTGCCTGGTCCTGGGGTCCTTTGTCAAGGGTGCAGGCCAGATGGGTGCTCAGTACACAGCCCCAGGGTTGGGCGGGGGCCCGGGAGAGGCATGGTGCAGGGTGGCTGGCTGAGGCGGCTGCTGCTGTAAGTGGGGTCCACTCAGGTTCTGTGCGTGATACCAGGAGTTGGTGGGGTCGTCCAGGTAGCTGGGGGAGGCACTGTATGGGAGCGGCGGGGGCAGCTGACTGCGGGCAGGGGCCGGAGTGGAGTGGGAAGAGGTGTCCCAGAGGGCGGGTGATGGTGGTGAGTTGCAGGCCATGGAATCACTGTTATTGGGACTGTGCTCCAGCGGCACCTCCCCGTTCTTGTAGAGTTTCTTGAACTTGGAACGGCGGTTCTGGAACCAGATTTTCACCTGGGCCAGAGAAGAAAGGGGTAGCTAGTTAGCCTCTCAGAATGCTAAAACAACCCTGGGAAGAACCTAGCCAAGAAAAAGAAAGGCCAGAACCCAATTTCACATAAGAATCAGGCAAAAAACAGGCCTCCTGACTCCCAGTTTCTTGGATCTGGGATAGAATTGTGGCTAGGAACGTTCAGCTGCCTGGGTCCAAATTCTGCTCTGTCACTTACTAAGCGTGACCTTGGGCAAGTTGTTTAACCTCTCTTGTTCTTGACTTCCTCTTGTCTGCAAAATGGGGATGAGAACAGCACTATTACCTGCCTCATAGGGTCATTCTGAGGCTCAAATAAGGTACGACATATAAAAAACTTAAAGCAGCCTGGTATGTAGTAAGCACTCAATAAAAGGCCGTTGAGGTGGGAGATGGACGGTTTGTAGCATTTCATTCACATTAGACACCCATAAGCAGAGGTGCACAGATACACAGAGACAAACACACCCACATACACATCTCCATACCCAGCCACGTTCCCACTCACAGCCTCACACACAGACACCAGACAATAAAAATACACGCAGACACAGATACACCCAGATAAGCACCCCACAACATGAGCACCCACATTCACACACTCAGGTGTGGAGAAGTTCTCCTGGGCTCGGGCTGGATAATGGGGGTGACCTGGGGACTCAGGAGCAGGTGAGCCATGATTCCCCAAATTTCCCCTGGGGTATCTCCCCCTCCCCCTGCCACTCCCCACCCCATGACTGGTACAAACAATGAATCAGCTCCTCACCAGGTGACCCAGATTCCCGGCGGATGGGGCCCCACGCAGCCACAGCCACAACCTAGGCCCGCCTGTCAACACCTGGAGGGAGCCAGGCATCCACTGCTCCTCCCCTGAGCAGTGACAGGCTGCTGGGGGCTTTAGGGACTGGATGAGGGTGGGGGTGCGGCACTCACTTTTGAGTCCCCATCTCCTTCAGGTAGGGAATTTGGCCTCTCTTGAGCGTTCAAGTGCTGAGCAGGAATGTGGTATTTTGATGCAAGCACACATTTCTGAACATGCATTCAGAACGCATATACATTCAGGGCGCACAGTCACACACACATGCCCCCATCGTTATGCACAATGACCCCGGCAGGATCACACTCCTTACATGAGCATCCTCCGGTGCATGCAGACCCACACAGCATGTGTGCAAACACACTCGCCTATACATGCACACAGACAGTCTGCACACATGCCTAGCCTGGAGGGAAAACACGATGTGGACTCCTACTAAGTGACTAGCACTGCTGGGGGACTTGGGAGCTGGGAATTCTGGAGTAGGGGAACATACACAGTTGCACGGGTTCACAACTATGCTCACTTGTACACGTGCTAACGCAGAACCTTCCCACCGAAGTTGAACCTCGCAGGCCCCCATCCCAAAGGCAAGAGTTCCAGGAGCCCGCAGGGCCCTTCAGTGGCCAGCCAGGCTCGGCAGCGCGCGGGGAACTACGGGGTCCCGCGCGCCCCCGCGGCCCTGGACAGCCAAACACCAACCTGTGTCTGCGTGAGGCCCAGCTGCGCGGCCAGCTCGGCGCGCTCGGGCAGCGCCAGGTACTGGGCCTTCTGGAAGCGGCGCTGCAGGGCGGCCAGCTGGTAGCTGGAGTAGATCGTACGCGGCTTTCGGACCTTCTTGGGCTTCCCATTCACCATGCGCACCTCTGCTTCCGGCTCCTCCTTCACCGACACTGCGGGGAACGCACCGGGCGGAAGAGGGGGCGGTTCAGCCTCGGCCTGCGACTCCTGCGACCCTCCAGGGCCCCGCCGGACGCCCCTCGCTTCCGCCCACCGACTCGCCGCGGGATTCCCGGCCGCGCGCTCCGCTGCCCGCGGCCCAGGGGGGAGCCGCGGCCCCAGAGCCAGAACTGGCCGCGGCCCACAACGCGGCGCTCCCAGCTCCGCGCCCGGCCGCCGCAGCACTGTCCCCGGCGCCAGCCGCCGCCTGCGCCAGGACCGCCTCGGCTTCGCTCACGACGCCTTCCCGGCTCGCCTCCCAGCCTCGGGGCTCCTCGCCGCCCGGCTGCTAGCCGCCCCCTTCCCAGTCCCATCTCGCCGTCGGTTGTTTCTCTCGCTCCTTCCCGTCCGCCCCCCGCCCTTTAAAAAAGTTTCATTTTAGAATCTCTTTAGATTTTCAGAAAAGTTGCAAGGATAGTGCAGACTTTCTTTCTTTCCCTGTCCCCCTTCTTCCCCCCTTCCTTCTCTCCTTCCTTTCTTGTTTCTTCTGCCCTTTCTCTCACTGTCTTTCCATACTTCCCTCTTGCTGCCTTCACTTTTCCCTTTTTCAGCTTCTCTGCCTCTCGGTGGCTGCTTCCCTCCGCTTTCCCGCAACTTCCGTGGGTCCTTCTCATTGCCCCCTCACGACTCCTAGTCTCCCCATCCCTTATCCAAAGGAGGGCCCCTAGAGTTTCCAGCCCCTGCCGCCTACCCCCAAGCCCTCTGCGACTTGATCGAGGATCGCCTGCTGAAATGCCCACGAAATCACCTCGATTCGGAGGTTTCCTAACAACCCACAGCCTTCCCCTTCCTCTCTCAGCTCATCCCGATCCTCATCCGGGACCGCGGCGCACTGCGCACATCGCGCCCCAAATGCTTGCACACCCGGGGCTGGAAGGTCGCCTGGTCCCTCTGAGGGTCATCTAGGCCAACTTCTCTAACTCCAGACAGTACTTTTCTTAGAAGTTTTCCTAGATTTTGGCTTCCAGTCCATGCCTTTTCCTCCCTCGGGAACCTTCCAGTGTCTCCCACTGTCCTCGCGACCCCGTGGCCCTCACCTGGGTCCTGGGCTGGCAGCGGCTGCTCCCGATACGCCCCGTATTGCCGGTAGGAGGCTCCGTAGGTATATTCCGACTTGGGCGAGTAAGCGCCCGTGCCTGCAAGCCCATTGAGATTGAATTGGTGGTGGTAGGTGTAGGGGTTCACCGTCTGGCCATAGGGCTGGCCCGAGTAGTAATCGTGCTGGGGAGCGCTGTAGTAGCCCAGGTCAGTGACAGAAGACTCGGGCAGGGTAGGCGAGTCCTTGGAGCCCGCATGGCAGCTAAGGGAGCTGGAGATGTCGGTGAGGATGCTGCTGAGCTTGCGATCGAAGGAGCCACTCATCCTGGCGGGCGCTGCACCTCCCCAGGGCTGGCCTCCGCAGAGGACAGGAACGGACCGGAGTGCGAGAGAGGCGGAAGAGACGAGGCAGGGGTGTGTGTCCAGAAGGCGAAGGGAGGACCCGGCCGCGTCTGGGGGGAGGGGGAGGCCGAGAGGCGCTTACACCATTGCCTGCCGTCAGGCGGTCGCTGCGCGCCTCTCCTCGCGTCCCAAGCCACAATCAAATGCTGCCAGCTCCGCCCGGCCAGCCGGTTATAGACTCAATAGTGGAGTCGCCGAGGGAGGCTCCTACGCGCTGATTGGCTGCAAGTCTTGCCTTCCAGGCAAAACACGCTTTTGCTCTCTCGCTCCTATGCTCTCCTCTCTCTCTCTCTCTCCCTTTTCCTTCTCTCCTCCCTCCTCTCTCTTCTTTTTCCCCAGTCTTTGTTGTTACTCAAAACACACACACACACACACACACACACACACACCCTCGCTACTCTTGTAGCTCCAGCCCAGATAAGTTCTCTGAAGGAGGGGCGTGGAGGTGGAGGGGAAGGGTTGCTCTGTGGAGCCCCCAGGATCTGTCAGTCTGTTTCTCTGGCTGGGGGATGAGAGATGGGCTTAGGTGAGGTGGGCAAGGAGGGGAGTTTGCCCATTGTGTGTTTGTGGAAAGAGATGGTCTAAGGTGGGGTATGGTTGTGTGTGTGTGCACACGTGTGCACGCACTGTGCAAATGACAGGCACACAAATGTACCCAAAGTGGTGAGGACTCACAGCCCCTGAAAATGGTTTCTCTTAAAATCAGAAGAAAAGGAAAACACCTTTTAGGTGAAAGAGAATGTTTGAATATATGATATTAATATATTATCTTAATAGCAATGCAGTCATTGCTATTATATCCTTGTATTACATAATTACAAAAACGTAATTTAAAAAATTTTCTTTTTATTTAGGAAGGTGCCCACCGGGCAAGAATGTCTTGAGCCTATGAAAGACATAATTTAGCACTAGGAGGATCCTATTGGAGAAGGGGAAGCAGACCTGTGTGGATTTAGAGGTTGTTGGGGATGTACAGCCTGTCCGGTGATACCAGAACTATCTCCAAAGCTATGTATGTGCAGTTTCACAGATGGCCCAGTCTTGCTGAAGGTAGCAAGGGACCTGGGGTCCCCACGAGGTTGGGTGGACACAGGCTGGCTCTGTGACTGTGTGCTTCAGTAAGTCTGAGGGCAGATTTTGTGTATCATGGGACAGCACTGGGGAATTGGGACACTTTTGGGGACTGGGTGCATGGGACGAGTGTATTTGGGGTGTGTGATGTGAGGATTTCATGTGTTCCACAGTATCCACAGAGGTACATGCATGCAGGAGTGTGTCGGGGGCGGGGTGCAGGCAGCATGAGTGGAGGGCCATCCGCGTGTGAACATGTGGTTGTAGGCAGATGTGTCTAGACCGCTTAGTACCTTCCTCATCTCCAGTAGCTGGGAGCTGTACTGCTCCACTGAATTCCTCCTGCACCAGAAAAGCCCTGAAGAATGGCTCCCCTCTGTGGGGACCCCCAGCTTTTAGTCCTGTCTAGCCCACCAAGCTGGGCCCCCTAGGTCATGCTAGCTGTTCCCAACGTCTAGCTCATCCCTGCCTCCCACACCCCATTTTGCCCTTCGCCTTTCTCTGGGGGAGAGAATCCAAATCTCAGTTCCCAGCCTGCCCGGCTCGCTCCGTCGACCCCACGTCCACTCGCCCTGCCTCGCCGGGCGAACGCAGTGCTAGCGCGCCACCTCGTGGTTCCTTCGAGCTCTGCAGCTCCCCGAGCCCGGCGCCCGGCCAAGCCTCGGGGAGGGGTTTCCTCCGAAGACCCTGCCTGGCAGAGCAGTGTACAGGGGGCTGTATGCCCCTTTCCAAAGTCAGACTCGCGCAGCAGGCTTCCGGCAGTCCAAAGGGCTTTGAGAGCTGCAGTTGGCAGAAACAGAGGGCACGGTCCGCGGACTGAGGGGCAGGGGTGAGTGCCCGCTTGGTCTGGGCCACTCCCGGAGGCCGCCGCGTGGGAAAGGTGGGGGCGGGGGCGGGCGAGGGGAGCGCTATCTGTCTGTCTATCTCCGCGTCCCCCCAGCGCCCAGCGCCCGCCGCTCCGAGCCCGTGGCGGGGCGAGTTGCCACCCGCTCCGGGTGCCCTCTGTTCTGCTGCCAAGAGGGCGCCAAGAGAGCCTGCGGCGTTGGGGGCAGGAAGGGCACTGGGCGGGCCGGCTCCCTCCCAGGATGGGAGCGGGGGAGGCGTTCAGGGCCTGCTTTGGAGCTCCCCCTGCCCCGCCCCGCAGACTGTGCCCTCTGTTTTCGCTAACTGCAGCTGCCTCAGAGAACAGACAGCGTGGGGCGAGCCCTTCTCAGGGGTTCATCCATTCATTCATTCATTCATCAACCGAGATCAAGAAGTGGCAGGCGACTCAGAGCTGGGAGTCTACCTCCCTCCCTCCTCAGGCCCTCACAGAAGCCTCACTCTTCTTTCCTCACTCCTACCCCAAGCCTTGGCTCCTGAGTAAAGAGAATGAGCCCTAGGCTGAATTCTGGAATCCTGGAATCTTGAAAGGGCAGTGGTGGTGGATTATACTAGGATAATTTCTAAGCTCCACTATGCTCTGGAATTCTAAGAGCTCTCGAAATGGTTCATAGTTCATAGAAACTGCAACAGTAGGAACTTAAATAAGCAATTAAACCATTGTTTGCTATTGTGAGGTTGACACATGTTCCCCTACCCCCATTGCATGACATGCTCCAAGATGCCAGAGTGGGTCCATCCACTTCACCACTGCCTTCCAGATACCCAGGACCCATTGTTGAATGAATAAATGAAGCTTCCTAATGCTGAAGAAGGGCTGAATCATCTTGGCACTGCTCCCGTGGACCCCTGGCTGAGGCTCAGACATGCTGGGCAGAGTCAGGACAGCGGGAAGCATGGGGCAGGCACTGGGCTGCAGGGTAGGGGAAGGCCCCAAGGGTCTCGTCAGGCCGGCAGGACCGGAGCCACCAACTGCTGGGCGGGCACCTGTTAGCTTAGGATGGCGAGGTAGCCGGAGGATGCAGTGGGACCACAGCCACCCACCCCACCTTGCCCGGGCCAACAAGACGAGCAGGTGTCAGCCTGGCCGAGTCCTGCCTCTGGTGGAGGGGTGACGTGGGGCGGCCTGTGTCAGGGGCCTCTGGGAGTCTGGTAGGAGGGAGAAAGGGCAGTGCCAGCCAATGCCAAGGTCACAGTCCATTGCCCACCCTGTCTCTAGCACTGAGAAAAGG
Source organism: Homo sapiens (assembly GCF_000001405.40). Lineage (NCBI taxonomy): Eukaryota > Metazoa > Chordata > Mammalia > Primates > Hominidae > Homo > Homo sapiens. Next base: position 49,998,262 of record NC_000017.11, read on the forward strand.
TACCCTGTTGAAGCAAGCTATTCCCTGGAACCCAGGCATCATGCCACCTGGGCACTGGCACAGCAGTGGGGCTCAGAGAGAGGCCTCAGGGAGGACCGAGCACTGGTGGGCTGACCCTGCTTTCTCCATTGCCTTGGGGAGTGGCGCCATCTAGTGGTGATTGTAAGAAAGAGCCTGCTTAGCTCCACTGGGAAGACCCGGAAGTGGGTCACCTGCAGGGGCAGGGCCATCGTGCCCAGAAGGAATTTACTTACTTGAGGAGCCCTATTGGCACTAAATATTCACTTTTCATCATCACCTTGTGTTACTCTTTGGCTGCCACCTCTCCCTCCTCTCACCCCCTTTGAACAGCCAGTGGCTCTTTCCCTTGGTTTTCTCATTTGTAAATAAAAAACTGGATTCTTAGATGACCTCTGAGGTCCGTCCAAGCTCGGATGCTCCGTGATTGTAAATTCTAGGACTCTCGTCTCTCACGGGCGAACTCCTCGACCTTCTCACTAACTCCCTTGGAGATACACCCCAAGCTTCCAGCATTTTGCAGCCTGGACTTACTTCCAGAGTCCTTCGTTCATTCAACAGATCTTTGCTGAGTCTCTGCTATGTATCTGATCCCATGCTAGGTGCTGGGGATGTAGTGATGAACAAGACAGACCAGGCCCCTCTCGATGGAGCCCACGTTCCAGCAGGGGGTGCGGACACTTAACGACAGCTTCGCCATCATGTGATGTGTGCTGTGATGGGGCAGCACTTGCCGCCGTGCCAGCCTAAGGGGGCCTGAACCCTTCAGGGGGCAGGAGGATATCTGAAATAAGAAGTGAAGGATGTGTGGGACTTGGCTTGGAAAAACAGGGATGAGGGAAAGGAGAGGCTTCCCGGCCCTTGGAAAGTGCCACCTCCCCCTCCTCCACCCACCTTTGTCCAGCCAGGGGCGCTTTCCCTTGGGTTTTCTCATATGTAAATCAAAAAGTGGGTTCTTAGATGGCCTCTGTGGGCCATCCAAACTCTGATGCTCCGTGATTGTAGACTCTAGGACTCTTGTCTCTCAAGGGTGAAGCACAGTATTTGTGGGGGTGGTTGGGGGGTACTAAAGGTGAAGCAGGGACCCAGGACTCAGAGCAGTTGGAAGCCTGAAGCAGGAGAATGGGCTTTACTTAGAAGCTACAGGGAACCACTGAAAGATTTTAACCAGGGGAGGATCATGATTGGGTTTTCATTCTAGAAGGATCCCTCTGGCAGCTGTGTGGAGACGAATCAGAAGTGATAAGACTGAGGGCGAGGGGCCCAGATATGAGACTACTGCAGAAGCTCAAGCAAAGGGAATCAAGTCTGGGTTAAGGCAGAGGCAGTGTGGCCAATGCCAGAGAGAAGAGAAGTGGGTAGAAGTGGAGAGCAGTGGGTGGATTTGAGAGCCATTGAGGAGGTCAGAGGGACAGGGCTGGGGAATGGACTGGGTATGAATGGCAGGGAGAAGGGAAGGGGGGGAATGACCCCTGAGCTTCTGATTTGGGCAACTGGGTGGAAAGTTGGGGCCGTTCTCGAAATAAAGAGAACACCAGCAAGAGGAGACGCTTGATGAGGAAAAGAATGTGTCCGTTTTTTCCCCCCACTGGAATCTAACATACCTGCAGAAAAGTGCACAAGTCCTAATTAAAGGCTTTGCATCAATCAAACATAGCTGTGCAACCAGCACCCAGGCTGAGCAGCAGGTATTGAGGAAGCAATATCCAACCCTCAGAAGCCCCCTCACTCTCCCTTCCAGTTCCTACTCCCTGAGAGTAAACACTGTCTCTGCTCCTAGCACCGCAGATCAGGTTTGCATGTTTTTTACTTTTATATAAACGGAAGTGTATAGTATATACAGTCAGCCCTCTTCCATATCCATGGGCTGTGCATCCATGGATTCATCCAACCTTGGATCGAAATTATTCAGCAAAATAATTGCATCTGTGCTTGGACACATATAGACTTTTTTTCTTGTCATTATTCCCTAAATAATATAGCATAATAATTACTTAAATAACAATTACATTTTATTTGGTATTACAAGTAATCTAGAGATAATTTAAAATATATGGGAAGATGTGCATAGGTTATCTGCAAATACTACTCCATTTTATATCAGGGACTTGAGCATCCACAGATTTTGGTATCCGAGGAAGGTCTTAGAACCAATCTCCCACGAACAAGGGAGGGCTGTATTCTTTTATGTTTGGCTTCTTTTGCTCAACATTATGTTGTGAGATTTATCCATATTGTTGGCTATATTTATAGATTGTTCATTTTCATTGCTGTAATGTGGATATTTTCTCATATGAATATATCGTTATCTATTTTTCTCTTCTACTGTTGATGGGCATTTGGGTAGTTTCCAGTTTGGGACTATCATGAGCAGTGCTGCTATGAGCATTCTTGTACATGTCTTTTGGTGCCTGCATCTATGCTGTTGTTGGGTACCTATGGGTGGAATTGTGTGCCACCAGGTGGGCACATGTTTGGCTTTAGAAGAGGCTGCCAAGCAGTTCTCCAAAGTGGTTGTGCCATCAGCTTAAGTGTGATCATGCTGAGTTTGAGTGTCTTTGAGACATCTAGGAAGAGCAGTCCTAGCCATAGTTAGCAACATGGATCTGAAAAATCAGTAAAGAAGCTGGGATTGGAGATGTAAATTGTGAGTATCTGGCTTCTTGCGGTAAGTGGAGCCATTGGCATGGGTGAGATGGTCCAGGAAAGGAGGGAGAGAACACGGGGCAAAGGTCCAGGCAGCACCTGTGAGAGAGGGGTCAGAGGGAGGTGGGAAGCAGTGCAGAGAGAGTGTACCCTGAATTGGGTGTGGGGAGAGCTGGGGGGAGGGTTCAAGGAGGAGAGAGTAGTCGGCAAGGTCAAATCTTGCTGTGGATTTGTAGTCAGGGTGGGGTGAGGACTGAGATGCGCCTACTGGGCAATGTCTCAAGGAGGAGGTTGATGATATCAGGAAGAGCGGGTAAGGGGAGTGGGGAGCTGGAAGCGGTTCACAGCTGGCTGAGGGGCCAGTGGGATGCGAGGCAGTGAAGAGAACACGTGCCAGCCACTCTGTCCTGATGGCTGTGAAAGGAGGAGGGAGGCAGAGGGCGGTAGCTGGAGGGTATTTGGCATATTGGGAGGGTGTGTGTTTGAAATGGGAGCAGCATGTTTAGATGCCAATTATCACCTCCAGTAGAGAAGGGTTAATCACGAGTGCCATCCCTGAGTAGGTGGGAGGGGAAGGATCTGGAACTTCTCCAAAGGGGTTGGCCTTATAGCAGATTATTATCTATTCCGTTGAGTCAAGAGAGAAGATGAACTGATAAAAGCTGGCTTTCATTGAGTGCTCACTGTGTGCCAGGCACTGCTCGAAGCCATCTACATATATGAGTTCATTCACTGCTCCCAACCCTATGAGATGGGCACTCTCATGTCTGTCTTTTGACAGAGGAGGGAACTGAGGCACAGGAAGCTAAGTAAGTGGATTTAGGATTTGAGCCCAGGCAGTCTGTTAACCTCTATGGGGCAGGCATTCAGCTTGCAGGTTTAGCAGTCAGAAGGTAATTTGACGGAGCTAGGCACTGGCCATGTGGGTGTTTTTTATACTACCCTCTGTACTTTTCTATATGTTTGAAACATCTCAGAGTAAAAAGAATTGTACTTGGGAGGCCAAGAACATGGCAGAACTGCATCTCTACAAAACAAAACAAAACAAAACAAAAAACAAAAATTAGCTGGCTGTGGTGGCTCACACCTGTGATCCCAGCACTTTGGGAGGCTGAGGTAGGAGGACTGCTTGAGCCCAGGAGTTAGAGACCAGCCTGAGCAACACAGTAAGATCCCATCTCTACAAAAAAGGAAATGAAAAAAATTAGACAGGGGCAGTCCCCAGCTACTCAGGAGGCTGAGGTGGAAGGATGGCTAGAGCCCAGGAGTTTGAGGCTACAGTGAGCCATGATCACACCACTGCATGCCTGCCTTGGTGACAGAGTGAGATCCTGTCTCAAAAGAAAAAAAAATGTGTGTATGCGCACGCACGCACACACACAGAGGGAGAGAGAGAGAGAGAGATTGAGAGGGAAGAAATGTATTGCCTTTGTTCACAGATAACATGATATCTATGTAGAAAATTCTGGCAAGGTGCAGTGGCTCATGCCTGTAATCTCAGCACTTTGGGAGGCAGAGGCAAGAGAATTGCTTGAGCCCAGAAGTTCGAGACCAGCCTGGTCAACATAGTGAAACCCTATCTCTACGAAAAGTAAAAAAAATTAGCTAGGTGTGATGGCATACACCTGTAGTTTTAGCTACTCAGGAGGGTAAGGTAGGAGGATTAACAAAATATGTACAAGATCTATATGAGTACATAAAACTCTGATGAGACAAATAAAAATCTAAATAAATGGAGAGAGACTCATGGATTCATGGAGAGGAAGATTGTTAAAATGTCAGTTCCTTCCAAGTTGATCTATCCATTCAATGCAGTCCCAATCAAAATCTCAGAAAGTTCTTTTGTGGATATTTACAAATGGATTCTAAAATGTATAGGTAAAGGCAAAAGACTCGAAGTAGCCAACACAATACTGAAGAAGAAGAAAAACAGTCTGAGGACTGACACTGACCGACATAATGTTGGGCCAGGCGCGATGGCTCATGCTTGTAATCCTAGCACTTTGGGAGGCCAAAATGGGAGGATCACTCGAGCTCAGGAGTTCAAGACCAGTCTGGGCAACATGGTGAAACCCCATCTCTAACAAAATAAAATAAAATAAAATAAAATAAAATAAAATAAAATAAAATAAAATAAAATAAAATAAAATAAAAAGACAATGTGGTATTGGTGAAAGAATAGTGAAATAGATCGATGGAATAGAATCAAGAGCCCAGAAGTAGACCTACACAAATACAGTGAATTGATCTTTGACAAAGGAAAAAAGCCTTTTTTTTTTTTTTTTTTTTCCTGAGATGGAGTCTCACTCTGTTGCCCAGGCTGGAGTGCAGTAGTGGGATCTTGGCTCACTGCAACCTCCATCTCCCGAGCTCAAGCGATTCTCCTGCCTCAGCCTCCCAAGTAGCTGGGATTGCAGTTGTGCACCACCATGCCTGGCTAATTTTTGTATTTTTAGTAGAGATGGGGTTTCACTATATTGGCCAGGCTGGTCTCAAACTCCTATCCTCAAGCGATGCACCTGCCTTAGCCTCCCAAAGTGCTGGAATTACCAGCCTGAGCCACCATGTCCAGCCTTAATTAATAATAATTATGTATCAATATTGAGTCATCAGTTGTAACAAATGTATCACACTAATGTAGGATGTTAATAATAAGAGATACTGTGTCCGGTGAGGCAAGAGGGTAGATGGAAACTCTGTACTATCTGTTCAATTTTTCTGTGAACCTTAAAGTGTTCTAAAAAATAGTCTCTTGGCTGGGCGCAGTGGCTCACACCTGTAATCCCAGCACTTTGGGAGGCCGAGGCAGGCGGATCACGAGGTCAGGAGATCAAGACCATCCTGGCTAACACGGTGAAACCCTGTCTCTACTAAAAAAATACAAAAAATTAGCCAGGTGTGGTGGCAGGCGTCTGTAGTCCCAGCTACTCAGGAGGCTGAGGCAGGAGAATGGCGTGAACCCGGGAGGCGGAGCTTGCAGGGAGCTGAGATCGCACCACTACACTCCAGCCTGGGCGACAGAGCCAGACTCTGTCTCAAAATAAATAAATTAATAAATAATAAAAAATAGTCTCTTAACTTGAAAAAAAAATGAGGCAAAGAGATTTTAGAAAGATGGAAGCTACCCATTCAGTGGTGGTGTCTTGATGGGACTTTCCATGAGCCATGACATCATGCACCCCAGGCTGTCCTGCCTCCTGCTTATTCCCAAGCCTGTTTCACCAGCCACACACTGAATGCATGCACCATGGAAATCCTTTCAGGAAATTTCTTTTAGCTGTTTGTTTATGGAACAGGGTGTCACTGTGTCACCGAGGCTGGAGTACAGTAGTGTAGTCATAGCTCACTGCAGCCTCGAACCTTCCAGGCTCAAGCAATCCTCCCACCTCAGCCTCCTGGGTAGCTGGGACTACAGGCACGCACCACCATACCTGGCTAATTTGTGTGTGTGTGTGTGTGTGTGTGTGTGTGTGTGTGTGTAGAGACAGGGTCCTGCTCTGTTGCCCAGGCTGGTCTTGTACTCCTGTCCTCAAACAATCTTTCTGCCTCAGCCTCCCAAAGTGCCAGTATTATAGAGGTGTACCACTGTGTCCAGCCCCTTTTGGCTTTTTAAAAGGCACTTGGTAAAGTTAAATATCTATACATTGAGACTTAATTAACTAAATTTTGAGACTAGCAAAGTAGGAATGGAGGGAATTTGATGAAATGGTAGAAGCACTTACCAAACACCCACAAAAACCCTACGCTTAATGGGGAAATTGAATGTCTATGAGGCCAGGCCCTGGGGTTGTATAAAGAACACAAGAAGAGGCCGGGTGTGGTGGCTAACGCCTGTAATCCCAGCACTTTGGGAGGCCGAGGCGGGCAGATCACAAGGTCAGGAGTTCGAAACCAGCCTGACCAACATAATGAAACACCGTCTCTACTAAAAAAATACAAAAAAATTAGCAGTGCACGCCTGTAATCCCAGCTACTCAGGAGGCTGAGGCAGGAGAATTGCTTGAACCTGGGAGGCAGAGGTTGCAATGAGCCGAGATCGTGCCATTGCACTCCAGCCTGGGCAGTAAGAGTGAAACTCCATCTCAAAAAAAAAAAAAAAAAAAAGAACACAAGAAATAGAAAACCTGGATAACTCTATGTCTATCACATTAAATTTGTAATTTAAAACTTTCCCATAAAGGAAAATCTAGGTGTAAATGGCTCCATTGGTGACTTCTGTCAAACATTCAAAGAAGAAATGGTTCCAAATTTATCTTCTGTTTTGGAAAATAGAAGAGGCTGGCAACTTTTCAGCTAATTTAATGCAAGCATGACCTTGATACCAAAACCAGACAAATACATTACAAGAAATGAAAGCTCCAAACCAATGTCTTCATGAACACAGATGCAGAGTCCTTAGCAACAGCCAGGTATGGTGGCGTGCCTATTGTCCCAGCTACTCAGGAGGCTGAGGTGGGAAGGTCCCTTGAGCCTAAGAGTTCATATCCAGCTTAGGCAACATAGCAAGACCCTGTCTCTAAAAATTAAAAAAAAAATAAAAATAATGAAAATAAAATAAATAAATAAATTCTTAACAAAACATTAGCAAATTGAATCCAGAAATATACAAAAAGTAATGCAGCAATATAGAAAAGAGATGGCACACCATTACCATTACATTCCCAGGAATGTAAGATTGATTTTGGCTGGGCATGGTGGCTCATGCCTATAATCCCAGCACTTTGGGAGGCCAAGGCAGGCGGATCCCCTGAGGCCAGAAGTTCAAGACCAGCCTGACCAACATGGCAAAACCCCATCTCTACTAAAATACAAAAAAATTAGCCAGGCGTGGTGGTGGGCACCTATAATCCCAGCTACTCGGGAGGCTGAGGCAGGAGGATTTCTTGAACCCAGGAGGTGGAGGCTGCAGTGAGCCAAGATGGTGCCATTGCACTGGGCAACAAGAGCAGAAGTCCGTCTCAAAAAAAAAAAAAAGATTGATTTAACATTTGAACATCAATCAATATAATTCATCATATTAACAGAATAAAGGAGAAAGTTATATGATAATCTCAATAGATGCAGAAAAAGGGTGTGATGAAACTCAACACCCATTCATGATAAAAACTCTAACAACTGGGAATAAAAGGAAACTTTCTCAATCTGATAAGGGATATGTTTTTAAAAAGTATAGCTAACAGTGTTACATAATCTGCTATAATATATAAAATATTATATAATATATAATAATGTTATATAATAATATAAAACTATAGCTAGCATAATAATGGTAATTGAAAACTTTACCCTTAACATCAGGTCTGAAGCAAGAATGTTCACTCTGACCATTTCTATTATGCTGTGGTTCTAGTCAGTACAATAAGGCAAGAAAAAGAAGTAAAAGGCTTACAGATTGCAAAGGAAGAAGGAAAATTGTCTTTATTTACAAACAACATGATTGGATGTGTAATCTATAAAAAATCTACTGAACTAATAAGTGAGTTTATCAAGGTCACAGGACACTTGGTCAGATATTATATATTTCAATAGACTAGCAAAAAAAAAAAAAAAGGAAATTGAAGATAAAAGAAAATACTACTTAGAATAAAAACAGGGCCGGGTGCGGTGGCTCATGTCTGTAATCCCAGCATTTTGGGAGGCCGAGGCGAGTGGATCACGAGGTCAAGAGATCAAGACCATCCTGGCCAACAAGGTGAAACCCCGTCTCTACTGAATATACAAAAAATTAGCCGGGTGTGGTAGCGGGCGCCTGTAGTCCCAGGTACTCTGGAGGCTGAGGCAGGAGAATGGCATGAACCCGGGAGGCGGAGGTTGCAGTGAACCGAGATCATGCCACTGCACTCCAGCCTGGGCGACAGAGCGAGACTCCATCTCAAACAAACAAACAAAAAACAGAATACACAAGGGGATAAGCTTAAAACATGTATAAACCTTGTCCTCTGAACACTACAAAAAAAATTCTGAGAGATTAACACCTGAATAAGTGTAGAAAGTAGGACAAATGACTCAATATTGTTCAGATGTCAATTGCCCCAAAACTGATCTATAGAGGGACTTTGTAAAAATTATTTTGGTTTTGCAGTCAACTTTAAAAAATGATTCTAAAATCTATTTGAAAAAGTAAATATTAATAAATATCGAAGACAATCTTAACAAGGAGTAAAGAGGGAGGACTTAGCAGATATTAAGACATACCATAAGGCATGGTAATAATGATTGGTTTAAGAACGAATAGAGTAATAGCATATAATCAAGGGTTCAGCCACAGACCCAGGGTGTACTGCAAATCAATGGGAGAGAGGATAGATTGTTTAATAGATACTCAGAGAAAACAAAATTCAGGCTGGGAGTGGTGGCTCATGCCTATAATCCCAGCCTTTTGGGAGGCTGAGGTGGGCAGATCACTTGAGGCCAGGAGTCCAAGATCAGCCTGGCCAACATGGTGAAACCCCATCTCTACTAAAAATACAAAAATTAGCCATGCGTGGTGGCTCACATCTGCCACCCAGTTACTTGGGTGGCTGAGGGAAGAGAATTGCTTGAAGCTGGAAGGCAGAGGTTGCAGTGAGCCGAGATCACACCACTGCACGCCAGCCTGGGCAACAGAGCGAGACTCTGTCTCAAAAACGAAAACAAAAAAGAAGAAGAAAGAAAGAAAACAAAGTTTAGATCCTTACCTAATACGATATACAAAGGTGGACTCCAGATGAATGAAAGTTCTAAATCTGAAAGGTAAAAAGGCCAGGCATGGTGATTCATGCCTGTAATCCCAGCCCTTTGGGAGGCTGAGGTGGGCAGATCACTTGAGGTCAGGAGTTTAAGACTAGCCTGGCCAACATGGTGAAACCCCATTTCTACTAAAAATACAAAAATAAGCTGGGTGTGGTGGTACGTGCCTATAATCCCAGCTACTTGGGAAGCTGAGGTGGGAGAATCACTTGAACCCAGGAGGCAGAGTTTGCAGTGAGCTGAGATCGCACCATTGCACTCCAGCCTGGGCAACAAGAGCTAAAATCCATCTCAGAAAAAAAAAAAAAGGGTGAAAGTATAAAATAGAAGAAAATGCAGTGTCCTGTCTTTGTAATCTAGGGTAGGGAGTGTCTTCAATCTCTAAAGATAAAAAATTGAAAAATTTTATGTTAACATTAAGAGTTTCAATTCAAATAAGGACACCATAGACAAAATGAATAGATGTATACAGAATGAGAAAAGAGGTTCACAATATCTAAAATAAACAGAAGAATATGTAGAAAAATTCAGACTATGTATAAACTCTTGCAATTTAATAAGGAAAAAGATAGCAACCTAATTAAAGGACAAAAGATTCAAACATGCAATTTTCAGGATGTTACCTATATACCCCTGTGTATATAGGAAAAGATGCTCAGATTCACTAGTAATCAGAGAAATGTACATTAAAACACCCATGAGGTAGCCCTTTACAACTGTAAGATTGGTAAAAATTCAAAAACTTATTAGTGTCATGTTGGCTGAAATGTGCATCTGTTTCTGAACTCTCTGATACATACATACCTCATGATCCAGCAGTCTTGCTCCTGGTAGAACCCTCACACAGATCACCAAGGAACATGTATGAAAATGTTCATTGTATGTTACTCATGGTAGCAGGGAGAACGTCCATTCTTGGAGTATGGAGAGGTAAAATGTGGTAGACATACTCCATGGAGTACTTCACCACAGTAACAAAATACAAAACATAGAAACATGGATAGATTTTAGAAATATAGTTCTGAAGGAGAAATGTAAGAATGATATTGCATTCGAATGAATAAATGAAAAATGTATTATGTTTACATAAAATACATGTACATATTTTGCAAGAACACATAAAAACCAAGAAAATACACACTAATTAAATTATTCAGCAAGTATTCATTGAGTGTTTGTCATATGCCAGCCAATGTTCTAAGCTCTTGGCATTCAGCAATGAACAAAAAAAGATCCCTGACCTCATGGAGCTTGTAGGTAGTACAGACAAAAAACAATATTCGTGATAAAGAAGTCAATTATATATTGCATTAGAAAGTAATAAGAACTCTGGAACAAAAGAAAAAAGTAGGACAGAATGAGGAGGATTGGGTATTGGAAGGGCAGTTATGAGAGTCTTCATTGAGAAGATGGACTGTGAGCAAAGACCTGAAAGAAGTGAAAGAGTGAGCCATGAAGATGTGTGAGGGACAGTGTTCCAGACAGAGGGGAGAACTGGTGCAAAGGGTCTGAGGTGGGAGCATACCTGGTGAGTTTGAAGAACAGCAAGGAGGCCAGCATAGAAAGAGAGAGAGCAGAAAGAATGAGGGAGTGTGCCAGGAGAGGGGGGTCAGAAAGGCAATGTGGCAGGGGTTGGGGGATCATAAAGGGCCTCAAAGCATATTGTAAGACTTTGAGTTTTTCTTAAAGTGAGATGAGTAATTATTGCAGAATTTTGAGCAGAGAAGTGGACATGGTCTGACTTGTATTTTATTTGAATGTGTCACATTGTGGATCTCTGAGTTTATCCTATGTACAGTTCATTGAACTTCTTGGATGTGTAGATTCATATCTTTCATCAAATTTGGAAAGGTTTTGGCCATTATTTCTTCAAATATTCATTCTTCCCATGCCTCTTCTCTATCTGGGACTACCAAAACGTATATGTTGACATGCGTGATTGTGTTCCACAGGTCTCTTAGGCTCCCTCTGTTTTTTTTTTTTTTTTCCCCAAGATGGAGTCTCACTCTGTCACCAGGCTGGAGTGCAGTGGCACAATCTTGGCTCACTGCAACCTCCGCCTCCTGGGTTCAAGCGATTCTCCTGCCTCAGCCTCCCAAATAGCTGGGACTACAGGCACATGCCACCACGCCCAGCTAATTTTTGTATTTTCAGTAGAGACAGGGTTTCACTATGTTGGCCAGGATGGTCTTAATCTCTTGACCTTGTGATCCACCTGCCTCAGCCTCCCAAAGTGCTGGGATTATAGGTGTGAGCCACTGTGCCTGTCTGGCTCCCTCTTTTTTGAGTTCTGGTTTCTTTCTGTCCTTCAGGCTGAATAATTCCAATGGACTATTTTCAGGTTTGCTAATTCTTTTCCTTTGTTTCTTTGTTTCTTTCTTTTTTTTTTTTTTTTGAGATGGTGTCTCGCTCTGTTGCCCAGGCTGGAGTGCAGTGGCATGATCTCAGCTCACTGCAACCTCCGCCTCCTGGGTTCAAGTGATTCTCCTGCCTCAGCCTCCTGAGTAGCTGGGATTGCAGGTGCATGCCACCACGCCTGGCTAATTTTTGTATTTTCTGTAGAGATGGGGGTCTCACCATATTGGTCAGGCTGGTCTCAAACTGCTGACCTCATGATCCACCTGCCTCGGCTGGGATTACAGGCATGAGCCACCGCACCTGGCAGTTTTGCTAATTCTTTATTCTGCCTGTTTAAATCTGCTGAGGAACACCTCTTGTAAGTTTTTCATTTCAGCGATTGTACTTTTCAGCTCTAGAACTTCTATTTGGTTTCTTTTTTTAAATATAAATTCTGTCTCTTTATTGATATTCTCTGTTTGTTTAGACATTATTCTCTTGGTTTCCTTTAGCTCTTTGAGTATATTTAAAACAGTTAACTTAAAGTTTTTGTCTAATAAGTCCAATGTCTGCACTTCTATGGGATGGTTTCTATTGATTTCTTTTTCTCTTTTCTATAAATTGCCTTTCTTGTTTTTTCGTATGCCTTGTAATTATTTTCTTGAAAACTAGACATACTGAATATTATAAGATTGTAACTCTGAAATCAGATTCTGCACCCCATTTGCTGTTGTTGCTTACTGCAGGCTGCAGTCATCAATTTGTTTATTGGCTTTTCCAAACTAGCTTTGTAAATACTGCATTTCTTGTCATGTGTGGTCACTGAAGTGTTTTCTATTATCTCAGTCATCAGTTAATGGCCTGACCTTAAATGCCACTTTATTTAGCAGTCTCTTTCTTCATTCCACACTCCTTTGGTTACTATAGTTTTTTTTTTTTATTAGATTCTAGAGATCCAAAAACTTGATTCTGTCAGTTGCTTCAGTAAATAGACCAATTCTTGGAGCTTCCTACTCTGCTATTTTCCATAATGTCATCCCTGATATGTTTTTAAAGTTCACTCTGTTCAAGATATATTGTTTTAGTTTGTTTGTTTGTTTTGCTTTGCTTTGTTTTGTTGAGACAGGGTCTCGCTCTGTCACCCAGGCTGGAGTGCAGTGGCACAATCACAGCTCACTATAGCCTTGACTCCCCAGGCTCAAGAGATCCTCCCACCTCAGCCTCTCAAGTAAGTGGACTACAAGCATGAGCCACCATGCCCAGCTATTAAAAAAATATTTTTTTGGCCGGGTGCATGCCTGTAATCCCAGCAATTTGGGAGGCCAACGTGGCCAGATCACGAGGTCAGGAAATCAAGACCATCCTGGCCAACATGGAGAAACCCCATCTCTACTAAAAATACAAAAATTAGCTGGGCATGGTGGTGTGTGTCTGTAGTCTCAGCTACTTACTTGGGAGGCTGAGGCAGGAGAATAGCTTGAACCCAGGAGGTGGAGGTTGCAGTGAGCCGAGATTGTGCCACTGCACTCCAGCCTGGCGACAGAGCGAGACTCCATCTCATAAATAAATAATAATAATAATAATTATTATTATTATTGTTATTTTTGTAGGGACAGAGTTTCCCTATGTTTCCCAGGCTGGTCTCAAACTCCTGGGCTCAAGCAATTTTCCGTGCCTTGTCCTCCCAAAGTGCTGGGATTACAGATGTGAGCCACCACACCTGGCTCATGATATATTGTTAAGTGAAAAAAATCAAGGTGTAGAAACGTGTGTATGGCATGCTACTATTTATCTAAAGGTGAGGGGGGTGGATATTGGCTTATGAATAGTGAATGTAAAACCACAAAACTTAAAAAGAGCGATTATACACCTATCCCTGATGAGTATAGATGTGAAAAAAATCTTAACAAATTATTAGCAAATAGAATTCAGTATTATACCATGACCAGGTGGGATTTATTCCAGGAATGTAAAGATGGTTCAATATTTGGAAATTAATCAGTGTAGTCCACTGTATTAGCAGGTTAACGAAGAAAAAAAATCACATGGTCATATAAATTGAAGCAGAAAAAGTATTTGACAAACACTTAACACCCATTCATTTTGAAAATTCCCACAAAACCAGGAGTAGAGGGGAATTTCCTCAACTTGATAAGTGTATCTACAGAATACTTATAGGTAACATCATACTTAATGGTAAAAGACTGAATACCTCATCCCTAAGATCAGAAACAAGGCAAAGATGTGCACTTCACCACTGCTATTTCTATTTGCAGATGACACGGTTTTCTACAAAGAAAATCCCACGGAATATACAAAAAAATACCTTCTATGACTAATACGTGAATTTAGCAAGGTCAAAGGATATAAGATCAACATATAAAAATTAATCGTACTTCTATATATGGGCAATGAACATAGAAAAACTCAAGTTAGAAACACAATACTATTTACATTGCTTTAAAAAAGAGAGAAATATTTAGGTGTTAAGCTAACAAAAGATACAGGACTGCAGATGTCAACTGGGATATTTCATTTACAATAATGGATTGTCATTATTGCAATTTTCTGAGGGATGCGACTTAAGTGTACAACTTAAGTGGGTTGTAATCGGGGGCTTTAGCAGTCTGCCTTTGGATTGAGATTTTGCCTATGGATTGAGATAATGCTAATTTAACTTTTAACACTGTGAATGTTGTGACCATGTTTTCTAGAGTTCAGATAATGAAAACAAGAATTATTATAATACCAATGCCAATGATTACCGCACAATATAATACCAATAACATCACTGGGGAAAAATGCTAAATGACTGTATTATCTTCACGAAAGATGGAAGGACACATACATTGAATTGGGGACGTAAAGAACCAAAACAGAATTCCACAATATGCAGAGAAGAATCTGGGCTTGGGCACAGTGAAGTTGGGCATATGAAAGCACACATGAAAACTAAATCTCACAAGTCCAGGATAAGACGGGCAAGTACTTCTACATCAATAAAAAGATTTTTTATTTTCCAAAAAGACACCAATCCTTGGTCAGAAATGGCATCTGCTGAATTGGCTTATTCAGGACAGTTCTCCAGGTGGCCTTGGACAGAATTGATTTTCCCTTCTTTCTTACTTGTAGTACTCAAGAATAACTGTGTAGAATGTACTGGGAGAGTAATATCCTGAGATAAGGAAGAATTGGCTGGGACAGTTCAGGTTCTGTTCCAGTTCCCCCTCAAAACAAGGTGACCTTCAATGCTTTGGCTCAGCAAGTACCATATCTCCAGAGTATAAAACCCAGGGTGGGCTGGTTTCCAGGTCCCTCTACTATGGTGCAAGTGAGGCATGCAGAGATGAGATTCTAGCCACCATATGGAGATTTCCTGAGTTTTGGAAGACTGTGTTAGGCAGCTTTCTGTTTTTTTGAGATGGAGTCTCGCTCAGTCACCCAGGCTAGAGTGCAGTGGCACAATCTCGGCTCACTGCAAGCTCCACCTCCTGGGTTCATGCTATTCTCCTGCCTCAGCCTCCCAAGTAACTGGGACTACAGGTGCCCGCCACCATGCCTGGCTAATTTTTTTTTTTTTTTGTATTTTTAGTAGAGATGGGGTTTCACCATGTTAGCCAGGATGGTCTCAATCTCCTGACCTCGTGATCTGCCCATCTTGGCCTCCCAAAGTGCTGAGATTATAGGGGTGAGCCACTGCACCCAGCCATTAGGCAGCTTTTGTGCTACTATAAAGTAATACCTGAGATTGGGTAATTTATAAAGAAAAGAGGTTTAATTGGTTCATTGTTCTGCAGGCTGTGCAGGAAGCATGGTGCCAGCATTTGCTTCTGGTGAGGGACTCAGGAAGCTTGCAATCATGGTGGAAGGCAAAGGGGGAGCAGATGAATTACATGGTGAGAGTGGGAGCAAGTCTGTGGGTGGGTGGGGGGTGCCAGGCCCTTTAAACAACTAGATCTTGCATAAACTAACTTGAGTGAGAACTCACTCATTACCGTGGGGATGACACAATTCATGAGGGATCCACCCCCATGAGTGTATGAAAATACAATCATCTCTTCCCAACAGTCCCCCAAAGTCTTAACTTGTTCCAACATCAAGTCCAAAATCCAAAGTCCAAAGTCTCATCTGAGACTCATGCCCAAGTTCCTTTCACCTATGAGCCTGTAAAATCAAAAGCAAGTTATTTACTTCCAAGACACAATGGCAGGCATTGGGTAAACAGTCCCATACCAAAAGGGAGAAATTGGCCAAAAGAAAGGGGTAATAGGCCCCATGCAAGTCTGAAACCCAGAGGGCAGACATTAAATTTTAAAGCTCCAACATAATCCTTGACTTCATGTCCTACATCCTGGTGTGAGGGGTGGACTCCTAAAGCCTTGGACAGACCTGCCCATGTGGCTTTGCAGGGTGCAGCCCACATGACTGCTGTCATGGGTTGGAGTTGAGTGCTTGCAGCTTTTCCAGGCAGAGGGTGCAAGCTGCTGGTGAATCTACCATTCTGGGGTCTGGAAGGTGATGGTCCCCTTCCCACAGCTCCACTAGGCAATGCCCTGGTGGGGACTCTGTGGGGCTGCAACCCCAGATTTCTCCTCAGCATTGCCCTAGTGGAGTTTCTCTGAGGGGGCTCTGCCCCTGCAGCAAGCTTCTGTCTGGGCACCCAAGCTTTTCCATACATCCTTGAAATGTAGGTGGAAACCACCAAGCCTCCCTCATGCTTACATTCTGAGTATCTACAGGCTTACCATCATATGGAAACCACCAAGGTTTACAGCTTGTGCCTTACAGAGTAGTGGCCCAAGCTGCACCTGGGGCCCTCTTAGCCACAGCTGGAGCTGGAGCAGTCAGAATGTGGGGAGAAGTGGGACCCTGGGCCTGGCCCCTGAAACCATTTTTTCCTCCTAGGCCTCTGGCTCTGTAATAAATGTGCTATCTCCAAGGTCTCTGAAATGCTTTCAAGGTCTTTTCCCTGTTGTCTTGGATATTAGCACTTGACTCCTTTTAGTCATGCTAATCTCTCCAGCAAGTGGTTGCTCCACAGTCTACTTGTATTCCTCTCCTGAACTTTCCCTTTCTCTGCCACGTGGCCAAGGTGCAATTTTTCCAGACTTACACTCTGTTTCCCTTTTAAATATAAGCTCCAACTTTAAGTCATTTCATTGCTCCCATATATGATCATAGGCTATTATAAGAAGTCATGCCACTTCCTGAATGCTTTGCTGCTTAGAAGTTTCTTCCACCAGATACCCTAGGTCATTGCTCTTAGGTTCAATCTTCCACAGATCCCTAGGGCCTGGACAAAATACAGCCAAGTTCTTTGCTAAGGCATAACATGGGTGATCTTTACGCTAGTTCCCAACGACTTCCTCATTTCCAAGACTTTGTCAGCCTGGCTTTTGCTGTTCATATGTTTATCAGCATTTGGGTCACAACCACTTAACAAGTCTCTAAGAAGTTTTAAACTTGCCTTCATCTTGCTGTCATCTTCTGAGCCCTCCAAACTCTTCCAACCTCTGCCCATTACCCAGTTCCAAAGCCACTTCCACATTTTCAGGTACCTTTATAGTAACACCCTACTCCTTAGTGCCAATTTTCTGTTAGCCCATTTTTGCATTGCTGTAAAGAAATACCTGCTGGGCGCGGTGGCTCACACCTGTAATCCCAGCACTTTGGGAGGCCGAGGTGGGCGGATCACAAGGTCAGGAGATCGCGACCATCCTGGCTAACACGGTGAAACCCTGTCTCTACTAAAAAATAGAAAAAATTAGCCGGGCATGGTGATGGGCACATGTAGTCCCAGCTACTTGGGAGGCTGAGGCAGGAGAATGGCGTGAACCTGGGAGGTGGAGCTTGCAGTGAGCAAAGATTGTGCCACTGCACTCCAGCCTGGGTGACAGAGCAAGACTCTGTCTAAAAAAAAAAAAAAAAGAAATACCTGAGGCTGGATAATTTATAAAGAAAAGAGGCTTAATTGGCTCATGATTCTGCAGGCTGTACAGGAAGTGTGGTGTCAGCACCTGCTTCTGGTGAGGGCCTCAGGAAACTTACAGTCATGGTGGAAGGTGAAGAAGGAGCAGGCATGTCCCATGGTGACAGCAAGAGAGAGAGGAGGGAGGTGCTAAGCTCTTTAAATAATCAGATCTCATGTGAATGACCAGAGTGAGAACTCATTGAACTCATGAAGCCCTTCAAGAGGGATCCACCTCCATGATCCAATTACCTCCCACCAGGCCCCACCTCCAACACTGGGAATCACATTTCAACATGAGATTTAGAGGGGATAAATATCCAAACATATCAAAGACCAGCTCCAAATGAATTTTATGCTTCTGCTGTCCCTTGCTGCCTATCTGTAAATAATAAACCTGCTTCAGTAACTTGTGTATGTGAATGTTCTGTTTCACAGGACTTGGGTCATTGGTAAAAGTCTAGTCCCAGGATACAATGAGCTGAAGTGGTAACCAGTGCACAGTGGACCTGCTTTGCAGCTTGGGCATGCCACGCAAATGAACAGGACTTATCATTTGTTCCCTTGATTGCTCTGAGACTGAGTAAAGTTACTCAGTTTCCTGATGCCAAGGTTGCAACTGAAATATCCTGTAGGAGCGAAAGAGGTCCGTCATGCTTTCCACAGCACATCAGGCAATCCATCCAATCACAGCAACAACACCAAAAATGATCCCCTCTGCTCTCAGGTACTTTAATTTGAAAAATGGAGTTTTGGCTGGGTGTGGTGCCTCATGCCTGTAATCCCAGCGCTTTGGGAGGCTGACGTGGGAAGATCATTACTTGAGCCCAGAAGTTTGAGACCAGCCTGAGCAACATATCAAGACCTTGTCTCCACACACAAAAATTAGCCTGGCATGATGGCGGGCGCCTGTAATCCCAGCTACTCGGGAGGCTGACGCAGGAGAACTGCTTGAACCCAGGAGGCGGAGGTTTCAGTGAGCCGAGATTGAGTCATTGCACTCTAGCCTGGGCGACAGAGCAAGACTCCATCTCAAAAACAAACAAACAAAAATTTAACTGTTCATCTTACTGTCTATGAAGATTTTCTAAGAAATTCACAGAAAAACATAAGACAAAAGATTGTCAATATCTTATCCAAATACAAACCAAACCTGGTGCATCTCATCTTTCATAGTCAGCAGACAGGGCAAACATAAAGTCTAGCAAATATCATTCAGTCTATAAGCTTCTTACCAAAAAATAAAAAAGATCTCATCTGCTAAATCCTGCACACCTGTACACAATACCATGAAAAGAGGGATGATTTACTGACCTATGATATTGAGGCTTTCATAATGGAAGTTTTTTTTTTTTTTTTTGTCTGTTTGTTTTTTGAGACAGTCTCCCTCCATTGCCCAGGCTGGAGTGCGGTGGTACGGTCTCGGCTCACTGCAACCTCCGCCTCCCAGGTTCAAGTGATTCTCCTGCCTCAGCCTCCCGAGTAGCTGAGATTACAGGCGCATGCCACCATGCCCGGGTAATTTTTGTACTTTTAGTAGAGAAGGGGTTTCATCATGTTGGCCAGGCTGGCCTCAAACTCCTGACCTCAGGTGATCTGTCCACCTCAGCCTCCCAAAGTGCTGGGATTATAGGCGTGACCCACCATGCCCGGCCTCATGATGGAAGTTTGAGGTCACTTTTCAGTTTCTCCAAAATGTGCAGAAGCAATTTATAAAAAGTTTTTACTTTATTATTATTATTATTGAGATGGAGTCTCGCTCTGTGGCCCAGGCTGGAGTGCAGTGGTGAGATCTCGGCTCACTGCAACCTCTGCCTCCTGGGTTCAAGCAATTCTCCTGCCTTGGCCTCCGGAGTAACTGGGATTACAGGTGCCTGCCACCATGCCGGGCTAATTTTTGTATTTTTAGTAGAGATGGGGTTTCACCATGTTGACCAGGCTGGTCTTGAACTCCTGACCTCAGGTGATCCGCCTGCCTTGGCCTCCCAGAGTGCTGGGATTACAGGTGTGAGCCACCGTGCCTGGCTACATTTTTTACTTTATATAAATGGAAGGAGATAGCTTAGACATGTGCCTCCAAAATGCTTCTCATTGTTGCTATTCATAGCAAAGAAGTTAAAATCTTGACCTGATGTTAAATCACATTCTGAAAGGGCGAGATAAAAAGAGTGTTCTTTTCTAATTTGGAAATACATTAAGGATTAAGGATGAGAATGGAGAAAGGGATTACAGTAACACAGAAATAAGTTCTTTCTCCAAAACCATCTGATGATCTGTGAAGAGGCCCTAAGGATGAACTGACTGCATCAGACATGTTCCATGCCATGTGTAGGTTGTGACAGAATATTCATACAGTAAAATAAAGTGACTTATATTTTGGAAATAAGACTGCTTCAGAGTTAAAAAAAAAAAAAGAGCCACCCGAAAAACAGCCAAATTAAATAGAATTTCCTTAATTTCTTTACTAAAACTATAAGTTATTTTGAATCCAACTTTGATTTCACAAGTTTGAATTATTTCTGGGCTTTAAAAGCATTTTCCCTTAGAAAGAAGAGTTAAACTTCTGATGATATCCAAGGTACTTCCAAGCATTTAAAAATGACAGACATTTTAGACATTGATAGTCTATAAGATAGATTTATATCTTATGGATATAAGATGCAAAGGGCCTGATTGATAAACACATTGCTGCTCCACCAAAACAAGCCTGTAGACACAAAGTAGATGGACATTTTTAGTCCAGGCACGGTGCCTCACTCCTGTAATCCCAGAACTTTGGGAGGCTGAGGCAGGTGGATCACCTGAGGTCAGGAGTTCGAGACCAGACTGGCCAACATGGTGAAACCCCATCTCTACTAAAAATACAAAAATTAGCTGGGCATGGTGGTGCACGCCTATAGTCCTAGCTACTTGGGAGGCTGAGGCAGGAGAATTGCTTGAACCTGGGAGGTAGAGGTTGCAGCGGGCTGAGATCATGCCACTGCACTCCAGCCTGGGTAATAGAGCAAGACTCCATTAAAAAAAAAACAAAACTAGATGGACATTTTTGAAGAGCTATAAACTGATTTCTACAAGCCTAAACACCTGCTGTGGCTAGTTAGTATAAAATTCTAAGTATTCCAGGCTCAAATGTTTTTGTTGAGAGGATATTGAGTTTGATATCATCACATTGGAATGACAAGAGGAATCAGTGTAATACAGGCTTGACAATGGCAGAACTGCAGGTCTAAGTGGATCTTACATTTGATTGTCTACAGTTTCCCACTATCTAAAAGAAATAAAACATGTCCCAAAGGCTGCAGGCAGTTAGGAGGAGTGTTACCAGAATAGAAAACAGGAAGAGTCATATGATCTTACTATGACATGGGACACAAAGAAACATGTCACTGACCAGGCGCAGTGGCTCACTGTAATCCCAGCACTTTGGGAGGCCAAGGCAGGAGGATTGCTTGAGCCCAGCAGTTCAAGATCAGCCTAGGCAATATAATGAGACCTCATCTCTACTAAACATCCAAAAAATTAGCTGGGGGTTGTGGCCCATGCCTGTAGTCCCAGGTACTCAGATGGCTGAAGTGGAAGGATTACTTGAGTCTGGGAGGTAGGGGCTGCAGTGAGCCGTGATCATGCCACAGCACTTCTGCCTGGGCAACGGAGCAAGACCCTGTCTCAAAACAAAACAAAACATGTCATTGCTGTTTTAAAAAAGTTAAATATAGGTAATATCTGTTTAATTAGTCCTATTATATTTGTGTTCTCCTTTTACAAAATATTTCATGTATGTATCTTAAGAATACACAGTAATGGCCGGGCACAGTGGCTCATGCCTGTAATCCCAGCACTTTGGGAGGCCAAGGCAGGGGGATGACAAGGTCAAGAGATCGAGACCAACCTGGCCAACATGGTGAAACCCCGTCTATACTAAAAATACAAATATTAGCTGGGCGTGGTGGCGCGCACCTGTAGTCCCAGCTACTCGAGAGGCTCAGGCAGGAGAATTGCTTGAACTGGGGAGGCGGAGGTTGCAGTGAGCTGAGATCGCACCACTAGTGGCACTCCAGCCTGGCGACAGAGTAAGACTTGGTCTCAAAATAAAAAAGAATACACAGTAGTATAGACTATAGAATTTAAATACCTAGTAAAGAGTTTTAAAAAACAGTTAAAATAAGGCCGGTGCAGTGGCTCATGCCTGTAATCCCAGCACTTCAGGAGGCCAAGGAGGGCAGATCACCTGAGGTCAGGAGTTCAAGACCAGCCTGGCCAACATGGTGAAACCCCATCTCTACAAAAATACAAAAATTAGCCAG
This sequence comes from Homo sapiens, assembly GCF_000001405.40. NCBI lineage: Eukaryota > Metazoa > Chordata > Mammalia > Primates > Hominidae > Homo > Homo sapiens. The sequence continues at coordinate 50,020,264 of NC_000017.11, forward strand.
ACATGATGGCAGGCACCTGTAGTCCTAGCTACTCGGGAGGCTGGGGCAGGAGAATCTCTTGAACCCTGGAGGCGGAGGTTGCAGTGAGTTGAGATCATGCCACTGCACTCCAGCCTGGGTGACAGAGCAAGACTCCATCTCAAAAAAAAAAAAGTTAAAATAAATGGACAGAAAGAGACTTTATAAAAGTAGTGTTTATTCACACATATCATTTGTTTAATTGCCCCACTGTTAATTAGTACTAATTGCCACTTTTAACTTGTCCTATTGTTGTTTGGCTTAAATAACAGCATTTATGGATTAGAAAAGTAAATAATAGAGAACAACATAGAATTTCAAATAAACACCTATTTTCATATTTTTACATTAAAGTTATAAAATGTGTATATATGACATATAATATTATGCTTTTTATGTTTTTTCTGGTATAGCTGTGTCCCACCTGGCTCTCCAAAAAGTTGGTCACCAGAGGGTGAGGGGACTCACCACCTCTGCCAGCCAGCACCAGGGTAGAACTCACTTTGAAGAGCTCAAACAGTGTCACCAGGTCCACATTGTCTCTCTGGGCCCTTTGTTCCCCTCCCAGCCTGTGCTTGTATTATCCTCACCCAGCAAGCCTAGCAATGAAAGCACTTCTGTCCCAGGCACAGGCTTGAGATAGAGTCTCATTGGGTGCCTTTGAGTCACACACCTGTCCCCAAACTACTTGCCGTCTCCAAAGGGAGTGGCAGAGCCTGGATCATGTGGGATCATTGCTTCCAGCGCGAGATGGTGGCTGGGGGGAGGAGCCCCCTCACACCCTTTCAGATACTGGAGAAGCGGTTCTCTACTGGGAAACTGAGGCCCCCTTCTCAGAAGAGGGAAGACAGGCTGTCCATTTCCCCTTCGGCAGGGAGCCAAAGTGCTTTCTGCTAAACCATTTTTGGCCAAATTCCTGGAGCCACACAAACACGCATCCATTGTCTCACTTACTGTATTCTATGGAAATGATCTATTGATGTGCCTCGCTTGCTGACTGCACAGTAAGCTCTCAAGGACAGGGACAGCATCTGGCTCCCGCTGTGTCCTCAGCACCCTGTCCTCAGCCAGACGCTTGACAAGTGCCCCAAGATATCCTTGGGTTCCTCTTTTTGTTTCTTGTTCTCAGCTCCCGGTTCACATGTTCCTTGCACAATCTGCAGATGTGCACAGCCTTCACATCTGTAGCTCAGCACAGACCTTTCCTTTGAGTCCAGAGCTGTGAGTCCTGCCATCTTCAGGACTCTAAATTGAATGTCCCACAGGTGGCTCGAACTCCACGCGTGGGAAATTGAACTTGCTGTCTTCACCCTATTCTCCTCCTGCACTGTTCCCTTTCTCAGTGACAGCTCTATTGTTCATTCAACCAACTACACTCTCATCCTCCACAATTGGTCAATGCCCAGGTATCATTGGTCCTGCCTTCCATATACCTTTCAAATCTTCCCTCCACCCCCATCCTCTTCATTCCACTGCCCTGCACTGTCCTGCACCGCCCTGCCCCAGGCCTCAGCCCTCTCTCCCCCAATGGCACGCAGGCATCCTGTGCCAGAATCCGCTCCCCTAGAGCAGCGATACAAGGGTCCAGCCTGAAGCCCCTTGGTGCCTCCCATTAACTACACACTCAAGCCCAAACCAGCAGCACGTCAGCTCTGCAGCCTCCAGTCCCATAGTTCTGCCCAGCTTTGGGGCTCCAGCCCTTCCACAAGCCTTGCATTTCCCTGGGAGCACATGCCTCCCTGTCTGATCCCTTTCTTCAGGTGGCTAATTCCCTTTTGTCCTGGGAGACCAGCCTTACTACCAAGAGGCCCCCCATAATACACAACCCAGCCCCTCACACTGAGAGCCCTGCCTCTGGGCTCCTGCGGCCCTCTGTGCTTTTCTCTTCTCTGCCTTTTCCCACATTTCATTCATTCATTCATTCATTCATTCATTCATTCATCTTTTCAGTGGTGCATTGGATTGTGTGCCCACTGTTATACTCAACAATAATTTGACTTATGTGGTAAAGTTCCTGTGGTTAGACAGGTGACCCCTACCTACCAGTCTCTCCCTCTGGAGTGTAAGGGCCAAGAGGGCAGGGATGACATCCCTTATCTCCATGACTGCAGCCAAGGTTACTCCGGGCCTGGCACCTAGTATGTGCTATCAATTGTTCAATGAATGGATCAACAGACCAGCTACAGCAGAGATTAACAAACTTTGTAAAAGGCCAGATAGAAATTATTTTAGACTTTGCAGGCCATGTGATCTCTGTCTCAACAAGAAAGCAGCCATAGACAGTACATAAATACAATTTTGTTTACAAAAGCTGGATTTAGCTTGTGGATTGTAGTTTGCTGACCTTTGAGCTACAGGAATGAACTTCCTGCAGCACTTGGGAATAACTTCCGGCCCCCACCTTCCTCCCCAACGAGACCTGCTCCTGTCTTCTGTCCCCTTCTCAGCCTAGCCCCCTGGCCCTTTCTCCCACCCTCCAATCTTACTTCCTGCCCACCCTCAACCCCCCATTCCCAGAGCATTGTCCTTGTCATGTCTCCCTTTTCAGACTCAGAGCTCCTTGCGGACAATAAGTTAGCCACTTTTCCCTGACCTCCTCCAGCCCAGCCGCCTGGATTCTCCATCACTCTCACACTCACATGATGACCAGCACTATGGGCAAGCCAGTGACAGGCAGATATTTACTATGAATAGCACTTCCTCAGCTGAACAGTTGGAAAGCACATTTTTCTGCATGCTTTCATTCCTTTGTCAGCCCCTGTCTCTTCTGCCTTTCCCTGGGTTCCCTGAGGCCTTTCCCCTCGAGACTCGGCCCTCCTGGTTCCTTCCCTGGCTAATGCCTGGGGCATCTATCTACAGCCTTGGTTCCCAGGAAGATGGTGGGTACTTGTCAGAATTAGTTGCTGTGAACTCTCTCTCTCTCTGTCTCTATCTCTCTCTCTATATATGTGTGTGTGTATCTATATATGTATGTGTTATATATGTATATATACACAATTGTTACATATGTATATATACATATATAACACATATGTACATTCGTATATATAGAGTTCATCACAGCAACTAACTCTGACAAGTATATGTATATATACACGTATATATACATATATGTATACATATATACACATATAGGTATGTCTACATATACACATATATGTATACATATACACGTATATATGTATACACACACATATATGTGTATGCACACATGCATGCATACATGCATAGTGCATGTATGTACACACACGCACATATGCATGCATACATGCATACATGTATATACATATATGCATACACGCATACATACCTGTATATGTATATGTGCATATATGCATACATACACACATATGTATGTATGCATACATGTATGCATATGTGCATGCACATGTATGTATACATACATGCATGCGTGCATGTGTGTACATACATGTACGCACGCATGAGTGCATGTGTGTATACACACGTGTATGTGTGCATGTATGAATACACACGTATGTATGCATGTATGCATGTGTGTATAAACACATATGTGTACATGTATACACATATACGTGTACATGTATACACATATATGTGTATATGTATATATGTGTATATATGTATACATATAAGTATATATAAGTGTATGTATACATATACTTGTCTTGCTGTGATGAACTCTATACATATGTATGTATATATGTGTATATATGTATACATATATGTGTATATACATATATAACATATACATATATACACACCTATGTGTATACACACATGCACACATACATGTATGTATACACACATGCACACATACATGTATGTATACACACATGCACACATGCATATGTACATGTATGTATACACATGCAAACACGCATGCATGCATATATGTATGTAGGGCATATGTACATGTATGTACCCACACATGCATACATGTACCCATACATGTTTGCATACACACATGTGTATGCGCATATACACACATGTATGCATACATACACATGTGTGCATATACATGTATGTATGCATGCACATATACATATGCATGTGTGCATACATACATGCATTTACATGCATGCATGCATGCATACATGTACGCATATGTGTATGCATGCATGTATGTACACATATGTATGCATATACATGTATGTATATGTGTATACATACATCTATGTATACACACATGTATGCATGTGTAAACACGCATGCATTATACATACATGTATGCATACACACATGCATGTATGCACGCATGCATGTGAATGCATGCACACATGTATACATGCGTACATGCATACATACATGTATGTGTATGTGGATACATGCGTGCATGCATGTATACACACATATGTATATATACACATATGTATGTGTGTGCACATGCATACATGTATGCATGCATGTATGCACGTATGTATATGAATGCATGTATGCATGTGTGCACGTATGCATGCATGTGTGCACACATATGTACAATGTATGGATGTGTGTATGCATGTATGTATGCATTATCCATGTACACATATATGTATGCATACATGTATGCATGCATGGATGCATGTCTGCATGTCTTCATGTATGTGTGCACGCATGTATGCATGTATGTGTATGCATTTATGCGTGTATACATACATGCATTTACATATATGCGTGCATACATACATACATACATGTGCCCATGCATCCATGCATGCATCCACACATGTATGCATGCATCCATGCATGCATCCACACATGTATACATGCATACACGCAACATGTATACATACATGTATGTGCGCATCCATGCATGTATACATACATGCATACATACATCCACACATGCATCCATACATGTATACATACATGTACACGTGCATGCATACATGCATCCATACATGTACACGTGCATCCATACATGCATCCATGCATCCATGCATGCAACATGCATGCATGCATACATGCATACATGCTGCATGCATACATGCTGCATGCATGCATGCACGCACGCATACATGCAGCATGCACGCACGCATGCATGCAGCATGCACGCACGCATGCATACATGCATGCATATATGTATGTGTGTGTACCTGTATACATGTATGTATACACACACACACACATATATAGAGAGAGAGTTCATCACAGCAGCTAACTCTAACAAGTACCCACTGTCTTCCTGGTAACCAAGGCTGTAGCTAGATGCCCCGTGTGTGTATATATGTATATATATATATATATACGTGTGTGTGTGTGTGTGTGTGTATATATATATATATATATATATATATATATATATATGGAGAGAGAGAGAATATATAGAGAGAAAGAAATATATATAGAGAGAGAAAATTTAGATATATATATATGTATCTTTTTTCGGGACAGGATCTTGCTATGTTGCCAAAGCTGGTCATGAACTCCTGGGCTCAAGCAATCCTCCTGCCTCGACCTCCCAAAGTGCTGGGATTACAGGTGCGCACCACCACTCCCAGCTAATTTTTTGTAATTTTAGTAGAAACGGGATTTCACTGTGTTGGCCAAGCTGGTCTCAAACTCGTGACCTCAAGTGATCCACCTGCCTCAGCCACCCAAAGTGCTTGGGATTACAGGTATGAGCCACCACACCCAGCTGTGATGCTTAAATTTTATGTGTCAACCAGACTGGGCCACAGGGTCCTCAAATAGAGCAGGGGAGAAAGAGTCACATGGAGATGGGTCTGTGATCAATCATGGGCTTCCCCTTTGAGGACCCCGAGGCTCCCGCTGCCCCACATGAAAGTGGGGTTCTATAACTAACAAGGAAGGGGGAATGGATGTCAGGGATAGGCAACCAGTGATCTCACCACACCTGGGATCCCCCCTTACAGGGACACAAAGTAAAGGGATGCCTGAAAGCCACCATGTGTTTTACAGCTGGCCCTGGGGCTAGAGAGCAGGACAAGGGGGAGTGAGGGCAGCTATGAAGCCCGGACCTGTGAAAAGGAGGGAAGAAACACTGTGGACATCAGCCAGGCATGGAGAGGCAGAGCCACGGAATGCCAGAACCAGAGTTACCCCCGGTTACACAGATGGGGGAACTGAGGCCTAGAGGGGGCCTGTGACCTGTCCAAAGCCACATAATGCTGTCTCCTGTCTCCAGGCCAGGGTATTTCCCTGTATTAGAGCTGTTGTGTTCACTGCTGGCCGTGGTGGATCCTCACTGCTGTCCTGCTCTAAATGGCAGAGTGTGGCTCTGGGCCCTGGGTGCCCATGGGGACTGCCTGGAGCCAGCAGGCCAAGTGTCTTCACACGAATTCAGAAGCAGGAGTGAAGGACCCACCCTGAGACAAACCAACCGACTTAACATATTTAGAAGTCGGGGAAGAGACAGGGAAGGACAGACAGAATTCCTGCCTGTCCGGTCCAGGGCCTGACTCTTGCCAGGCTGACCTTCCTGTCCGGGTGAGGGGAAGGAGGCGCTCATGCTCTTTCTGCCTGGAGGACAAAAGAGAACCAGACGAAAACAAAGGTCAGGGCATACGTAGGAGTTTCCAAAGGGCACAGGCGAGGAAGGAATCTCTTACCTAAGAGGGTTTTCAAACATAACAGAAAATTGCTTAAGTGTGCTGGAAAATAAGGCAGCATGGCTGAGAGGCAGGAGGAGGAACAGGGTGACCCCGGGATCTGCCTTGGTGGTGGCAGCCCAGGCTTCTGCTGTGTGGTGACCGGTGATGCTGGCCCTGACCATGGCTGCAGTTAGCGCAGTCGCCACCAGGTGGCAAGCATGCCCATTTCTGAAGGATTGGCTGCTGGAACTCCGATAACTGGTTGGTTGATGGATTTGTTTATCCATCCATCATTTATTTATTCAATCGTCATTCATTCATAGCTTTGATTCCCCCCAAGCATTTTTGACTCATTTGTGCCAGCAGGCATTGTGCTAAGTGTGAGGAGGAACCAAAACTGGCCCAGAAGAGGTGGCTGTTGTGGGCACCTCACACGGCCCTCCCTGCTCAGCAGCCCCGCGGGGGTGCCGGGACCAGAGTGGGCCATGGCGGCCAGGTACCTGTGGGTCAGTCCTGCAGCTGGCGGGGCCTGCCTGGATCGGATCCCACGGCAGCCACTCGGGCTAGCGCCCCCTGCCCTCCGTTCTGCCGCGGAGCCAGCGGGCAGTGGGCCCTGAGAGAGGTTTGGCTGGCCTCCCATGCTGGGCTCAGGCCGCCCGCAGTGGGGCTCAGGTGTAGCCGCACAGTGGTCCCTGGGGCTGAGGTTTTCTCCGTCTCTGTTCTTCCTCCAACCAGGCTCAACCTCAAACCGCGAGTCCACCCCTCTGCCCCCCTTCTCCCTTCCCTCTGCTGTGTTCTGCAGCGTTTCTCAGACGTGTACCTCTCCAGGGCAGAAAGTGGATCCCTGGAACAGGACTGGGTCCCGGGGCCTCAGGGTCACCGGATCCCTTCTGCTTTCCTCAAGCCTTGCTCCTGCCCCTCCCCTGCTTCCGGCTGTGAGGCCAGCGTTCAGCCAGAAGCATCCATGTCTTGGCTGTTGGCTCAGGCCCCACATGACGCATAGCCCCAGGAGGGCAGGGACCTCAGCTGATTCACTGTTGAAGCCCCAGGACCTTGCACAGTGCCTGCCACAGAGCAAGCCTCAACAAAGGTGGGCTGCATCACTCAAGGAAGGGGAGTGAATGCAGCTGTGCAAAGAGGAGGGCCACGAGCATCTATGGGAGGGCGGGGCAGGCGTGGATGCTGCAGGACACAGAGCGTGCCCACGCGCCTCGAGACTGCCCTGCGTTGAATTGGTGGAGCCCCTGGACCCGCTGCAGTGAGGACCATAGGAGCCCCAGTTTGCTCCATGGGACTCTAAATCCAGCAGGGGTGGAGTCATTTTTTGGGGCCCCCAGAGGACTTCCTTGGCCAGCAGCTGCAGTGCCCAGTCCTCCAGGAGAGTGTCAGCTGCCACTCTGTATTGCTTCCCTCCTCCCCTCTCCTGCTGCCCCAGCTTCCCTGGCAACTGGGGACACTGCCCCCCACCCCAACTACCAACCCAGGCCCCGTGCCTTCTGACTCACAGCAGCTCAACAGGAAAGCATCTGATCATGCCCACAGCCCTGGCATCTGGCCCACAGGAGTGGCACCCCTCCCCAAGACCTTCCACACAGTTTCTATATTAGGGTAATGTCCATTGAAATCTCTCCACCCCACCCCCAAGAAACCCCCCTGTGATACGTGGGGATGGCATAGCGCCCCGCCGCGCACTGTGCCAGGTGGAGTGGGAGTCCTGATCCTACCGGCTCATCACATTCCGCACATTCCCAGTGGGCAGGGTGGAGGAGGGGCTAGCCAGGGAGGAAGAATGCCGCTTGCCTCTGACATCCTGTGTCTGGGTTTGCTTCATCCCTACCCTCCCCGCCTGGGCTCAGCTCCCCTCCATGTGCCTCCTGGCCCCTCACACCTTGGACCCCCTGTCTAGCTCCCGCCTCTCAGGGCTGTCTTCCCTTTTCTGACCCGTCCTTCCTCTCCATTTTCTCCTCTCTCGCTCAGCCCTCTCCTCTCTGTCATCCTGGAGTCTGTGGTGAGAATTGGGGAGACCAGGCTGGGTTCTACACAGGGCCACTGTTCCTGTCCTAGACAGCCAAGCACGCTGGGTTTGGTATGGCCACAGCTCTGCGCCATCTCCTTGTGCATCCAGGACTTGCCCTCTCTGGCCATGGGCTCCTCCTGGGAGCGCTGGGCTCCCAGGGTCCCAGTCCTGATATCTAAGCTCCTCCCAAGGGCCTTAGTGGGGATGGAGCAAACCCCAATGGTCCAGGTCTCCATGCTGCCCTGGGGAGATTTCTCCCCAAATCCTCCTTCCAAATGGCGCAGGACTAGATTTGAGGGTCAGCTGCTCACCTGCCTCCCACCCCACCTGGACCCCGCTCCTCTCTTGTTGGAGGAGGGGCTGCCCACCTATCTTCTTTACGCACATCTGTGGGCATAGAGTCCAGTACCTGCACAAAGTTGTCCCGTTCCTGAAATACCTACATGCCCCTCCCTCTGCCCTCTGGTCACCTCCCAGCTCCTGACCACAGTGTGGTGGCCGAAGTGGAGCTGGGCTCCAGGAACCTCGAGTTCCAGTCCTGGCTCTGCCACTCACTTGCTGTGGGACCTAAGCTAGTCACCACCCTGCTCTGAGCCTCAGCGCCCGGGGGAATGACAGGAATGGACCGGTAGCCTCATGCTCCAGAGCCAAAGGGGATACCCAGCAGCCCCAGACCAGACAGATGTTCTGACCAGGTTCTGATGGAGGACATAGAGGGAGTCACCAGAGAGGTGTTCCCCTTTGGAGACAACTCTGTTTTGTTTATTTCTTTTCTTTTATTTTTATTTATTTATTTATTTATTTATTTTTGAGACAGAGTCTTACTTACTCTGTCGCCCAGGCTGGAGTGTAGTGGCACAATCTTGGCTCACTGCAACCTCTGCCCCCCAGGTTCAAACGATTCTCCTGCCTCAGCCTCCCGAGTAGCTGGGATTACAGGCACCTGCCACCACGCCCAGCTAATTTTTTGCATTTTTAGTAGAGACGGGGTTTCACTATGTTGGCCAGGCTGGTCTAGAACTCCTGACCTTGTGATCCGCCCGCCTTGGCCTCCCAAAGTGCTGGGATTACAGGCATGAGCCACCGCCCCTGGCCTGTTTATTTCTATTTTTATTTTTAAGAGATGGAGTCTTGCTCTGTTACCCAGGCTGGAATGCAGTGGTGCCATCATAGCTGACTGCAGCCCTGAGCTACTGGGCTCAAGTGATCCTCCCACCTTGGCCTCCCAAAGTGCTTGGATTATAGGCAGGGTCCAGCTTCTGCTTTGCTTTTTTTTTTTTTTTTTTTTGAGATGGAGTCTCGCTCTGTTGCCCAGTTGGAGTGCAGTGATGCGATCTCAGCTCACTGCAACCTCCGCCTCCTGGGCTCAAGCGATTCTAGTGCCTCTCAGCCTCTGGAGTAGCTGGGACTACAAGTACACGATGCCCAGCTAATTTTTGTATTTTTAGTAGAGACGGGGATTCGCCATGTTGGCCAGGCTGGTCTCTAACTCTTGGCCTCAAGTGATTTGCCGTTCTCAGCCTCACAAAGTGCTGGGATTACAGGCGTGAGCCACCACGCCCGGCACTGTTTTGCTTTTTAATTGAGCAAGGGGCAGGCCACTCCCAGGGGTTCCCCAACCTCAAACCACTGCTCCCTATCCCAGCCCCTCAGACCCTTCCCTTATCAGCAAGGTATGTCTGAAAAAGTAGTACTATGAAGATTATCTGAAATACACACACACACACTCCATTAGGTTGAGTGGTGAAATATTCAAAGCTTTCTACTACGATCAGGAGGCAGCTGAGGAGCCCACTGTTACCACTCCATCCAGCACTACCCTACAAGGGAGGCCTCAGGCAAGGGAATAAGGCACAAGAAACATTGTGAGAATTGTAAAGGGAGAAAGAAAACTGCCAGTATTTAGATGACATAGTGGCCCATAGACAAAATCCCCCAAAATATACAGACAAGCTGTTAGAATAAATAAGTAAATTGAGTAAGCTCACTGGATACAAAATCAGTATAAAAAATCAAATGTTGCTGGGGTAGGCAAAGATTTCTTTTTTTTTTTTTCCTTTAAATAGAGATGCGGTCTCACTATGTTGCCTAGTCTGGCCTTGGACTCCTGGGCTCAAGCAATCCTCCTGCCTCAGCCTCCTGAATAACAAGATTTCCTAAATAGGACACAGAAAGTACTAACCATAAAGGAAAAAACTTGATAAATTTTTCTCCATTGAAATTAGAATTACTAAGCCGGATGTGGTAACCCATGTCTGTGGTCCCAGCTAGTAGAGAGGCTGAGGCAGGAGGATTCCTTGAGCCTAAGAGTTTGAGTCCAGCCTGGGCAACATAGTGAGACCCTGTCTCTAAAAGTGAAAAAAAAAAAAAAAAAGGAACGAATCAAATGTTTTTCTACCAATGTACAATTAGGGAAAGGAATTAAAAGGACAACATCATTTATACATCATAAAAATATCAAATACCTAAAAATAAATCTAACCCAAACAGTGAAAGCTCCCTCACTACACAGAAAACTTCAAAACATCTTTGATAAATACTTAAAAATATCTAGGCCAGGCATGGTGGCTCATGCCTATAATCCTAACCCTTTGGGAGGTGGAGGCGGGCAGATCACTTGAGCCCAGGAGTTTGTGACCAGCCTGTGCAACATAGTGAAACCCCATCTCCACAAAAAATAGAAAAATTAGTCTGGTGTGGTGGCGTGTGCCTGTAAGAGGCTGAGGTGGGAGAATCACTTCAGCGCAGGAGGTCGACACTGCAGTGAGCCATGACTGTGCCACTACAGTCCAGCCTGGGTGACAGAGTAAGATCTTGCCTCAAAAAATAAAAAAATTTAAAGATAATCTAAATTAGTGTTCATGGATTGGAAAGCTCCACCTTGTAAATCCTCCCCAAATCAATCTATAGATTCAATGCAATTCCAATCAAAATCCTGGCAGGAATGTGTGTGTGTGTGTGTGTGTGTGCAGAAATCGATAAGTTGATTCTAAAATTTGTATGGAAATGGAAAGGATCAAGAATAGCCAAGACTTTCTTCAAGTAGAGCACAGCTGTAAGACTTCCAGTACTAGATATTAAGACAACATGGTATTAGTGCAAGGACAGAATAGAGAGCCTGTGGGACAGAATAGAGAGCCTTGAAGTGAATCCACCCAGATGTGATTATTTGATTTCTAACAAAGATGATACTGCTCAGCTATACTGGGGAAAGGATAGTCTTTCCAATAAATGGTGCTGGGCAATTGGATATTCATGTGGAAAAAAGGTATCTTGATCCCTATGTCACATCATACACAAACATAAAATTCTACATGGAATATATATCTAAATATAAAAGGTAAAACCACTAGAAAAAAACAGAATATATTCATGACCTTGGGTAGGCAAAATTTTGTTGTTGTTTGTTTGTTTGTTTGTTTGTTGAGATAGGGTCTTGCTCTGTCACCCAGGCTGGAGTGCATTAGTGCAATCCTAGCTCGCTGCAGCATCAACCTCCCAGGCTCAAGCAATCTTTCCACCTCTACCTCAGCCTCCTGAGTAGCTGGGACTATAGGCAGATGCCACCATGCCAGGCTAATTTTTGTATTTTTTTTTTGTAGAGACTGGATTTCACCACATTGCTCAGGCTGGTCTCGAACTCCTGGGCTCAAGCGATCCTCCTGCCTCAGCCTTCTGGGTAGCTAAATTTCCTAAACAGGACACAAAAAGTTCTAGCCATAAAGAAAAAAAACTTGATAAATTATTCTCCATGAAATTTAGAACTTCTAAGCCGGGCACTGTGGTGTGTGCCTATAGTCCCAGCTACTTGGGAGATTGAGTCAGAAGGATTACCCGAGGCCACGAGTTCAAGGCTGCAGTGAGCTATGATTGTGCCGCAGCACTCCAGCCTGGGTGAGAGAGCAAGACCCTATCTTTATAATCAAAATAAAATAAAATTAGAACTTCTGTTGATCAAAAGTCACCATTAAGAAAGTGAAAAGGGGCCGGGCATGGTGGCTCACGCCTGTAATCCCAGCACTTTGGGAGCAAGGCAGGTGGATCACCTGAGGTCAGGAGTTCGAGACCAGCCTGACCAACATGGTGAAACCCCATCTCTACTAAAAATACAAAATTAGCTGGGCGTGGTGGTGCATGCCTGTAATCCCAGCTAGTTGGGAGACTGAGGCAGGACCTCCTTGAACCTGGGAGGCAGAGGTTGCAGTTAGCCGAGATCGCGCCATTGCACTTCAGCCTGCGCAACAAAAGCGAAACTGTCTCAATAAATAAATAAATAAATAAATAAATAAAAAGAAAGTGAAAAGGAAAGCTGCAGAGTTGCAGGAGAAATTTGCACCACAAAAGGCTTGTATCCAGAGCATATAAAGAACACTAATAGATCAACAGGAAAGAGACAGATAACTCAGTAGAAATGGGCAGGCAACGTGAACAACCCCGCCACAATAAGGCTTTCCAAATGCCCTGTAGTCATATGGAAAGACGCTCGATATCATAAGTCACTAGGGAAATGCAAAAGCTACAATGAGCTAAAATGAAAAAGACTGACTTCTGAAGATTGGCAGGGGTGTGCAGCAAATGGGGCTCTTGTACCAGCTGGCAGGAGCGTGGGTTGGCACAACCGCTTTGGAAAACTTTATGACAGCACCAACTAAAGCTAAGCATACGCAGCCCCTATGACTAGCAAGTCCATATCTGGGCCTGTATCCAACAGAAAAGTATTCATTGTGCCCCAAAAAACATGCAAAAGAATGTTCACCACAGCACTATTGTCAACAGTCCTAAACTGAAAAAATCCAGATGTCCATCAGCAGTAGAATGAATAAATAAATGGTGGCGTATTCATACGAGGGTGTCCAGCAATGCAAAGAAACAAACTGTAAGTACAAGAAACAAGATGGGCGAATGTCATAGGCTTAATGTTGAGCAAAAACTGCCAGACACAAAAGAACACATATTCTACGATTCTGCTGATGAAAAGTTAAAAAACCAGCAAAACGAACCTATGGTGGTAGAAGTCAAGATGATTGCTACCTTCTAAGAAGGAAGAAATTGGGAGGAGATATAAAAGGGCTTGGGGGATGCTGGAAATATATTTCCCAACCTGGGTTCTGGTTACACAGGTGTGTCCATTTGGTGAAAATCCATCCACTTTTCTGTCTATGCGTTACACTTCAATTAAATATTTCCATTAAAATAAAATAAAATGGTGGCCCAGAGAGACTCATTAACTTGCCCAGAGTCACGCAGTTCTTACGCAGGAAGTTAAAAGTCTTAGGTTCTTATTCCTTCTTCGTTCCTCACTCTGTAAGGTTCTGGGCAAGCGATCTCTTTCTGGGGTTTACTTTCCCCAACTGTGTGGAATAGAAAACACACACACATGCGCACACACACGCACACACACACGTTATTGCAAAAGCTGGCAGCAGAACTAGGAAATACCTTGCTGGGCTCTCTTGGGATGTGAAACAGAGAGAGAGAGAGAGAGAGAGAGAGAGAGAGAGAGAGAGAGAGAGAGAGAAAGGATCTATCTAACTAATAGCTTGGGAGAACTCTCGGTTTCAGGAGACCACTCAGGAGAGAATTCCTGAGGACAGATGTGGAGAGAGAGAGACAGACAGATAGAGATAGAGACGAAGAGAGATTGAAAACCAAGACAATAAGTGGTAGGCAACCAGAGGGAGGTGGAAACATGGGCTTGGGAGCTGGGTGGAAAAGTAGCCCCTTCTTCTCCATCACCCCCATCCCTCAGGAATGATCCCCCACCCTCACTGCCTTGGGTGAAGAGTATTTAGGGAGGAATTAAAGGGAAGGGGGGCTGCATTCCACACCTGGGCTGACACAGTTCGGAGCAAACAGCCCACAGGTGAGAGGCAGAGGGCAGTGGGAATGCAGCAAGGACAGGTCAGGGAGGCCGGGGTGAGGGCAACACTCAACGCCACTCGAGTATGTGTTGTTTTCTTTGAGCCAGACTCTCACTCCGTCACCAAGGTTGGAGTGCAGTGGCGCAATCTCAGCTCACTGCAACCTCCACCTCCCTTGTTCAAGTGATTCTTCTGCCTCAGCCTCCCGAGTAGCTGGGACTACAGCCACCCGCCACCATGCCTGGCTAATTTTTGTATTGTTAGTAGAGACGAGGTTTTGCCATGTTGGCCAGGCTGATCTCAAACTCCTGACTTCAAACTCCAGACCTCAAGTGATCCGCCCGCCTTGGCCTCCCAAAATGCTGGGATTCCCACTGCGCCTGGCCTGGGTGTGTCTTCTAAATGTGAGGGTGGAAGGAGAGCCTGCAGGTTTGGAGGACTCAGGTACCCAGGTGACGGAGCCTTGGTTTTCCCACAAAAGCAGCAGGGGAAATTAGATGTGGTTTAGGGCCAACCCAGCCCAGCGAACTTTCTCCAAGCCCCTGCCCACACTAGCTCAGGGCTGCAGAAGGTCAGCCCCGCTGGCCAGACATGAACACAAACTCATGGAGAATGTTGGAGGCCAAAGGCCGAAGTGGCTAGAAAAAGCCATGGTGATTTTCCTTACTGACATCTGGAGGCTTGAAGGAGAGCTCTCCCCACCCCACCCATTCCCCACCCAGACTTGTCCTTGGATGGAAGGATTCTGACCCCCAAAAGAGGCAAGGGATTCCACGCAGGTCCCAGTCCCCAAGGATAGAATCATCTGGCCCTGAGCAGCCAGGAACTAGTGGCCTGCTGATTGCAACACATCAAGGAGCAGCTGATACTGAAGGCCAGGGAGGTGAGGGGGGGGAAGGAGGTTTACCCATAATATCATCTGCCTCTCACCATTTGGAGGCGGCAAAGATTCTGAAGGCTTTGATCGGGCTGGGCCTCACCTCTGACTGAGCTGTCGCCAGCATGACCGCAGTCCACCAGCAGGAAAACTGCAGGAGGTGGCACTTTAGTGACTGTAGTGCACAGCTGAGGCCTGGAGAGGCTCCACCACATACCCAAAGCTGCACAGCTGGGAGGTCATGGGCTGGGGGGAGAAGAGGCCAGCACTCTGGGGGAGCTGGCAGGAGTGCTAGGAGCTGCTTTGCTCCTGGTGGTGAAGGAGGCTCCAGGCTGGGGGAGGAGCAGTGGTGAACATAGCCCCTAAGAGAAATGGGAGACTGCTTTGATGGAACCCTCCTCATCAAGGCTTATCTCCAGATGCCACCTCCTCCAGCCAGCCTTCCCAGATGTCCTTATCAAAGAGGCTGTCTCCTTCCTCATCTCCATCCCCAACCCCCCAGCACACAGACCATACTGAGTCCTGTCTCCCAGCCTGAGTGGGGCCCTGCCCTGCCTGTCTCCCCCGAGCACTGACTGGTATCTGAGTAGCAGGGTGGATGGGCTCTGCAGGCTGTCCTCCTCAGGGAGCCTCACATGGACTTTGAGCAGGGTAGCTGCTCACCAGCACTTAGGCCAACCAGAGAAGAGCTCCATGCACCTCTGCCCAGCCCCAAGCTCTCCTTGGGAAAGCTCCATGACAGGTGAGGTCAGCCCAATCCAAGGCTTCAGAATCTCTGCAGTCTCCAAATGGTGAGAGGCAAATGAGATCGTGTGGGTAAACTTTTCTCCCTGCTCATCTCCCTGGCCCGCAGTATCAGCTCCCCGCAGCCTGCTGCCTCCTAGAAGACTTCCTGAGGGAGGGAAAGACGGTGGCAGAGAGTAGGAGCCAGGGACAGACAGAGGATCTTCCAGAAGCTGGGAGAGGAAAAGGAGAGCTTGGGGCTGGGCAGGGGTGTTTAGCTCTCCCATGATGGCCGCACTGCCCTCCAAAGCCCTGATGCCAGGGTGGACCTGCCCTCCCTGCCCTGGCTCAGGACTTGCAAAAGGTGTGGAAGGACCAGCCGGTTGCCCCATCCTGGATGGGCAAGAATTTGGGACCCCTCTCTGCCTCTCAGCTCCCACTCTCCCCTGTGATCCAGTCCCAGCCTGGAAAGCCCTGTTCAGGGGAGGAGAGGTGGTGAGTGAGTAGGGGTCCCGTCCTTTACAAGAGCCCTTTGTCCCAAGGGGCCTAGAGTCTCTCAGGCTGACGGCCCCTCCCGGGCTGGCCTGGAGGCAGAATGAGGACTCCCCAGGGGGCAGATGAGACAGTGTCCCTCATTGTCCTCAGGTGCCTTATGGGGCAAGGGAGCAGGTGTTTACCGACTCAGGAGAGGCTTGGTTGAAGTCCAGGTTTATCTGCTTAAACCACGTCGAGGGGGAGAGGGAGGCTGTTTGTTCCTACGTTTCCACCCCAAACCTCCCAGGGCAGGGGTGGGGGCCTGCAAAGGGCAGGGAAGGCTGAGGGCCTGGGCTCTTGACACTCCAAGGACGTCAGCCACTGCTTCACCTGGCCTGGTTCTCTTCCTCCCACCAAACCTCTTTTCAGTGAGTGGCACCTGGATTCCTGTCCCACCCTGTCTGTGCAGACATGAGAGATGAAGAAAGAGGGGGACAGAGAGACAGAGGGAGACAGGAATAGGAGAAGGAGGTGGGTCATGGAGGCAGAGTCGGTGGAGCAGGGGAGAAGACTCCAAGAGGGACTTGGGCAGGGTCCTGGGAGTGGGGCCCGGCTGCCCAGCTTGGGAGGGGCAGCACAGGGCTGATTGTCCAGGGGCCGCTGCAGCCTCCCCAAACCCTCCAGTAGTTTGGGTATGGGATGTGGCTGTGTGCCCTGGGAGGTGGCTGGCGGGCCCAGGGCAGTGTCCCCACTCCTGTCAAGCTCCTTGAGTATTTTTTCCTGTCGGCTCTGCCTCTAGGGACCGCTTCCCGCCCAGGATGTAAGGCAGGCAGCAGCTTGTCTGACCCAGCCTGGCCCTGGGGGAGACCCCATTCTTGGTGGCTGGATAATCTGAGCCAGGGAGACAAGAGAGACTGCTCCCACCCCCATCTCAGCAGCCTGGAAGAGCAAGGCAAGAGAGACTGCTCCCCGCCCTTTGCTTCTCTACCTCTCGTTGGAGAGCAGGCCATAAGCATCTGGGGTGCAGCCAGATTCCTGCCAGGCGGGTGGGCTGGGGGAGGGATCGGGGCAGGCAGCGGGCTACTGTTCTCCTGCACCGCCTCCCAGGCTCCTGCCTCCTCTGGCCACCCCTCCCTGTGTCCAAGGCCTGCTCGCCTGAGTGAGACATGAGTAATGGACACAGCACAGGGCCTGACCCAAGGGCCTTGGCTGCAGGCCCAGCACTAGGAACACTGTAAATATTTGGGGGAATTAATGATGCTCCTTCTCCCCAGCCAACTCTCTCCTGCAACCCAGAAGGCTTATGGGAGGAGGCCACAGTGTCCATCCCTCTGCCTCCGAGCTGAGACAACATTAAGGATATAGGGGTCCAGACTGCTGGGTCCTTGACTGGGTTTGGCCACAGACAGGAGAACCATACTTGTAATGTGGCTGCACCATCTCAGCCATCCCCCCGGCCTCCAGGCCAGCCAGCATCTCCTCCAGCCTGGAGATCCCAAGCCTTCTCTCTCAGGCACAGAATCCTTTGTTAATGGATGTTCTTTCTGAAATCTAGCTTCTGCCCTTCCAGGAACCCCTTCCATGGTTCTGGGATGGCAATGAATGGGTCTGCCCTTTAGGTAGTTAATGGTGCTCCTCACCCTGCTCTGCTGCATCCCCTCCTGGAGAGCTTCTGCCTGCTGTCACCCTGTCCAAGGGCCCAACCCTGGTGGATATCCCTAAACTTCTTGGGGTCCCCTTCCCTGCCTTAGCAGAAGCCTGGAGCAGGCATGGCCTCTCTACCTTTCCTGACATTTCCCCCTCTCCTGTGGCCTTAGATTGAGACAAGGATGTCGTTTGAAAGAAGTCTCTGAACACTTACCATACCAGGCAGCTGGGAATTTTGAGGTCATCTCAAGGTGCTCCCTGTCCCCACTCCTAGGGCCCTGAGAGAGGCTGTGGATGCAGGGCTGCGCTGGGTTGGGCTCTGGAGCAGGAAAGCTGGAAGAAGGCAGTTGTATGTGCTTCTCCAATCTTACTCCCTTGTCCAGAACTTGATTTCAAATCTAGTTTCATGAGACTCCTTTGACCCACTTCCTTGGATAATATTGAGCAAGGTATTGAAATCCTCTAAGGCTCAGTTTCCTCATCTGTCAAATGGGGAAATGAGGATTTTTTTGAGCATCAGATGAGATATGCATGCAAAGCACTTAGCATAAGGTAGAATATGTAGTAAGTACTCAACAAATGGTAACCAGTATGACTAAGACTTTTAAGACTTAAAGGCCAGTTTTCCTTCTCCAAGTTCCCTCAGCTCCAAGCTCCAGGTGTGTTTCTCATGGCCTGGGAGAAACAGAGCTGTTCTGGAAGAAGGCACCTTGGGACGGGACAAGACACTCTGCTCCAGCCTGACTGGCCCTGATCAGGCCAACCTGCTTCACCCACTCTTGCCCCCACTGCCAGGATTATCATAGGCCCCCAGATCCGGTGCCTTCCTCCCACACCCACCAGCCTGGCCAGGCTGGTGCCTATCCCACTTCCAGGAAGAGGGACATAAACACAGCTGGGGTGGACGAGGGCCCCCAGCATCCTCTCTGGAAGCAGTGAAGCAGTCAGGGGCTCCAGGATGGATCAGGGAGAATCTGGGAATTCCTAGGACTCAGGTCAGGGAGTCCAGGGAGAGGAGAAGCTCCCGTTCCTAGAGCTGAGGAAAGAAGTGGCAGGGTAGTCCCCTCTGAACACTGTGTTTGGATCCCTACCACCTCTGCCTCCATATCCGGTGGGTGTGAAGTGGTATCTCATTATGGTTTGAATTGCATTTCCTTGACGACTAACGATATTGAACATCTTTTTGTATGTCTATTGGCCATTTGTATATCTTCTTTAGAGAAATGTCTATTCAGAATCCTTTTTAACCATTTCACTGGCACGAAGCCACTAGGCTGTCCTCCCGCTTTCATGTCCCCACCACAGCCTGGCTTCCCTCTAGGTGCAGCTCTACCAGGCCCTTTCCCTGCTTGAACCTTCAATGGCTCCCCACTGCTTGCAGCCAAACTTGCTAAAAAGTGTGAAAAGTGTTTTGTGAGAGGTTGGAAGAGGTTCTTCTGAAGATGATTCCATGGTTGAACCATGGTCAAAGGTTTGGAAAATGATACATACACTAACCCACTCCAGGACTTTGCCAATGCATATTAGCATATAAAAGGCTCAGAGAAGTCCCAAAGCAAACAATCCCCTCTTTTTTTCTTGTTTAGAGACAGGATCTTGCTATGTTGCTAAGATGACGCTGGATTCAAACTCCTAGGCTCAAGGGATCCTCCTGCCTCAGCCTCCTGAGCAGCTGGGACTACAGGCCCGGGCCACCATGCCTAGCAACAATCCTCTGCTTAACCCAGCATTTCCCAAGCTGTTTTGATGATAGATTCACACCCCCTACTTGTATTTATTTTTTACAGCTTTATGGAAATATAATTCACATGTCATAGAACTCATTCATTTAAAGTGTACAGTTTCGCCAGGCATGGTGGCTCACACCTGTAAGCCTAGAATTTTGAGAAGCCAAGGCAGGAGGATCACTTGAGACCAGGAGTTGGAGACCAGCCTGGGCAAAATAATGAGATGCTGTCTCTACCAAAAAAAAGTATTTAATTTTATTTTAAGTTCTGAGGTACATGTGCAGGTTTGTTACACACATAGACATGAGACATGGTGGTTTACTGCACCTATCACCTAAGTATTAAGCCCTGCATTAGCTATTTTTCCTGATGCTGTCCCTCCCCTCGCCCTCTCCCCTGCCAAGCCCCAGTATGTGTTGTCTCCCTCCCTGTGTCCATGTGTTCTCATTGTTCGTCTCCCACTTATGAGTGAGAACACATTAGGTTTCCTGTTCCTGTGTTAGTTTGCTGAGGATAATGACTTCCAGCTCCATTCATGTCCCCGCAAAGGACGTGATCTCATTCCTTTTCATGGCTGAATAGTATTCCATGGTGTATATGTACCACATTTTCTTTATCCAGTCTATCACCGATGGGTATTTGGGTTGATTCCATGTTTTTGCTATTGTGAATAGTGCTGCAGTGAGCATATGTTTGCATGTATCTTTATAATATAATGGTTTATATTCCTTTGGGTATGTACCCAGTAATGGGATTACTGGGTCAAATGGTATTTGTGGTTCTAGGTCTTTGAGGAATCGCCACACTGTCTTCCACAATGGTTGAACTAATTTACATTCCCACTAACAGTGTAAAAGCATTCCTATCTCTCTGGGACCTCACCAGCATCTGTTGTTTCTTAACTTTTTAATAATTGCCATTCTGACTGACATGAGATAGTACCTTGTTGTGGTTTTGTTTTGCATTTCTCTAATGTCAGTGGTGTTAAGTTGTTTTTTGTTTTTTGAGATGTAATCTCACTCTATCACCCAGGCTGGAGTGCAGTGGTGCAATCCCAGCTCACAGTAACTTTCGCCTCCTGGGTTCCGGGTTCAAGTAATTCTCCTGCCTCAGCCTCCTGAATAGCTGGAATTACAGGTGTGTGCCACCACACCCAGCTAATTTTTGTATTTTTAGTAGAGATGGGATGGGGCCAGGATGGTCTTGAACTCCTGATCTCAGGTGATCTGCCTGCCTTGGCCTCCCAAAGTGCTGGGATTATAGGCATGAGCCACCACACCTGGCCCTCATGCACAGGTTTTTGTGTGAATACATGTTTTCATTTTTCATGTGTACATACGTATGAATGAAATTGCTGGGTCACATGGCAACTCTATGTTTAACCATTTCAGGAAATGCCAGACTATGTTTTGAATCGATTGCACCATTCTACCTTTCCCCCAGCACCGTTGAGGGCTCCAATTTCCCCACATCTTTGCTAACACTTTTTTTTCTTTTTCTGTTTCTTTTTTTTATTCTGAGATGGAGTCTTGCTCTGTCACCCAGGCTGGAGTGCAGTGGCACGATATTGGCTCACTGCAACCTCCGCCTCCTGGTTCAAGCAATTCTCCTGCCTCAGCCTTCCGAGTAGCTGGGAGTACATGCATGAGCCACCACATCTGGCTAATTTTTGTATTTTTAGTGGAGACGAGGTTTTGCCATGTTGGCCAGGCTGGTCTCGAACTCCTGGCCCTAGGTGATCCGCCCACCTCAGCCTCCCTAATTGCTGGGATTACAGGCATGAGCCACTGCACCTGGCCATTGCTAACAACTTTTATCTAACTTTTTGGTTCTAGCCATCCTTGTGAGTATGAGGTTGTATTTTATCATAGTTTTGTCTTGCATTTCCCTGATGGCTAATGGTATTGAGCATTTTTTAATGTGCTTATTGGCCATTTCTATATCTTCTCTAAAGAAAGGTCGGTCTATTCAGATCCTTTGCCCATTTTTAAATTGGGTCATCTTTTTACTACTGAGTTATAGGAGTTCTTTATATATGCTAGATACAAATCCCTGATCAGATATTTATCTTACAAATATTTTACTCCATTCTGTGGGTTGTCTATTTTGATAGAGTTCAGTTTATCTATTTTTTCCTTTGTTGCTTGTACTTTTGGTTTTATATCTAAGAAGCCATTGCCAAATCCAAGATCACAAAGATTTACTCCAATGTTTTCTTCTAAGAATTTTATAGGTTTAGGGCCCAGCGCGGTGGCTCACGCCTGTAATCTCAGCACTTTGGGAGGTTTAGGTGGGCAGATCACCTGAGGTCAGTAGTTCAAGACCAGCCTGGCCAACTTGGGGAAACCCTGTCTCCACTACAAATACAAAAATTAGCTGAGTATGTTGGTGCATGCCTGTAATCCCAGCTACTCAGGAGGCTGAGGAAGGAGAATCACATGAACCTGGGAGACGGAGGTTGTGGTGAGCCGAGATGGTGCCACTGCACTCCGGACTGGGCAACAGAGTGAGACTGCATCTCAAAAAGAAAAAAATAATTTAATAGATTTAGCACTTATATTTAGGGCTTTGATCCATTTTGAGTTAACTTTTGTATATGGCCTGAGGTAAGGGTCCACTTCATTCTTTTGCTTGTTGATATCCTTCTTGTATCTTTACAAAATATCCAATAGCATCTTATGGGACTCTGGTGCTCCAGGAAACACTAACTGGAAAATGTTGATGAGGTCCAAGTTTCTTAGTCAACACAAGGCATCTCACCATCTGCCCCCAACTTGTCTTTTCCCAATTTCTCTGGACTGGCCTCTTGCTATTCTCTAGACTTGCACCGGGGTTTTCCTGTCTCTGTGCCTTAGTGTGTACTGTTCTGTAGGTCACTCCCACGCACACATCTTTGCCTGCTGAAATTCATTCATCCTCCAAGGAAAAATAATAGCTAATATTTATTGAGTGTTCAAGACGTACCTGACATTTTTTTCTAAGAACATTATTTGTGTTATCTCATTTAATTCTTGCAGTGACTCTATGAGGCATATACTCCTATTATACCCATTTTACAGATGAGGAAATCAGTGTTCAAGGTGATCAGGTAACTTGCCCATGGTTATGCAGTTAGCAAGTGATGGGGGAAGAATTTGAACCCAGGCAATCTGACTTGAGAGTCCCTGCTTTTAACAAATCACTACTCTCCTACCAGTCTTTGCTTATCTCTGCAACTCTGTCCACCACTTTATTTGTACTAAAGTATATTTACTGAGCTTCACCCAGTATTTTACTGAAAGAACAAGTTAGTGAGTGAGTAAAAGAATGAATAGAACTGGATTGTCAGAGTTGGAAGGGATCCAAGTAGTGGTATGCATTCCAGCATAATGACCTGACTTGATGGATGGGGAGGTCTCTGCAACTCCTCCAGGGTCATAAGGTAGGGACAGAGGTGACATCAGGGCCCAGGTCTCTGCCCCTTCTGCCGGGCAGTGTTGACGCCATGCTGGCTGCACCTCCATGCAGCATATTACTTGAGTATCTCCTTTGTTTCAGACTCCAATCTGAACTCAGTCCGAGGCAAACAGGACAAGACCCCTGGGACCCTGCCCTGTCTCCCTCCTCCAGGGAAGGAGGCTTAGGCCCGGCAGAGCTGCTCTTGGGCTTCAAGACCCTCCTGGTTCCTCCCCCATGCAGGGCCATCCCTGGGGTCTCAACCTAGCTTTCTCTGTTTCCTTGGAGGGAGCATCGGGAATGAAAGGCGGCAGGCAGCCAGGGGCACAGGGTGGGGCGGAGGAAGGGCCCCAGGTCCGGTTCATTTCCTGGCACCGTTGTTTGCTGCATGCCCCTGGCTTCTGGTGGCTGTTTCCACCACGCCCACAGTGTCCCTCCCTGGCTGAGTGGGCAGCTGGCCTGGACTGGAATTCTCCCATATCCTCGGCCTCCGTCATCTCTCCGCTGGGGCCATTCTCGGAGCCCAGCAGATCTGGGGGAGAATTCTGCTCCTCGCACTGCGCATGACCTTGGGCATGTCACTTTGCCAGTCTGGGCCTTTGTTTCCTCTTCTGGAAAAGGGGAAAACATGACTGATCTCACAGGCTTGTCATGAAGAATCAAGGATAATATACATGAAGGCCTGGCACAGTAAAATTCCCAATAAAAACGACTATCCCTTTTTCTCTGCCTGCCTCTCCCAATTTCCCCCACTCTTCCAGGATGCCCACTTCCCCCTGCCTCCCCATCCCTGTGTTGGAGTCTCAGTCTGAGCCCTAGGTAGAGCCTTTTCTGGGGTCCTCTGTGATGGGAACACCTTCCCCAGGTGCTGATCCCTCTGCCAACTCTTGGGTACCCATAGAAACACACATGCCTCACAGTGATGGGACCTGAGAGGACCCACGGGGACATCGTAAGTGTTTTAATGGACCAGAGGAGGTTCAATTTGACCACATCATTGATCTCCATCCAAGCAGAACACTGTAGTAGCAGCCATTGGCAGGGTGGAGAAAGAGGGTCTGAGCTGGCTTTCCTAGAGGTCAGAGCTCCTGGTGGAGAGACAGCTGCTGCCACGCCCTGCCACCATGGCCGCCATCATCCCAGTAGAAAATAGGCAAACAAGACAAGACCCCCGGGACCCTGCCCTGTCTGCCTCCTCCAGGGAAGGGGGTTTATTTTCTATTTATTTTACTATGTGCTGGGCACTGTCTGAGTCTTCATTTACTCTCCACAAGGGTTCTATGATTGGGGTGCAATTATCAACTCCATTTTACAGATAGAGAAATTGAGGCATGGAGAGCTGAAGCAACTTCACCCAAGCTAATAGGTGACCTAATGTGGCTCATGCTCCATCAGAGGGAGAAACAGACCTATGCTGAACTGGAAAGCATCGGCCAAGACTTGGGAAGCCTGGAAGTTGGTGGATTTCAGTTGGCCTTGAAGGAAGGGGAGCTTTCAACAAGCAAGAGGAAGCTAGAGTGTTGCAGGGAGAGGGCCCGCCAAGCAAAGTCCTGGAGAAAGTGGCAGGCAGGTGTTTGGGGCATGAAGACCTGCCTCACAGGCTGGGGTTGTGCAGAGAGTGGAGGACAGGGGCTGAAGGTGAGCCCTGAGAAGGCCTCATGGCACTGCACACCCACCGTCCCTGCCAGTGTGCAATCATGGCCTGCATCCTGGCCCCACTCCCAGGCCATGGGGTCCCTCCCACCCCAATGCACATTAGCCTCTAACTGGCCTCTGGTCATCTCTGAGCCATAGTTTCTTTATTTGCAAAGAGGTAATAATAGCCATGCCCAACTCTCAGGGCCGTGGGGAGGGTTAACTGAGCCATCCATGGGAAGCACCTGGCGTTGGGCCCAGCACACGGTGCCCTTCCCTTCCCTTCAAGTCAATCATCTCCTGGCTCCAGGAGGCCATCTTATTCCCTGATCTGACCCCACTCAAAACCCAACCCTGGATATCTTACAGAACCAAGCCCAAAGCTCAGCTCCCCAGCCCAGAGTTTGAGGTCCTTTGCAAACCACCTTGCTCACCTTCAGGTGCAGAAAGGAGGGAGGGACTCTCAGAGAATGAATGAAGTAGGGACCACTGGAGCTGCAGACAGGGTCACCAAGAAGCTAGAATGAGAAGAGGGCTGGAAGGAAGAGCAGAGCTGAGGAACTAGAGCCCAGGGTGCAAGTGGTGAAAGGCCTATAGAAATTGGGGATTAGGGCCAAACAGGCTCACGTCTGTTATCCCAGCACTTTGGGAGGCTAGGGTGGGTGGATCAATTGAGGTGAGCAGTTTGAGACCAGCCTGGCCAACATGGTGAAACCTCATCTCTACTAAAAAAAATACAAAAATTAGCTGGGTGTGGTGGTGGGCCCCTGTAATCCCAGCTACTCTGGAGGCTGAGGCAGGAGAATCACTTCAACCCAGGAAGTGGAGGTTGCAGTGAGCCAAGATCACGCCACTGCACCCCAGCCCGGGTGACAGTGTCTATCTCAAAAAACGAAGAAAACGAAAGGGAAGGGAAGGGGAGGGGAAGGGGAAGAGAAAGGGGAAGGGGAACGGGAAGGGAAGAAATTGGGGATTAGGAGGGTTATCTTGGGTGAGCTTCCTGTGGGCCCAGCCTGACCGCACAAAGCCAGGCTGGCACAGCCTGGTCAACATCAAAGCCAAGGCCCCAGGGAAAGACCTCTAAGAATTTTCCTCTGTTCATGGGTTTAGCATGGACCACCTTGTGGTCCCTTTGGGCTTCAGTCCCCTTGTGTAGCTCCAACCCTATCCCAGGGTCTTTGGCAAATTGCCAGCTCCAGCTTCTAGGGCTTCTCCAGGCCCTAGAAGTGGTAGAGACTTCCTGGCTGTCCTTGCTGCTGCCCTCTTCCCATGTCCCCTGTATCCCACCTGCCACCAGCTCCTGCTTAGCCCCTCCCCTAAATGTCCCTCGAGCCTATCTACATTTCCACAGACCCTTACCCTTTCCCATTTTCACCCCCATATTAACTCCCAGGTGGATCTCCTTAACTCCCGATCAGAGGGAGCTTTGGACCCACAAAGGCTGTCGGCTCATTCTCATGCATGAATCCATCAGCTCCCCTCAGTTCCAAGGCCAGCAAGCCAAGGCCTAAACTCGGGCAGGCACCAGTGTTTCCTGAGCATGTCCCTATGTCCCTCATGTTGCTGTGCCGTGGTTTCTGCCCCACTGCCCTGCTCCTGTTGCATCTGGCTCCCCTCCCTTCTCTCTGCTGTGTGGTGGGCTGGGCTCTCACTCTGCCTCTGGGTCACACCTGTCAGAAATGCTGCCCAGGGTGGTTCTGCCATTGAGGGCGTGGCCCTGACACCCCCCAAGCCCTATCTGACTCCTCCACTCAGAGGGGTCCCTGACGTCCATGACAAGGTGGGTAAGGGGTCCTCCACAGGGAGAAGGCCAAGGTCTTGGGGGATTGTTTTCCGAGGACACGAAAGCCCCTTCATCATTGCCCTCATCCTGTTAACAGCCTGAGAAGCAGGTGCCACGGGCCTGGCTGGAACCCCTGCCCACCCCACCTGCCCCCACTAAATCATTCTTTATCCCAGGTCTTCCCCATGTTCTGGCCCTCCTGACCCCTGACCACCTTAATAGTTGCTTGACTCATTTGTACCTCGGGGCCAGAGTCTCTGTAGGCAATGCCGTCACTCTTGCCCCTTCCTGCCTGGGAGCACCCAGCGGTACTCTGCCAGGTAGGGCTCCTGCATTTAAACAGGAGCCTTCAGGGGGCAAGGGCCAAACCCATAGGAGGGCTGCCTAATAGTGAGCATGTCTGTGATCCTGGCAGGAAAGGAGAGAGCCATTGTGGGGATGGGGAACTTTTGTTGCCTCCCAGATCAAGCTCCCTAAGGGCGCCTTGCCCCGGGCATCAGACCTGGGGTCCCAAGAACAGGGCGTGTGCCTTCCCTCAGTCTACTCTAGGAGAGCTAACTCCTTAGTTTGGCTGGCGCTTGCAAGCAGGTTTCAAACCAGCAGTAATTAGTCCCACAGGGGTGAGGTCAGCAGTGAGGGGGCTTGTGGGAGCTGTGATGAGG
Source organism: Homo sapiens (assembly GCF_000001405.40). Lineage (NCBI taxonomy): Eukaryota > Metazoa > Chordata > Mammalia > Primates > Hominidae > Homo > Homo sapiens. The sequence continues at coordinate 50,047,638 of NC_000017.11, forward strand.
GGTGAGGGCTGGGAGGAGGCTTCAGCCTGAGTTACTGAGGGCCTCAGTCCATTCAGAGCAGGCGAGGAGGAGGAAGTGAGTCAGTGGGCACAGCGATTCATGCCTTAGAATTCTGACTTTCTTTTTCAACCCACTGAGCCAAGACGTTTGTCCCAACAGGATCCTAGGGTGGGGGAGGGGACAGGAGGCAAGGGATATTAAAGAGACAGGGCTGGCCTCTTATTCACTTGCATTGGGCTCCTGTTTTAGTGCCATAGAGTACGTGGTGATGGAACTCAGCTGGACACACCGTGGTTGAAGACCTGCCATGTGACGGAGAAGCTGCCATGGGGGCTGGGAAACGCAGGGGTCAACACTGAGCATAACCACCACCACTTGGTGGGAGAGCAGCTGACTTCTGGGCCCCAGTTCCATTTCAACAAACCCATGAATTTGGCATCTTTATGTGGAATTTATAGATGAGGAAGCAGGTGAAGGGACTTGTCCAAGGTCACAGTCCCACTGGTCTAATCATACTGCCAGCCTGAGCGAGAAGTCAGTGCGAGTCCTGGACAACTCAAGAGTGACTAGGGATGGGGGTTGGCGTTGGGGTGGGAAAAGGCTTTACTGAGGAAGTAGAAGCTCACGAAAGATTTTGAAGAACAAGTGGAGATTTTCCAACTGAACAAGTGGGGAAAGGGCATCCCAACCAGAGGCACCGGCGCATGCAGAGGTTGGGTGGCATGGGCTGGCCTGGTGCTGTCGTGCCGGGCCTCTACTGATGGCACCAGGTTCAAGAGGCCGAGGAAGAGACCCAGAGTCCGTGAACGAGATATAGGGTTTGTGGGGAGCTTACATGCAGGGACAGTCCAGTGGCAGTGGGCCAGACAGAACCACAACCGCTTGAAAAATGCATGGCATTTATATAGCATTTTCACTTAGTACACTGCCCCAGCAACCTCTACCTGGCAACCCGCATTTAACCCAAAATAAAAGACCTCAATCCCCGGTCCCCTCCATGGCTCGAATTCCACGAGAGATGGGCCAGGGGCTTAGATGTTCCTCATAGATAAGGAATGAGTCTCTGGGTTGCCCACTCTCGGATTCCTTAGCTCCAAATTCCGAATGCAGATTCTTCTCAAGTTATTGCTGTCAGGTGTATCTGCCATGCAGGTGTGCTCGTGGAATCCTGCTGGGAGTGGGGACCAGGCACCGAGACAGAGGCTATTACAGGAGGAGCCCCTTGTTGAGGAAGAAGGGAAGATGCTAAGTACTTCTGGATACATGGAGTCCAAGGAGCCTGCGGCCAGCCAGAGGTGGCTGGCAAGAGTTAAACATCAAGGCTGGAGCCTGGCGGGTTTCATCAGCATGGAGGAGAATGTTAACGAACAAGGGGTCAACTGAGGAGACATAAGAGATGAGAATCACAAACAGAGGCCCAAAGTGGACTGAGGAATCTTGCAAGAGGGAGAGAGTTCTAGGAAGGAGAGGGTAGAGAGGAGTTTAAATAAAATACAGATGGAGAGGTCAACAGGTCGCTGCTGCCACCCTAGAAAGGTCAGAGGGCAAGGGGCCAAAGTTGACCATAGTGTTTGCCCATCAGAAGAGCCTTGTGCCCAAGGAGAGAAGGAGGATCCAGTGAGACGGAGGGGGCTGAAGGCAGACTGGGGAGGTGGAAAGGGTCACGATAAACCTAAGGTCAGGATCCCTACTCCAGGGAAGGGTGGACAGGTGACTCCACTCAGAGGATGTGACTTCTAGGCTGTGACCTCCTGGAAGAATAGAGGGTAGCCCAGATGACTGGTGGTGGAGAAACAGCAAAAGGCTGGAGGCAAGAGGAAGACTGGCTCCATCGAGGAACTGCAAGGTGCTCTGTGGCCTGGGTGAAGAATTAGAAGGGGTGAGGGGCAGCGGAGGGCGGAGGGGGGGGGCGTGGAAAGATGAGCAGGGCCATCTCAGGGATGGCGTTGTATGCTGAGGGCAGCAGGAAACCATCAGACATACCAAGTAGGAAACAGACTTGGGGAGATTTGCAGGAACCCCACTCTGGCTGCCATGCAGGTGGTAGGGAGAGTTGGAGGCAGGGAGGGCAACAGGAAGCACTGGCAGTCATCCAGGGAGAAGGGACAGAAAGGAGCAGACACACTGGCAAGACAGCAAGAAGGCAGAATCAGGGACACAGTGATTGGCTGAGCTGGGTGAAGAGAAGGAGGAGCAGACATTCAAGCTTCCAGCGGGGATGAGCCCCTGGAGCAGAGCACTCGGGTGCCCCAAGTGCTGGTGCCTGAGGAACTTCCAATCAGGAACTTGGATTCAGCAACTGAATTCACGGGGCCAGAACTTGGGAGGGTGCTGATTTGGGAGTTATCACCATATGGTCTGAGTTATTAAGAGCCAATAAGATGGGCTGGGCATGGTGACTCACACCTGTAATCCCAGCATTTTGGGAGGCTGAGGAGGGAGTTCGAGACCAGCCTGGCCAACATGGTGAAACCCTGTCTCTACTAAAAATACAAAAATTAGCCTGGCGTGGTTGTGTGTGCCTGTAACCCCAGCTACTCGGGAGGCTGCGGAGAATTGCTTGAAACCGGGCGGCAGAGTTCGCAGTAAGCCAAGACTGTGCCATTGCACTTCAGCCTGGGCAGAGTGAGACTCCCTCTCAAAAAAAAAAAAAAAAGAGCCAATAAGATAATTTTTACCTAAATATCAGTAAGGCACAATGGAGAGGATTTCCCACTTTGGTATTTTAGTCTTTATTTCTACCTGAGCAAATAACCACATTTCATCTAGTGTACGGCAGATACATGCCTGTATCCATTAGTATTGCATTACGAAGAAGGCAATGAAACTCAGCACTGATGAGCCATGAGGGCGATGGCCCCTAATAGGGCAGGTCCGGGTTGGCCAGCCACGTGGATACCCGACCAGAAGTATGTGCCATGTCCAAGGTGGACGCCACCATCGTCCATTCACCCAGCTACTCCCAAGGGCCTTACTTGACCCTGTTTCCAACCACAGGACCAATCACAGCCACTGGTGGAAGGATAAATACAGACACACACACTTCTCACTCCTGCCCCTGAGGAACCGGCTCTGGAGGAAAGCCCATCACTGTGGAGTTGGAGAAACCTGGGGTGTTACCAGCCACAGTGGGGAGGTATTCATACCTCCTGCACCTTGGGCATGTCAGTATTTTCAACCATAGCCTGGGAGGCATCTACGCCTCCTAGGGTTATTAGAAAGTAACACACGTAAAAGGCTGCACACATAATATGTGCTCCATAAATATTTGTTCCCTATCTATATTCAAATATACATAAAACATTCAGACATGCAGTCGCATAGGCAAACACCTGTGAATGCATAAGGGCCCATGTGCACAGACACATGTTTTGATCATCATACGTGTAGGAACCCTCTACCCCCAGTGGAGTGTCTAGGGAGTTAGTGGGTAAAAGTAGATGAAGCCCTGCCCCCGACCTCTCCAGATTTCCCACCTGAGCACAGAACCCTGCCAGTAAAGAGGCTTCTCCACAGGAAATGGCAAGGCCCTTGGGGGGTGGTGACTCAGCCCTGACTCAGCCATGTGGCCTCCTGGGCTCCAAAGGGCCACCTTGACTTGAGGTTGAGAATGCTGTAGGCACAGCAGAGTCTTAATCTCCCAGCCAGGAAAGAAGGGGACTCTGGGGGCCAGGGCAGGGCATGTGCAGCAGGGCCAGGCCCTGGGCAGTAGGAAAGGAAGAGAGAGACAGAGGGATGGCAGGCAGGGAAGTCCCCGGATGTTTGGGGCCTACTCACCACGCCCTCATAGAGATCATTGCCTATTAATCCCCAGAAAGCCTCTGCACTTTCCCTCCTTCACTTCCAGCATCCCTCTCGCCCCACACCTGTCCCTGAAGTCCCAGTCAAATCAGTACCCTGGGCCTTTCTTACTCATTCCCTCTCTCCCTCCCTCAGCCCTGCTCCTGCTCAGCCCACTTCTTGGCCAAATTATTACAGTAGCTGCCTTCCCCCACAACCCAGTCTGTCCTGGCAAAGTCAACTTCATGTGGCAGCCAGAATGTTCTGACAGCCCCCTTTGTCCCACAAGCACCACCCCTAACATACAATGCAAAGTGGGTTTAGCCTGTTTAAATGTGAGAGCAACCAGAACATGAGGCCACATCCTGGCCTCCTCTAAGTCATCCCCGGGTTGGGACTCAGCCCAGGATTGGTACATAGTAGGCTGTCAATGAATGCTTGAGCCTGGCAGATTCTGAGCCAGGGGAATCGCCTGGACTAGGCCTGCATCTGGGCCATAGGAGAAGGAAATCTGATAAATCCATTCAATCTTCAGCACTCCTCCCTCCCTCCCTCTTCAGTAATTTGCATTTTCAATTCAAGTCAGATAGACCCCTGAGTCTCAGTCCAATAGCTGAGATTTGGTACACTTCGTTGAACAGATATTAGAAGGTTTGGGATACAATGAATGTAGATTGGGGAATAGTGAGAGATTTCTCTCCAGCCCTTTCATTTCACACATGGAGAAACCGAGGCCTGGAACGGAAGGTAACTTGCCCAAGGTGAGAAGGCAGAAGAGAGCTTGCATTCAACGGAGGGGCACACCATTGCAATTCCTTGTTATTTTTCCAGCAGCTGCCTGTGTGCTTCACGTCTCTGTGCTGATCTGCCCGAGAGGTGATGGTGTCCATTGGTGTGCTCTGGGGCTCTGGGAGAGTGAGATGAGGGCTGGGGAGAGGGCAGGTAGAGGAAGACTTGTGGGAACACAGCAAGCGCTAAATAAACAGAAGCCGCCTTTGTGGGATATTGACATTGTCATTGTTCCAGCTGGGAAAACTTCACCTGAACCAGGACCCAATTTTTCTGCCTCTCTTCTCCAGCTCCTTTCTTTCCCTGTTGTCCAGATACACCTCCTCCAGGGAGCTTCCATGACCCCCCAGCAGAACTCACCATTTGCATGTTGTTACGGTCACCTGCAGAGGCAGATGGATCCCATCCAAGGTTTGGTTTGAATGAAGACTGACGACACCACCCAAACACCAAGAGAGTATGAAAAGGTTTATTATTTACATAATTGAGGTCTCCAGGGGGAGCAGGGGCAGTCTTTCAAGCAGGTCCCAGATGTGTTGGGAGAGCCAGGAAGGAGACTGGCCTGGGTTTTTATTGTGGTTGAGGGGTGAGGGTTCCCTCAGGAAGGGGCTTGTGAATATTCCCCCTCAAACACCAAAGGAGGGTGCACCCAGACTTTCTTATCAGCTTGTCCAGGTGTAGGGCACAGAGAAGAGGGAAGGGTGAGGCTTAAAATCTGTCAGCAAACATCAACAAATGGACTTAGACTCCTCATTACACATATTATTCCTGTGTCCTTGTTTCTCTGTCTGTCTGTGTGTTTCTAGGTGGGTCTCTTCCCCATGGGGGAGGGTTGACAGATAAAGAGTTGACATGATAAAGTCAACTGAGGGATGAGATGATCCTACAGACGACGGTGCCACTGAAACCAAAGAACCCTGAGATTTCTCTTTCTCCATCTCTCCAGCTGAGATCCTTCTAGTCTCCATGTCTCCCTCCACTCCCACTCCATCTCCCCAGACTGGTCTGACACTCCCCCACATTCTTTAGCTCAGGCCCTCCCCCTACCAGTCGCCCCTGCTCTGCTCCACATTCCCTCTGGACACTCCCCTGGAGTGGAAAAACCATCCCTCATCCCTTTCCGGCTCCCAGTCCCAGGATCGGACATGCTGGTCATTCCTGTTTGGGATGTCCAAAGAGATAAGGCCTGGCATGGGGCCAATCTGTCATCGCAGGACTCTCAAAGCTGTTTCAGGCAGGATCCTCACCCACATGGCGTTTCCACCCTAAGCCCCTGCCCTTCTTACCCTGGCTGGCTCCTCTTCTCCAGGAACATGGCAGAGGACTCAGGAGCCAGGCAGAGAGCAAAGATCACTGTTCAACTTCCATCCAGGTCAGCTTCCTGTTCCTTGACCCCACATGTCTTCTAATCCCTGCAGGCCCTGGGCCACAAAGCAGACCATGAGAGAGGCTGGGTGGCTCTGGAAGTCAGAGGTCAGGAACAAATCCTGTTCTAAGGGCCGTTAGAGACAAGTGTCTTCTCCCCAAACACCACAGAGAAAGCTGTTATCACAGCTGCTTTTGTTTAGGCATGTCTAGCTGTCTGACAACCATCTGCCTGGAGTTTGTCTTCTTAAAGACACGGTTGTGGTCAGCGGCTTCAGTCCTAGCTCTGCCTCCCATAAAATTCAGATCTTGGACAGGCAGGTAACCTCCTGAGGCTCTGTTTTCTCCTAAGTCAAATGAATATCATAATCCCCACCTCACAGGGAGGCCAGGAGGATAAAATGAGCCTGCTTGTGAAATGATTTGTAAACTGTAAAGCTAGGCCAGGACCCTTTCCCAGGCTCTGAATCTAATTTTGTACTCATAATTCTTATGAGTACAAAATAATTTTATTCTTAAAGAGCACCCCAGATTGCACAAGCTTCAGGACCCACCAAACTTGGACACGCCCAAAGTAGTGTATAAATGTTCATTATTAGCATAAGTAGTTAAGGGCTCCAGGGTCAGATAACACAGGATGAAAATCCTAGTTGTGTGACCTCTGCCAAATTGCCTAACCTCCCTGAGCCTCATTTTTCTCGTTTTAAAACAGAGATAACACTTCAAAGATTGTTGTGAGGATTTAACATTTGTGAAGCATTTAGCATAGTTCCTGCTGCGTATGTGCTTAATACATGGTGTTTTGTTCTTATTATTTTAAGAATAGATGGAGAAAAGAATGCTCGGGGAGGCCAGGCAGGGTGGCTCACGCCTGTAATCCCAGCACTTTGGGAGGCGGCGGGGTGGATCACGAGGTCAGGAGTTCGAGACCAGCCTGACCAACACGGCGAAACCCCGTCTCTACTAAAAATACAAAAATTAGCCGGGCATGGTGGTGGGCGCCTGTAATCCCAGCTACTCAGGAGGCTGAGGCAGGAGAATCGCTTGAACCCCGGAGGCAGAGGTTGCAGTGAGCGGAGATCGCGCCACTGCACTCCAGCCTGGGAGACAGAGCGAGACTCCGTCGTCTCAAAAACAAAACAAAACAAAACAAAAAAACAATGTTCCGGGGAAAATGGGTCTCTGAGCTGCAATAAGAGAAATGTGAGTTAGATCCAAGAAAGTACATAGTAACCTCTTTTTTTTTTTTGAGACGACGTCTCACTCTGTCACCCAGGCTGGAGTGCAGTGGCGCGATCTCGGCTCACTGCAACCTGCGCCTCCCGGGTTCAAGCGATTCTCCTGCCCCAGCCTCCCAAATAGCTGGAACTACAGGCGCCCGCCACCACGACCGGCTAATTTTTGTATTTTTTTAGTAGAGACAGGGTTTCCCCACATTGGCCAGGCTGGTCTCGAACTCCTGACTTCGTGATCCGCCCTCCCCGGGTTCCCAAAGTGCTGGGATTACAGGCGTGAACCACTGCGCCTGGCCAGAGTAACCTCTTGAAGTTCCCTTTCGATTTGATTCCTTGGTGGAGGAGACCTTTAGTCTCCGCCCACTTACTGCCACCTGGCCCTACCCACCAAACACCTGATGGGTGCTGACGTCCGAGCCCAGTCTCCAAACACTCTGTTCGAGCTTGGGTGGGAAGAGGGAGCCTCTGGGATTCTGCTGGGCTGGGCCCTGAAGGCAGGAGTGGACGAGAAATGGATACGGTCTAGGCTCAGCTTCCCGGCTACGCAGTGCGTTCTGTGAAGGACGGACTCATTTCTACATTGACAGTCTTAGCCTTTGATACCAGAAGTCGCAGCACTTAGGGGGAAAAATGCTTTTTGGTAATTATAATTAGCGACATTTGGTTGTTACCACTGCTAAATATGTCTGTCTTTGCTGAGGAGCCAATCTCAGCTCGGATCAGGGTGAGTGGATAGGAGAAATAAATCTCGGCAAAGACAGCGAGGGGCCTGAGTGCGAGGAAGAACTCCCAGAGACCGCCAGCCACCTCTTGGGGACTCACAGCGCTGCGGAGGCGAGTCCAGCATTCTAGCCAGCCGCGCACGGACGTCGGTTCCCAGATGCGCCAATGCCAGGTCTCTCCAGCCCGGCTGGCCTTTTCAGCAGCAGCAGCAGCAGCCGCAGGAAAGCGGCCAGACAAATCCCACCCCCGGCCCCGCCCGTCACATCCATCTTGCTCCCCAGGCGACGCTTTCTCGGAGAAGCGAGGGGCGGGGAGGGGAAATCTAAGCCTTTGGGGGTTGCCGACAGGTGTTTGGGGGAGAAGGCGGAGCTGGGGTAGGGAGGATGAGGAGGGAGGGGCGGTGCTGCCCCTTTAAGAGGAGGCGGCCGAGCCGGGATCTTTTTCTCTTTCCCCGGAAGGAAAGCGCAGCCCGGGCTGGGCTCGCAAGGTGGGGAGGTGCGGGACTGGGCGTGGGGAGGCGGGGCGCGCGCCGGGGGACCCCTCCCTCCTGTCCTCCTTGCGGTCGACCGGTGCGCTTGCCAGATCCGCCGCGAAGCCGGGATCGAAGGCGACAGCGCGGCCAAGGGGGCGCGGCCGGGACAAGCTGGGGGCCGGTTGCCCGGGGCAGGGACGGCGGCGACCCGGCCGCTGGGGAGGCAGGAAGATAGACCCACGGATCTTAGGAAGGGATCCGAGAGCGCAGCTGTGAAACTGGCTGGGGCTGGGGGCACGAAACCGATCAGCGCTACGGAGCGCAGCGGCCGGCGGGTTCCAGTGTCCTCCGGCGGCGCGGGGAGCAGGTGAACAGGTCCTCACGCCCAGCTCCGCGCCCTCACGCGCTCTCGCCGGGACCCCGCTTCCGCTGGCAGCCATGGGCCCCGGCCCCAGCCGCGCGCCCCGCGCCCCACGCCTGATGCTCTGTGCGCTCGCCTTGATGGTGGCGGCCGGCGGCTGCGTCGTCTCCGCCTTCAACCTGGATACCCGATTCCTGGTAGTGAAGGAGGCCGGGAACCCGGGCAGCCTCTTCGGCTACTCGGTCGCCCTCCATCGGCAGACAGAGCGGCAGCAGCGCTACCTGTAAGTGAAGCTGGAGGGTGTGGGGTGGGAGCGAGAGAGTGTGCGAGCGCGGGATGCGGGTCCGGAGCTGAGTCGGAGCCCAGGGCAGCTGGCCCTTGGGAGCCAGGATTAAGGGGCGGCCCTCTGGCTGCTGGGGGTTGGCGGGAAGTGGAGGATTGGGTGTGGGGTCGGGCAGTAATCATTGGCAAGTGCTGACGGGGCCAGAACCTGTCTGGACGCCACCCCTCCGCCCTTTAGATCTCTCATGAGAGCGGAAGTGGGGTCCCGGTGGCTGAGTCCTCTCCCATTCTGTGAACCGAGTACCCAGCACTAGCCTGTTCTCTCCAGGGCTGGGAGCTGGGGTAAACTGCAAGATAAACACCCAGCGGACTCCCCCCTTCCCGTACGCTTGGGGGAAAAATGAGCATATACATTTAAGCACCTCGCTGGTAGTCTGCGGCCACGCCAGCCACACCCTCTGCAGAGCCAGACTGGATGGCCTTCTCAACCGCTGGCTTGGCGGATGGAGGGTGAGGCGATGGGTGAGTCTGGGCGTTTGGAGCTGTCCATACGCTCCCTCTGACGCCTTGAGGATAGGGGCGGTGAAAGAGAGAGGAGGACTTGTCCCAACTCTGGCTGGGTCTCCTCCTGCCCACCCGCAAGCAGTGGCACTCTCCCCGCAGACATCTTCCCTGCATTCCACAGATTCGTGTTGGATCTTCAACCCTGAGTGTGTTTGTTTTGGTTTGAAGAGGGAAACAGTGTTTTTCTCTTTCTTCTGTTCTCCTTCCCCAACAGCTGCAAGGAGGAGGGGAAGAGCTATGCACAGTGGAGGAAGGAGGAGGAGGTTGCACCCAGCCTCCTGGGTCCCCCTCACTCCACCAGACGCCCTCATGCCCAGGAGCATGTCCAGGCTTCAGAGGTCTCTCTGCCGTGGCCTCAGAGCGCGCGGAGGTTGGCGGTTGGGGGAGGTGAAGCTGTCCAAAGAGGGACGGTGTTTAGGACAGGTTAAGCAGGTACCATCCACCACTTTGGGCTGGGCGATCTGCCAGGCATCTGCCCCCACCTAGCCTCTGCCCCCACCTGGCCTCTGACCCCACTGAACAAGAAGACGTGGTCACATCCAGGGTACACTGGAAAATCTCCCTGCTCTGGCTGGGGCCTGCAGAGCTTGAGGAAGTTTAGAATGTCCAAAGTCCAAACTCTGCCCCCGCCTTGGTTCTGCCCTCCTGACCCAGCCTACCTACCTGGACTTAACCTCAACTCCATCTTGCTCTTGCAGAGGCTAGGGCTACCACACCCTTCCCAGCCTGGCCCCAGCAGCTGCCACCTGGCCTTAGCCAACCCTCTATCTTTTGGAGATCCTGAGCCACCATGAGCACAAGTTTCTACATCAGCTCTTTCTGCCCTAACTGAGAAAAAGATTTTCAGACTTTCAATGCCAAATCTGCATGATATAAGATAACATAGGTAAAGAGATCAGACTGGAAAGAAAGAGTCAATAATGATTCCGCAACCCTTTTGCCTGGTGACCTTGAGCAAGATATTTCCCCTCCCTGGGCCAGGTTTCCCCCAAAACGGGTTGGACCTGGATCTAGTGCTCTTTCCCACTGCTGCTGGCCTGTGAGAAGCAACTTGATATGGTAGAGGGAGAAGAGGCTTGGAGGTCCCATGGCCAGTGTCCTGTCTCAGATCTGTTACCAATACCTGAACCTGAATTTCCGCACATGTTGGAGGGAGGGGAACAGCATGCCTTCTGCTGGGATGTTAGTGGGGCTGTAACGAGATAAAGTGCGTAAAATCCTCTGCACATGTGCCTTTCTCCAAGGAGCACCTGAAGGCTCTTGCGCTGAGGCCAGAACCTGGATGCATCCTCATTACCCATGGGCCCCGCCCAGGGTGGCTGAGCAAAGGGGTTCTACTTTTCTGTCTGGGAAGCTGGAGCTGGCATTCAGCCTGCCAAGAGCCCAGAAGGTTCTAAAGCTAATGAACCTCTGAGGGGCAGTTCTCTCCCTTGAGTATCCTCAGTCTTTCCTAAGGGTGGTTCTGTGTCTTGGCCCTTCTCTTCATCTCACTAAATTCGACCCCTCGGCCATTTGGGAGAGCCAGCTGGGCTTAGCTGCAGCCAGCTGTGTAGCCAGATGCAAACAGCTGCCTGAGTGCACAACTCAGAGGAACTAACTAGTAAGACGAGCTGCAGCCTCATATTCTGTTAGCCTGAAAGTCTCTTTGGAAAAGTGGGATGGTTCGTGGTCTTGGACAGGCTCTTAAACTGGGGTTCGTAGAAGGTTTTCAAGAGATGCAGGGACTCCCTGAAAGTGTACCCAAAATCGTAGTATTTGTCCACTGCCCTGGGGGTGGGAGGAGGGGAGAGCACAGCTTTCTTGTTCTCCATTCATAAGGCCTCAGAAATGGTTAGAAACCCAGGGGTGGGACCCTCTTTGCTGCCCCATCACCTTCATCTCTGGACTGGGGTTCCTGGTCCACAACATAGGGGGCTAGCCCCAACCCAGGGCCCAGTCTCCTAGTCTGTGGAAATGAGGGGTAAGGAGCAGGCAGAGGACCAAAGTGCTCTGGGCTTCTTGGCAAGATGCATGAGGGGTTCCTTGGAGGGACAGGGACTGTTCTCTGGGAGGTGGTTACTGACACCCTCTCTGCTCCAGCACCTGCACTGACATTCCCTCCTGGGAATCCAGGCATTCTGGTCTGGCCTGACCCTGTGGGCCTATGGGGATACTGCCGGTCCTTCTCTCTCTTTCACTTTTGCTTGGAAATGAGGGTATCTGGGAAGCCCAGGGCAGGGTGGCTCCTAGAAATGAGGTCATGCCTGAGGTACGCAGGAGCCAGGCTCACCTGCCATGCTCTCCTAACATCATGTTTCCCTGGGCAAAGCAGGTGCCTGGCAGCCTTCAAGGTTCGTGCCAGCAGAAATGGGCACAGCAGCTGTGGCTGGAGGCAGAAGGCCTGCTCGTGTAGTATCTTTTTCCTCTGGCTCTACCCAGTGACCAGTCTAGGCCAAGAGGCTTTCAACTGGGCAGGAGTAGGGGAAGCCTGATCTTGTAGAAAAAGCAGCAGCGAAGGGGGCTTGGTCAGAAGTAAACAAAGAAGGAAGAAGATCCCCTTTGCAGTAAGAGGAATTGAGGTTAGATGACACTTAGAATGCCCTCGGGGGTCAAATACAGGAAAAATACTGAAGAGCCAAGGAAAGGGAGCAGAACTGAGAAAAATGGCCTTGTTCTTTTTTTATCTGAGGCTTAGCCAGGGCTCTTTTTCCTGTCCTTTCTCATTCTCTCTCTCCCTCCAGCTTGTTGCTCTGGTTCTAGGGCTGAGTCACCAGTGGGGAGAGGGGGCTGGGTGGGCAGCAAGGGAAGGGTCAGGAAGGATGGGGAGGGCTGCAGTTTCAGCTGCCACAGGGCCGGCCTCTGGGGAGATGGCTAATTCGGGCAGCAAGGCTGGCATAGAGCTGGGATCCAGGCATCCCAGAGCTGCCCCCACCCCTTCTCTGGGGCTCAGAGGTGGAGCAGGCACCCTCCCCACCTGCCTCCCGGCCGGGGATAGGAGGGGAACACAGGAGGCTAGGTACCCAAGGAGTGAGGCCCTGCCATGTTGGCCTGAGTGCTAGATCCTTTGGCCCCCTCTGGAATCCTCCCATGGAGCCACCAAGTGCCTCCCTGAGGTGACAGAATCTGGGAAGGTGAATCTTACAGGCTGCTTCTCTGAGCATTACCCCACCCCAGTGCCCCCAGGGGCCTTCTCCTCTTTGAGGTGAGCCAACCTGGTACCCTGAATTCTCCTGGGTACTGTGCCGCGCCCTTCTTTGATTCTTCTGCTTTCTCCTTGGCTGTTCCATTAGCTCTGAACTGCCCCAAGGGGAGTGATAGGGCAGGGGTAAGGAAGGGCTTTTTCGGAACTTGGAGCTCAAGGGGCTCCGCAGAGGCCAAGAGGGGCTGTTTGGCTGGAGCCAATGGGAGGGTGAGGAGGCAGCTGTTGGAAAGCCCTTGAGTAGTCACTTCACCCATCCCACTCCATCTGGGGGGCTGGGGGTCTCTGCTCCCCCCAGTCCAGCCTGACTCCAGGAGAGGGGCAGTCCCATCTCCTATCTTCCTTGCTCTAAGAGCTCCATCTAGGCATCCCTCCACCTACTCTCCCTCCTTCTGGCTGCAGCTGAGGGGATGGGTTCAGTACTGCTCTGGAAGGGGTCAGCTTTTGGATTTTGTGATCTGGACCAGACCTAAAAGCAGGTGGCTGGCAGAATTGCTCATTTGTGTACTAATTTGCATTTCATTTGCATACAGTAAGGTCCCTCTCACCTTCAGGATTCTCCAACCCCCTCCGCACACACCTGGGTGTGTGTGG